>NC_000010.11:26885000-27510000 GCF_000001405.40 Homo sapiens
TCCCGACTTTAGTTCCATGGCCACACTGACCTGCAAGGGAGGCTAAGAAGTGTAGTATCTACATGAATGATGATGTTATCAACTGAATATGTGGGGCTATAGTTACTAACAAAAAATGAGAGAATAAATATCGGGAAGAAACTAGGATTTTTAGACACACAGAACACTCATTCTGTAATCGTAATGATTTCTTTTTAAGAAACTATTTTACATTAACAAGAAAAGACTTGTGAAATCCAACAGAACACTGAGAAGCATATGAATAGGTAAATCAAAGTAGGAAAAACTTTAATAGGTTGAAAAGATGTGAAGGGAAACTCAGAAAAATTAGTGATCAGATAAAGGACACAAAAGAGCACTTTAGGTCAGGCACGGTGGCTCACGCCTGTAATCCCAGCACTTTGGGAAGCCGAGGCGGGTGGATCACCTGAGGTCAGGAGTTCAAGACCAGCCTGGCCAACATGGTGAAACCCTGTCTCTACTGAAAACACAAAAAATTAGCTGGGCGAGGTGGCAGGCGCCTGTAATTCCAGCTACTTGGGAGGCTGAGGCAGGAAAATCGCTTGACCCCAGGAGGGAGAGTTTGCAGTGAGCAGAGATTGCACCATTGCACTCCAGCCTGGGCAACAAGAGTGAAACTCCGTCTCAAAAAAAAAAAAAGAAAAAAGAAAGCACTTTATATCAGTTTATTAATTTTAGAAATTTGGATTATGCCAAAATTACTGGAAATGTATGTGGACATGTCATGTTTTATCTCAAGGATTCAGACACACTTGGAGATTTTCTTCGTACTTAGTGAAAATAATTATGCATATACTTTATGTCCCCAACCATCAAATCCTGGGAATATTCCCCTGACAAGAAGCCATAGAGGACATTTTCAAAGATCTTATTTGCAACATTTATTGTACTGCAAAGTATGCTAAATTTAGATGGCTTTTACTTGGAGAATTTATGCATAAGACATGGTTGTGTTTATTGTATACATTTATATTGATATACATATATATATTTCTCTGTATATATCATAGCTTTTACATACAATTTTATGTAAATGTATTTGCAGGTGGCAAGAGGACCCAATGGTCCCTAGTATAAATGTATTTGCATCTGTTTTTTGCTTGCGTGTGTTTATTTTCTGATTGTGTTTATTTTATACATTTATATAGATGTATATATTTTTCTTTATATATATTATAGCAATTACACACAATTTCATCATGATGCAATATAGCTATATTAACTATATATTCTATAGAAAATAGATATTTGTGCACATATATGCATACATACATACAAATAAAGCACTATTAGTAGGCCTCAAAAACAGTGTTGTGTGAATACAGTGAGTATATTCTAAGAACTGGATGGCTGTCTATAAATAAATGACTTAAGCATGCTATTTCTCCCACTCCTACACTTACCAAGATGAAAGGGTTTTCCCAGCTTTTCATTTGAATAAACTCTTGGAAATGGGATTCTCTTTCTTTGATTATTTCAGGTGGACAAATTTATACCAAAATCGTGGGCTTTTATAATCAATATCTTTATGATTGTTTTTCCTAAATATTATTTTTTAAAAAAAATGTTAAGTTGTATCCCGCCCAGGCGTGGTGGCTCACGCCTGTAATCCCAGAACTTTGGGAGGCCAAGGTGGGTGGATCATGAGGTCAAGAGATTGAGACCAGCCAGGCCAACATGGTGAAACCCCATCTCTACTAAAAATACAAAAATTAGCCGGGCATGGTGGCAGGGACCTGTAGTCCCAGCTACTCAGGAGGCTGAGGTAGGAGAATCACTTGAACCCGGAAGGTGGAGGTTGCAGTGAGCCGAAATTGCGCCACTGCACTCCAGCCTGGTGATAGAGCGAGACTCCGTCTCAAGAGAAAAAAAAAATTAAGTTGTCAAAAGAAAAAAAAAATTAAGTTGTACCCCTTGCTTGCCTTTTATTTTCCACAAGCAGATGAAACTCCTCCCCCACAAGCAGATGGAAGAACCTGTGCAGCGTCACTTCAGGGAAGCTACATGGCAGGGTGGAAGTAGAATGGACCTGCGCATTTTTAAAGCATTTTTTTACTTTGGTTCTTGGAGGACCCAAGGGGCTTGTAAAGAAGAAGAAGTGGGTGGACTGTGAGTTCGTAGCTAAAAGAAGGAGAGAGATGACCCAGCAACCTAGAAAAGCAGGAAGAAAGTGTGTGTTCCACCTTCCTCTCCTCTCCAGAATTCTGCAGGGTCTGGAGAAGAACAGAGGGGTCTCCGGCCCCCAGGAGAGGGCCTAAGCCAGACCCTGCTGAATGCAGAGAGCTATCTGCATGGTGAGTATCCAGGCAGACAGGACATGGGGCGGCTTCACATAGGATTCCCCCAGTACGGTGACGTGTAGAAGCAGCAGCGAGCCAGCACTCCTGAAAGAGACGCCTGAGGTCAACTCTTCTTTCCTGAAGAGGCTTTGCTCCTGAGGAGTCCCTGTACTTCTCTTTCTGCCAGAGTAAACCCAGCTCCCACACACTTACTGTCAAGGCAGGTGACAACTCTATAGCATCCCCAGGAATCATCAAAATCAGAACTGAAGACCCGGAGCATAGGCGGTTGGCTGCTGAGGAACCCCCAACGAAGGCAAGATGGTGGGGTCCTTGCAGACCTCAGGTCTTGCTATTCTCCAGTGAGGAAGGAGGAGACTCCAAATGGTTGCTATCACCCAGACCTCCTCCCCACAATGTTCATGCAGAGGGGATGAGACAGAAGAGCAACTGGCTGCCTGGCCACTCACCTCTGATACTTGGCTGTATCCTCCATGTCTCACTCTAGGACTGTTACTCACTTCCTGGTGCTCTGGGACACAGCAGAGAGGGCTGACTGGCTGTTCCGGAATGAATGGAGATGCCAAAAGCCTATGGAACAGGGTAATATCAGGTGATCTTCCATTCAAGTCCTATCTGGTTGGTACCTCCATGAGATTTTAAAAGTAGAAAAGATGGGCTTTCTGGAGGTCCATGCACTTCAGCCTGGTCTTTGGATGCAGAGGCCAGCTGGGAAGCTAGCAGTGCTTCTGGCCAAGACTAGATCCCTAGCCCAGGGTCTCAGGGCTCTCTGTAGCTTCCTGGCTTGTGCATGTGCAGTTCGTATCTGACATGATAGACTCTCATCACTGCACAAGCTAGGCTTTAGTTTGGTGACTCCATTCACTGAGTCAGCAGTGTCCAACAGACTTTTTCTGAAGTGGTTTTCTTTGCCTGCCACCTATTTTGGAGTCTAGAAAGCCAGAACCCTGTTTTCCATGTGCTTTATTCTTATGAGAGAAATCTCATGCACCTGACTCCTCAAGTACCTCAGGAACAACTGCAGAGTTTTCTCAATCCAGATGAAACTGGCTGGAACAAACTTCCTCAGAACTGAGTAGCCTTCAGAGTCTGACCCATTCTCCTGGTTCCTGAAAGCTGTCAATGGTCCTCAGCAGAGACCTTCCCTGGCCTCACTGTCCCTGCAGCCTTTCACCATCGTGCTCCTCCCGCACTCGCTACTGCCCCCAGCACATGCTGAAGGCTCAGACCTGGCCTTTCTTTCTCTCTGCACAAAGGCCCTTCTCTACCCATTTAAACAGGACACCACATATGCACTTAAGGGGTTCAAAAGGAGAGCACTGATCCTGATTGCCAGGTTCTGGGGATGTGGACAACTTTTGCCCTGGAGGGTGACAGCACCTGGGCTGGGTCTGGTTAATGGGTGATGGGCTGGGCTGGGCGAGGTGGCTCACGCCTGTAATCCCAGCACTTTGGGAGGCCGAGGCGGGTGGATCACAAGGTCAGGAGATCGAGACCATCCTGGCTAACTAACATGGTGAAACCCTGCCTCTACTAAAAATACAAAATTAGCTTGGCATGGTGGGGGGCGCCTGTAGTCCCAGCTACTTGGGAGGCTGAGGCAGGAGAATGGCGTGAACCCAGGAGGCGGAGCTTGCAGGGAGCCGAGATCGCGCCACTGCACTCCAGCCTGGGTGACAGAAGTGAGACTCCGTCTCAGAAAAAAAAAAAAAAAGGGTGATGGACTGGTGTTTGCCATCAGTGTAGGGTCACTTGGAAGTGACGGGGTAAAACTCCTGTGGTCAAGCTGGGCATGGTGGCTCACGCCTGTAATCCCAGCACTTTGGGCAGCCAAGGAGGATGGATCCCCTGAGGTCAGGAGTTCGAGACCAGCCTGGCCAACATGGTGAAACCCCGTCTCTACTAAAAATACAAAAATTATCTGGGTGTGGTTGCCCATGCCTGTAATCCCAGCTACTCGGGAGGCTGAGGCAGAATTGCTTGAACCTGGGAGGCAGAGGTTGCAATGAGCCAAGATCGCACCATTGCACCGCAGCCTGGGTGGCAGAGTGAGACCACATCTCAAAAAAAAAAAAAACACAAAACAAAACAAAAAAACCTCTTGTAGCCTTTGTGGCACCCTTCACAGTTAGCAGGTAGCAAGATGGCCTAGTGCCCCCTAGTATAAATGTATTTGCTCTGTTTTTGTGTTTGTGTGTGTTTATTTTCTGGTTGTATTTATTTTATATATTTATATTTATATATGTCTATATGTTTATCTCTATATATTATACACATATGTCTCTATATATGATCTCTATATTTATTGAGGTATAAATATATTGTACAGGCCAAGGGCAAACTTCTCCTTTTCCCTCTAGAGTTTCTCTTAAGTAACATCTGACCAAAGGCAGATTAATCTGAGAAAAAGCATGCAAATGTATTAACATGCACATGAATTGTACAGAATATAGAAGCAAAGGGTTGATATTTTATGACATCTTCAGGTAACACAAAGAATAGGGGTATGGATATGGCAAAACAGGGAATGGTGGCAAAACCAGTTATCAGAGGAGAAAGAAAGGCCTGGCTAGGAAAGGTGGTCTTGTTATTTACAAGAATCCTCACAGATAGTAGCCCTCAGAGAAAGAGACGGTAAATGTTTTTTTTTTCAGACCTCTACAGGTGTCAGACTCTCAGTTGAACTTTCTTACATCCAGACAAGGAAGGGCCTCGGAAGCTTCAATTATGACTCTATCAATGCAGCTTTTCTATAAAGTTGCAAATCTCATCTGCAAAAGACAACTTTGCAGGGCTTATTCTGATTGCAGGCCCTCTGAAGGGCCATCTCAAAATATGTCAAATAAGTATATTCTGGGTACAATATTATAGTTTCCGTGTGTGTGTGTGTGTGTGTGTGTGTGTGTGTGTGTGTGTATTTGCGCATAGATGATTCTTACTCCTTTGCATAGAGAAACAGCACTACAATCTGGTAAACAGCACTACGATGTTGTATGCACAAATATCTGTATATCAATGTTTAAATTATTTCCATGTTGATGCATATATTCATGTCAGTAGCATCCCCACTTGAGCAAGCGCACTTGAATCCACCACAATGGACCGCCTCAACCACAAGCTGGGCCCTGGCTTGGGGACAGGCATTATTCATCCAGCTGGGAAGGCAGTGCCCAGCACTCTACCACTGAACTGTTCTTCCTTGTCAACCACCTGTATTGCAGTCCAGGGGGTTTTGTTAAGCCAGACCCCTGTTTCCCTGCTGCTCACACTAGTGTGAGGTCTCAGGCTCATGGCTCTCCTACTGCCTTTCATCCAGGTATTCCTCAGGCCCGTGAGACCCTGTCCTAACAGGTTTTCTCAGTCTACGTAGGCTTAGGCATCCAGAAGCTCTCAGGGGCACCCCGCCCAGTCCTCCTCCGCCCCTCTGGCCATGTACCACCATAACCCCCCACAACTGCACTGCCCCCAGCGCATTCTGCAAGCTCAGACCCAGCATTTTCTCTTCTCCCAGGAAAGCCTCTTCTTCACCCACCGGATGTGGGACAACATCGAGTACCTTACGTACTCAAAACATGGGCGCCTAGTCTCATTGAGAGGTTCTGGAGGTGTGGGCAGCTTTTCCAACAGAGGGCAACAGCCAGTGGGCTTGTTCTGGTTAAAGGCCAATGGCCAGGTATTTGCCAACTATAAAATGTCTTATAAAACTGGCAGAAAAAGACTCTGTGGGCTTTTTGGCTCCCTGTGCTACCACAAGGTGGCAGAAAAGCACAGTGTCTCCCAGGGAACATGGAAGTGCATCTGTGTGTTTGTGTGTGTGCGCGCGCATGTGTGTGTGTTATGTGAGATCCTCCAGGGAACTTGGAAGTGCATCTGTGTGTGTGTGTATGTGCATGTGTGTGTGTGAGAGTGTGTGCGTGTTTATGTGAGATCCTCCAGGGAATGTGGAATTGCATCTGCGGTGGGGTGGGGGGACATGTGTGATTATATGAGATTTGGGGATTATGTTTTTTTAATAAATAAATATTTGTCTTTATAGATACAGAGAAATACATGTTCATACATGTAATTACATGTAGTCTCTCTAGTTATATATACATAAGTTGCTGCTAACCTCCATGAAGAAACACCACCTCAGAATAAAAGACAGCATCACATAGTTTATGTGTAAACATCTCTATTTTATTTATTTACTTATATGTTTACCATATATTTACATATGGTATATATTACTTTATATAGTAAAAAATATACACATTATCCTTGAGGAATAATGTGTGTATTTTTAACTATGCAGCCATAAAAAAGGATGAATTCATGTCCTTTGCAGGGACATGGATGAAGCTGGAAACCATCATTCTTAGCAAACTAACACAAGAACAGAAAACCAAACACCGCATGCTCTCACTCATAAGTGGGAGTTGAACAATGAGAACACATGGACACAGGGAGGGGAACATCACACACCGGGGCCTGTCAGGGGTTGGGCTGCTAGAGGAGGGATAGCATGAGCAGAAATACCTAATGTAGATGGTGGGTTGATGGGTGCAGCAAACCTCCATGGCACGTGTATAACTACGTAAGAAACCTGCATGTTCTGCACATGTACCCCAGAACTTTAAGCATAATTCTATATCTATATATATATACACACATTAACGCGTGGGTATATCGGTTTATTTCTAGTTATATTTTGGCTGGCGCCCTCTATGTGTAAAACACTCTGATTGACAGACTGAGCCTCACTGTCCAGATCAGTGATTTTAAAACCCTGGGACCCCACCCAGTGTTGATCTTCTGGTCCAGCAGGAAGATGCAGCTGCACACTGGACTTCGAGCACCAGGACCATTTCCTCCCTTCGTGGTTGGGAGAAGTCAGTCTCCCACCAAAGGAGAGGTCAGAGAGTGTTGCCTGGCTGTTTTAGGGAAAAGAGAGATTTCAAAAGACTGCAGGACCCAGTACAATTCATTAGTATTTCATTCCAGTCCTATCTAGCCGCTACCTACCTGAGCTTCTAAGAAGAGATGAGGATACTATGGGCTAGCACAGTGAAGTAAATACAAATATTTCACCCCACTTTTAAAGGAACCTCTACCATCTACCCTCTCTGAGGGCTGTTGGCTGTAAAGTATCATCTATATAACAAGACCTCATTTGCAAGCCGGGCCTTCTCTTCTCTCTTATAGCCTGCCTTGCCACTATAACCTGATCTTGCCATCACTTGTTTCTGGCCATGCCGTGAGCCCCCATTGTTTCCGTGGCCTCTAGGTGGTAGCTGTGCTAAGCACTATTGGAGGTTGGGGTCAGCACTTTGTGGTTCTCCCTTGCGCACATCAATAGCCCTGCATGCCATTTCTCCTCTTAATCTGCACTTGGCCAGTCGATTTTTCAGTGAAACTTTAGAGCGCAAAGGGGAAGTGTTCCCTTGTGCTCTATCATTTTGCGGCTGTGAGCAGAATACCGAAACCTGCTCTTCCGGAAGCTGCAGCCAAGGGAACCCAGGACCAGAGCAGCTGGCAGAAGAGTAAGAAATCCTTATCAGCCAGGCTGCCGGCCTCTGTGTGGAATCTGTTTGAGCAGATGGTGAAAATTGTTGTCTTTTATTTCTCCATAAAATCTTGATTAGTGGAAGAAAAAGATTTGTGTGACTAGTAGTGCATGTAGCGACTCTTGTGTAGTCTTTGGCATGAATAATCATGTTGTTTGATCCCTTTTCCTCCTAGAAATAGTCTCTCACTCTCTGTTTGTCTCTCTGGGTTGTACTGTCACAAAGAAGGGCACCTCAGAATAGAACAGGGGTCCAGAACCCCTAGAAACACGATTTCGAGCCACCTCTGAAGACTGGTCAGATTTATGGCTCTGATCAGACTGGTGTCTATTCAGGCAAACTTTACTATTTGTTCCCCAAATAAAACCACATGAAGTTCCCCTCTGATCTTGTTTCATGTCCTTGAGAGCTTGGCTTTTAACCAAGTGGGAGCACAGTTGGTCTCCACCATCTGAGAAGTGTGATGTTTGGGTCCCATCCAGTGGCCAGTCTAAAATTGGCTGGGGACCTCAGACGTGTAAGATTTTAGGCAGCACATTTTTTGTTCCAAATGTGTCAAGCTCTCAGGAGAGTTTGTCTTAAGAAGTTCTATCCCTATGGGGTGTGGGGAAAAGCAAGAGAGATCAGATTGTTACTGTGTCTGTGTAGAAAGAAGTAGACATAGGAGACTCCATTTTGTTATGTACTAAGAAAAATTCTTCTGCCTTGAGATTCTGTTAATCTATGACCTTACCCCCAACCCCGTGCTCTCTGAAACATGTGCTGTGTCAACTCAGAGTTGAATGGATTAAGGGCGGTGCAGGATGTGCTTTGTTAAACAGATGCTTGAAGGCAGCATGCTCCTTAAGAGTCATCACCACTCCCTAATCTCAAGTACCCAGGGACACAAAAACTGCGGAAGGCCGCAGGGACCTCTGCCTAGGAAAGCCAGGTATTGTCCAAGGTTTCTCCCCATGTGATAGTCTGAAATATGGCCTCGTGGGAAGGGAAAGACCTGACCGTCCCCCAGCCCGACACCCGTAAAGGGTCTGTGCTGAGGAGGATTAGTAAAAGAGGAAGGAATGCCTCTTGCAGTTGAGACAAGAGGAAGGCATCTGTCTCCTGCCTGTCCCTGGGCAATGGAATGTCTCGGTATAAAACCCGATTGTATGCTCCATCTACTGAGATAGGGAAAAACCGCCTTAGGGCTGGAGGTGGGACCTGCGGGCAGCGATACTGCTTTGTAAAGCATTGAGATGTTTATGTGTATGCATATCTAAAAGCACAGCACTTAATCCTTTACATTGTCTATGATGCAAAGACCTTTGTTCACGTGTTTGTCTGCTGACCCTCTCCCCACAATTGTCTTGTGACCCTGACACATCCCCCTCTTCGAGAAACACCCACGGATGATCAATAAATATTAAGGGAACTCAGAGGCTGGCGGGATCCTCCATATGCTGAACGCTGGTTCCCCGGGTCCCCTTCTTTCTTTCTCTATACTTTGTCTCTGTGTCTTTTTCTTTTCCAAATCTGTCGTCCCACCTTACGAGAAACACCCACAGGTGTGTAGGGGCAACCCACCCCTACAATGGGGCTTTTCTCATATGAACCCTTGTTGCCCGGTTAGTCCTGGGAAAGTACACTTTCAGGAGGGCCTCCCTGGTATCGCAGATTAAGGTGCCCGTGATTGGCAGTCCCCCTGTAATTTGTGGGTTACAGGAGGTACTGTATGCACAAACACCATCCTTAACCATCTGTGGCAACAAGAGCTCTTGCCGTCTTAAGCCTGTTTCTGAGAATAAATTTTTTGAGGCTCACTGGGGCTCTCTCATCTATGCTGTCTCCAGGAATACCTATTGCTTATATGGTTATATGTGGTGAAAGTTTTTCTAAACCTGTAAAATTGCCTTGTAGGCTTTTCATGAACAGGCTTGTTGGACTAAGTCACTATTGAAATAAGATCACCATTGGAAATTCTAATCATTAGTGGTTAGAAAACTGATCCTTCATGTCAGAAAGACTCCTAAATTTAGAAAAAGAGATCTCTTATTCTAAACAATTGCCTCATTTGTATTTATGGAAAGATTAACTTAAAATAAAGACTCATGGTGGTTTCATGGCTAGCCTTAGAAATTCTTTTGACAAAATTAAAGAATGAAAATCTGGCCCAAAGCAAAGTTTAAAGTTTTCATATGCTCAGAGTGCCTGCTGTGAATCTCCTGCAGAATTTGCAGTGCTGGCCACTGCACCTTGCAGCCTGGTTAAAATTCCATCCTTTCACTGCCGTAGCCTGGGTTTGAGTCCTGGTGGGGAATTAGTCACTTTGGTTGGATATTTATGTGATTTTTATCTTTTGGGGGACCATTTGTTATCCATCCTTTTCCCTCCAATGGACATATTTTTTTTTACTTTTATTTCAGGTTCAGTGTGTACATGTGCTGTTTTGCTACATGGGTGAATTATATGTCACTGGGGTTTGGTGTACAAATGATTTCATCACCCAGGTAGTGAGCATAGGTAGTTTTTTTAACCCTCACCATTCTCCTCCCCTCCCTTTTCAAGTGGGTCCCAGTGTCTATTGTTCCCATCTTTTTATTTCTGGTATTTTTTTGTCTGTGGGGGCACACAGAGATTTAGGGCCTTTGTGTGTAGATGGCCAGCTGAGAAGTTGACGCCCTAGAGGATACGGCTGAACAGATGTGAGTTGTATCCTATTTGCAGGTAGCAAAACTTTCCTTTCCTTGGGCTGTCTTTGGGGTGGTTCTGGATCTTGTGAGGACTGGTCTGCACCTCTTTGGAGATTCTGTGTGCAACCTCAATTAAGCCATAACCTTGGTTAAGGCTTACTGAAGTTGGTGAGTCACTTGAAGGAGTACCACTGGCTTAAAAAGGTTCAAAGCCAGGAATATTAGCTGCTTGCCCTGGCTAAAAAGACAGGCAGTAACAAATGCTGGCGAGGATGTGGAGGACAGGGAACCCTTGGACACTGTTTGTGGGAACGTAGTTTAATGCAACCACTGTGGAGAACAGTTTGGAGGTTCCTCAAAAAACAAAAAATTGATCTACCATAAGAATCAGCAATCCCACAGCTGGGTATACATCTAAAAGAAAGGAAGCCAGTATATCAAAAAGATATCTGCACTCCTATGTTTGTTGTAGGACTGTTTACAATAGCTAAGATTTAAAAACAACCTAAGTGTCCATCAGCAGATGAATGGATAAAAAAAAGTGGTACTTATACAAAACAGAGTACTATTCAGCCTTAAAAAGAGTGAGATCCTGTCATTTGCAGCAACATAGGTGGACCTGGAAATAATTAAGTGAAATAAGCCAGGCACAGAAAGACAAACATCACATATTCTCACTTAATTGTGAGATCTAAAAATCAAAACAACTGAACTCATGAACAGAGAGCACAGACGGATGGTTACCAGAGACTGGGAATGGTAGTGGAGAGCTTGGGAGGTGGGCATGGTGAATGGGTAAAAAAGAAGTTCAGAAAAATAAATAAGACTTACTATTTGATAGCACATCAGGGTGACTATAGTCAATAATAACTTAGTTGTACATTTTAAAATGACTTCAAGAATGTGACTGAATTGTTTGTAACCCAAAGGGTAAATGCTTGAGGGAATGGATACCCCGTTCTCCATGATGTGCTCATTTCACATTGCATATCATCAAACCATCTCATGAATCTTATATACACCTACTGTGTACCCACAAAAGTTAAAAACGAAAAATAATAAAAGAAAAATAGTCTAATCATAATTTGCAGACAACAGTTGTTTTCTGACACCACTAAATCACTGTCTCAACTAAATACAAAATATACACAAAGTAGGTATAAAGCTTATACGTATTTGCTATTTCTGCATACAACAAAATCAATCAATTAGCAACATCTTATACATTATTACAGGGATGGATGTATTTTAGAAATACCTCTGCTAATCCTAGAAATGTTCCAACTCTTGTAGAAAAGAGAGCAGCTATCAGATTAATTTTCAAATTATACTACAGAACCTTCAGAAAATAATTTTTTTTTTGAGATGGAGTCTCACACTGTCGCCCAGGCTGGAGTGCAACGGCATGACCTCAGCTCACTGCAACCTCCACCTCCTGGGTTCACACGATTCTCCAGCCTCAGCCTCCTGAGTAGCTTGGATTACAGGCACGCACCACCACATCCGGCTAACCTTTTGTATTTTTAGTAGAGACAGGGTTTCACTATGTTGGCCAGACTGGTCTCAAACTCCTGACTTCATGATCCGCCACCCTCGGCCTCCCAGATTGTTGGGCTTACAGGCGTGAGCCCCATGCCCAGTCAGAAAACAAATCTTATGGCTTCATACGTCAAAATTCAACAATGATGAACAGTGAGAATTACATAGAATTAATTTAGGAACACTTATGGATTGATTTATGGTCTTGGACATTCATTATTTTCCCACAAGTTAAGCTCATGACTCAGTAATTAATTTCCTTTTTCATGCATGGATTTGGCCCTGGTCAGTTCGTGACCCAGAATTTTTTTTTTTTTCCCAGGAAAGGGCACATATTCTGCCTATTGATCCACAGAAAATAGACTCTGCCCACAGATTGAAATATAAACTACTTGCCTGATTTCCTTCTGCTGTTGGGACAATGGGCTCAGGTTCATGTTCACAACAGCAAATGAGTGCAAAGAGGTCTGAGATATGGGCTTGTGATCCTGTGACTTTACCTCCCCAGAGAATTGCAATTGTCATCTCACCTGTAGATACAAGGACAGTACATATTTGATGAGTTAAAGTTTAAATAATGCTGTCTTAGTTTCCAATGACCAAAAAAATGACAACTTTCTACCAAGCACCTTCAAAGACATGAAAATGGGAGAGGCTCTGTTTTTCCATGATCTCTGGAGGCAGACAGGGGCTCACATGGAGAGAACAGGACATGCCGAGTCTGAGACATGAGATACTGACAGCAAAGCACATGTGTCTTACCAGATTCCGTGCTTCCCTGAGATCTGCCTCTGCTGAAAATCTGACTTGCAGTTAACCCCCAAATTCCTGAGCCAAACTATTAGTGAATTGTAAATAGATGGGACCACACAAAGAGTTTGAGAAGGAGGTGTCAACAGGTTACAGTGCAGAGAAGAACTTAAAGACAAATATTAAAATGAAAAATAGGGACAAAATTGTGTGATTCAATGCAAATTAACATTAAACTGTGGCTCATATATAGTCTAGGAATATATATTTTAAGATCATTTACCTTATAGAGATAGAGATGCTAAATTAAGTAATATTCATAAAAGAAACAGAACATTTATTAAATATTTGTTTTCCACACAAGAAAGCACCAAATTTATATTGTTCAGAAGAAAATTTTACTCAAGAACTTATTAATATACAATATGCTTTAACTATTTAATAGTTATAAAGTAACCAATTTTCCCAATAGTTTTTAGAAAGGATATATAAAAGTGATATAACTTTGTTTGCTGTTGTATAGAATATTCTAGATAATTAGAGCATATTAATATGTAAGTAAAATTTTTGAATGTTAAAAACCATTGTGCCAACCCATTAAAATATTAGATCATTAGGAAGTCCATTTATTCCTGAAATGCAAGTGAGAGTCATCGCATTAGGAAATTCATTAACACAATAAATTATGTTAATTGAATTAATGAGAATGTCTTGTTTTCATGTTCATAGACAGAAAAGAGATAATGCCAAAATTTAAAAGAAAATTATTTTAAATGATTCAATTAGTATAGAATTGGTGCAAAATATTTCTTAAAAACATAAAAATAGACTTGTATAAATGAAAATTATGACATTACATGATTAGGCAGGTCAACATTTTTAAGACATCAAAGTACTTTAATTAATAAGTTGATTTTATGGTTGCATAGTATTCCATGGTGTATATGTACCTTTGCAAGGGCATGGATGGAGGTGGAGACCCTTATCCTTAGCAAAGGAATTCAGGAACAGAAAACCAAATATGGCATGTTCTCACTTTTAAGTGGGAGCTAAATGATGAGAACATGTGGACACAGAAAGGGAAACAACACACACTGGGGCCTATTGGAGGGTGAAAGTTGAGAGGAGAGAGAGGATCAGGAAAAATAACTAATGGACACCAGGCTTAACACCTGGGTGATGAAATAATCTGTACAACAACCCCGCCCTGCTGATAGACATTTACTTATGTAACAAACCTGCACATCCTGCACATGTACCCCTGAGATTAAAATAAAAGTTAAAAAAATAAAATAAGTTGATTTTAACTCCAATTAACTTACAATTTTATTGTAAAGAAGAGCAAAAAAATTAAAGTATCCATGAAAAATCTGAAAACTAAAAGACAGTGACTTCTCCTTCAAAACATTGTAGAGACTTGGAAATTAAAATTGTGTTGTGTTGGGAGGCCGAGGCGGGCGGATCATGAGGTCAGGAGATCGAGACCAACCTGGCTAACACAGTGAAACCCCGTCTCTACTAAAAATACAAAAAAATTAGCCAGGTGTTGTGGCGGGCACCTGTAGTCCCAGCTACTCGGGAGGCTGAGGCAGGAGAATGGTGTGAACCTGGGAGGCAGAGCTTGCAGTGAGTCGAGATCGGGCCACTGCACTCCAGCCTGGAAAGAGACTCCCTTTCAAAAAAAATAAAAATGAAAATAAAAATAAAAATAAATAAAGAAAATACATTTTTCAACTTTAGAAATACCAAAGACACATCACTATAAATCCTGTACATACTGAAAAATAATGAGCAACTACTATGAAAAATTCTTGCCAATAATTTTGATAATCTAGATTAAATGGAAAAATTACTTTTAAAAGATTAAATTAGTAGAATTCACTCTAGAAGAAAAAGAAAATTGAATTGAAATAGCTCTCTAATAAGTTAAAACAAATATATAATCTAATAATTTTTCTATGCAAAACAAAGATGGAAAGAAAACCCCAAAGATGAGATTTGTCTTCACTTGTTGTTTGTCCATTATGTCCATTTTGTGCTTCTGTAACCAAATACCAGGGACTGGGTAATTTATAAAAACCAGAAGTTTATTTCCTATAGTTCTGGAAGCTGGGAAGTCCAACATCAAGGTGCCAGCAGGTTTGGTGTCTGGTAAGAGCTGGGTCTCCACTTGTAAGATGGTGCCTTAAGGGCTGCATCCTTCAGAAGGGAGAAACAATCTTCCTTACACGACAGAGGACTGGAAGAGAAAAGAGAATCCACTTCTGAAAGCCCCTTTTAAAAGGCATTACCCTCACCCATGAAGGTGGAGCACTCATGGCCTAATCACCTCTTAAAGGTCCCAGCTCCCAATACCATTACATTAGCAAAGAAATTTTGACACGAGTTTTGGAGGAGACAAACATTTAAACTATATCATTGGTGAAGTCTAGTAAATATTAAAATAAATAATCCCAATCTCACATCAGCTACTTCAAAAACAGAGAATAAGGGAACGTTTCTCAACTTATTTTATGAAGCTAGTGTTATCCAATCAAATCCTAAGACGATTTTGGAAGAAACTAAGTTTCAATTTCTTGTGTGAAAACGTACATGGAAAAATAATATAGAACAGCCAAAACACTTTCAAAATAGACAAACAGCTGGAGGGTTTGTTATATCTGAATTCAAAACCTACTTTAAAGTTTTAATAATGAAGATGGTGGGGATAGATATTTAGATAGAGATAAAGTGCAGTAGAACAATGTAAGCAATAGAGACAGTTTATTTCTGTGAGAAATAGACTCATAATTATATGAGCTATTGACTTTCAAAAATGTACCAAGATAATTAAACTGATGAACATTAAATTAAAAGGTGGAGATTTTTGTGGGAAGATGAAACTTAAAACTTGGTGGTGAGTCTTGTTGAGAGGGTGACAACTGAGCAAAGACTTGAAGAAGGTGTAACAGTTAACAGTGCAGATGCCTGGGGGAAGAGCGTTCTATAAAGAGGGAGTACCCGGGAAGGCATCCCATACAAGGCATGTACCTGGTGTTCAGAGAACCACAGGGAGGACTGTGAACTTAAGTAGTGTGAGCAGGGCAAGGTATTATGCACGAAGTCAGAGATACCGGGCTCCAGATCATGTATATCTTACACACTGGGCTCAAGTGATTCTCCGGCCATGATACTGAGAAACAAGGGGAGTCAGTTCCAGTCTTTAGCTTTGATACTGACAGAACAGGGAAGTCAGCTCCAGTCTTGATTATGAACTTGAGCTTCATGAACTTGCACAAAATGGGTAATTAAATGTGTCATCATATCTTCTAATATAAAATCAGGAAATTGTACCTTAGAACTTCTAAGATTCCCACAGACCGTGATTCTAAGATATTTAAAATCCAAACAAAGATAGTTTTTTTTGCTGTGCAGAAGCTCTGTAGTTTAACTAGATACCATTTGTCAATTTTGGCTTTTCTTGCAATTGCTTTTGGTGTTTTAGTCATGAAGTCTTTGTCGATGCCGATGTTCTGAATGATGTTGCCTAGGTTTTCTTCTAGGGTTTTGATGGTTTTTGGTTTTCCATTTACTTATTTATTTATTTATTTATTTATTTTTGAGATGGAGTCTTGCTCTGTCGCCAGGCTGGAGTGCAGTGGCACGATCTCGGCTCACTGCAACCTCTGTCTCCCCGGTTCAAGAGATTCTCCTGCCTCAGCCTCCTGAGTAGCTGGGATTACAGGTGCACACCACCATGCCCAGCTACTTTAGTAGAGATGGGGTTTCACCATGTTGGTTAGGCTGGTCTCAAACTCCCCACCACCTCGGCCTCCCAAAGTGCTGGGATTACAGGTGTGAGCCACTGCACCTGGCCAGGTTTTACGTTTAAGTCTTTAATCCACCTTGAGTTAATTTTTGTGTAAGGTGTAAGGAGGGGGTCCATTTTCTGCTTTCTGCATATCATCAGAGTGAACAGGTGATCTACAGAATGGGAGAAAATTTTTGCAATCTATCCATGTGACAAAGTTTTAATATCCAGAATCTATAAGGAACTTAAACAAATTTACAATAAAAAACAAATAACCCCATCAAAAAGTGGGCAAAGGATATGAACAGACACTTCTCAAAAGAAGACATTTATGTGGTCAACAAGCCTATGAAAAAAAAAGCTCATCATCACTCGTCACTAGACAAATGCAAATCAAAACCACAGTGAGATACCATCTCACTTAGAATGGCGATTATTATTAAAAAGTAGGAAATAACAGATACTGATGAGGCTGTGGAGAAATAGGAACGCTTTTACACTGTTGGTGGGAGTGTAAATTAGTTCAACCATCATGGAAGACAGTGTGGCAATTCTTCAAAGAACTAGAACCAGAAATACCATTTGACCCAGCAATCCCATTACTGGATATATACCCAGAGGACGAGTTATTCTACTATAAAGACACATGCACACATATGTTTATTGCAGGACTGTTTACAACACCAAGACTTGGAACCAACCCAAGTGCCCATAAATGATAGACTGCATAAAGAAAATGTGGCACATATAGGCCGGGTGTGGTGGCTCACGCCTGTAATCCCAGCACTTTGGGAGGCTGAAGCAGGCGGATCACGAAGTCAGGAGATCGAGACCATCCTGGCTAACACAGTGAAACCCCGTCTCTACTAAAAGTACAAAAAATTAGCCAGGAGTGGTCATGGGCACCTGTAGTCTCAGCTACTTGGGAGGCTGAGGCAGGAGAATGGCATGAACCCGGGAGTCAGAGCTTGCAGTGAGCCGAGATTGTTCCACTGCACTGCAGCCTGGTCGACAGAGCAAGACTCCATCTCAAAAACAAAGTTAAAAAAAAAGAAAATGTGGCACATATACACCATGGAATACTATGCAGCCATAAAAAAGAATGAGTTAATGTCCTTTGCAGGGACATAAATGAAGCTAGAAGCCATCATTCTCAGCAAACTAACACAGGAACAGAAAACCAAACAACACATGTTCTCACTCATAAGTGGGAGTTGAAGAATGAGAACACATGGACACAGGGAGGGAAACATCACACACTGGGGCCTGTTGAGGGTTGTGGGGCAAGGGTAAGGAGAGAATTAGGACAAATACCTAATGCCTGTGGAGCTTAAAATTTATATGATGGGTTGATAGATGCAGCAAACCACCATGGCACATACATATCTATGGAACAAACCTGCACATTCTGCACATATATCCCAGAACTTAAAGTAAAATAAAATATATACATATAAATATATAAAAAATATATATAAATAGAATAAAATGCAAACAAAGAAATACAGAACAAACTAACAAAAGCTACTATGAAATTAGAAAACTGACATTTCAGTGAGGATGTATTTAAAAGAGGGTAGATATTTTTAAGTGTGAAAATCTCAGAGACATAAATTTGGCAAGTGATGGCACTGGAATTTAAACAGAAAAAAAATAAAGCCTAGTCTCTACGGAAATAAACAAAAAACAAATACATAACTGAGATGAATCTCAGAACACTGGATAATTTTGGTTTGGAAAAGTGTTTCTGTTTGGGACAAGACCTTCTTTGTCTAGTTAAAGTTACTGATGAGGCTAACAGGACACATATGCTATTTATTTATTTTTACTATAGGCAGAATATTATGTCTTTATCTTGTATCTTCAAAGAAACTAATAGCTGTGTAATATGGGGGGAATTTACAAAACGTATTTAAAGGCATGTTTATCTGTTAAGACTTAACTGGCCTACAAAATAGTCGTTTGTTGGCAAACTATCAAGTTTTTATCGGGGAATTTAGACAAGTCTGTTGGGTCACAGAAGAGGGTCTATAAATTGGAGGACTGAAAGTGGATTTACAGTTCCTGATCAGTCTAGTAACTCATCCTTGCTTTTAGATGCCTTGGCTTAAAGACCTCAGCTCTTGAGGATATATTATCACACTGCCTTCAGAAAAGGGTTGAGGAGCTCCCCTTTCAAAGAACTGGCCTACACCAGTGCTTTTCTGTTCAGCTTTTCTGGTGATTACTTAAGGATTAAGGGATAAAGGATGCTATTTAGTGTCCTTGCCTCTCCTGGTCCAGTTTCAAAGAATTCTAAACCCAGAGTCCAAGAGTCAATGCTACCTCAAAAGAAAGGGAAGGTTACTTGGTGTCCAGGTACCACGTGCAGTGAAAGAGGTGTGCCTCATGGCCAGGAAACTCAGGTCAGCGTCCTGGAAGAGATGGTTCACACTCAGGGCTGGAGTCAAAGCAGAATCCACTGGGCTGTCAATCAAATGTCCAGCAATCATTACTGGGCCCATTTAACTCTCACTAGCATGCTTTTGTTTTCATGTGCTTCTAGAAGTGTCATTGGACAGGATGATTTTGGCCCAGATCAGTGCTCCTGTTTGAGACAAGAACTTCTCTGCAGGGTTAAAGCTACTCATAGATTCTCACTGACCTCATTGCCTTCAAATAACTAAAGATAAGTTTAATTCAACATATTTTTTATACTGAGTATCTCTTATGTGCCAAATGTTACTCATGGTATTACAGAAGATTATAAAAATAATAAGGTACATTGTAGAGAAATAAGTTCTAGAGCGTTTCTGTTCAAACCAGTAGCCACTTACCTATGTGTAGCTATTGAACACTTGATATGTGGTTAGTCCAAGCTGAGATGTACCTGAACTATACAATGCACAATGGATTTCAAAGACTTAGTATGAAAAATATGTAATATTTCATTCATAATTTTATATTGGTTATATGTTGAAATAATTATATTTTAGATAAAATTAAAATATTACTAAACTTGATATCCCTACATTTTTTACCTTTTCAAATATGGCTACTAGAAAATTTTAAATGACATAATCACTCACATTATATTTCTACTGGATACCTTCGCTCTAGAGGGAAAAGACTGTCATAAATTTTTAGGTGGGATTACTAACTAGATTGTGCAAAATACTATAACTGAGACCTTTTTCAATGCACTAGAAGAATAGGAAGAAGTTCATAAGTCATGGACAGGAAAAGAAGGGATTTGCTCTGTGCTCTAAAGCATGGGTAAATCTGAATATTACACAACTATAAAAACTCTGAAAACTTAATTTATCTCAGTCTTCCTTACACATAACACCTGCTGTCCTGCACTAAACTTTTCTCCTGCCAATACATCACACAATTTTCTCTTACGATTTGGAAAATTCTATTGCTGATTAAATTCTATTTTTATTATTACAAGGGATCATATGCCTTAAGGTTTTATTTTTAAAACTTTTTTCAATAATATTGTCACCAATACCAATATGGTCATCACACTGTTTCATCATCATTAGTTTTGTTTTTTTGTTTGTTTGTCTTTTTGAGACAGAGCCTAGCTCTGTCTCCTGGGTTCAAGCAATTCTCATGCTTCAGCCTCCCTAGTAGCTAAGACTACAGGTGCACCCCACCACACCCAACTAATTTTTATATTTTTAGGAGATATGAGGTTTCACCATGTTAGCCAGGCTGGTCTCCAACTCCTGGCCTCATGTGATCGACCTGCCTCGGCCTCCCAAAGTGCTGGTGAGAGGTGACAGCATGCTGGCAGCCCTCGCTCACTCTCGGCGCCTCCTCGGCCTCGGCGCCCACTCTGGCTGTGCTTGAGGAGCCCTTCAGCCCACCGCCACACTGTGGGAGCCCCGCTCTGGGCTGGCTGAGGCCGGAGCTGGCTCCCTCTGCTTGCGGGAGGTGTGGAAGGAGAGGCGTGGGCAGGAACTGGGGCTGCACGTGGCAATCGCGAGCCAGCGCGAGTTCCAGGTGGGTGTGGGCTCCGTGGGCCCCACACTCGGATTGGCTGGCCGGCACCCCTGGCCCTGGGCAGTGAGGGGCTTAGCACCTGGGCCAGCAGCTGTGGAGGGTGCACCCGGACCCCCAGCAGTGCCAGCCCGACGGCACTGTGCTCAAATTCTCGCTGGGCCTCAGCTGCCTCCCCGGGGGCAGGGCTTGGGACCTGCAGCCTGCCATGCCTAAGCCTCCCCCCGAGCTGTGGGCTCCTGTGGGGCCCGAGCCTCCCTGACGAGAGCCACCCCCTGCTCTGCAGCACCCGGTCCCATCAACCACCCAAGGGCTGAGGAGTGCAGACGCATGGTGCGGGACTGGCGGGCAGCTCCACCTGCAGCCCCTGTGCAGGATACACTAAGTGATGCTAGCTGGGTCCCTGAGTCTACTGGGGACTTGGAGAACTTTTATGTCTAGCTGGAGGATTGTATATACACCAATGAGCACCGTGTCTAGCTCAAGGTTTGTAAATGCACCAATCAGTGCTCTGTATCTAGCTAATCTGGTGGGGACTTGGAGAACCTTTATGCCTAGCTAAGGGATTGTAAATACACCAATCAGTACTCTGTGTCTAGCTCAAGGTTTGTAAACACACCAATCAACACCCTGTGTCTAGCTCAAGGTTTGTAAATGCACCAATCAGTGCTCTGTGTCTAGCTAATCTAGTGGGGACTTGCAGAACTTTCATATCTAGCTAGAGGATTGTAAATGCACCAATCAGCACTCTGTGTCTAGCTCAAGATTTGTAAATGCCAATCAGCACCCTGTGTCTAGCTCCAGATTTGTAAATGCCAATCAGCACTCTGTATCTAGCTAATCTGGTGGGGACTTGGAGAACTTTTATGTCTAGCTAAAGGATTGTAAATGCACCAATCAGTACTCTGTGTCTAGCTCAAGGTTTGTAAACGCACCAATCAGCACCCTGTGTCTAGTTCAAGGTTTGTAAATGCACCAATCAATCCTCTGTGTCTAGCTAATCTAGTGGAGACTTGAAGAACTTTTAGGTCTAGCTAGAGGATTGTAAATACACCAATCAGCACTAATCAGCACTCTGTGTCTAGCTCAGGGATTGTAAACGCACCAATCAGTGCCGTGTCAAAACAGACCAGTCAGCTCTCTGTAAAATGGACCAATCAGCTCTCTGTAAAATGGACCAATCAGCAGGATGTGGGTGTGGCGTGGTAAGGGAATAAAAGCAGGCTGCTGGATCCCGTAGTGGCAACTCTCTAGGTTCCCCTTCCATGCTGCAGAGGCTTTTTTCTTTTGCTATTTTCAATAAATCTTGCTGCTGCTCACTCCTTGGGTCCACACTGCTTTAATGAGCTGTAACACTGACTGTGAAGTTCTGCAGCTTCACTCCTGAGGCCAGCGAGACCACGAACCCACCGGGAGAAATGAACAACTACAGATGCGCCACCTTAAGAGCTGTAACACTCACCATGAGGGTCTGCAGCTTCATTCCTGAAGTCGGTGAGACCATGAACCCACCAATTTTGGGCACGCTGGGATTACAGGCATGAGCCATCGCCCCCAGCCATCATTGTAATTTAATACGTATCAACTTGTCTTGGATACTCAGTACCAATTGAATACAAGTATTCTCTTGTTAAAGAGAAACTCATTTAGTTAACAATCTAGAAATAGAATTTCTGATGCTATTTATAATAGATATCTGAGCTCCTTTCCTCTGTAAGGATCACTGGGATCTAAAATTAACCAGTCTGCAGCAGGGACCACTCACTCTTAAACCCTACTCTAGGGCACCAATTTATTAATTCTAACCACGTCACCATTTGCAACCGGTCACATTAGCTTGATTGGTAACCACCTTAAAAATACACCATAAACCTTGGAATCCAAAATTGCTATTCCTCATTTTCATTTTCTAAAACATATTTTGATCCTCATAAATTAAACAATTTGCTGAAAATTGCTGCTTTTCACTGTGAAGGAGCTACACAGAGTCAAGATCTTCCCTTTTTTGAATCTTCTCCCCATACCCCTGACACCCTCACCAGGCCCTGAAACCAATCAAAGCCATACCTGGCAAGTTTATACAAGTAAATTAAAAAAACAAAACAAAACCACTAAAATGACTGGGCGCAGTGGCTCATGCCTGTAATCCCAGCACTTTGGGAGGCTGAGGTGGGTGGATCACGAGGTCAGGAGTTTGTAACCAGCCAGACCAATATGGTGAAACTCTGACTCTACTAAAAATACAAAAATTAGCTGGGTGTGATGGCATGTGCCTGTAATCCCAGCTACTCAGGAGGCTGACGCAGGAGAATCGTTTGAACCCGGGAGGCAGTGGTTGCAGTGAGCTCAGATCGTGCCATTGCACTCCAGTCTGGGCGACAGAGCAAGACTTCATCTAAAAAAAAAAACAAAAAATGAAAAAAAAAAACCACCTAAAATTTTGTGATCTATCAAATGATCTCTAATTTCATTGAAATAGGAAGGGTCTATCCTCTACACCACATATTTAATACAGGTATACTGATGTGTGCTCTTGTCCAAGACATGGTTCCTCATGTATACAACTTTGAAGGCTTTCATGGTAGTCCACTTTTGTGGTCAGGACTTCTTTCAGTATGGACCTTCTGATTAGTCTCTAGTTGGAGGTGCTAATCCATTATTCCTTTTGCTTCAGTCTCATTAGAAGAGGGCACCAGACTGCTTTTCAATGTAGAAGCAAGAGGCGGCATAGGAAGGAAAGGGGGAGGCAACACTTTCTGAGAGCCTTGCTTCATGTCAGAAGCTGCCACTACACAAAGCTCTATTTTATCAATTTGGAAATGAAATCTCAGAAAGATCAAGTATGTGTCAGAGAGCAAGTAAGTGGAAATGGGCTTCAAGCATGGTTCCATGTAGCTCTTAACCACCCTCTTTTCTTTTATCGTCTGTTAATATATGAAAGCACATATTTGTGTGTTTTTTGAAAGTGTTTTCAGAATCAGTGATAGGAGGAAATTTGTTGAAATGGTAAATACAGAACCTAGGCATCCCTGGGACTTTGCATGCTCAGGCCTGGTGCTGAGATCAGGAGGTGATTTTCCTCATTTCACAGCAGCCCTTAGAAGTGCAGGTGATGACATCCTGGACGCCGCCCATCTCCAGGCTCTGCTTTGAATTTGTTTCCATCTGAGGCTAATATTAGGTCAAATTTCCAATCTTCAGACTTCCAATGTTTAGCAATAAAAACCAAGTTTTACAATATCTGTTTTGTTCAAACTCTTCTCTGAGGTGATTCAATACCTAGCATATCTGGAAAACTAAAATTACTTGAACTAACTGATAAAATGAAACAAAAATCTCATAATTTTTAGGCACCACCTGTTAATTTATTGGTTTGGATGTCTTAGTGTTGTTCTAATAAACGATTTGTTAGGTCTTGGTATGTGGTTAAGTTGGAATACAAGTAAGATACCTCCACACCAAAGGTCTAAAACGTTCAGCAGATGGGTTCTTGGCTATTTTCCAAAACAGCACAGTAATGTGAACACATCAATAAATGTAATTTTTGAAAACCTTTTGAGCATACATGGCCTCCATGTAAATGGCACTTTTGGCACCGTCTAAAGTCATCATGTTGTGATAGTGTGGTACCAGCTGTGCACATACATTTATATCAGGGGATTACTAATGTCTGATTAGAATTCTTGCTTATTAATAAAATTTAGGGTAGAATAGAATGCGAATTATAGAAAGGGAAGCAAAAATATACACACTTTTGAGAAAATACCTTCACCGTTTCTAAATTAAATTTAATTTTCTTGTTTCACAGATGAGAAAATCAAAGCCCGTATCATCTGCTTCACGTCCCGCATTTACTTAACGCTGTAAGCATAGAACGCTGTTCCCAGTGACTACCCCTCCATCCCCGGTTCTGTGATTTCAGAGACAGTCGTGGTATCCTTGAGGGCAGGCATTGGTTTTTTTTTTAAATTTATTACAATATTTAGCTTATTCCTAGTAGAGAGCAGTCAATGGATACATTTTCCAAATTGAATTGACTTCATGTAAGTGAATTTTTTAATAAACAGCAAATTTACACGGTGAATATTACCTTTTCAGAATCTGTTTATTATATTAATATTGATTTCTCAACATTATACCTCTATTAAAAACTCTTTGTTAATGAAGGGTTTTGACACTAAAAAATAAACTAATATATAGCATAACACTGAAGTTTAAGAAAATTATTGTATGAAACATTCAGTAAAAGCAAGCACTTACTACCCTGTCAGTCCAAAATGTAATATTGTGCAATAGCCTTTAAATTGTATTGTTATAAAAATGTTGCTTAACTGGGCCCTTAGGAATTAATAACGGTTCTAAAAATAAACTAAATGGATTATTTTCCTTGGCCTCCATTTTATGTCCTAAATGGTATTTCTGTGTTCAGTCATCTTTTTTATTGCGAAAATTTGTCTAACATCTAGGAATTGCTTTGGGAAAAGACATTCTACCCATAAAGTTGAATTTCTTTCTTTTTTTTCTCAGAAGAGAGGAAATTAGGTTACCCACACCACCACCATTCTCATTCCAGACTGAACTTTCTTTTTCTTGAAGTGCTCTTTGAGCCTATGTGGTTCCAACATGAGTCTCCATGTGGGGTATGTTAAGGGATGCTGTCAGAACAATGACTTCTATAGAAGCCCAACGAACTGGCAGAAACATGTACCCCGAAAGATGATCGACTCAGATACTGCTGCAGTGCAAAAGGACAGGCAAGGAGAAAGTGTGAGTTATAGACATGGTTCAGGCCAGCCAACTCAGGGTAACTTGAGTCTACCCATGCGAATACTAGCCACTTGCATTTTCACATAGTCCAAGAGTTGATCTGGGCTAGCAAAATTAAGCTTATTTACTACAAGGAGAAATCCACTTTCTTAAAATCCATTTTGAATAAAAGTTTGAGTACAGCCAGGTTGGAATGTACTCTTCAAGAGCAGGTATTAAGTCTTTTTTTTTTTTTTTTTTTTTTTTTTGAGATGGAGTCTTGCTCTGTCGCCCAGGCTGGAGTGCAGTGGCATGATCTCAGCTCACTGCAAGTTCCACCTCCCGGGTTCACACCATTCTCCTGCCTCAGCCTCCCGAGTAGCTGGGACTACAGGTGCCAGCCACCATGCCCAGCTAACTTTTTTGTATTTTTAGTAGAGATGGGGTTTCACCGTGTTAGCCAGAATGGTCTCGATCTCCTGACCTCATGTTCCACCTGCCTTGGCCTCCCAAAGTGCTCGTATTACAGGTGTGAGCCACTGTGCCCGGCCTTTTTAAGCTTATTAGGCCATAAAGAAGACAGCACAATGTTTTCACATTATAGTCTACTGAGTTTTACTAGAATGCTTTTTATGACATTAAATTTGTAAATATGTTTTAAAGGTAAAAATGTTGTTTGCTATTTCAAAGAATAAATTATTTTTAGAAATTTTAAAGACTGTATTTTCATGTTAGTAATTTACAGTTAAATCTCACCTCATTATCCTCATCTGTAAAATGGGATAGTAATAAATTTTGGTTGTAAGAATATGAGGACTAAGTGGTTAATGCCATTAGCACTTAGAACAGCGACTTGCAATGTAACTTCTTACTCCAGCTCCTCACACCCTGCCAGTCACTGGAACTTTAATTTCCCTGGCCTATCAGGGGCTCTCAAGGGACTCAGGAATCCCCCCAAAAAAACTACCTGAGGCTTCAAAGGAAAAAGGCTGATTTGAAACAAACTGGATGTTCTATCCACTGAGGTGAGCTCTGGAGACATCCCAACAGCTTCTTGATGTCCCCTCAGTCTCTTGTCTCCATAAGATCACACATCAGGACAAAAGAAAATCTTCAAAGTCTCCTTCAAATATGCTGGTAAAACGCACTAACCTTACATTCAGTAGGTAACCTTAACTATGCTATAATCTTTTAAATGAAAACCATAAGATCTTTATTTGCATCTGTCTTTCCGTTCAAGAATACACACATATATATACACATAATACACATATATTATATATATAATAATTCCATGTGATACAGTACTACTTCCCATATGTTATCATGTTATGTGACAATGCCTGAATAGAATTACCAATCAATTTATAGTAATAAAATTACTTTTTAAATTTCTGTCCTAATTGGCTTAGAAAGAAAGAAGCACACACATAAAATAAATCTTCCTAAATTTCCATTCAACTGTCTTTCACGTTCACATGCGTTGGATAAATCTTTGATACAATGCCTGCCTAAGAAAACTCAGGGCTGCAAAAATAACCCATTGTTTGTTCTAGCCAACACCTGAAGATAGGGCCCCTGTCTTCCAGTCTCTGTGGGAGAGTAGGAGCCTAGTTAACTTCAATAAGTGCTGGTTAACCCAGATGGCTGTCACATTTCACTTTCACTGACAATTTTCACTTCCCTAATTCCACTGAGCCCCACTCATTCCCCTCATAATTCCTTCATTCTCCCTTTAAAACACCCACTCACCTCTGTATAAATTGTAGTTGGGGTCAGTTCATCCTGGACTCTTGCTCAACCTTCAGGAGTCAGAGAAAAAACATCTAAAGGGAGTGGGAGAAAAATCAGACAAAATGTGTCAATAAAGTCAGTAGCAGAAGAAAGTGCTCGAGGAAGGAGAAGTGTTCATTCTATTAAATGAGAAGGAGGTCACTGGTGACCCTGGGGTAGGGTGATGAAGGTGAAAGCCAGATTGGAAGAGGGCAATGAGGCGGGAGGCTGTTAGGAATACATTGTCCAGGGCCTTACTTGTTTCACTAGGAAAACTGGAATTAGTCCAATCAGCATTGGGAGCTAACAGATTTCCACCTACCAGGGGGATATAATTGTTTTTGTAATACAGAGACTTAACTTGGCAGCAGTGTGTGAGGTAGATGGGCCGTGTTCGGAACAAGACTGGCAGTAGGAATGCAATTTAGAGGTCTATGGCCATAATCCAGTTAATAGAGGGCCATCACTGAATAGCATTTAAGCAAGATATATAAAGGAAACTGATCCAGCCTCTTTCTCTCATGCTTTACCCCCCACATGTACATTAAATCATCATCTTTCTTCATTTCCACTTTATATAAGGTACCACATTTTAAGAAACATCCCTTTAGAGGAGAAGTTTCCCTCCACCCTCAATGGCTTCTAAAATAAAATATAATGTTCCCAGTAAAATAATTGTGGAAAGAAGTCTAGCTATTTTAAAAAGAACTACTAGGAAATAAAAACATTCAACTTTTCAAAACTCAAGGCAGGCAAACAACTGACAGGTTCACAATCTACTCAGTATTGAAGTTCATTTCCTATTAATAAGACATTTACTGAAGAAACACAATTATGATGCATTTTAATATATTCTAAAATTAATTTTATCACGCAATTAATTAGGACAATAAAATGCTTTCTTTTAATTGACATAGGAAGCAAATGAGGGCCCTTAGGATGCTTCACGTATTACTCATTTGAAAAAGGAGTGGAGCAACTGAAACCATAGACCAGACTTTGAAATGATTAATGGTAATAAGTAATAAAAATATCCATTCCAGTATGTTTTTTGTTTTTTGTTTTTAGCTTTCCCCTAGACACTTTTCTAAAACAAGAGGACACGTCAAAAACACTTTTGAAAATTGATAGTGCTTTAGAATTAGTGAACAACATTCCAGAAATATAAATTTGACTTAGTTAAAGGGCATAAAAATAAAACTTTCAAGACAAGCCTAAATGATCTATAATGTTGTTAAAACAAAAGCAGATAGACACTCTTACTCCAGCAGGAGCTGGAGTAAGATCAAGACCATCCTGGCCAACATGGTGAAACCCCGTCTCTCCTAAAAATACAAAAACTAGCTGGGCGTGGTGGTGCACGCCTGTAATCCCAGCTACTCAGGAGGCTGAAGGAGGAGAATTGCCTGAACCAGGGAGTTGGAAGTTGCGGTGAGCCGAGATCGCGCTACTGCCCTCCAGCCTGGAGACAGAGCGAGACTCCATCTCAAAAAAAAAAGGCCAGACGCGGTGGCTCACGCCTGTAATCCCAGCATTTTGGGAGGCCGAGGCGGGCGGATCAAGAGGTCAGGAAATCGAGACCATCCTGGCTAACACGGTGAAACCCCGTCTCTACTAAAAAAATACAAAAAAAAATTAGCCGGGCATGGTGGCAGGCGCCTGTAGTCCCAGCTACTTCGGAGGCTGAGGCAGGAGAATGGCGTGAACCCGGGAGGCGGAGCTTGCAGTGAGCCGAGATGGCACCATCGCACTCCAGCCTGGGTGACAGAGCGAGACTCCGCCTCAAAAACAAAACAAAACAAAAAAAGTCAGCTCTTTGTAAAAGTCTATCTCTTTGTAAAAGTTAATTCATAATATGCCATTGCCAATAACTGAAGATGGTATCAGTGTTCTCTAGATGTTTAAAATATTGTAAGACATTTGTTCATATACAAATTGTTAATTATCTTGTTTGCTTTTCGGCTTTTTTTTTTTTTTCTTTTTAGATGGAGGCTCGCTCTGTCGCCCAGGCTGGAGTGCAGTGGCGCGATCTCAGTTCACTGCAAGCTCCGCCTCCTGGGTTCACGCCATTCTCCTGCCTCAGCCTCCCGAAGAGCTGGGACTACAGGCACCCGCCACCACGCCAGCTAAGTTTTTTTGTATTTTTAGTAGAGACAGGGTTTCACCGTGTTAGCCAGGATGGTCTCGATCTCCTGACCCCGTGATCCACCCGCCTCGACCTTCCAAATTGCTGGGATTACAGGCGTGAACCACCACGCCCAGCAGCTTTTGGGCTTTTTAAAAAGAATTAAGGGCTACTCCTTTTAGTAAACATGTACACTCTCTGTATTGAAAAAATCAGATTGTGAATTGACTTGCTATCCTTTCCTTCAATCCAAACTTTAGCCTTGAATGCAAAAGTGGCACGGGATTCGGAGTAAATTAAGTGAAAAGAGAAATGTTCAGTAGCAACAGAAGAAAATTAATGCTAATAACTCATTTTTAAAAAGCAACATATTGGCCAGGCATGGTGGCTCATGCCTGTAATCCCAGCATTTTGGGAGGCAGAGGCGGGTGGATCACATGAGGTCAGAAGTTCGAGACCAGCCTGGACAACATGGTGAAACCCCGTTTCTATTAAAAATACAAAAAACGAGCCGGGCCTGGCTGGTGCCAACCTGTGATCCCAGATACTCGGGAGGCTGAGGCAGGAGAATAGCTTGAACCCAGGAGGCAGGGGTTGCAGTGAGTCAATATGGCGCTACTGCACTCCAGCCTGGGGCACAGAGCGAGACTCTGTCTCAGAAAAAAAAGAAAAGAAAAAAGAATGCTTATGCTTAGGATTTAGGCTGAACTACCATTTAAATAATTGTCTCTATTGTATCCTTTCATTCTTCCTTTCCTAAGATTCCACATAGATTTTGTAGAGAAGTCCAAACTCAGCACCATTTGTTTACATTACTAAGGTCTTTAAAATTTTAAATAGATTTAAGTATTTACTTTAACCAAAACTAAATGCCTAGAGACTTACTTGTCTCCACAGAAAATGAACTTAATTCATATTTGTCTCAAACACTTGCCAAAACCTTAAGCTTAAACCCATTTTACAATGCAAGTAGTGGTTAACTATTTTGTGCATGTCTTTTTGTCTTTTCTGCCATTTTCTTAGCCAGATGTGCCAATATTTTTAAAAGATCAAAGGTTTATCCAAAATAAAGAGAAACTACAGGATTTTTTTCTCAGATTCAGTCAAGACCTGGTAAGACAGATCATTTAGGGCAAGCTTTGATCTTCTCAATGTTTATATCAGCTGAAAGGAACACCTGCACACTCAGAGTCTTTCCTAGTGATTAAATAATTTGATTTTAATTAAAAATTCACAGTAAGGAATTGGAAGAAAATGCTGGATTTCAATATACCATTTTCTCCTTCCTTTTGTTGTTTTAATGGCATAATATGCTATGTATAAGGTCAACAAGAGTAGAGACGAAAAGAACAAGTTTGGCGAGGTGCGGTGGCTCACAACTGTAATCCCAGCACTTTGGGAGGCCAAGGCGGGCGGATCACGAGGTCAGGAGGTTGAAACCATCCTGGCTAACATGGTGAAACCCCGTCTCTACTAAAAATCCAAAAAAAAAAAAAAAAAAAAAAAAAAATTAGCCAGGCGTGGTGGCAGGTGCCTGTAGTCCCAGCTACTTGGGAGGCTGCGGCAGGAGAATTGATTGAACCCAGGAGGTGGAGGTTGCAGTGAGACGAGATTGCACCACTGCACTCCAGCCTGGGTGACAGGGCGAGACTCCATCTCAAAAAAAAAAAAAAAAAAAAAGAACAAGTTTATAATTGTGGTTATATTGTCTCCTAACCTAGGAAAAAATGACAATATTGACATTAAAATTGTGCATTGTATATAATTTCCTGTGCTTTTAGTCATACTATTATCTGAGATCTTTTGTGCCTCTGGCTTTCATGGGATTTTTTTTTTTTTTTTTTTTTTTTTTTGAGACAGAATCTCACTCTGTCACCAGGCTGGAGTACAGTGGCGCGATCTCAGCTAACTGCAACCTCTGCCTCCCGGGATCAAGCGATTCCCCTGCCTCAGCCTCCCAAGTAGCTGGGATTACAGGCATGCACCACCATGCCCGGCTAATTTTTTGTATTTTAGTAGAGATGGGGTTTCATCATGTTGGCCAAGATGGTCTCGATCTCCTGACCTTGTGATCTGCCCACCTTGGCCTCCCAAAGTGCAGGGATTACGGGCGTGAGAGCCACAGCGCCCGGCCTAATTTTTTTTTTTTTTTTGGAGACGGAGTCTCGCTTTGCCGCCCAGGCTGGAGTGCAGTGGTGCCATCTCAGCTCACTGCAACCTCCGCCTCCCGGGTTCAAGCAATTCTCCGTCCCAGCCTCCTGAGTAGCTGGAATTACAGGCGCCCGCCACCGTGCCCGGCTAATTTTTTTGTATTTTTAGTAGAGACGGGGTTTCACCATCTTGGCCAGGCTGGTCTTGAACTCCTGACCTTGTGATCCATCCGCCTCAGCCTCCCAAAGTGCTAGGGTTACAGGTGTGAGCCACTGCCCCAGGCCTAGTGTGTCATTTTTAATGTTACCCATAACCAGCCTTAGAATCGTGTGGGAGTTTTTGTTTCTTTTGAAAGATGTGATTCTAAAAATCAAATTAACTTTTTTAGAACATAAAATTTATCAAAGCAAGGACATTTCTAAAAGAAATACTTGAAAAGAACAGTTGATCAGTGAATTCACCAGTAAGTTTAAGTCAATTTAAAATTAACTTAGCAAATGATATGTTCATAGCACTCTGTGGACCAGTAGGGAATACAAAAATGAAAAAATCCTGACACTATTTTAACAGTGGAGAGAGACAGGTCATTAACTTACTAAAATGTAAGGTAGGATAATGTAAATGCTAAATTATGACATATACAATAAAGGCTGTGGGAATCACAAATGCTAAATTATGACATATACAATAAAGGCTGTGGGAATCACAGGATACGTCAATGAGTTTCAATAAAGGTTCAGGGACATCTTCACGGAGGACAGAACACTGGAAATTTTTTAATTTAAATTTTATGGGGGATGGTAGGAAATTCCAGGTGGCCAGATGGTTTGAGTAAATGTGTGGCAGTTAAAATGTGTTGACTCTATTCATGAAACAATGAAGTCCATATGCCTGGGACATTGGGTACTGGTGTGAACATGGAAGAAAAAATGTCAGGGCAAAGGAGAAAATGGAGAAATGGGGGAAGTTCTTTTTTTTTTTTTTTTGAGATGGAGTTTCACTCTTGCTGCCCAGGCTGGAGTGCAATGGCACAATCTTGGCTCACTGCAACTTCTGCCTCCCAGGTTGAAGTGATTTCCTGCCTCAGCCTCCCGAGTAGCTGGGATTACAGGCATGTGCAACCATGCCTGGCTAATTTTTTTTTTTTCTTGTATTTTTAGTAGAGACAAGGTTTCTCCATGTTGGTCAGGCTGGTCTCAAACTCCTGACCTCACGTGATCTGCCTGCCTCGGCCTCCCAAAGTGCTGGGATTACAGGCATGAGCCACTGCGCCCGGTCTTACAAGGATCCTATAATGTGAGCAATGTATGTACAAAGCATCTTGTTATAGCCTGGGCCATAATACTCATGCAGTAAATTAGAGCTGTAGAAATCAATCACATCTATATATTGATTTTCTTTTCCTTTTTTTTTTTTTTTTGAGACAGAGTTTCACTCTGTCTTCCAGGTTGGAGTGCAGTGGTGCAATCACCGCTCACTACAGCCTCAACTTCCCAGGCTCAAGTGATCCTCCCATCTCAGCCTCTCGAGTAGCTGGGACTACAGGCATGTGCCACTATGCCTGGCTAATGTTTTTGTACTTTTAGTAGAGATGAGGTCTCACTATGTTGCCCAGGCTGGTCTCGAATTCCTAAGCTCCAGCCATTCTTTTACTTCAAACTCCAAAGTATTGGGATTACAAGTGTGAGCCACCATACTTGGCCTTGATTTTCAGTTTACTGTGTTGACTTCACACTTGGCTTGGAGAAGGGAAAAAACAGGGCTGGGCGTGGTGGCTCATGCCTATAATCCCAGCAATTTGGAGCCTGAGGCAGGAGGATCACTTGAGCCCAGGGGTTCAAGACTAGCCTGGGCAACATAGGGGGATGCCCCTCTCTACAAAAAATTTAAAAATTAGTTGGGAGTGATGTCATATGCCTGTATTCCCAGCTACTCGGGAGGCTGAGGTGGGAAGATCACTTGGGCCTGGGAGGTCGAGGCTGCAATGAGCCATGATTGTGCCAGTGCACTCCAGTGTGGGCGACAGAGTGAGACCCTGTCTCCAAACAAAGAAACAAACAAACAAAAAACAACAGAAAAAGGAACGTAATTCTTTTTGCAGTGCAGGTTCTAGCAAGATCAAAGAAGTTAAGGCAGAAGGATCTGAGGCTTTGAGTACTTCTGCCTTAGGACTTGTATAGAGAGCATGTATGTGTCATCAGGGTGGCTGATTCCTGTCCATGAAAGGATGACACTAGCATTCCATGTTAGGTTAGGGAATGAAATTGCTTCTTGAACTCAGGACACTATTGTAGACATAAAAGCAAGTTTAGTTCTTACAGTGAAGTAGGTGAGCTCTTTGGGGTTCATTTCCTTGCCAGCCATTTATGCCCGTTTGGGCAATTATACAGAACTTCCAGGCCCGCTCAGAATGTGAATAGTCCCAGCAGTTGAGAGGAAGAAGTCTAAAATATTTTTAAATGCCATGTGGTGGCAGTCCTTAGTATTTGGATTTACTTGGTTAGGATAGATTGGATGAAACGGCAAAATGAAAGAAATGAAGCGGGTTCACAGCTGTAGCTTTGCTTCTGTGATTTTAGAGAAGTAATAAATGCTAAACTGTGTGCGCTCAAAGAAGGGAAGAAATCAATTTCCGCAAAGAACAATGGTGTAATAAGAGTTTATATTGACAGTTTATTTACTTTTTAAAGGTATACTTCCATATATTCTTATATATTTAATTGATCTGTAAATGGAAATATATAAAATATTGGTTGCACATGTTTATGTAACAATGTATAGCCGGGATGTGGAGTTAAAGAATTATACAGACAGGAAGAAATAAACATCTAAGCAGGAGACAGCTGAGTAAAGTCTGATCCTCGTTTCCCTCATGGAATCTTTTTACTTCCGCGTAGCTCCTTTCTCTGGAGCAACAGCTGTGCGTGGGTCCAGAGTTAGACCAGCTATGCTTGAGTTCTGGTTGACCGAACATTTCCTAGATGACAGTAAGCCTGTCACTTGATGCCCCACTTCTTTCTTTCTCTCTGGTGTGTAATTTTTAACAGCTTTATCGACATATAATTTACATACCATAAAATTCATTCAAGTATAGAATTTTTTTTACTAAACTTAAGAAATTGTGCAATCACGGAAGTCCAATTTTAAAACATTTTTATCCACTTAACCTGTCCTAACTTTTGTGTCCTCATTTATACTATACAGTGCATATGTATAATGGGTTGTTGCACAAACTCAATAAGATAGTGGTTGGCTGGCTCGCGCCTGTAATTCCAGCACTTTGGGAGGCCAAGGTGGGTGACTCACCAGGTCAGGAGTTGGAGACAAGCCTGACCAACATGGTGAAACCCTGTCTCTACTAAAAACAGAAAAATTAGCCGGGCGTGGTGGCACGCGCCTGTTATCCCACCTACTCAGGAGGTTGAGACAGGAGAATCGCTTGAACCCGGGAGGTGGAGGTTGCAGTGACCCGAGATCGTGCCACTGCACTCCAGCCTGGGTGACGGAGTGAGACTCCATCTCAAAAAAATAAATAAAAAAAGATAGTAGTTGGCACATGATAATACTCAGTAAATACCAGCTATTGTATTATTATGGAGTGCATTAAATATCCTTTTCATGTTGCAAACACTGGGATGAAAATAATGTTTTTTAGAAACCAGAATACTAAAAAAAAAATTATATATATATATGACATATATACATATATAACATTTATATTTATTTACATAAAACTTATATATATGTTTTACATAGTTTCAAAACATGTTTTTTTTTTGTTTGTTTGTTTTGAGATGGAGTCTCGCATTGTCGCCCAGGCTGCAGTGCAGTGGCGCCATCACAGCTCACAGCAAGCTCCGCCTCCCGGGTTCACGCCATTCTCCTGCCTCAGCCTTCCAAGTAGCTGGGACTACAGGCGCCAGCTACCACGTCCGGCTAATTTTTTGTATTTTTAGTGAGACTGGGTTTCACCATGTTAGCCAGGATGGTCTCCATCTCCTGACCTTGTGATCCACCTGTCTTGACCTCCCAAAGTGCCGGGATTACAGGCGTGAGCCACCGCCACCGGCCTCAAAACATGTTTTAAAAACTCAATAGTAGATTGGGGAAGATTTTCTATTAAAAGTTTTTAGAAATGATCTAGTTGCAAGCAATGGGAACGTCAAAGATGAGTGTTTTACAGGTCTTAGAAATATTTTTTAAATGCTCAATATTTGTTATTCTTACACCTCCAAATAACTCTAAGGAAGATCATAAACCACCAGCAGGCATTGGTCATTTCTTTTTCATGCTAAGCAGTGCCCATCCCAGAATCGTTAAAACTATGTTTAAGAAATGCATCATGGTCAGGCGCCGTGGCTCACGCCTGTAATCCCAGCAGTTTGGGAGGCTGAGGCGGGCGGATCACCTGAGGTCAGGAGTTTGAGACCAGCCTGGCCAACATGGTGAAACCGCGTATCTACTAAAAATACAAAAATTAGCTGGGCTTGGTGGCGGGCACCTGTAATCCCAGCTACTCAGGAGGCTAAGGCAGGAGAATTGCTTGAACCCGGGAGGCGGAGGTTGCAGTGAGCCGAGATCGCGCCATTGCACTCCAGTCTGGGAGACAAGAGTGAAACTCCATCTCAAAAAAAAAAAAAAAAAAAAATTCATTTTCTTTACTATGATTCTCGGGACAGGCATTGTTGATTTTATATTTCAAGAAGATGATTTTTTAATGGTGTTTAGCCCTGTAACTATAAAGATTGATAGGGAAGTAGTCATTTCTATCATTTCCTTCTCTTGTTTCTTTTCTTTTTTTTGAGTTGGAGTATCGCCCTGTTGCCCAGGTTGGAGTGCAATGGCGCGATCCTGGCTCACTGCAATCTATGCCTCGCGGGTTCAAACGATTCTCCTGCCTCAGTCTCCCAAGTAGCTGGGATTACAGGTGCCTGCCACCATGCCCAGCGATTTTTTGTGTTTTTAGTAGAGATGGGCTTTCACCATGTTAGCCAGGCTAGTCTTGAACTCCTGACCTCGTGATCCATCTGCCTCAGCTTCCCAAAGTGCTGGGATTACAGGTGTGAGCCACCGCACCCACCCTCCATTTCTATAGTTTCTTTGGAAAGAATAAGATCATCAGGCTACTAAAAGAAAACAACTGATGTCCCAAAATGAAATCTTTCCATGTATTTAAGTATGTTACCCTAGATAGCGCTAGCATTGTGTGATTGGGTTTATATTGCAAAGGAGATTTTTGTAAACCCTGAAATATCTGTATCTGCAATAAAATTAGGTTGGCCATAATTCTTTTCCCAGTACTAGCTAAATTAAGTTATTTAGCAAAAACATAACAAGTCCCTATTATGTGTATTTTTCTATAGTCAAATGGTTAAAACTAAGGCCACAAAGATGAATTTCATTCCCGCCATTAAAAAGCCTATGATCAGGAAGGGCATGGTGGCTCATGCCTGTAATCCCAGCACTTTGGGATGCCAAGGCGGGTGGATCACCTTAGGTCAGGAGTTCGAGACCAGCCTGACCAACATGGCGAAACCTTGTGTCTACTGAAAATGCAAAAATTAGCTGGGCATGGTGATGCGCACCTGTACTCCCAGCTACTTGGGAGGCTGAGGCAAGAGAATCAAGAGAACCAAGAAGGCAGAAATTGCAGTGAACCAAGATAGCGCCACTGCACTCCAGACTGGGCAACAGAGCGAGACTCTGTCTCAAAAAAAAAAAAAAAAGCCTATGATCAGCTGGGCAAGGTGGCTCATACCTGTAGTTTCAGCCCTTTGGGAGGCGGAGGCAGGCAGATCACATGAGGCCAGGAGTTTGGAACCAGCCTGGCCAACATGCCAAAATTCCATCTCTACTAAAAATACAAAAAAATTTAGCTGAGCATGGTGGCACACACCTGTAATCCCAGCTACTAGGGAGACTGAGGCACGAGAATCACTTGAACCTGGGAGGTGGAGGTTGCAGTGAGCCAAGGTCATGCCACTGCACTTCAGTCTGACAGATGGAGTGAGACTCTGTCTCAAAAAATTTTTTAAAAAAATTAATAAAGCCTATGATCTAGTGCATCAGTGATTAACATATTATATGAAACTTTGGTTGAACTTTTGTTTGGACATAATCTTCATTAACCACTGCTTAAAATTTTATTGCCAAAAGACATACAAACAGAAAATTTCAAACTGGATAAAAATGTACAGAATCAGATAACGAATCTGATATAGAGATCTAGAATGTACTGGTTTCCAAGTGGTTTATATTTTTATAATTTGATTTAGGCCGGTAGCGGTGGCTCACGCCTGTAATCCCAGCACTTTGGGAGGCTGAGGCGGGCGGATCACGAGGTCAGGAGATCGAGACCATCCTGGCTAACATGGTGAAACCCCGTCTCTACTAAAAATATAACTACATTTATGTTCTATTTGAATTTCACTTTGTGTTATCACTTTTTTTCTGTTGCAGTTTTAGCCCTGTTGATTAATTTCCACTTTTGATTATTCCTTTTTGTAAAATATCACACGGGCTTCTCACTGGGAGACAAGCAGGCAGGACAAGGTTATGCTTTGCTCTCTGTATAAACTCAGTAACAAATATGCAGTGATTGGCAACAACATACTTTGAAAGAAGTGATGGGTCACTGATCATGATTCATCTGTTATTTAGGCTGTGGTTTGTGGACTGAAGAACTAACAAGAAGTGTACTTTATGTAATTACAGGTAAAATACCATGATAACTGAAATTAGAACCATGTTGGGGAACTCATGTCGTTTAATTCAATCGTGGTTATTGGAACTAGGTAGAGTGGTGATGGCCTATAACTCTTACCTTCCTGATGTTTTCTTTTTTATCTGCAATAAACATTTACATCTTTCCTTATATAGACTTTGAAATTGTCTATCAATTCTAGACATGTAGTTCTTGTTGCTATTGTGAATCACTTTTTATACTACATTTTATAATTGAGCATCACTGGTATATAGTATATAGGACAGTTTTTGGTTTCTATAATTAATAGGTTGACTTTGTTTTTAAATTTTAAGTAGATACATCATCTGAGAATTTAAAAGTCTTTTTCATTCAAATCGTTTTTCATCCTATTGTTTTTTTTGTTGTATGCATTGGCTAGAGACTTCAGGATAATGTCGAATAATATTAATGATAATATTGACTTTAATGGTGTATTAGTCATGTCTCTTACTTTCTGAATTTGATGCTTTGACATCCAGGGCTTTGTTGCCCCTGGAGGGACTGTCCCTCTCAGGATAAGCTAATTCCTGGACATAAACAACTTGCCTGCATGTATGTCTTCATATATAAACCAACCAATCCAGAGCTCATACCCCCTTCTTTATCCTTTCTTTATCACCCTCTATTCTTCTTATCTATCTTTATCCTTCTTTATCACTTTCATGTCCCAGGCCACTATCTGCCTGCCCTAATTGCCTCAGGGCCAGGTAGCAGACAACTAGGGACAGCCTCTCCTCCCCAAGACAGCATGAAATTATTCAAACTAGCCAATCCTAAGACTGGTTGCCCTGCCTTGCTTGTTCCTTCCTGTGGAAAGTGCAGTAAAGATTCTTCCTCGTGCTTTCCCCCGTCCCCTCTGTCTCCTGACTGACCGTGATGTTTCCCTGTTTTGCCTCTTGTGGTGTGAGGTGCCTACAGCTGGTAGGGAACCCTGAGTAGCAAAATAAACTGCTTCCCTCATGACACTTATTTCTGTGTTCATGTGTCCTACCATACTGATTAAAACAAATCCTTGGTGCCATAAAAATAAATGACATTTCAATTCATGCTTTATAATTAAATATGCCTTCTGCTGTAGGTCTCTAATAACTTTTATCAATATAGAAACATCTTCCTAAATTGCTAGCTTCTTATGAAGTTTTAAATTTTTTTTAACAAGGAGTGGTGTTGAATTTTATCAAGAGCTTTTTTGATGTTTATTGAAATAGTTGTTTTTTCTCCTATGAACTTTTCTAATAGAAACTATACTGATTGAAAAATAGGTTAAAATTAAAGTTTCATCAAAGACTCCCAAGATATAATAGCTATGAAAGTCTAAATCACCGTTTGTAGGTTTTCATAGCGAATATCTGAGAACCTGCTCCACAAGTATTAATTCCCCTCACCTACTTTAACAATATGAAAGGATGTGGAGTGGAGAAGACTGCAGGGAGCTGCTGCCTTGCACTCTCCCCTACCTTGCCTTTGATAGTCATATGTATGGAAAGGAAAATAATGCACACTCTTAACCCTGGGTCTAGAGGAGGACTCTTCCAGAGGCCACCAGGACAATTGACCAAAAAACTCCTGGAACTAATAAGCATTTATTATTGCTTACTAGTTGATCAATAGCTTGCTATTGATAGCAAGGTTGCAGCATACAGGATTAGTATAGAAAAATTCATTGCAGATGCTCTCCTGCACACCAACAATGAGCAATTGGAATTTGAAATTAAAAACACAATGCCATTTATGTTAACATTCCCACCACCACCAATGGAATATTTAGGTATAAATCTAACAAAATATATAAAAGATCTATGAGGAAAACTGCATAATTTTGATTAAGGAAATCAAAGAAGGACTAAATGAATAGAGAGATATTCCATGTTCTCAGATAGGGAGGCCTAGCATTAACAAAATGTCAGTTCTTCCCAACTTGCTCTCTAGATTCAATGCAATCTCCATCAAAATCCCAGAAATATATCACTTGGATATTGACAAATTGATTCCAAAGTTTATATGGAGAGGCAAAAAAAAATGGCAGCACAATATTAGAAAAGAAGAAAAACAGAGGACTAATACCACCCAATTTCAAAATTTACAACAAAGCTACAGCAATCAAGACAGTGTGGTAGTGGCAAAAGAATAGATGAATAGATCAATGGAACAGAATAGAAAGTCCCAAAATAGACCTATACAAATACTTGACAAAGGGGCAAAGGCAATACAATGAGGAAAAGATAGTCTTTTCAACAGATGGCACTGGAACAACTTAATATCCATATGCAAAATCAAAAATCTAGACACAGATCTTACATCTTCCCCAAAATTTAAGTCAAAATGGATCATAGACCTAAGTATAATGCACAAAATTATAAAACTTCTAGAATATAGGAGAAAACCTAGATAACCTTGGGCATGGCAATGACTTTTTAAATACAACACCACCAATGGCATGATCCATGGAACAAATAATTGATAAGCTGGACCTCATTCAAATTAAAAACTTCTGTGAAACGCACAGTCAAGAGAATTAGAAGACAAGCCACAGACCAGGAAAAAAACACTTGTGAAAGATGTATCTGATAAAGTACTGTTATCAAAATACATGAAGAACTCTTAAAACAACAATAAGGAACAGCCCAATTAAAAAGTTCACAAAAGATCTGAACACACACCTCACCAAAGAAGATCTACAGTTGGCTAATAAGCATATGAAAAAATTGCTCAATGTCATATGTCATTAGGAAATAGCAAATTAAAACTGATACCACTACCTACCTATTCAAATGCTTAAATAGAAGACACTGACAATACCAAACAATGACAAGGATGGGGAGCAATAAGAATTCTCATTTATTCTTGGAGGGAAAGCAAAATGAAACAGCCACTTTAGAAGACAGTTTGGCAGTTTCTTACACAGCTAAACACACTTTTTCCATATGATCCTGCAATTGCACTCCTATTTACCTAAGTGAGTTGAAAACTGATATTCACACAAGTGTGTGCGCACGTTTCTAGCACCTTTATCCACAATCGCTAAAATTTGGTGGCAACCAAGATGTCCAGCAATAGGGGAATGAATAAATGAACTATAGTTCATCCAGACAATGGAATATTATTCAGTGATAAGAAGAAATGAAGCCAAGATCACACCACTGCATTCCAACCTGGATGATAGAGTGAGACCCCATCTCAAAAAAAAAAAAAAACTTAAAGAAGAATTATCAAGCCATGAAAAGATAATGGAGTGCTGTGGTTTGACTACGGATTGGCCCTTCCAAAACTCATGTTTAGGCTTGGTCCCCAAGGTGGCAGTGCTTTAAGAGATGGATCAATCTCTTTCAGGTGCTACGGGGTTAGTTCTCATGGGAATGCATTACTTCCCATGAGATTGGGTTGTTATAAGCAAGGTTGCCTCTCCTGGTTTGTCCCCCTTTTGCATGCAGCCACTTCTCCTTCTGCTTATCTGCCATGATATGATGCAGTCAGTGGGCCTTCCCCAGACACTGGCACCATGCTCTTTGGACTTCCCAGGCTCCAGAAGCATGATCCAAAATTATCTCTTTTTAAAATAAACTACCCATGTATTCTGCTATAGGAACAGAAAATGAGACATGGAGGAACCATAAATACATATTATTAAGGAAAAGAAATCAATTAGAAATGGCTACATATGGTGATTCTAACTATATATTTTGGAAATGGTGCAATTACAGTGACAGTAAAAAAGACCAGTGGTTTCCAGGGTTTAAAGGGGAGGGAGACATTAATAGGCGGAACACAGAATTTTTAGGACAGGGAAACTAATCTATATGATTCTATAATGGTGGATACATGCCATTGTACATTTCTGAAAACCCATAGATTGTGCAACATCAAGAGTAAACCTGCAGTAAACTGTGGACTTTGGGTACTAATGATGTGTCAATGTAGGTTCCTCAATTGTTTCAGTATGATTTTTGTAGCATTTTGGTAGTGGAGGAGGCTGTGCATGTGTGGGGATGGGAAAAATGGGAACTCCCAATACATTCTGCTCAATTTTGCTGTGAATCTAATACTGGTCTAAAACGTAAAGTCTATGTCAAAAAACAGAAACCAAAAATGGATGGCTTTAACGTAGATTAGATTGTGCTGAAGAAAAGAATTAGTGAATAGAAATTAATGTCTGATTAATATACCCAGAATAGATAAAGAAATGGAAAATATACACAATTAAGAGATAGGGAGGCTAGTGTTAGAAGATCTAACATATATTTCATTAGAGTTTTAGAAGAAGCGAATAAGGAGAGGCAATGCTTGAAAACAATATAAATTACATTTTTTTTGGAATAGTGAAAGACAGATATTTCTAGATTCAGAAACCTCAGTAAAATATCTGGCAACTTAAGTAAAAAGAAACCCACAGTTATACCCACTGTATGCACCAAAGACGAAGAAAAGGTCTTAAAATCATGCAGAGGGGAAACAAAGAGATGACCTAATAGAAATAATAATTTGACAGCTGACTTCTCAACAGCAACAGTGAAAGGGAGAAGACAGTGGGGACAATTCCCTCAAAAAGCTGAGAGTTTGTACTGTCAATTGAAATTTTACATCCACTGAAACTGTCTTTGAAGAATGAGGGTGAAATAATGATAATCTAGGAAAAAAAGAAGTCAGCTATAACTCAACTACTAGGCAATAATGTGTGTGTGTGTGTGTGTGTGTGTGTGTGTGTGTGTGTGTGTGTGTGTGTTTGAAACCAAAGTGTTCCAAAGTCCCTGTATTTCCTAGGTTAAAATTGTTTAACTTGGGACTTTATTGAGTATGGATATTAGCATTATAACTGGCCATTAAAAGAATAGACACAGTATATAACTTTTCAACAAGAAGCTTAAAAACAGGAGTAAGGGAAAAATCCTAATCACATGAAGTAGACAAGAAAGGAAGATAAAAACCCCAGAAAAATCCAGGGTAATAGGAAGTACAAAATAAGATGTTAAAAACAAATACAAATATATAATCACAGTAAGAGTAGTAAGAAGAGGCCGGATGTGGTGGCTCATGCCTGTAATCCCAGCACTTTGGGAGGCCAGGGCAGAAGGATTGCTTGAAGCCAGGAGTTAGGAAGCAGCCTAGACAATATGGTGAGACTCCTGTCTCTACAAAAAATAAAAATTAGCCAGGCAGATGGCATAAGCCTGTAGTACCAGCTACTCGGGAGCCTGAGGCAAGAGGACGGCTTGAGCCCAGAATGTTGAGGCTGCAGTGAGCTATGATCGCACCACTGCACTCCAGCCTAGGTGACAGAATGAGACCCTGACTCTAAAAAAAAAAAAAAGAAAATTAAAAAAGTAAAAAGAATAAACTTGCAATTAAAAGATAATTCCTGAAGTAGAGATAAACACAACAAAATCTGCTGTCATTAAAAGTGGCAAACATAGAACATAAAGGCATAGAGAGTTTGAAAGTGCATGAATAGATTTGTCAGGCAAATACCTGAAAAAAGACGACACAGCTGCATGAGTACAAGAAAAAAAGCAGAAAACATTGCATGGTGATGGACGGTTCAACTCACCAGGAAGTCACATACATAATTTTTGTTTACACTTAATAATTAACCATGTCAGAATATATAAGGCACAATTCACCAGAACAATGAAAAGATATTGACAAATCTGCCCTCAGAAGATTTTAAAATATCCTTCTTAGTAATTGATGGATGCAGCAGACCAGATAACAAGCTGCAGGCAGAAAATTTGTGGAACATGCTAAACAAGCTTGTTCTAAGGAACACGTGTAGTACATTGTACCCAAGCACACATAAACCATCGGTAAAAATGGATCACACATCAAGCCATAAGTCTCAAGCACACTTCAAAGGCTCAATTATCATGGAATTGGGTCATTTCAGTATCATACCAGCCAAGATTCCTATGATCAAACAAAATATGAGGCTTAAATATTCATTCTCCTCTTTGAGGACCTACTGTAAAATCTTAGTTCATATTCTATCATGTGACAGATTAAATCATGTTTTCTGTAAACTCTACCAAACCCTGTGGGTTTTGCTGCAGTTGGCCTATTACATGGGTCTTTGCCCCAGTGGCAGCATTATAAAAGAAATTATGGATTTTCATAAGCTGTGATATAGCATTACTGCCCTATATCATTAATTATACAGTTCATAATATATTATTATCCTTGCACTTCCTCTCTAATGTCCAATTTCACCCCACTTTTTGCACTCCCCCCACCTCCAGTATCTCACTAAAATATTCATAAAGGAGCAAAGTTTGCTGCATTTTCAGGGTCAATCTAAATAATCCCACTCAGGTAGAGGTAGTTCTTGTAAAGACCTCTCAGCCAGACACCAAAGATTGTGTTCCACTTGAGTGAAAATCACAGGGTTGACGATTGTCATGAGAACCCTCTATTCATGGACTTGCCTGGTTCTATTTGTCAGGGTTTTCTTAACATGAGTGACCCCATTTTGATTCTGACAACTTTCACAGCTCTCTTCGCTGAACCTTTCCTGTATTGTCCCAGAGATCGGCATAATGACCATTATGTAGTCAGGTATCAGAAAAGCTGTGTCTTTCACATGGACGCAAAGAGGGGAACAACATACACTGGGGCCTGTTGTGGGGGGTTGAGGGGAGGGAGAGCATCAGGACAAATAGCTAACACATGCTGGGCCTCGTATTTAGGTGATGTGTTGATAGATGCAGCAAACCACCATGGCACATGTTTACCTATGTAACAAATCTGCATGTTCTGCACATGTATCCTGAACTTAAAGTAAAATAAAATTTAAAAAAAAATTAAAAAGAAAAGCCGTATTATTACTGTATCTGACATCAAAAGAACATGATATACTAAAACTGGAGTTACTGTTCCTGAGATAAAATTTAATGTAAAGCAAATTTACCTTCTATCCTATTTCAAGCATATGCTCAAAAAATTAAGAACACCTTGCCAGTTTTAATTACTAAATATTTTGGTTTTAAAACTAAATTTGTTTCATTTTAAATTTCCATTTAGCCTGCAGGGGTGTCCAATCTTTTGGCTTCCCTGGGACACACATAAGACCTACTAACACTCGTGATAGCTGATCAGCTAAAAAAAAAAATTGCAAAAAGATCTCATAATTTTTTTAAGAGAGAGTCTTGCCCTGTCGTCCAGGATTGAGTGCAGTAGCAAGATCTCAGCTCACTGCAGGCTCCACCTCCTGGGTTCAAAGGATTCTCCTCCTCAGCCTCTGGAGTTGCTGGGATTACAGGCATGCGTCACCGCACCTGGCTAATTTTTGTATTTTTAGTACAGATAGGGTTTTGCCATATTGGCCAAGCTGGTCTCGAACTCCTGATCTCAAGTGATCTGCCAGCCTTGGCCTCCCAATAGTGCTGGGATTACAAGTGTGAGTCACCGCGCCCTACAAAGAGCTTATAATGTTTTAATATTTGTTGGGCAGCATTCAAAGTTGTCCTGGGCCACGGGAGCCCGTGGGTTGAGACAGCATGATCTACAGCTTACTCTTCTCCAAATACTAAAACATACCATTAATTGCCTTCCTTAATTTTAAGAAAATAGCCTTTTAGCCCATCAGAAGCCAATTTGAAAGAGAAGAGATATAGGTAACAAGAGGCTAGGATAAGCTGGGCAGTAAATGTATCTCTGAGGGAAAACCTTCCAGATTGAAATACACAGCAATAAGATTGCTTTTACCTGGCCCTACATTCTTTTTTACAGGATACTAACAGCATTGTAATAATAGAGAATTCAAAAACTATCTAAAGACTATTTTTTTAAATTACTGTTATTCAAGCACTAAAAAAGCAAAACCAAAACAGCCTGTGTCCAGGGCTCCAATCAATCAAGCAACGGGAATCTCAGAGCAAGGGAACAGGCTCTGCTGGTCATATTTCCTCGTTTTTCTTTCTCGATTTTCCTGAAAATTCTGAAGGTCACAGAGGTAGAGATGAAAATCTAAGATCACCAAGACTTAAGAAGGCATGGGATGGTGAAAGCTATTTTTAATTATAGTATTGACCTCAAGATTGACTGACCCAATAATCCTTATAGAAATACTGTAGGAAGAACGTTTAACTTTTATTCATTTATTTTATTTATTTGCTGCTTCTGAACATTGATGCTTCGTGTCTCTTGCGGGGGTGGGGCATTAGGAGGCCTCTTGGCGACCGCGGGGGGAGGGAGCACGAAGTCCAGGGGCGGCGGGAGCTCTGGGTCGTCCAAGGGTGGTGGCTGTGGCGGCAGGAAGTAGTCTGGCAGGGAGGGGAAGCCCCTGCCGCCTGTGTTCTTGGCCTTGGAGGGGCGTGGCGGGGCTGCTGCTGGTATCCCTGGACCTCTGCACCAGAGGAGGCGGGGCAGGCTGGACTTGGGGCCGTGCGGGGCCCAGAGTGCTCCTGCCGGTTCCCGAGGGCTGGCTTCTTATCCTGCAAACAAGCGACGGCAGCATTCATTATTTTAAAATTTTCGAAATTTTAAATATATTGTTATTAATTAATGGAGACAGGGTCTCCCTCTGTCGCCCAGGCTGAGTGCAATGGCGCGATCTGGGCTCACTGCAGCCTCGATCTCCTGAGCTCAAGCGATCCTCCCGCCTCAGTCTTGTGAGTAGCATTCTTTATTCTTGACAAAACAGCCCCAGTGGACAGGACCATGCCATAGATAGGCGAGGTCTCTGTCTGCCCCCTGGGGAGCCTCCGTCCCTCAGTCACTGAGACCCCTGGTTGTTCATGAGCTCATCTTCACTCTGGAATAGGGAAATGACTCTAAATGGTCTTTAATATTATTATTATTATTATTATTATTGAGACGGAGTCTTGCTCTGTCACCCAGGCTGGAGTGCAGTGGCGCCATCTCGGTTCACTGCAACCTCTGCCTCCCGGGTTCAAGCGATTCTCCTGCCTCAGCCTCTCGAGTAGCTGGGACTACAGGTGCTGGCCACCACGTCCAGCTAATTTTTGTATTTTTAGTGGAGATGGGGTTTCACCATGTTGGTCAGGCTGGTCTTGAACTCCTGACCTCATGATCTGCCTGCCTCTGCCTCCCAAAGTGCTGGAATTACAGGCACGAGTCACCGCACCTGGCTTTTTTTTTGTGTGTGTGTGTGACAGGATCTCGCTGTGTCACCCAGGCTGGAGTGCAGTGGTGCAAGCTCGACTCACTGCAACCTCTGCTTCTAGGGCTCAGTGATCCTCATGCCTCAGCCTCCTGAGTTGCTGGGATGACAAGCATGTGCCACCATGCCCAGCTAATTTTTGTATTTTTTGTAGAGAGAGTTTTTTGCCATGTTGCTCAGGCTGGTCTCCAACTCCTGGGCTCAAGTGATCTGCCCACCTAGGCCTCCCAAATAACAGGTGTGAGCCACCTCACCCGGACAGTTTACCTTTTCTCAACTGCATGAAAGTTGGCTGGTTCACCGGGTATAAAATGAGCCCTGTAGTCCCTATTATGACCTGTGTCTCAGATTGTGATGAGATAAAATGAGATATATATATATATGAGTTCTAAAAAGAAAAATTATCAGCATGCTACTGGTAGAAACCAGAATGCTAAATTTGGCTAAAGTCTATTAGAGGCATAGCCCTTCCTCTGCCAATGCTGGAATACATTATAATAATTTGTATTTATATAATGAAACGTCCCCAGGCAGCTGGATTGAATCCCTCTGTTTTAGTGGTAATTATCATTCCAATTTACATTTCATCAGGGTTCCAGTTTATTTCTTCCTCTGCTTAATAGTTTCTTACCACTGAAGATTAAATCTGCAAATTTTTTTTCTAACAAAGTGCCTTGTGATTTAGTTTCTATTTTATTTAGTTTATTTACTTAGCATGATACGCTAATTAACTGGCGATGTACTTTTTCCTTTTTAAAAAATTTCTGAGCAGGTAGGTTGGGTATTGATGTTCACATATAGTTAAGTGATTTCTATTCTGGGATTCTTTTATTTCTTTCAGCATTTTTAAATGCTTTCCTTTGATTGGCATTGTAGAAATAATGAAAATAGTAATAGCTGACAGCACATTGCATGAGAAGCAGAGGCTTGAGAAGATAATGAGAACATTAAAGAAATACAACTTTTACAGGCCTGCAGTGGTTGTCAAAGTTATAAGAAGTTCAATAAATACTAAGATGTAATTGTTTTCACCACTGACTGATGGACAAAATGAAGGGGTGAAAGAAGTGAAAAATTGCTAAAGTGAAGCACCCTGCCTGTCCTAGCTGGGTAATATGCTATTGTCACAGTTATTTAAGGTTGTTTTGAATCACATGTGAGAAATACTCAACAGAATTTATACAGTCAACTGAGAGGTTTTGAACTAGATTAGTAACTAAATCATAATTATTAACTATGATTTTAAGATAGATTTAAGTGAATCCTCATTGACCTATTTGGTTGAAAAAATGCTGTGGAGGATGTCATACCTATTGGCTATTATTTTAAAATGTATTTTCTCCTCCATCACCCTGGGGATGTATGTAGGACATTAATGGGGAAAATAGACAATGCACATTTTTAGTGTAACCCTTTTTTATCTTTTTTTAAGACAAGGTCTTTAACTATCACGTAGGCTGGAGTGCAGTGGTGTGATCACAGCTCACTGCAGCCTTGAAATCCTGGGCTCAAGCAATTCAAACACCTCAGCCACCCAAGTAGCTAGGACCACAGGTGCACGCCACCACAGCTGGCTAATTTTTTAATTTCTTGTAAAGATGAGCCCTTGTTCTGTCGCTCAGGCTGGTCTGGAACTCCGGAGCTCAAGCAATTCTCCTGTTTCGGCCTCCCAAAGTACTGGGATTACAGGCGTAAGCCACCGTACCCGTACCCAACCTGTTTGCCTGTTTTCTCTCTCTCTCTCTCTCTCTCTCTTTTTTTTTTTTTTTTTTTTTTTTTTGAGATGAAGTCTCGCTCTGTCGCCCCAGGCTGGAGCGCAGTAACGGGATCTCGGCTCACTGCAAGCTCCACCTCCCGGGTTCATGCCATTCCTCGGCCTCAGCCTCCCAAGTAGCTAGGACTACAGGTTCCTACCACCGAGCCCGGCTAATTTTTTTTCTTTTTTTGTATTTTTAGTAGAGACGGGGTTACCCCATGGTCTCGATCTCCTGACCTCGTGATCCGCCCGCATCAGCCTCCCAAAGTGCTGGAATTATAGGCGTGAGCCACCGCGTGTTTTCTATTTTTAAAAGAGCAGTTATTGGAACAATGCGAATGGTTGAGAACATGGGCTTTGGGGGACGGCTGGATGGAATGTATGTCAGCTGCTTGCTGGTTTTACCTTCGATGTTTCAGCATGTGTTTGGGCCTTTTCCAGAACAGCACTGACAGAATGTGCAGCCTGGGGCATCTGTCCATTGGGCTTGGTGATGCCTTTTATAGGTCCTGAGAGGGAGGAAGTGAGAAAAGAAGAGTGAGCAAAGAATTTTCAACATTCTTGAAAGTTAATCTGAAAATACAAAGCAGTTTACATCTATAAAGCAAAGAAAGATACTTCCTGGCTACTTCTTACAAAAAATAAATAAATAAATAAAAACAAAGCAAAGAGAGCAATTCACAGGCATGACGTGGTACACAAAACCGTATGAAAAAGCTGAGGTTCTGTGACAAAACTTTATATGAGATTCAGCAAAAGATTCAGGAAGGTGAGTAGGGTATTTGATAAAGCCCACTGAGGAGGGTCTGGATTAACTGGGATTGTGGAGAGGAATAGTATGTTTTACTTTTGAAAACCTTTCAATAATTGAAGAATAAACCTTGAAAACCAATTTTCTTTCAAAAAAATTGTATTGTTGATTTCCTTAAAATGTATTTATCTAGTTTCATACCGTGCTGAGTGCAGGAACAATGTTTGAACATTGTTCTCAACAAAGAGTATATTAAGCTGAGTGCGGTGCCTCACGCCTCTAATCCCCGCACTTTGAGAGGCTGAGGCAGGCAGATCACGAGGTCAGGAGCTCGAGACCATCCTGGCCAACGTGGTGAAACCCTGTATCTACTAAAAATACAAAAATTAGCTGGGCGTGGTGGCACATGCCTGTAGTCCCAGCTACTCAGTAGGCTGAGGCACAAGTGTCGCTGAACCTGGGAGGCGGAGGTTGTAGCGAGCCGAGATCACGCAACTGCTCTCCAGCCTGGTGACAGGGTGAGACTCAGTCTCAACAACAGCAACAACAACAACAACAACAACGAAAGAGTACATTGGACACAGAAACAATGGAAATAATCTGGAATTAGATGTGAGTTTTTTTGTTTTCCCCAAAAGTCCTGGTATTACGATTTTATTTTCTTGCCTTTTTATTTGTCCTTTTGACACAAAGCTTGACTCATGGAAGGTCTGCAGTTGTTAGAGAATCAGACAGAGGAAGCTCTACGTTGATTTCTCGGCTCCTTAGAAAGGATCCCGCCAAGGATGGCCGCCTCTCCACACCGGGGCTGTTTCTCCTTCAAGTGAATTGCTGCCCAGCCCACACCAGAAGGTCTTCCGCTCCTCTCCCTGTGAATGCAGAGATGCTTTAGCCATGCTCAGCACCACTGTTCTATCTAATATTCACAAACTGCCTGTTTATTTCTTCAACTAGTTTTCCAGTAATTTGAGAAACCTATTAATCTACATGACAACTCAAAGAATGACTTCAGGAGATTAGGAAAAAAGCAAAAAAGAAGGCAGTGGGGAATATTTGGCTGGGTTCTGGTGGCTCATTCCTGTAATCACAGCCCTAGGGGAGGCCAAGGCAGGCGCATCACTTGAAGTCAGGAGTTCGAGAACAGACTGGCCAATTTGGTGAAACCCAGTCACGACTAAAAATACAAAAAATTTAGTTGGGCGTCGTGACCCACGCCTCTAATCCCAGGTACTCGGGAGGCTGAAGCAGGAGGACCACATGAACTCAGGAAGCAAGGGTTGCAGCGAGCTGACGTCACGACATAGCATTCCAGCCTGGGTGACAGAATGAGACTCAGTCTCAAAAAAAAGAATGATACCAGGGGAAAATGGTAGGAAGGGGGAGAAAGATAAGAGACTACAAATTGGATTCCGTGTGCACTGCTTGGGTGATTGGTTCACCAAAATCTCACAAATCTCCACTAAAGGAGTTAATAACTAAATACTACCTGTTTGCCAAAAATTTATGAAAAGAAAAATTAAAAATTTTTTTAAATTGTGACAATTGAGTGTCGTACTTTCAAGTTACAAAGGCACATCTATCATGAGGCTTAATTATTCTAATGTTTAAAGAAATGAAAAGAACAACCAGAGTTTAAATAGAAAAGCTGTCAGCATTTCATCTACAGCAATGAAATCTGTAGCATTCATTTTGTATTTTGAAACTTAGTTTTCAGCCAGCCTAGGGGAAGAAGAGGAGGAAACAGAACTGGGCATTGGGGTAGGTAGGAGGAAAGTAAGAAACCGGCTGGAAACAGCAGGGAAAGAAGAAGGGATCAGGACTCGAGGCAGAGCCAGTCCTCCTGGTTGGGGCCTGGGCATAGGAAAGCAAACTCTAGGCAGGAGGAAGGAGCCCCAGGCTGTGGATGCCTCTGGGGGAACTTGGGTCAGCAATGGCCAGAGGAGCTCCTGAACTTAAGCAGTATCTGCCGCCTCCCTACCTTTGGGTGTCTTCTGGTGGCCAATGTGCTGCTGTCAGGACTCTTGCTGGCTCCCAAATTCGACTGGGCAGCCTCCAAAGCAGTGGAGTCCAGCGCTACTGCTGCCTCTGCCTCGTGGATCTCAGAGCTGCAGGACAGCTTCACCCATCACACCCTCAGATAGCCCCACTTGTGGCTGGCATTGGGGGACAGCATGTTCTGGGCACCTCTGCTCCCGTATATCGCGGCCTGCATCTTCACAGTCTGCATGCTGGTAGACGTCAGAGCCACAGGCTGGCTCTGTGAACCCTTGTGCCAATTGGGGCTGGCTTTGGTGCATATGCAATAGTTCAGTGTGGGCCCCATGGGGCACCCCTACTCTTCTCAGGCAGCTTGGGTCTTCGCTTGCACCCAAGTCTGCAGGGCTCAACACCTATCGCCTCTTCCTGGCAAAAGCATGGCTGGCACGGGCAGCCCTGGGCCATGGGGTGGCACTGCGCTAGCAGCCTGCACCCCGTGTCACCCCCGTACTCTGAGCTGACTTGTCTGCTAAAAAAAAACCTGCCAACCTGTCTGGTTTATTTTAGAAGGGCCTGGATGCAACAAGCCTGAGAGCTGTGGCCTGGGGAGGAGAGAGCACAGATTCATCCTCCTTCCACCGCTGCCCAACAACTGAAAACCACCAACTGAGGACCACCAACTGAAGAGAAACAACTGAGGGTACCAACTGAGGGCACTAACCAAAGGCAACCAATGAGGACACCCACTGAAGGCCACCAAGTGAAAGCCAGTTGCCCTGCCAACCAGACTGTATCCTGGTTACAGGAAACAATCAGGCCCAGAATCCTTTGCATGTGTCCCCCCAACTTGGAATTCAGAGCTCAAGCATCAGGCTCTTAAGGCCCCGCCCTGCCAGTGGACTCGTCCCACCTCATTTATTGCTGGCTGCTGGGAGCTTTCAGGTTGCTCACTGTGATGAAGTTCCTAGGGATCATCACCTTACAATGAATTATGCTAAAATTACTGAAACCAAATCTGCTTCATGTACTATCTGGGATTCATAGAACCCCACTTTCCCCCATAACCTCTGAAATTTTTGCAAACTAAAAAAAGACAAATTTCTGCAGCTGCTTTCAGAAAAACACATTGCCATGAGCTATGCCTACACTATAATGACAAATCATATTTCATATATATGTACATATATATTCAATCCACACATATTCCATTTACATTTTTGAAAATAACACATGTATTCAATCAAATTAACAAGAGTAATAGAAGACATTTTCTAAAATATATACACTAAGTATATCACAGTTTTCTAGTGATCATTTTGATACAGCAACTTAGAATCTATGGCTTCAACACACAAAGAGGCTTACGTAAGAGAAAAGCACCACATAATTCAAGATTTGAAATGTGATCATCATTGCTACTTTTAACTGGCAATTACCCAGGAAATGTATTGTAAACTCCTTTGTGACTATGGCGACTCATTTAATCTTTGTGATCCTTGGTCTGATTTTCTCAAAAAGATGAGTAACACCATTTTATAAACTTGCTCTAAAAATTAAATGATAGAAAAATAATCCTTCTCTATATATTGAACACTAACAAAATTATAGGCATTGTGTCCAGATTTTTGCACACTTACCTTATCGAAGCCTCATAACAACCCTATCTTTTAAATTACAGGCATTTTGTCCACCCAAATTTTTACTCATTTAACTTACGGAAGCCTCATAAGAATCCCCTCTTTTATAGATAAGCAAAGTGAGGTTCTGAGGAGTTAAAAACACATTCATGATCACATCCTAATGAGTGTTGGAACTTGGATTCAACTCCAGTTCTCTCTGATGCCAAAGGTGGTGCAAACTTAATGAAGACCAAGTTATACCCAGTACATGGAGGGATCAAACATGTGAATTCCCTTTCTCTATCCTCTTATGTGTGAATTTCAATGGCTTTCACAGCCTCAGAACAATCCTAAACTCCCGCCCAGGTTGCCTTGCAGTCATTCCCTTCTTCTTGGAAATGCTGGGAATCTGCATATGTAGACCACAAGCATCTCCTTGGAAACAGGTTTGTTGATCAAGGAATGAAATTTTTGGCCTAGGATGGTGACTCACGCCTATAATCCCAGTACTTAGGGAAGCTAAGGTGAGCAGATCACCTGAGGTCAGGAGTTCGAGACCGGCCTGACCAACATGGTGAAACCCCATCTCTCCTAAAAAGAACAACATTGGTCAGGCCTGATGGCGCATGCCTCTAATCCCAGCTACACGGGAGGCTAAGGCAGGAGAATCGTTTGAACCCAGGAGGCAGAGGTTATAGTGACCTAAATTATAGGTATTGTGTCCAGATTTTACACACTTACCTTATAGAAGCCTCACAGAAACTCTCTCTTTTAAATTACAAACATTTTTGCCTTGGTTTTTACACACCTTATGGAAGCCTCATAACAATCACATCTTTTATAGATGAGAAAACTGAGGCTTTGGATGCCTCTGGGGGAAACGTGGGCCATCAGCAGCCAGAGGTGCTCCTGAATCTAAACAGTATCCGTCGCCTCCCTACCTTTCGGGGTCTTCTGGTGCCGCTGTCAGGACACTCACTGGCTCCCAAATTCGATTGGGCAGCCTCCAAAGCAGTGGGGTCCTGCGCTACTACCACCTCCACTTCGTGGATCTCAGAGCTGCAGGAAAGCTTCACCCACCGCACCCTGAGCTAGCCCAATTGCGGCTCGCAGTGGGGGAAAGCGTGTTCCGGGTGCTTCTGGTCCTGTATATCGCAGCTTGCGCCTTCGCTGTCTGCACACTCGTAGATGTCAGAGCCACAGGCTGGCTCTGCAGAACCCCTTTGCCAGCCCTGACTGGGGCTGGCTTTGGTGCACATGCGACAGTTCAGTGTGGGCCCCATGGGGCACCCCTGCTCTTCTCAGGCAGCTTGGGCCTTCCCTGGCCCCCACGACTGCAGAGCTCAACACCTATCGCCTCTTCCTGACAAAGGCATGGCTGGCACGGGCAGCCCTGGGCCATGAGGCGACACTGCACTAGCATCCCGCAACCCGCTTCACCCCTGTACCCTGAGCTGACTTGTCTGCTAAAAAAATCCTGCCACCTGTCTAGTTTATTTTAGAAGGGCCTGGAGGCAACAAGCCTGAGAGCTGTGACTGGGGGAGGAGAGAGCACAAATGGATTCATCCTCCTCCCACCACTGCCCAACAACCGAAGACCACCAACTGAGGACCGCCAACTGAAGAGAAACAACTGAGGGCACTAAACGAAGGCAACCAATGAGAACACCCACTGAAGGCCACCAAGTGAAGGCCAGTTGTCCTGCCAACCAGAACGCATCCTGGTTCTGGGGAAACAATCAGGGCCAGAATCTCCTGCATACATCCCCACAAACTTCGGACTTGAGAGCACAGGCACATGGCTCACAAGGCCTCGCCCTGCCAGCGGCCCCACCCCACCTTTCATTCATTGCTGGCTGCTGGGACCTTTCAGGTTTCTCATTGTGAAGAAGTTCCGAGGGATCATCACTTTACAATGAATGATGCTAAAATTACTGAAACCAAATGTGCCTCACGCAGTGTCTGACATTCATAGAACCCCCTTTCCCCCATAATCTCTGAAACACTAACAAACTGGAAATAAGAGTGATTTCTTCAGGTGCTTTCAGAAAAAAACATTGCCATGAACTAAGCCTACTCTATAATGTCCAGTCATATTTCATATATACACATACAAGTCCAATCAATATATATTCCATTTACGTTTTTGAAAATAACACATATTTGCAATCAAATTAACAAGACTAACGGAAGAAATTTTCTAAAATTTACACACTAACTACATCACATTTTTCTAATGATCGCTTTGGTAGAGCAACTTAGAATATATGGTTTCAAAACACCAAAAGGATTATGTAAGTGAAAACTACCACATAATACAAAATTTTCAATGTGATCATCATTGCTACTTTTAACTAGAAATTACACAAGGAACGCATTGTGAACTGCTGTGTGACTTTGATGATCTATTTATTCTTTCTGATCATTGATTTCATCGTCTAAGAAATATGAGTATCACCATTTTTATAAACTGGCTCTGAAAATTAGATGAGAGAATATAATCTCCTTCTCCATATACTGAACACTGAAAAAATCATAGGTATTGTGTCCAGATTTTTATACACTTACTTTATAGAAGCCTCATAGAAATCCTCTCTTTTAAGTTACAAGCATTTTGCCATGGTTTTTACACACTTACCTTACCGAAGCCTCATAACAAGCACATCGTTTACAGATGAGAAAACTGAGACTCTGGATGCCTCTGCAGGATTCTTGGGCCAGCAATGGCTAGAGGAGTTCCTAAACTTCAGCAGTATCTGTCACCTCCCTACCTTTGGGCGTCTCCTGGTGCTGCTGTCAGGTCCCTCACTGGCTCCCAAATTCAACTGGGCAGGTTCCATAGCAGTGGAGTCTGGCGCTAGGGCCACCACCACCTCGTGGATCTCAAAGCTGCAGGACAGCTTCACCCTCCGCATTCTGAGCAGACCCCACTTGCAACTGGCAGCAGGGGCAGCGTGTTCTGGGTGCCTCTGCTCCTGTATATCGCAGCCTGCGCCTTCGTTGTATGCACACTTGTAGACGTCAGAGCCACAGGCTGGCTCTGCAGAAACCTTGTGCCGGCCCTGACTGGGGCTGGCTTTGGTGCACATGCGACAGTTCAGTGTGGTCCCCATGGGGCACCCCTGCACTTCTCAGGCAGCTTGGGTGTTCGCTTGTCCCCAAGTCTGCAGAGCTCAACACCTATCGCCTCTTCCTGGCAAAGGCATGGCTGGCACGGGCACCCCTGGGCCATGGGGTGGCACTGCACTAGCAGCCTGCACCCTGTGTCACCCCTGTACCCTGAGCTGACTTGTCTGTTAAGAAAAACCTGCCAACCTGTCTGGTTTATTTTAGAAGGGCCCGGAGGCAGCAAGCCTGAGAGCTGTGACTGGGGGAGGAGAAAGCACAGTTTCATCCTCCTTCCACCATTGCCCTACAACTGAAGACCACCAACTGAGGACCACCACCTGAAGAGCGCCAACTGATGGTACCAACTGAGGGCACTATCTGAAGGCAACCAATGAGGACACCCACTGAAGGCCACCAAGTGAAGACCAGTTGCCCTGCCAACCAGACCACATCCTGGTTCAGAGGAAACAATCAGGTCCAGAATCCCCTGCATGCATCCCCACAAACTTGGCACTTGAGAGCACAGGCATATGGCTGACAAGGCCCCACCCTGCCAGCAGCCCCGCCCCACCTTTCATTCATTGCTCACTGCTGGGACCTTTCAGGTTTCTCATTGTGAAGCAGTTCCTAGGGATCATCACCTTACAATGAATGATGCTAAAATGACTGAAACCAAATCTGCCTCACGCAATCTCTGAAACATTAACAAACTAGAAATGAGAGAGATTTCTGCAGGTGCTTTCACAAAACAACATTGCCATGAGCTAAGCCTACTCTGTAATATGAAGTTATATTTCATATGTACACATATATATCCCATCCACATATATTCGATTTACATTTTTGAAAATGACACACATGTTCAATCAAATTAACAAGATTAACAGAAGAAAGTTTAGAAAATTTACACAGAAAGTACATCACATTTTTCTAATAATCATTTTGATAGAGCAGCTTAGAATCTATGCTTTCAACAAAGCAAGAAGCTTACGTAAGAGAAAACCACCACAAAACACGAGATTTTCAATGTGATCATCACTGCTACTGTTAACTAGAAATTACCCAGTAAATGTATTGTGAACTGCTTTGTGACTATGGTGATTTATTTAGTCTTTCTGATCATTTATTTGATTGTCTAAGAAATATGAGTATCCCCAATTTTACAAACTTGGTCTAAAAATTAATGGTCTAAAAAATGAGAGAAAGATAATCTTCCTCGTCCACCTATTGAACACTTACAAAATTGTAGACATTGTGTCCAGACTTTTACCCACTTACCTCATAGAAGCCTCATAATAACACTCTCTTTTAAATTACAAGCATTTTGCCATGGTTTTTACACACTTACCTTATGGAAGCCTCGTAACAATCATATCTTCTATAGATGAGCAAACTGCGCTCAGACGAGTTAAAAACACATTCACCATCACATCATAAAGAGTGATGGAAGTGGTATTCAAATCTAGTTTTCTCTGACACCAAAAATTGTGCGTGTTAAGGAGGACCAAGTTATACTCAGAACATAGAGGGATCAAAACATGTGGATTCTCTTTTCTACCCCCTCGTGTGTGAATTTCAATGCCTTGCACTGCCTCAGAGCAATCCTAAACTCCCTCCCAGGTTGCCTTGCTGTGGTTCCCTTTTCCTTGAGGATGATGAGGAATCTGCATATTTAGACCACAAGCATCACCTTTTAACAGGTGTGGTGATCACGAAATGAAATTTGCTAGGCCATATGTTACTAAGTGTGAATTGTCCAGCTTCTCTGCAATAAATAAAGGGGCTATTCCATGTAAAAAATCACATCATCCACTAAATTTGTGCAGAAAGATTTGGAACTATGCTGCAGGAGCATCTTACCGACAGCTGTGCAGGAAGACCAGCCAAAACACACAAAGCAGGAGCAGCTCCCAAGGCCAGGTGTGGTGGTTCTTGCCTGTCATCCCAACAAAGCGGGAGGCCAACGTGAGTGAATCACTTGAGGCCAGGGGTTTGAGACCAGCCTGGGCAACACAGTGAAACCCTGTCTCTACAAGAAATCATTTTTTATTATTAGAATGAAGAAGCGTACCTCTAACCCTCAGCCATTACTTTAGGAGAGAGAGCTCTGCTCTAGAACTCAACATATGAAATTGGGAGTCCCAATGTGGCTAGCTAAGTTTAAATACAAGAGCTGTCAGACATTTCCTCTACCGTAATGAAATCTGTGGCATCCTTTTTGTATTTTGAAAACTTAGTTTTGACAGGCCTAAGAAAAGAAGAAGAGGGCCCAGAAGTGGGCATTTGGGCAGGGCAATGAAAAGTAACCAGCTGGATGCAACATGGAAAGAAGAAGGGGTGGGAAGTGGAGTCAGAGCAAGTCCTCCTGCTTGGGGCCTGGGCCTAGGAAAGCAAACTAGGGCAGGAGGGAGGAGCCCTAGGCTGTGGATACTTGGGTCACCAGAGCTCCTAATGCCAAGCGGTATCTGTAGTCTCCCTACCTTCTGGCGTCTTCTGGTGCCGATGTGCTGCTAGTCATGTCTCCTGAATCAGACAGGGCAGACTCCAAATCAGTGGAGTCTGGTGCTACTCCCACCGCCACCTCGTGGATCTCAGAGCTGCAGGACGGCTCCAAACACCTTATCCTGAGGTGGCTCTGCTTGGGGCTGGTATCAAGGGACAGGGTGTTCCGGCCGCCTCTGCTCCTCTGTGCTGGGGCCTGCGCCTTTGCTGGCCGCCCACTCATAGATGTCAAAGCCTCAGGATGGCTCCGCAGAAGCCCTGTGGGGGCCCTGCCTGGGGCTGGCTTTGGTGCACATGCTACAGGCCAGCGTGGTCCCCATGGGGCAACTCCGCTCTTCTCGGGCAGCTTGGGCCTTCAATTGCCCCCACCCTGCAGAGCTGAGCACCTGCCACCTGTCCCCAGGAAAGGCAACCAAATGCCACCAACTGAAGGCACCCACTGAAGGCACTAACTGAAGGTCGGTTGCCCTGCCAACCAGATCACGCCCTGCTTAGGAGGAATCAATCAGGCCTTGAGTTCCCCCCACGCGCCGCCCTTCCATTTGTGACGTGCTGTGCGAGTCCAGGCACTGGCTCACAAGGCCCCGCCCCCACAGCAGCCCGCCCCACCTTTCATTTATTAGTACCCGGTAGCAACTTTCAGGTTTCCTTACTGTGAATTATGAATATGAATTATGCGGAAATTACTGTATACCAATGTACCTCGCGCACTATCTGACATTCAAAGACCCACCTTGCCCCATCGCCTCTGATTTTTTTGGAAACTAGAAAAAAGACAAGGTTCGGCAGCTGTTTTCAGAAGAAAACATTGCCATGAGCTAAGATTACTCTATGATGTCAAGTCTTATTTCATATATCAATATATATTCATATTCATAATCCAAAACACACATATTCAATCAAATTAACAAGACTAACAGAGGAAATTTTCTAAAATTTATACACTACGGACATTACATTTTTCTAATGATCACTTTGATAGAGCAACTTAGATTCTATGGTTTCCACAAATGAAGAGGCTCATGGAAAAGAAAACTGCCACATAATACAAGATTTTCAATGTGATCATCATTGCTACTTTTAAGTAGCAATTACCCAGTAAATATATTGTGAACTGCTTTGTGAGTATGGTGATTTATTTAAACTTACTGACCCTTTGATTATCTTAAAAATATGAATAATGCCAATTGTATGGACTTGTTCTAAAAATTAAAGGAGAGAAAAATAATCCTTCTTCTCCATATATTGAACGATTACCAAATTAAAGGCATTGTGTCCAGGTTTTTACACACTTACCTTATTGAAGCCTCATCATAACCCCATCTTTTAAATTACAGGCATTATTCCCAGATTTTTACATACTAATCTTATGCAAGCTTCATAAGAATCCCATCTTTTAGAGATGAGCAAACTGAGGCTCAGAGGATTTAAAAACTCATTCACCATCACTTCATAATGAGTGATGGAACTGGGATTCAAATCCAGTTCTCTCTGACACCAAAGGTGGTGCACATTCAGGAACACCCAGTTATACCCCGCACATGGAGGGATCAAAACATGTGGATTCCCTTTCTCTACCCTCTTATGGGTAGAGAAACAATCCTAAGCTCCCTCCCTGGTTGCCTGTAGTGGACATCACTTCTTTCTGGGCATGATTAGAAATCTGCATCTTTGGACCACAAGCATCTATAAATAGTTGTTTTGATCAAGAAATAAAATTTTCTAGGCCACAGGTTGCTATCTGGGACTTTTCTAGCTTCTCTGCAGTTAAAAAAAGGGCTATTCCATGTAAAACAAACAAACAAACAAACAAACAAACAAAAAAAAAAACACAGGATCCACTGAATTTGTGCAGAAAGTTTCAGAACTATACGGCAGGAGCACCTCTAGAACTCAAGATATGAAATTGGGAGTCCCAATGGGGCTACTTAAGTTTAAATACAAGAGCTGTTGGACATTTCCTCTACAGCAATCAAATCTTACTTTTCATTTTGTATTTTGAAAACTTAGTTTTCAGCCAGCCTAGGAAAAGAAGAAGAGGGCCTCGAAGTGGGCATTTGGGCAGGGCAAGGGAAAGTAACCGGCTGGATGCAACAGGGAAAGAAGAAGGGGTGGGGAATCCAGTCAGAGCAAGTCCTCCTGCTTGGGGCCGGGGATAGGAAAGCGAACTGTCTCCTCCCTACCTTTGGGCGTCTTCTGGTAGCCAATGTGCTGTAAGTCACGGCTCCGGAATCAGGCTGGGCAGGTTTCAAATCAGTGGAATCTGGCACTTCTCCCACCTCCAACTAGTGGATCTCAGAGCTGCAGGACTGCTCCCAACACTGCACCCAGTGTTGGCCCAGCTTGGGGCTGGCATTGGGGGACAGCGTGTTCCGGGCGCCTCTGCTCCTCTGTGCTGGGGCCTGCGCCTTTGCTGGCTGCCCACTCATAGATGTCAGAGCCGCAGAACGGCTCCGCAGAAGCCCTGCGCAGGCCCTGCCTGGGGCTGGCTTTGGTGCACATGTGACAAGTCATCGTGGTCCCCATGGGGCAACTCTGCTCTTCTCCGGCAGCTTGGGCCTTCGCTTGCCCCCACGACTGCAGAGTAGAGCACCTGCCACCTCTCCCCAGGAAAGGCAACCGAATGCCACCAACTGAAGGCACCCACTGAAGGCACTAACCGAAGGCCGGTTGCCCTGCCAACCCTGTCGCGTCCTGCTTAGGACGAACCAATCAGGCCTTGAGTTCCCTCCACGCGCCGCCTTTCCATTTGTAATGTGCGAGTCCAGGCACTGGCAGACAAGGCTCCGCCCCCAAAGCTCCCCTGCCCCACCTTTCATTCATTGATAGCTTCGAGCAATTTTCAGGTTTCCTCATTACGAATTATGACTATGAATTATTTTACAATTACTGTAACCCAATGTGCTTCGTGCACTCTCTGGCATCCAAAGGATCCTCTTTCGCCCATGGCTTGTGAGGATTTTCGAAACTGGAAAGAAGACTGATTACTGCAGTTGCTTAAAAAAAAAAACTTTGCCATGAGTTAAGTCTACTCTGTGATGTTAACATAAATGTATCATATATTTATGTATATGTATATGCACACACACACATGCACTCAATAATTATATATTCAATTTATGTTTTTGAAAATAGCACACATATTCAAACTAGTAAGTATAATAGGGAAATTTCCTAAAACTTTTACACTAAGTACCTCATTTTTTAAAATGATTTCGTTGATAGAGCAGCTTTCTAGATGCAGCCCTGTTCACATGTGACTGGTATTTACCTTCTTTCATCAAACATATCTTTAGAATCGACTCAAGGCAAGACGCGGTAGAAAAATGTAAGAATCAATTAGAGGAGCCATTTAACTAGTAGGTGAGACTGATAGGCATACAAGCAACTTCAATAAAAAGATATGTATTGAACGTACCTGGGGATAAGTACTAAGATGGGCTTCAAAAGCCCCGTATTCATGAAGATGCAATCTTTATATTTAAAATACTAGTGATACAATAAAATGTTCTACTTGATCTCTCACCTTTAATTTCATGGTATTATCATCCACCCTCTCTATTCTAACTAAATATTTCCTTCATAATCCCCAAGAAATAGCAAAACCACGGAAAACAAACATTTCAATCTTTGATTTATTGTTGAAAGAAGTGTGTCGTTGGTGCCTCAGTTTATTATCATAGAGCCAAATTCTCAGTGAGGAAGCGGCATGAGCTGGAATTCATGCCCTTCATTTGGAAAGATTGCAAATCATTGACCTTCTTTTTTTTGCTAAATATGTTAGAAAATTAGAATTCTCTTAATGCAGTAAAGGGATCTTAAAATGATGGGATATATGTGTACTCTCCGTGACAGTGTACATATTCCTTCTCTTAGTTTAGTATAAAAATAATACTTAAGGAACTTCTGTGCAATAATAACAATTCTAAGTAAGAAGTAGAGTTGAGATTTTTCATAAAACAAAATGTATGAACTTTTATTGCTGTTTGTTCGATATGAGACAATCTAGCTTTGTTGCCCAGGCTGGAGTATAGTGTCGTGATCTCGGCTCACTGCGTCCTCCACATTCAGTTTCAAGCCATTCTCCTGCATCAAATTCCCAAGTAGCTGGGAGTCCAGGCAGACGCCTCCATGCCCAGCTAATTTTTGCGTTTTTAATACAGACAAGGTTTCACAATGTTTGCCAGGCTGGTCTTCAACTCCTGACCTCCAGTGATCTGCCTGCTTCTGCTTCCCAAAGTAGAAACATTTTTAAACATTTAAAATTGACCTTGCCTTTTAGAAATGTAGAAATTCATCAGGGTCCTGGGTAATTATAATCAACATTTATCTGCCCACGTTATTTACCAGGTACATCTTCTCCAGCAAGTTCTTCGGCATCCTTTCGAGAAGCATTCAATAGCCAAGAAAGCAGGCTAAGACTCACCTACTCCTTCTTGGGCTAAAGATCTCAGACTTCATTCGGGAAAAATAATTAAAGAATTATTCTATCACTATACACAACATAGAATAATCTGTTTAACAAATTATTTTTGATCATCCACATTTTGATGCCAATCCCTCATTTGGTAATAATGATTATATACGTGAATATTTTGAGCCAATTAAATTGGAACATATTCTTTGAAATATCTTTATGATCATTTTTGTTCTATTCAGTAGGTTTAATGGAATAATAAGGTGTTTTTGATAAACCACATGAGTTATTCTCAATGGTTACAAGATCTTATGACAGTTGTAATCAAAAGTGTGCTGGCTCACGCCTGTAATCCCAGCACTTTGGGAGGACGAGGTGGGTGGATCACCTAAGGTCAGAAGTTCAAGACTAGCCTGGCCAACATGGTGAAACCCTTTCTCTACTAAAAAGACCCCCCAAAAAAATTAGCTGGGCGTGGTGGTGGTTGCCTGTAATCCCAGCTACTTGGGAGGCTGAGGCAGGAGAATCGCTTGAACCCGGGAGGCGGAGGTTGCAGTGAGCCGAAATCTCACCATTGCACTCCAGCCTGGGCAACAAGAGTGAAACGCCATCTAAAAAAAATGCATTATTAAATACTGATCTAGTATTTACTGTAAATTCAGCACTTTGGGGCATATCAGTGGGTATTTAGTTTTATTATGCTCCTAGAGTTTTTTATTCTATTATAGAATTTTCAAACATTTACTAAGGTACAGAAAATTTTAATGGTTTAATGAACCTAATTTACCATTTAATCAGCTTACTAGTGATTAATACCTTGCCAATTTTGCTTCACCTACACCTCCACACCCTTCCCCCATATTCCTCATTGTTGCCTTAATTGAAGTATGATATACATGTCCTCATTTTTTTGGAAAATACAGACATTGTTTCATTTCCTCTACAAATATTTGTGTTTGCATCTCTAAATATTAATGACTTAAAATACAAACAGTCCATGACATCATATGACCTTGAGACAAATTAGTAGTAACTCCTAATGTATCACATTATTCAGTTTTCAAGATTTTCCTATTTTCTTATAATTATCATCATTATCTTATAGTTATATTAATTAATTTATTTATTAATTTATTTATTTTTGACCAGTGTCTCACTCTGTCGCCCAGGCTGGAGTGCAGTGGCGAGATTTCGGCTTAATGCAGTTTCCACCTTCTGGGTTCAAGCAATTCTCTGCCTCAGCCTCCCAAGTAGCTGGGATTACAGGTGCCTGCCACCACGCCTGGCTAATTTTTGTATTTTTAGTAGAGATGGGCTTTCACCATCGTGGCCAGGCTGGCCTTGAACTCCTGACCTCGTGATCCACCCTCCTCGACCTCCCAAAGTGCTGGGATTACAGGTGTGACCCACCGTGCCCAGCCTCTTATAGTTATTTTAATTGGGATCTGAATAAGGAGTATACATTAAAATTAGATGATAATATGTCTTAAGCTTCCTTTGATATCTTTGAGTTTATCACCTACTTATGTCACCTACACCTTTTTTCACTTACAATCTATTGGTTCCTTTAGTTATGATTGAAAAAACCAGATTATTTATCCTGTGGTATTTCAGCATTCTGCATTTTTCTGATTGCATTCTATGGTATTATTTATTGAACCTGTGATACAGTTTGGACGTCCCCTCCAAATCTCATTGATATGGTTTGGCTCTATGTCCCCACCCAGATCTCATCTTGAATTATGACCCCCATGTGTGGATGCAGGGACTTGTGGGGAGGTGATTGGATCATGGGAGCAGTTTTCCCATGCTGTTCTTGTGATAGTGAGAGAGTTCTCATGACATATGGTAGTTTAATAATTGTCTGGCATTTCCTCTTTGCTCTCTCTCTCTCCTGCTGCCATGTAAGATGTGCTTTGCTTCTCCTTCACCCTCTGTGATGATTGTAAGTTTCCTGAGGCCTCCAGAGCCATGCATAACTGTGAGTCAATTAAACCTTCCTTTATAAATTATCCAGTCTCAGGTAGTTTCTTTATAGCAGTGTGAAAACGTACTAATATACTCATGTTGAGGTGTAATCCCCAATGTTGGAGGTGGGGTCTTGTGGGAGGTGTTTGGGTCATGGGGACAGATTCCTCATAACTTGGTGCTGTCCCACTGATAATGAGTGAGTTCTCAGGAGATCTGTTGTTTAAAAGTGTGTGGCACCTCCTCTGCTTGCTCTCTTGCTCCCAGTCTCTCCATGTGAGAAGCCTGCTCCCACTTTGCCTTTTCCCATGAATGGAAGCCTCCTGAGGCCTCCCCAAAAGCTGAGCAGATGCCAGCACCATGCTTCCAGTAAAGCCTGCAGACCTGTGAGCCAGTTAAACCTTTTTTCTTTATAAATGACCCAGTCTCAGGTATTTCTTTATAGCAACAGAAAAGCAACCTAACACAACACGTGTCTGTGCCTCCTGTATTTCTGTAAATATAGAGCTTCAGTCTGATTCAGAATTGATTTATTTGTCAAAAATAATTGAAATACCAAGAATACAACTGCCTCAGTGAATGGCCACTATTTCTTCTATAACTACATTTATGTTCCATTTGATTTTCACTTTGTATTATCCCTTTTCTTTTTTCTTTTCTTTTCTTTTTCTTTTTTTTTTTTTTTTTTGCAGTTTCATGTTTGTTGACCACTTCCCTCTTTGGTTATTCATTTTTGTAAAATGTCATGTGGGCTTCTCCCTGGGAGACAAGGAGGCAAGACAGTGACATGCTTTGCTCTCTGTATAAACTCAGTAACAAATATGCAGTGATTGACAACCTCATACTTTGAAAGAAATGATGGGTCACTGATCATGATTGCTTCTGTTATTTATGTTGTGATTTGTGGACTGAAGAGCTCACACAAAGTTTGTACTTTGTGTAATCACTCACAGTTGAACTGAATTTGGAACCATGTTGGGGTACTTACGTTATTTAATTAAATCATGGTTATTGAAATTAGGTGGAGCAGTGATGATCTGTGCCTCTTTTTTTCCTGATGTTTTCTTTTATACCTGCAATAAATATTTACAATTTTCCTTATATAGATTTGAAATTTTCTAGCAATTCTAAAAATATTTTAGTTCTTGTTGCTCTTGTGACTCACCTTTTATACTACATTTTATAAATGAGCTTCACTGATATATAGTACACAGGACAGTTTTTAGTTTCTATACTTAATAGCTTTTAATGGATTGTTTGACTTTGTTTTAAAATTTTAAGTAGATACATCGCCTGAGAATTTAAAAGTCTGTCTTTTCCATTCATATATTTGTTTATCTTAGTGGTTTTGCTGTTGTATGCATTGGCTAGAGACTCCAGGATAATGTTGGATAATGTTGAATAATATTAATTATAATACTGACTTTAACGGTGTATTAGTCATATCTCTTATTTTCTAAATTTGATGCTTTGACATTTGGGCCTTGTTGACCCTGGAGGGACTGCCCCTCTCAGGATAAGCTAATTGCTGGATGTAATAAACAACTTGCCTGCATGCATGACTTTCCTACTATAACCCAACCAACCCAGAGTTTATACCCCCTTCTTTCTCATCTCTTCATCACTCTTTATTCTTCTTTATCTCTGTTTATCTCTTTTGCAGTCTTAATGTTCCTTATCACTCTCACAATTCTGGCCACTATTCTACTTCCCTAATTTCTTCAGGGCCAGATAGCAGCCTCTTCTTTCCAGGAGCCAATGAAATTATTCAAACTAGCCAATGCTAAGCCTGATTGACCTGACTTGCTTGTCCCGTCCCATGGAACTGCAATAAAGCCTCTTTCCCACGTTTTCCCCCATTGACGCTGCCTCCTGACTGACCTTGATGTTTCCCTGTCCTTCTGCTTGTGGTGTGCTGTGCCCACAGCTTCTAGGGAACTGTGAGTAGAAAAATAAACTACTTCCCTCATGACAGTCATTTCTGTGTTTGTGTGTCTTGCCATTACTGATTAAAACAAATCCTGGGTTTTATGAATGCAAATGACATTTCTGTTCATGCTTTATTGTTAAATATGCCCTTTGCTGTAGGTTTTGGGCACCTTTTATCAAGGTTTTGGGCACCTTGATGTTGAATTTCATCAAGAGCCTTTTTGACATTTATTGAAATAATTATTTGTTTTTTTCTTCTATGAGATTTTCCAATAAAACTGATACTGATTGAACAATAGCCAAGCTTGCGCCACTGCACACCAGCATAGGCGACAAAGCGAGACTCTCTCTTAAAAAATAATAATAAAATAAAACAAAGATGCTGTAGTATTGCAAGGCTAAGTAGGGACAGCAGATGAAGTTCCTCAAGACTTCCAACATTACTGTATAGCTAAACTCTTGAGAAAAAACAGTAACCTACCAATTGGACATACGGCATTCACAAGTAGTTCTTTTGACCCAACTAGGCCAAGCATGAGTTGAGGAAGTTAAAAACATTATCTGAGTTATGCTGGTAACTGCTAAAGAACAGACTTCTCTTGTGCAGTCTGAAGACATCTTTGGTCTATTTTGCTGCCCTTAGACAAACGAAAAGAGCCAATACAGATGGATCAAAATGGCCTATGTGTAACTGAAAGTGACCAAGGCTGTTGTATTGATGTCAGAGTGTTAGCTACCCTCGAAGACATTTTCTTCCAATATTGATTATACCGTTTAAAACATAATATTGATTATACTGTTTAAAACATAATATCTACAATAAGACCAGGTTTTATAGCCAAAGAGATTGTAAATATAATACCAGGCCAGACAGAGTGGGTCATGCCTGTAATCCCAGCAATTTGGGAGGCTGAGGTGGGAGGTTCATTTGAGGCCGGGATATCGAGACCAGCCTAGGCAACATAAGCAAGACCCTGTCTCTACAAAAAATAAAATTAGCCAGGCGTGGTGGTGTGTGCCTGTAACCCTAGCTACTCAGGAGGCTGAGGCAGGGATGTTTGCTTGAGCCCAGAAGTTCGAGAGTTCGAGGCTGCAGTGAGTTGCGATCGTGCCACTGCTCTCCAGTGTGGATGAAAGAGTGGGACACTGTCTCCAAATAAATAAATAAATAATCCTATGTATTACTGTGTCTTGGTTTACAGTACTGTGTGAAACATCTCATCCTGATGTTACTAGATAAATGATCAATGAATTATCCAAATTATCTTACTCTGGTAAGCACATTTATTGGGAGAAAAGGTTCAAACATTTGCAGTGAAAGGTTAGTTTCACTAATCTTTATTTTTGTTGTTAGTTTTTGTGAATTTCATAGTCTTATGCAACACTGAATTCTAAAGAATTTAATTTTGCCAGTACTGATTTTCCTGAGATCTTAAGAGAAGGGGTTAGTATGCTTTTGGAATTTTCTCTGGGGTTTTTAGTCTATGACTTATTAGCTTGTTAAAGCATCACATGGGTGAGGGTTTAATATGCCTGAAATAGCCTTTTTTGTTCCATGGCTGGTGATCACATGTATTGCCCAGCAGCTATCTTGCTGGGACGTGCATCAAGCAGTACAAAATTATAACTACTAATGGAACGTGATATGCTGCTCCTGCCCTACCAATGTGAGAGCATCATAAGGGAGATTGAGTCAATCATATAATCTAGTTAATTCCACACAGAGGCTCTCCTACAAAACAAGAAAATACACTGTTGGTTCTTTCACTTATATTGTCTGGTTTTCTGGCGTGAATGTTAAAATCTGCCACTTTTTGATTGACTACACAGTTATTCCCCCAGGATGCTACCTTGTAATACATCATGGTCTTAAGTGGACATATAAAGGGTGAAATGTGGCCCATATTAGCCAATTTTTATTATTCATTTCAGGAAGTTAGAAAATTGCTGTTGTAACTGATATTTAATTCACTTAAGCCTGGGTGGAATAAATTGGCATTACTCCAGACAGGGAGCAAATTGTCCTAATGCTACCTTTCTCCAGTGATTTGAAATGTCATTTTCACTATACAGGAAATTCTTTTATAGCTTTGGGTTGTTTCTGTGCTTTTTATTGAGATCCATTGATCTTTGCATCTATTTTTAAGACAGTAATATTTTTAGTTATTGTATTCTTTTAACATAAGCAAACTTGTTTCTCTTGCTTAAAAAAACTTACCTGTTTATTTTTTCAGATTTGTACACTAAGATTGTCTATTTCTTAAAAAAAAAATCCTGCTAGCGTATTAATTGGATTTCTATTATGTTTATTAAATAATTTGGTGATACACTTTGACAATAAATCTGTATCCAGAAACAGGTTTTCTTGTCCCTTAGTCTTATAGTTGTATTAATACACCTACTCTCTTCTATTTGTTTTTGTTTTAATTGCTTTGGATTGGAAAAACAGATTACGAGTTTAGGTATTGTTTATAAAATAAGAGTAGATATGTTCTGAGAATCTAAAGCATGTTCAAAGCTTTCTTTTCCTCTACAGCTTTTAAAATATGGTACATGTGTTTTAGTGTATGGACTTTATGAAACATAGTTTGTCTCTGCAGAGGCAATTTCTAAACTTTTAGCTTTGTGGGCGGGCAGCTATCAAATGCGGGATCTATAGCAGTTTTGTGCATCTAGTAAGCCATGTATTGCCTGGTCTTAAAGTTATTTATGTCTCTTGTCCATCTGTTTCCTTTAGCTAATTGTGTTTCCAAAGGGCAGAATGCATGTGATTGTGTGCCTGATGGATTTTGGTTCCATTGAATTAACTAGTACTATACTTGTAATTCTATAATGCAGCTCACCTCCATTTAAAAATATATATTTTGGGGTTGGGCGCAGTAGCTCATGCCCATAATCCCAGCACTTTGGGAGGCCGAGGTGAGCAGATCACCTGAGGTCAGGAGTTTGAGACCAGCCTGACCAACATGGTGAAACCCCATCTCTACTAAAAGTACAAAATTAGCCGGTCGTGGTGGCACATGCCTGTAATCCCAGCTACTTGGGAGGCTGAGGCAGGATAATGGCTTGAACCTAGGAGGCGGAGGTTGCAGTGAGCCGAGATCGCACCATTGCACTCTAGCCTGTGCAACAAGAGAGAAACTCCATCTCAAAAAAAAAAATATATATATATGTGTGTATGTATATATGTACATATATGTGTATATATGTGTGTGTATATATATATATGTGTATAAATATGTTCCAATCCAATTTGCCTTCCATGAGTGAGAAGATCTTTGAAGACAGGGTATGTGTCTTCCTGTATTAAACTTTTTCCATTTCCTAGCCTCTTGAACAGTTCCATGTACTGTCCTAAATGAATGTTGGCTAGATCGTGTTGAAATGGCAAAGTAGCCTTTAAATAACAAAGCATAAAGAAAATAGTGACTTGAGTTTCTTGAAGAACCATACACTTTCTAAGGGATATTAGTCCTGTGTATGCAACAAGTGAGAACATTAAGAAGGCTGTTTTATTTTATCAGCTGTGGTTCCTGTTGATCCTGTGGAAGAAAATTATGTTCATAAAGTGGAAACTGTATTTTTTTCAATCTCCTTCCCAACTCCTTTCAAATCAAGAGTACGTCTTGTAGCAGTTTCAAAGGTTAGGCAATATTTTTTCATAACACAAATACTTAACTCACTAAAATATTTGTTTAAAATAATTTTTTAAAGTTAATATTATTAGTCTAATTATAAATGACTATCTGTGTTTAAAATTCAAATATTTAGAGATGTCATTCTTAGAAATCACACTTTGATACTTACTCAGTTTCATCTTAAAGTGGTCTTACAAGGAAAATATGCTTTTGTGAAAAAGAAGAAAATGAGTTAAATTGTTATCTTACATATCCTTTATCTAATGGTTTAGAACAATAAATTCTAAATTGTTCTCTCATGATATAAATGAATTTGGGCTAAAAATAGGATATTTACTTTTTTCTATTTCCTTAAATGAATTTGTGCTAGGAAAAACATTGTTTTACCATATGTCATAAGAAAGCCATAAAAATTTCTGAACCATCTAATAAGAACTAATTTTTCCCAAATAGCATAAACATAGAAAGTATGGTACATCTCTTATGAAAAAATATTAATAATATATTTTCAGAAGAGGTTTATTCTTTGAATTTTCTTCCATTAAGTCTCTATTTTTAAAAATTATTAGGCCAGGCACAGTAGCTCACTTCTGTAATCGTAGCACTTTGGGAGGCCAAAGTAGGAGGATCACTTGAGCCCAGAAGGTTAAGGCTGCAGTGAGCCATGATTGTGCCTCTGCACTCCAGCCTGGGTGACTGAGTGAGCTTGTGTCTCAAAAAAAAAAAAGTACTGAAAGAAGACTTAGGTTTGTAAATTTGTTTTTCCTGCCTCAGGAAGTTCTAGAAGATATTTTGGACCTTGATTTATCAAGGTCCCTTTACCAAGATCCATTCCACTGGCTCACCGATATGGAGGCCACCAGGTAAGAGTAGCAACAGTACCATTTCCCTTATGCAAATAGAATTATTTGATGGAAATGCTGTCCTACTAAAGAAATTATTTTGCATTAGTTTTTAAAATAGTGCATTGGGAGTTCAACAAGGTGTGTCTAAAGGAATATGTCATCAGAAGATGTTTATAGATTAGCTGATGTGATTTCTTGCTGTGCTAAAGCTAGAACCTAATACTTTGAATGACATTGAGAATACTGGAGCAGCAAAAACAGAAAATTTCTGTGGGTTATTGCTAGAGAACTCATTCAGTGCACTTTTGGCAAGAGATTTTGGCAAAATGAAGCAGTACAACATGTCAGTATAAAAGGACAAATAAGCCAGGTGCGGTGGCTCACGCCTATAATCCCAGCATTTTGTGAGGCAGAGGCAGGCAGATAGCTTGAGACTAGGAGTTCAAGACCAGCCTGGGCAACATGGCTGTACAAAAATTAGCCAGGCATAGTGATGTGTGCCTGTGGTCCCAGCCATTTGGGTGGCTAAAGCAGGAGGATCTCTTGAACCTCGGAGGCAGAGGTTGCAGTGAGCCAAAGTTGGGCCACCACACTACAGCCTGGGTGACAGAGTGAGACCCTGTCTCAAAAAATAAATGAATAAAACAGACAAAAAGAAAGACGAATAGATTATAATTATATCAAGATAGCCATAGAACAAAGTTGTACAACTACTACAGTAGGAGTAAATCAAGATTCCTTGTAGGTGTTATATGGGCTGCAGAAATCAGGAAGCAATTAAGGCACATTCTGGAAATAAAGCAAGATGTTGAAACAAGTTCAGGGTATGGTATCTGACTAATTAAAAAAAGAAACGGAACATTGGACCAATCATTGAAATTTCTGTGACTTTCCTGTAAGCTAGATAAGATTAACACTCTCTGGTCGTTTGGGGGCTTTTTGGTTGAGGCTGGTTTGCTCAGGAACAATTTTTAAGACAAATAGTAAAGTATCATAGGGTTGGTGTAGGATTAGATTAGGAAATATATGAAAAGTGCTTAACATGTTAACTATTACAATTATTGTAACATCAGGTTCTGGTTTGCTGGGTTAGTTATTTCCTTTCTTCTTCAAAGTCCTGTAGGCTAAGAGGCAAAGTAATACAAGCCATTAGGAGGACTTTTAAGGGTCACCTGTGACAAACTTGAACACCAATTTCTTTTTCTTTTCATCTTTTAAGTTCAGGGGTACCGGTGCAGGATGTGTAGGTTTGCTACATAGGTAAATGTGTGCCATGGTGGTTTACTGCACAGATCATCCCATCACCCAGTTTTATATATATATATATATATTTATTTTTGAGACAGAGTGTTGCTCTGTCGCCAAGGCTGGAGTCCAGTGGCACCATCTCAGCTCACTGCAAACTCTGCCTCCTGGGTTCAAGTGATTCTCCTGTCTCAGCCTCTCAAGTAGGTGGGATTATAGGTGCGTGCCAGCATACCCAGCTAATTCTTTTTGTATTTTTAGTAGAGACTGGGTTTCACCATGTTGGCTAGCCTGGTTTCGAACTCCTGACCTCAAGTGATCTGCCTGCCTTGGCCTCCCAAACTGCTAGGGTTACAGGCATGAGCCACCGTGTTCAGCCCCGATCACCCAGTTATTAAGCCCAACATCCATTAGCTATTCTTGCTGATGCTCTCCCTCCCCTTAACCCCCTACAGGTGCCCAGTGTGTGTTGTTCCCCCCAGTGTGCCCATGTGTTCCCCCTGGCATGTCCATATGTTCTCAGACTAGCTCCATCTTATAACTGAGAAGGTGCGGTCTTTGGTTTTCTGTTCCTGTGTTAGTTTGCTGAAGATAATGGCTTCCAACTCCATCCATGTCCCTGCAAAGGACATGATCTTATTCCTTTTTATGGCTGCACAGTATTGCATGGTGTGTATACCACATTTTCTTTATTCAGTCTATCATTGATGGGTATTTCAGTTGATTCCATGACTCTCTATTGTAAACAGTGCTGCAATGAACATACACGTCTATGTCTCTTTACAACAGAATGATTTATATCCTTCTGGGTATATACCCAGTAATGGGATTGCTGGATCAAAAGGTATTTCTACCTCTGGTTCTTTGAGGAATCACCACACTGCCTTCCACAATAGTTGAAGTATTGACACTTTCACCAGCAGTGTAAAAGTGTTCCTTTTTCTCCAGCATCTGTTGTTTTTTGAGTGTTTAGTAATAGGCATTCTGATTGGCATGAGATGGTATCTCTTTGTGGTTTTGATTTGCATTTCTCTAATGATCAGTGATGTTGAGCTCTTTTTCATGTTTGTTGGCTGCATATGTCTTCTTTTGAGGAGTGTTGAAACTACTAAAAATACAAAAATTAGCCAGGTGTGGTGGCAGGCACCTATAGTCCCAGCTACTTGGGAGGCTGAGGCATGAGAATCACTTGAACCTGGAGGCGGAGGTTGCAGTGAGCCGAGGTCACGCCACTGCTCTCCAGCCTCGGTGACAGAGTGAGATTGTGTCTCAAAAAAAAAAAAAAAGAAAGAAAGAAAAAGAAACTACTTGGAGAGGCGAAATGAACGTAGTGAAAGTGGAGGTTATATACTCACAAAATGACAATATCAAAAGGAATTATTTGTACAAGAAAAGCCATGTGAACCCAGATTCAGGAGAGCTCATCTTAGGATGGGGAAATGGCAGAATCAGAAGTCCTTGATTATGAGAAAACTTTGTGATTTGACTTTCTACATAAGTAGATAAGTAGAACATCAGCTGGTAGAGAAAGTAAGCTAATTGGGCTATAACTATGAAGAGAGAAAGCAATATAAATTATTTGTTTAGGAAAGCTTCCGTTTTATGGAACAGTAGTAACCACATAATTCGAATGCACTTTTTTTTTTTTTTTTTAGTAGAGACGGGGTTTCACCAGGCTGGCCAGGCTAGTCTCGAACTCCTGACCTCAAGAGATCTGTCCTCCTCAGCTTCCCAAAGTGCTAGGATTACAGGCATGAGCCACTGGGCCTGACTTTGAATGCACTGTTGAGGTTCCTCCTGACAAACGTTTGTGGACAAAGGAAGCTGCAGTCCTATGCTTCCAATTTAATAGTTAACTTATAACTTAGTAAAGACTTAATTGATGCGTATATGTTTTATGGCTGATTAAAGATGACCACAAATTATTTGACACCTCTCCCATCAAGAGGTGGTGTCAGCCTATGCAGCATAGTGAGACCTCGTCTCTACAAAATGAAAAAAAAGAGTTAGCTGGAAGTGGAAGCACACGCCTGTGGTTTCAGCTACTCAAGAAGCTGAGACACGAGAATCACTTGAGCCCATGAGTTGGAGGCGACAGCACCATTGCACTCTAGCCTGGGGGACAGAGCAAGACCTTGTCTCCAAAAAAAAAAAGGGGGGGTAGTGTCTATTTTCCCTTCCATTGAATCTAGGCTAGCCCGTGATTGCCTGAAGCAAAAGAAGGTGGCAGAAATGACCCTGTGCCAGCTCTGGGAGCCTAGCTTTTAAGAGAACCGGCAGCTTTTGCCTTGGCTTCTTGGGGCCCTGAGCGAAGCATTAGCTTACCCTGCCGAAGGGCCACGTGGAGAGGCTCTGAGACTCCATGAAAAATAGACGGCCCCAGCTGAGCGCAGCCTTCCAGGTGTTCTGTGAAGGCACCAGGCTCATAAGAAGCATCTTGGCTCCTCCAGACCAGCCTAGCTGCCAGCTGAACACCACCCGACACCCAGTCCATATGACCACAGAACAGAAGACTCACCCAGCCAGGCTCTGCCCAAATTTCTGGCTCACTAAATCCTGACATATGATGAAATAGTCATTGTTTTAAACTACTAGACTTGCGGCTGTTCATTACAACATGTTGGTAACTGAAATATGCTAATTTATTACTCTTTTGATAATCTTTTAAAGGAGAGAACTGTTTTCTATTTTTCTCTTTCCATCTTATAAATACTATCCTATATTTACTTGAAATCTCAAATATGTAGAGATAACATTCACTTGAGTAACACTTGGCAGATTCTGTGAATACAAGGCTTGTGGGATTGATTCCATGTGGAAAGGAATTCTGAAGTTACCCTTCCTGCAGACAGGAACAACAGTGGGGGGTAGCCTCAATCCTATGACTTTCATCCTCTTTGCTAGGGCTTTAAATTAAGTATAAAATTTCTGGCTGGGCACAGTGGCTCATGCCTGTAATCCCAGCCCTTTGGGAGGCTGAGACGGGCAGATCACAAGGTCAGGAGATCCACACCATCCTGGCCAACATGGTGAAACCCTGTCTCTACAAAAAATACAAAAATTAGCTAGGTGTGGTGGTGCATGCCTGTAATCCCAGCTACTCAGGAGGCTGAGGCAGGAGAATCGCTTGAACCTGGGAGGCGGAGGTTGCAGTGAGCCGAGATCATACCACTGCACTCCAGCCTGGCAACAAAGCGAGAATCCATCTAAAAAAAAAAAAAAAATCCTAAGAAGACTTTCAACATGCAAGATCTTCAATCAAAAAGAAATATAATACTTAAAATTTGGTTTATTTGTCCCAACTATTCTATGCATAAAAATAAAAACTTAAAATAGAATAAAATAAAATTCTGTCCCCAACTTTGAATCAAAGGCAATTTTCCCAAAAGTAAGCATGACTTCCATAGAGCAAAGTGAGATATAAGCGTGGGATCCTATGTGACAGGACTCGCTGGGCTTGAATCCCAGCTCAGCCACTTGCTCAATGGGACCATCCTGGGTGAGTTACTTAATTGCTCTGTGTTTTACCTTCTTCGTGTATAAACTGGGGAGTATTGGCCAGGTGTGGCGGCACATGCTGTAATCCCAAAACTTTGGGATGCCAAAGCAGGAGGATTGCTTGAGCCCAGGAGTTCAAGAACAGCCTGGGCAATATAGTGAAACCTTGTCTCTACAATAAAAATAATAATAATAATAAAATGGGGACTATTAACATACCTATCTCAGAGGGTCTAGGGATTAAATTAGTTACTCCATGCAAAATGCTTCAAGCAGCACCTGGTAGGTGGAAACAACTCCATAACCATTGTTATCTCTAGGTGTGCAGCAGGACCCAGCAGTTAAGCACACAGTCTCTGGAACTGGAAGGCCTATGTTCAAATACATGCTGGTGAAGAATTGCCAATATATATTAAAGTGACAACAAAATATATGTGTATAACAAGAACCACGGGATTTTAGAGGAAGGAAAACACATTCTGAGGGGGAAAGTGGGAAGGGCTTCATTGAAGAGTTTTGAGGACTAACTTGGATCCCAACAGAAGATTTGGGCACTTGTGATATGGTGGATAGACAAGGGCTTTCCAGACAGAGGGGATGGCCCAGTCAAAGGCTCAGACCCTGGAATTAAAAGACATGTTTGGGCCAGGGGTGGTGGCTCATACCTGTAATCCCAGCTCTTTGGGAGGCTGAGACGGGAGGATCTCTTGAGCCCAGGAGCTTGAGATCAGTCTGGGCAACATAGTGAGATGCCCATCTCTACAAAAAATAAAATTTTTAATTAGCCACGCGGCCAGGTACAGCCCACGCCTGTAATTCCAGCACGTTGGGAGGCTGAGGCGGGCAGATCACCTGAGGTCAGGAGTTCAAGACCAGCGGGGCCAACATGGTGAAACCCTGTCTCTACTAAAAATACAAAAATTAGCCAGGCGTGGTGGCGGGTGCCTGTAATCCCAGCTACTCGGTAGGCTGAGGCAGGAGAATCACTTGAACCCGGGAGGCAGAGGTTGCAGTGAGCCGAGATCACGCCATTGCACTCTAGCCTGGGCGACAGGAGTGAAACTGTCTTAAATCAATCAATTAATAAATAAATATTAGCCAGGCATGGTGGCACACAACCATAGTCCCAGGTACTTAGGAGGCTGAGGCAGGAGCATTGCTTGAGGCCAGGAGTTCAAGGTTGCAGTGAGCTGTGATCATGCCACTGCACTCCAGCCTGAGTGACAGAGCAAAATCCTGTCTCTAAAAAAACAAAACAAACAAAAAAGCTGTGTATGGAACAACAACAACAGATAAATCGCTTGGCTGGAGCAGTTTACATGAGGAAGATATGGGAGAAGTTAGGGAGGAGGTTTGCATCTGTGTTCCATGCACTCGGTCTTTAATAGCAATAATAACAGCAACAACAGCTCATATATCATGCTTACTACATTCTGGGCACTTTTCTAGGCACCTTTCAGTATTAACTTATTTAACTCTTGCTGCAACCCTACTCGGTATACACTATTATTGTCATCCCCATTTTACTGAGCACAAAACTGAGGCATAGAAAGGTTAAGTTGTTTGTCCAAGATCACAAAGGAAAAAGGTGACAGAGTTCAGAATAATGATTATAATCAGCTCATTTCCAGATGGTTCTTTACTCCAACGGCCACCTCTCCTCCCCACTTTGCCTCATTCTGTCTCAGGATGCCTGTCTTTGTGCATGTTGTTCCATTTCCTAATAAGCCTTTATTCTTTTCACATCACCCACAATCTATTGCTTCTCCAAATTTTACTTAACCTGAAAAACTCAATTCCTGCAAACTGACCTAGGCAACACTCCAGGTCTAACCTTGAATTTGCCACACTGTACTAGAGCCACAAATTTCCTTGAATGCTCCCCCTACCAGACTGTAAATGTGAATCTGCTCTGGCACAGTCTTGTAAAATGCAGTGTCTGGGGGAGCACCTGAGACTCTGTATTCTGACGAACACCTAGTGAAGCTGATGATGCTACCATGCTGCCCATTCCTGGATAGCACATTGAATAGCAAGGCTGTGCAGAGTAAGTACAGGATCTTGATTAAGTTAGTGCACTGCCCTGCAACCAGTCCATTCATTCCCCAGGATCCACAGGGGATTGGTTCCAGGAATCCCAGGATACCAAAATCCGCGGTCCCTGATATAACAGGGTATAGCGGTCTCAGTTCAAGTCCCTAATATAACAGGGCATAGTGTTTGCATATAACCTACACACACCCTTTCAAATACTTTCAATCATCTCTATATTACTTATAATACCTAATACAATGTATTTACATTGTAGTTACCTTGTAGTTTAACAGTTGTTAAACTCTATTGGTTTTGTTTGTGTTATTTTTATTGGTTTTTGTTTGTTTGTTTGGATGGTTGGTTGGTTTTTTTTTTTTTTTTTTTTTTTTTTGAGACAGGATCTTTTTGAGACACCCAGGCTGGAGTGCAGTGATGCGTTCTCGGCTTACTGCAACCTCTGTCTTGCAGGCTCAAGAGATTCTCTTGCCTCAGCCTCCCAAGTGTAGCTGGGATTACAGGCGCACCACCACACTGGCTAATTTTTGTATTTTAGTACAGACAGGTTTCATCATATTGGCCAGGCTGGTCTCAAACTCCTAACATCAAATGGTCCACCTGCCTCAACCTCCCAAAGGGCTGGGATTACAGGCATGAGGCACCATGCCTGGCCTGTTGTATTGTGTAAAAAATATTTTCCATTAAGGTTAGTTGAATCCATGGATGAAGAAGCCATGGGTACAGAAAGCTGCCTGTAGCTGATCAGAGAACCACTCCAGACTGATTTTTAAGTTGACTGACCTTCCTTAGAGGTTTCAGCAGGACAACACCACACCCTTCTCCACATCCATAGCCACCTACCCTTTTAGAGAAAAGTTTACTCATCCCATCTGGAGATATCATTTTGGCTTTGCTCAACATGACATTAAACGAAGGGTCTAACATGCAGCTCACTCCACCACAGAGAGCTGTTTCACAGTCTCCTGCAACCAAGCAACAAATAGCAAACCCAGTGAGAAGAAATAGTGTTTGATTCATATACACAGTGGCTTCCCATCTCATCAGAGATTACCTCTCTTGGGAGGTAAACACTAAGGGTCCCCTTCTCATGGAATATAATGTGAATGGGGTCCCCTGAGGTTGTATAGTGTAGAGATACAGGACTGGAAAAATAACAGAACTGAGAATTTAGAGATTTGGAGTCTGGTCTTAGCTCTGTCACCATTTAGGGGTGACATTTAAGGATGGATATTAATCAAGTCATTTAATCTTACTGGACTCATTTCTTGGCACCATAACACAGATGGGTTAAACCAGAGATCTCTAATATTATTAATATCTCTAGCTCAAATATACAAATCTGAGATAAACTTTGATAGTGAGCTTTCTTCATTTAGTTTAAAGAATCTTGCAAAAGGGCCAGGCGTGGTGGCTCACACCTGTAATCCCAGCAGAGCAGCTGTCAGTGCAATACTTTCAACAGCCTTGTCTTTTGCCAATTGAAAAGCTTGGGTCAGGGACAAGGTAATTTATAGATTCAATGCCATCCCCATCAAGCTACCAATGACTTTCTTCACAGAATTGGAAAAAAACTAATTTAAAGTTCATATGGAACCAAAAAAGAGCCCTCATTGCCAAGTCAATCCTAAGCCAAAAGAACAAAGCTGGAGGCATCACGCTACCTGACTTCAAACTATACTACAAGCCTACAGTAACCAAAACAGCATGGTACTGGTACCAAAACAGAGATATAGACCAATGGAACAGAACAGAGCCCTCAGAAATAATGCCATATATCTACAACTATCTGATCTTTGACAAACCTGACAAAAACAAGAAATGGGGAAAGGATTCCATATTTAATAAATGGTGCTGGGAAAACTGGCTAGCCATATGCAGAAAACAGAAACTGGACCCCTTCCTTACACCTTATACAAAAATTAACTCAAGATGGATTAAAGACTTAAATGTAAAACCCAAAACCATGGAAACCCTAGAAGAAAACCTAGGCAATACCATTCAGGACATAGGCATGGGCAAAAATTCATGACAAAAATGCCCAAAGCAATGGCAACAAAAGCCAAAATTGACAAATGGGACCTAATTAAACTAAAGAGCTTCTGCACAGCAAAAGAAACTATCATCAAAGTGAACAGGCAACCTACAGAATGGGAGAAAATTTTTGTAATCTACCCATCTGACAAAGGTCTAATATCCAGAATTTACAAGGAACTTAAACATATTTACAAGGAAAAGACAAACAACCTCATCAAAAAGTGGGCAAAGGATATGAACAGACAATTCTTAAAAGAAGATATTTATGCAGCCAAGAAACATATGAAAAAAAAACTCAACATCACTGACCATCAGAGAAATCCAAATCCAAATCACAATGAGATACCATCTCATGCCAGTCAGAATGGTGATTATTAAAAGTCAGGAAACAATAGATGCTGGTGAGGCTGTGGAGAAACAGGAAAACTTTTACACTGTTGGTGGGAATGTAAATTAGTTCAACCATTGTGGAAAACAGTATGGCGATTCCTCAAGGACATAGAACCAGAAATACCATTTGACCCAGCAATCCCCTTTCTGGGTATATATCCAAAGGGCTATAAGTCATTCTACTATAAAGACACATGCACACGTATGTTTACTGCAGCACTATTTACAATAGCAAAGACATGGAACCAACCCAAATGCCCTCAATGCTACAAAGGATAAAGAAAATGTGGTACATATACACCATGGAATACTATGCAGCCATAAAAAGGAATGAGATCATGTCCTTTGCAGGGACATGGATGAAGCGGGAAGCCATTATTTTCAGCAAACTAACACAGGAACAGAAAGCCAAACACTGCATGTTCTCACTTATAAGTGGGAGTTGAACATTGAGAACACATGGATACAGGGAGGGAAACAACACACACCAGGGCCTGTTGACAGGTAGGGGGTGAGGGGAGGGAACTTAGAGGATGGGTCAATAGGTGCAGCAAACCACCATGGCACACGTATACCTATGTAACAAACTTGCACGTTCTGCACATGTATCCCAATTTTTTTAAGAAGAAATAAAGAAAAAAATTGTTCAATTTTTTGGTAATCATGCCTCATGTCTTGGTTACCTAACTTCAGCATACCTTGTTTAATTGCAAGGAAGGCGTAGTACAGTGCAACAAAAGATGATGAGCATGCAGAATCTATAGCAAAAGAGGGGCCAGTTAGGTTAAACACATAAGAAATCCTGTTAGCAGCTATGCTCATTGCAGATCCAGTGGCATTACGGTGGTTTGCATTCTTGGAGTTCTACGGGACATAAATTCATAGTCTTGATTCATAATACCTATAAAAAATCAAAAAGATTTTCAGTGAGTCTCTTACTAAAAGGAAAAAAAAGCTTTCTTGCTTTTTTACTTACCATGTAGATTTAAAAACATATTAAGATATCCATCTCGTCTCTTTCATTTACATTGGCCACGACCACTAATCATAATAAAAGAATGTAAAACCCGATGACGTGTGAGTATCCTTTACTTCTGGGAGTAAGTAAGTTTTTGTTAAATTTCATATTTTTATGACAAGTGATATAACATAGACATTCTTCTTACAACAAAATAACATTTGCCATCTCTAAAAGCACTTGTCAGTTTTGCAAAATGCTTTCGTAGACATTTCACCATCCGAGTTCACATCCTCCCATAGCTAAAGGACAGATAGATAGATATTTTTAGCATAATCTTAGAACCCATGTAAATTGAAGCCCAGAAAAGCTAAAGAAAGTCATTTAAGGTCATTTAATTTTATAAAAGAGATGAGCCAGGATGCTAGTTAAATGCTTCAGATTCAGCACACTGAAATATATTCACTTCCCTTAAAGGCTGAGCTGTCACATCACTTCAGACCACAATCTTTTTTTCTTCCTTTCTGCCTCTACCTGGGAAATCTCATTCATTCCCACGGCTTCAGTTACCATCTAGTTCTGATGACACTCAATTATCTCTCTAGCCCAATCTCTCCTACATTCCAAAAACATGTTTCTAAATCATACTCCACATCTCTCCTCCAATGGTCTACAGACACCTAAGATTCAACCACCTTACCAAGGTTGATCCACAAGAATCTCAGACTCAACGGATTCAAAACAGAATTCAACTTCTTTCCACTTCCTCAAACCCAAACTTGTACATCCTACCTATATTGTGAGTGCTTCCACCAAGCCACAAACCTCAGTGGAATCCTGGACTCCTTTCTACTCTTAATAACCTACATCTAATCATTTACCATGTACTGTCCATTGGGCCTTTATAAATTTCTCTTAAATCTGCAGACTCTTCTACCTTACTTCTGGACAGCATCCTCTCTTCCCTGAATTACTAAATTAGTCTCCAACTTGATGTTTCTGCCTCCAGCCTTGCCCCCTCCCTGCAACCCCTCAATCCGCATTCGACTCTGTGGCCAGTGTGATCTTTGAAGAATAGAAATCCAATCATGATCTCCTCTGGGTCACGCTTTTCTCCTGCTTTCCAACACTTCAGTGTCTTCCCACGGTCCTCAAGAAAGTCCAACTCCTTTATAGGTCTCCAAGTTTTCCACCACCAACCTCTCCAGACTTGTTTCCTCAAGAGATATTGTACTCTAGGACTGGCCATACCAAACTTTCCATTCCAGGAACTCAACCTGGGTTTTTTTACCTCCTCACCTCTGGAAAGACTATTCTTAAAATTCCCTATTTCTGGATGCTCTTCCTTTCATTCTCTCCCCACTTATTGGGTCACTTCTGGGCATCCTTTAGGTTTCAGCTTTGATGTTACTTCTTCCTGTGCAGCCTGCCCTCACTCACCAAGACTGAGGTTGGCACTCTCTTCCCTGTGGATTCCACAGCCCCTGTGCTCACCCTGAATGTGCTACTTGTCACTCATATAAAAATCATCTCCCTCCATGTAACTTCATGGTAACCTCGCTGTGATTCTCCCAGGTATAAATCTTCAGTAGGTACGGACAAATTAGCCCCAACACACATGAACCACATAAGCCTTCATATTCTAATCATGGTTTAATACCAAGACAGTTTCAGTTGAATTGTCTAGACACAGTGGAAAATATGAAGAAAGAAAGACTTAGTTGAGGAAACGTGGAGGCTGACTTTGATGAGTTTCTTGGTAACTTGATAAGGAGAAAATACTTAGGGCAGCCTTAAATTGAGAAGCTTGGTAAGCTTTAGTTAGTAGAATTTAGCTAGTGGCATTCCACCCTAAGTTGCTTTTTATTATAAAACAACTATTGCTGTAATACATTATTACTTTTATTAACAAAAATTAAATTTCACCAGTGCCTTATTTGAGGCTTAGAATAAAGGTTGAGAACAAGATAGGTCTGCAAATTTAAGTGCCCATTACCTAGAGGGTACCTGCCCTGGATCCGAAGTTAATTTCAAAAGACATCTGGGAGTAGGAAATCTCAGATTTCAATTGGCTCCAAGAAGTTCCTTAGGGATCCAGATCCCGTTTAGACTCTGGAATTCAGAAGCTCAAAGTTAGCCTAATATATACTCCTTGAGTCAATATATTTTCCTAATATATACTCCTTGAGTCATTGCGGTCTACACTGATCCACTAGGGTCAATGAAGTGCCCGGATCTCTGCAATCTATCAAGTTGTCTGATGTGTGGCTCCTATGGACCTATAGTCATTGACACTCATTCCAGGCTGTCAGGAAATATCTCTGTGTATAGAGGTTTTACTGGTCTTCCTGGAAACCCTGGGGAATACTGAGAAGAGAAATATGAGTGATAACTACACGGTTTTAGAAAGAGAAATGTTTTTGTGGCAAGGCTGGAGAGGAGGCAAATACTCAGTGATCATAATTGAAACCAGCCACACACATCAAAACCATAGCAAAGCTGGCCTGAGAATTGTTGTTTGATGGTTTTTGGTTTCTGTTCATTGCTCTCTCACCAATGAAGACTCCTGTCCTGGAACCAGCCACCTCCTTGGCAGGGACTCCAGCACTCTCCAGGGCTCCATAGGTGCATTCCAGAAGCAATTTCTGCTGAGGATCCAGACATTCAGCTTCCAAGTCACTAATTCCAAACAAGTTATTGTCAAATTCATTCAATCTACAAAGAACAAAATGGCATTAAATGGCCTCTGAAGAATACCTACTTAGATTAGTATTTATGCATTTTTTTTCTTCTGTAAAATGTGGTTGCCAAACTTTCAGATTATGTTGGCTCATCTCATGTAATCATTAGTTTCTGTTACCTTTTACTTTCTGTTTTTTTTTTTTTTTTAATTTTTATTTTTTTGAGATGGAGTCTCGCTCTGTTGCCTAGGTGGGACCAGGCTGGTGTGCCGTGATGCGATCTCGGCTCACTGCAACCTCTGCCTCCCAGGTTCAAGCGATCTTCCTGCCTCAGCCTCCTGAGTAGCTGGGATTACAGGTGCGTGCCACCATGCCCAGCTAATTTTGTATTTTAGTTTTGTCATGTTGGCCAGGCTGGTCTCAAACTCCTGACCTCAAGTGATCCTCCTGCCTCAGCCGCCCAAAGTGCTGGGATTACAGGTGTGAGCCACTTCGCCCGGCCCTAGTTTCTGTTAGCTGTTATTTTGTTTAATACTAGATAATTGTAAAGTACATCATAAACTAGGTGATTTCTTTGGGGCCCTGATAGAGTTTGGATATGTGTCCCACCCAAATCACATCTTGAATTATAATCTTCAGTATTGGAGGTGGGGCCTGGCGAAAGGTGATTGGATCATGGGGGTGGAATTCTCATGAGTGGTTTAGCATCACCCTCTTGATGCTGTCTTCACCATAGTGAGTGTTTTCTCGTGAGATCTAGATAGTGAGTGTCTTCTTGTGAGATCTAGCTAGTGAGTGACTTCTTGTGAGATCTAGCTGTTTGAAAATATGTGGCACCTCATGCTGTCTCTCAATACTGCTTTCCCCATGTGAGGTGCCTGCTCCCCCTTTGCCTTCCACTATGATTGGAAGCTTCGTGAGGTCCCCCAGAAGCCAATGCTACTATACTTCCCATACAGCCTGCAGAACCATGAGCCGATTAAACCTCTTTTAGGAATTACCCAGTCTCAGGTATTTCCTTATAGCAATGCAAGAATGAAATAATATAGGCCCACTCCTGCTCTCTTCTGTCTTACCAACAATACTGGGTATAGTTCAAATGGAATTACTGGATCAAGTATTAGATTAAAAGGTTCAAGGAATTTCCGTATACACTCTCGCCCGTTTATATCAGTTTCAATCAAATACGGAGCCAGCACATTTGCTTACTAAGAAATATAAGAAAGACAGTAAAAACAGGAGTTGCAGGTTGAGGAAAGAGGAAGTAAGGGGACATGATTATTTAGGTTTCTAGTTTGGATGACTACAAAAAATATAAGACAAATGAAGGCAAGAGAGACTTTGTAATAGGGCAATTTTAGGTCTACCCAGGATAGATACAGGAGTGGGGAACAGACTTGGGTGGAAAATGTAAAGAAATAGCATGTTGAGAAGAAATTAAAAAGTTAAAGTGCCCTACCAATAAATCACTAAAGAATTTCACTGGCTGGGTGCAGTGGCTCACACCTGTAATCCCAGCACTTTGGGAGGCCAAGGTGGATATCACTTGAGCTCAGGAGTTTGAGACCAACCTGGCCATCATGGCCAAACCCTGTCTCTACTAAAAATACAAAATTAGCCGAGCTTGGTGGTGTGCACCTCTCGTCTCAGCTACTCAGGAGGCTAAGGCAGGAGAATCACTTGAACCCAGGAGGCAGAGGTTACAGTGAGCCGAGATTGCTCCATTGCACTCCAGCCTTGGCAACAAAGTGAAACCTTGTCTCAAAAAAAGAGAGCCAGGCGTGGTGGCTCATGCCTGTAATCCCAGCACTTTGGGAGGCTGAGGTTGGCAGATCACCTGAGGTCAGGAGTTCGAGACCAGTCTGGCCAACATGGTAAAACCCCATCTCGACTAAAAATACAAAAATTAGCCAGGTGTGGTGGCACATGCCTGTAATCCCAGCTACTCAGGCAGGCTGAGGCAGGAGAATCGCTTGAACTCAGGAGGTGGAGGTTGCAGTGAGCCGAGACCACACCACTGCACTCCAGCCTAGGTGACAGAGTGTGACCATGTCTCAAAAAAAAAAAAAAAAAAGAAAACATAAAGAATTTCATTAACAGGATTTTAAATAAACTAACCAGATGAACTATTTTTGGAAATTCCAGCAATAATCTTACCTTTCAATAGAAGCAGCTCTTCCTGCCCAGCTTTTACCTGGCTTGGTGTCATCTGCATCATACCATCCTTCAATATTAAGCCTTTCTGGTAAAATCTCTACCGTGCAGTTTCTGCCTTCCATAAGCACTTGCCAGAAGTTGTCAATTCCCTCTCCTATTAGAAAATTATAGTCCAGTGGCCGGGCGCAGTGGCTCACGCCTGTAATCCCAGCACTTTGGGAGGCCAAGGTGGGCGGATCACAAAGTCAGGAGATCGAGACCATCCTGGCTAACACGGTGAAACCCCGTCTCTACTAAAAATACAAAAAATTAGCCAGGCGTGGTGGCGGGCGCCTGTAGTCCCAGCTACTCGGGAGGCTGAGGCAGGAGAATGGCGTGATCCCGGGAGGCGGAGCTTGCAGTGAGCCGAGATCGTGCCACTGCACTCCAGCCTGGGCGACAGAGCGAGACTCCGTCTCAAAAAAAAAAAAAAAAAGAAAATTATAGTCCAAAAAATTATTCACTCTGGTTGTAAAATAAATACACAGAAATCAAAACTTTTCCTAATTACTGTCGGTAATAAGTTAGGAATTATAATTCAGAAGTATACTCTCAAAATTCTAAAATGAAAAACCGAGGAATAAATGTACTAAGAAATGTGCAAGATTTATGTGAAGAAAAAAAACTAAAGCTAAAAATGGGCATGAAACAAGCCTTGAAGAAATTAAGAGATACAACCGCTTCTTGCTAGACTCGTTCAAGATACTGATTCTTACTTAGTAAAACAACTATAACCAACCATTTGTTCTTTTTTTAACTTGACAAAGTGATTCTTTTTTTTTTTTTTTTTTTGGAGACAGAGTCTCACTCTGTCGCCCAGGCTGGAGTGCAGTGGTGTGATCTTGGCTCACTGCAAGTTCCGCCTCCCAGGTTGACGCCATTCTCCTCCCTCAGCCTCCCGAGCAGCTGGGACTACAGGCGCCCGCCACCGTGCCCGGCTAATTTTTTGTATTTTTAGTAGAGACGGGGTTTCACCGTGTTAGCCAGGATGGTCTCGATCGCCTGACCTTGTGATCTGCCCGCCTCAGCCTCCCAAAGTTCTGGGATTACAGGCCTGAACCACCATACCCGGCTGAGGTTAAATATTTTTTCAAGCTATCTTAATGCTGGTAGGTAGTAGAGTTGGAATTCAAACAAAAAGTCTAGCTTCTGACTCCATGTTCTTAACTACCACTTGCCATACCATGCTCATATCCAGATTCCTGACCTCATTTTTTTTAAATGTTGCCTGTGTGCTTGTCAAGAATGTGTAGCCTTTCCTTGTTGAGTTCTGGCCTCGATATATACCTGTTAAAACAAATGTGTTCATTATGTTGTTCAGATTGCCTATATCTACTTTTTTGCATTTTAAAAAATTTCCTTTAGTTATTAATAATTGAGAAAAGTGTATTAAAATTCTATGAATTAATTTGTCACTTTCTTTACAAAACTCTATAAATGCTTGCTTTATCCATTTTGAGTCTATTTCATTAGGTATATATAAGTTTAGATTGTTACCTACCTAATAAATCAAATTCTTTGCAATCATTGTAGTTACCTACTTTTTCCCTAATGATGCTTTCTTTATTTCTTAAAGGTTGTCTGATTTTAATATAATTGTTATTTTGATTAATATTTGCTATTTGCCATATATATCTTTCCTTTTTTTTTTTACTTTTAATCTTTCTGTTTTTCTGGTTCAGGTGTATCTCCTTATGGCATAAGAGGCTGATTTTGTTTTATAATTTAACCTGATAATCTCTTTTTAAAATGGCAACTGTAGCCCATTCAATTTATTGTAATTATTAATATATTGAGATGTTTCCAATATTTTACTTTTGTTTTTTATTTGTCCTTTTTTTTTTTTTTTTTTTTGTGAGGCAGAGTCTCTTTCTGTCAACTAGGCTGGAGTGCAGTGGTGCAATTTTGGCTCACTGCAGCCTCTGCCTCCTGGGTTCAAGTGATTCTGCTGCCTTAGCCTCCTGAGTAGCTGGGACTGCAGGCACACACCACCACGCCTGGCTAATTTTTGTATTTTTTTTAGTAGAGACGGGGTTTCGCCATGTTGGCCAGGCTGGTCTCGAACTCTTGACCTCAGGTGATCCACCCACCTCGGCCTCCCAAAGTGCTGGAATTACAGGCGTGAGCCACTGTGCCTGGCTTTGTTCTTTTTTCTTTTTCATTTTCTCACCTGCTTCTAGGATTCATTGATGCTTCCTTAATATTTTCTCAAACCATTTTTATATTTCTATTGGTATGAATGTTACATACTCTATTCTACTCTTTTAGCAATTATCCTAAAATGATACCCTGAATACCTGAGTTAATAAGACCTAAATTGAATATATTAACCCCTTTCCTGAAAAATACTCACCACCCCTCTATACTTACATGCTATTGTTGCTCAATATTTTACATGTTCCTTTTTTAACGCCACAAATTAGACATCACATTATTATTTTTTACAATGTTCTTTTAGATTTACCTACATAATTACCAATGTTCTGGGTCATCATTCCTTTGCACATTCTAGACATTACTTCTGCATTTTTTTTTTTTTTTTTGAGATGGAGTCCCGCTCTGTTGCCCAGGCTGGAATGCAGTGGTGCAATCTCAGCTCACTGCAAGCTCTGCCTCCCGGGTTCACACCATTCTCCTGCCTCAGCCTCCAGAGTAGCTGGGACTACAGGCACCCGCCACCACGCCTGGCTAATTTTTTGTATTTTTAGTAGAGATTGGGTTTCACCGTGTTAGCCAGGATGGTCTTGATCTTCTGACCTCCTGATCTGCCTGCCTTGGCCTCCCAAAGTGCTGCGATTACAGGCGGGAGCCACCGTGCCCGGCCTACCTCTGCATGTTTATCCTCCTTCCTGAAATAGATTCTTTAGACATTACTTTAGTCCCTTGGTAATAAATGCTGCAGTTTTTGTTTATCTACAAATTGTCTTTATTTTATCTGCATTCATAGAAGGTACGCTCTCTGGAATACTTCTAGGTTGAGAATTCTTCGCTCTCAGCGTTCTGAAGATATCGTTCCACTTCCTTCTGGCTTCTATTGTTGCATTTAGAAAAGTGCTATCAGTTCATCGTTATTGTTCTTTGTGGGTGATCAGTCTTTTCTCTCTCACTATTATTAGAATCTCTTTTTCTTTGATATCTGCAGTTTTATTACAATATGTCTAGACTTGAATTTCCTATTTATCCTGTTTTATAGGGCCTCTTGTATCACTAGATTCTAATTGAAATAAACCAGGGGGTTGTGTTACAGGAGACTTGTCTTGAGTTATGCCTCCTCAGCTAGGGCATGGTTTTAACTAAAAGTGTATGTTAAATTAGGGGAATTGTTTGACTCTTTAACCAGAATGACTTCGCTAATACAATGACAGAAATTTCATGAGTTTCTGAGAATTGAATTTATGTCTACACACAGTTTCTTTTTTTATTACTTTTTAGAGGTAGAGTCTCTCTCTGTCACTCAGACTGAAGTATGGTGGTGTGATCATAGCTCACTGAAGCCTTGAACTCCTGGGCTCAAGCAATCCTCCCACCTCAGCCTCCTGAGTAGCTGGGACTGCAGGCATAAGCCACCTCGCCCAGCTAATTTTTGCTTTTTTTTTTTTTTTTTTGGTGTAGTTGAGGTCTCTCTATGTTGCCCAGGCTGGCCTCAAGCAGTCCTCTCATCTCAGCCTTGCAAAGTGCTGGGATAACAGGCATGAGCCACTGTGCCCTGCCCTCTGCACACAGTTTCTAAAGAGGAGCTCTACAGGCCTGGCATCGTGGCTCACACCTGTAATCCCAACACTTCGGGAGGCCAAGGCAGGTGGATCACCTGAGGTCAGGAGTTCGAGACCAGCCTGGCCAACATGGTGAAACCCCATCTCTAAAAAATATACAAAAAATAGTCAGGCATGTGGCAGACACCTCATAATTGCAGCTACTTAGGAGGCTGAGGCAGGAGAATTGCTTGAACCCAGGAGGCAGAGGTTGCAGTGAGCCCAGATTGCCCCACTGCACTCCAGTGTGGGTGACAGAGTGAGTATCCACCTTAAAATAAATAAATAAATAATAAATAAATAAATAAATAATAAATAAATGACAACTTACCACAAGGGTTGTTTTAGTAACGTAGGCATTACGTAGGATAAGATTATTGTTGCTTTATCACTCTTACCTCCTGGAAAATTGCATCCTATTCCCCCAATTGCAACCTCATCTTTTTTTTCCATGTTTGATTAATCTGATTGGCAGCTAAAAAAAATAAATAAAAGAACAAAAGATCAGGAAAATAAAATCTCTTTCTTCGATTAAGAAACCAATGGGGGCTTGGTTAAATTACTCAACTTATACATCACATTCTTGTTAGAACTAACAATTCCTCATCTTGCATTCTTTGCACCTCTTGTATCAGCATATCTTGTAATTTTTTTCTTTTTTTTTTGAGACAGAGTCTCATTTTGTCACCCAGGCTAGAGTGCAGTGGGGTGATCTCGGCTCACTGCAACCTCCACCTCCCAGGTTCAAGCGATTCTCCTGCCTCAGCCTCCGGAGTAGCTGGGATTACAGGTGCCCACCACCACGCCTGGCTAATTTTTGTATTTTTAGTAGAGATGGGGTTTTGCCATATTGGCCAGGCTGGTCTCGAACTCCTGACCTCAGGTGATCTGCCCGCCTCAGCCTCCCAAAGTGCTGGGATTACAGGCCTGAGCCACCGCATCCAACCATATCTTGTATGTTTCCAAGGATGTTTGCACAGCAAACATAGGAATAATGTCTTCCTCTAGGTCAGAGGATAGATTTGTTTGCTGTACAATGATAATGACTTTCTGGAAGGGAGGGCGGTTTGTTTGTAGCACTTCATATTTTGTAGCACTTCAATTTTTTTTTTATTGAGGTTTCTTAAGTTTAAGGCTTCTTAGCCGTCACACAAGCTCACTGCGTGTGCAAAGGACTTTCTCGTGGCACAGCAGCCAGGATGGGCTTCATGTGCATGTTCATTCTCCTTGGTCCCCCACACTCCTTCCAAGTCTCACTGCACAAAACAGAGCAGCCAGATGGAAGGTGCACCTGCCATGTGTTGGTCACAGCCAAGGAACCTCACACGTAAGAAATCCACTATTTTCAGAGGACTACGAACACACCTGCCCATCACAGCATCCGTGATAATGCGGCAGGCTCACCTTTAGACGATGAGTAGGGAAAGCTCAGTTCCTTCAGTGTTTGGCAGTTTGGCATTTATCAAACCGTCCCCACCCCCGGAAACTTCGATGCTTCAAGCAATAGATTTAGAAATTTGCTTAATACCTATTCTGTTATTATAACCTGAGTTAATAATACTTCCCATTTGAAGGTATACTTCAAATTATTTATAAATAGCCATTGCTTGCTTACCCAGGACCGGAACTTTTTGTGCATCCCAAAGAAAACAGATCCCATTTCTTTACTACCCGTGTATTCCCTAGGAGTAAAGTGGGTCAAATGGAGAAAAGGTCAGGTGAATGTACATCTTTATCTACATGTCTAAAATTGTATTAAAGTCTCAAAAAAGTGTTTGGAGCCAACTGGTGGATTATAACTTTCATCTATTTGAATCGAAATGAGTTCAAGTCATGGAGCCAGGGATAAACCTTTTTATATCGGCTTCTCAGGGATTTGTGGGCCACAGACTCAGAAGATATAATATTTTCTCTTTTCTTCAGAGCATAATGATATTTTGTTACATTTTGTAGCATACACACACAAAGGGATAAAATACAGATAAAAATATGCATTTTGCACAGGCAAAAGGCACTGTACTAATGCACGTTTATAATGCATCTCTTACAACTCAGGGATGTAAACTAAGGATTGATTGCCTTGTATACAATGGTAGGCTAAATTGAGACAGAGACACAAGTCCATTTTGGTCCTCTCATTAAGCACCTGATTTAATACAGGATTCACTTCAGCCAAGGCAGGTGCATTACTTTTTCCAGCTGCCTGCAGAAGGCCCTGACAAACTATACCTTCAGGGCAAAGGAGAAAGCCCGCTACTGCCCTGCAGAATGTGCCCTGCCCTACTTCTGAACGCCCTAACACTAATCCCATGTTGCATAATCAGATATTATGGCTACTTGAGAGGAGACCAAAAACAAAACAAAACAAACAACAACAACAAAAAAAACAGGCTCCCAAATTCCCCAGGAATAAAGCTTTGAATGCTTCTTTTGACTTTGCAAAGCTGTCTCTACAGTTCTATGCATGCCTGAATAAGACCTGTAATTATTTTAGCAACCATCCTTTCTCTACACTGCTGCCTTGTCATGATCGCAAACCATTCTGAGCAATTAAACCTAGAATAATTTTGCAAAGGTAAACGAGCATCTAAAGTGTTTGGAGGCAGGGTGCAGTGGCTCATGTCTGTAATCCCAGCACTTTGGGAGGCCGAGGTGGGTGGATCACCTGACGTCAGGAGTGATCCACCCACCTGCCTGGCCAACATGGTGAAACCCTGTCTCTAGTAAAAAATACAAAAATTAGTCAGGCATGGTGGCACGTGCCTGTAGTGCCAGCTACTGGGGAGGCTGAGCTAGGAGAATCGTTTGAACCCGGGAGGCAGAGGTTGCAGTGAGCCAAGATCATGCCACTGCACTGCAGCCTAGGTGACAGAGTGAGACCCTATCTCAAAAAATAATAATAAAATAAAATAAAATGTTTGGCTTATAGAAATTTGCTGTGGCCCATGTTTTGAGTTGCTGGTCATTATTCAATCTGGTCATAACTTTCTGGTATCTCCCAATTACAAGCCCCAGCCAAGAGGTGCATCCTCCCTCCTACTTGCAGAATCTGAAAATCATGGCCTGTTTCATCCTCTGCCTGGTCCTGTCTGGTATCCCTGGGATCCACGCCCTGATGGAAATGTAATGCTCTGGCCCCCTGGGCATGTATGCGCAAGCCACATGCACAGACTCTACTTATGAACAGCAACACAGTTACAATGCGGCTGCAACACAGTAATCACCGTTGGACAGAGATAAACATTTTATATCTGCTTGTCAGAGTTCTAGATTCCATTTAAGTGGATTCATAAGTGTTGAGGCCTTAGGGATATAAACTGATAACATACCCTCCTGTTTCAGTCCTACACCAACTTAGAAATAAAACCAAAAGGGCCGGGCGCGATGGCTCAAGCCTGTAATCCCAGCACTTTGGGAGGCCGAGGCGGGCGGATCACGAGGTCAGTAGATCGAGACCATCTTGCCTAACACAGTGAAACCCCATCTCTACTAAAAATACAAAAAATTAGCCAGCATGGTGGCAGCCCCTGTAGTCCCAGCTACTCCGGAGGCTGAGGCAGGAGAATGGTGTGAACCCGGGAGGCGGAGCTTGCAGTGAGCCGAGATCGCGCCACTGCACTCCAGCCAGGCGACAGAGCGAGACTCCATCTCAAAAAGAAAAGAAAAAGAAATAAAACCAAAAGGTCACATCAATATCCAAAGATGCTATTCCTGGTGAAGGATATCAAGCCAAATGTGACTTGATGCCTTGACCAAAAAAGACTTTTCTAGTATTTTCTCCTAGTCTTGACTCTGGAAACTGAACAAAGAGAAGGCTGGTCCACAAAACAGACACTTACCCAGCATATTAGGAACACATGGGACTGACTGACTGTTGTATTTAGGGCCCTTGATTGAGGGGGTGCTAAACCTGACAAAACGGTAAGGTATAGGTTTGGATTTAAAGCATGAGATAGTTTTCTTAGACACACCCATCATGCTAGTCCTTTTATTACTCTGAGGAACATGGTTTCTAAAGCAGGTGGGATTTATGACAGATATAGTTGCTCCTATGTCAAGTAAGGCAATGGAGAGCTCACGTTATGATTATATTAATCTTTCCCAATTTGTCAAGGTAGAATACTGGGAGAGGTGAAACCCTTTAACTTCCTCAGAGCACCCCTAGTCTTCCTGAGTTGTATCCTCCTGCTGTGGCTTCCACTTCCACCTAAAGCAGTCCTGTTTAAGGTGTCTTGGTCTTTTACAATAGTAACAGGCTGAGGGAAGAGTCCTCAGACCGAGAGGGCTTTTCATTATTCTGAGGCTAACAGGTTTGAGAAGTTAATTGCTTTAACTATAAATGCATAACTCTGGCAGTCTTTTGTTTTTTTTTTCCTTTATCATAGCACAGGATAATTGGTCAGCTAAGTTAACTAGTTCCTTAGTTCTGACCATGGCCCAATTTGTTATGTGGTGTTTTACAAGAGTGGCTAAATCATCATCTGGTCTGTTTTGAAAGTTTGCATTTAATAAGCGCCATTTTTATTGTTCTCAAGGCAATCAGCTGACATCCCATAATATTGTCTCAAAGTTTTATCAAAACATGAAAAATAATCTCAAACTAATTCCTTTGGGTTCTGGTGGCATTGCTGGATTTTATTCCAATCCACAAACCTTTGGAATGCTGAAGGAATTATAATTAACAGAGCAGTGGCTCATGCCTTGGCATCTTTGAGCCTGTCTTCTGAACTTTTGGGGACTTGTTGTCATCCTATTGGACCTTTGGAAATTGACTCTGCTAAATGGTCTGACCACTGTGCTTTTTCCAGCCATTCCTTAGCTTTAGCATCCAAAACCAACATGTGGAACAGCTGGTAAGGGTCTGAATGACACGGGCCATATGACGAGTGACCTGACAATGAGCTCAAATTCTTGGGCAAATCTTTATGGGAGTCAGGAAATTTTTTAACTTTGCCTCCTAGCTCAGCCTTTGACCAGGTTTGAAAGACCATCACTGGGGTTTCCCTACCTGTTACTGGTCATTCCCTATATGGTGTGATCATGAGAGATGTTCCTACAGGTTCCCCCTTTTCCACTTCTTCCAGATGAAAGGCTGCCAGGGAGACTGTTGTGAAATCATCAGGAGACGGAGTTGTAGAAGTAGACCACCCTGTTGCCTTCTGTTGAGTGAGTAGCAGACAAGGAGAGGAAGATGGTAGGCTAGAGCATGCAGGCAGAGGAAACAGATCTGGTCCAGGAAGTTCAGAGAGGTCGGAGTAAGCTGGGGATGTACCTGGAGGTGGGGGAAGAACCAAGGGGGATGTAAGCAATTCTGAAGATTTCTTTAAGAGAGATAAAGCACTAGAGAGTTATCAGTTAGTATCTCTAAGTTGTTTGTTGGCCTCCTGTAAGGAGGTGAGGCAGTCTTCCCCCTTTTTGCTACCTCTCTAGGTACCACTGAAAGTAGCTCTCCCATTCTGGCTGTTGAGTTTTTGTGCATGCATTTTCCATCCTAGTTCCCAGGTACACTAATTTGGGCATCTCAGATGATCCCCATCTAGGCCACTGTTAAGTTAGAACCTCTGTGGTTATAATGGGCCACTGTCACAGGTATTGACTATCTGGGGCTGATGTTGCATGGGTGGTAAAAAATACTTACCAAAATGGTTGCAGATTTTTAAAAGGCAGATTTATTAGACAAAGTAGGGAAATGTGTTTCAAAAAAGCAACAGGCAAGTCAGCAAAAGAGGAGCTAACTGCAAGGAGACAAAGGCATCCTGAGGATTTTATAGGATGGTCTTTGTGCTGTGTGCTGAAGAGGGCTGTGTGCAATACTGATAACAGCAAGGTTGCAGTGAGCTAACTTACGTGTTCTTTTTGATTAGTTAAGATGTCTGGTGACAGCTGGGTGCAGGAAGATTGTGACTTATTTGCGCAGTAGGGCTGTGTGTCCTGGACCACGAAAAAAAGGCAGATTTATGGCTTATTTGGTTTTTGTTCTTGCTTTCTCCTGCTCCCACCAGCCTGACTTCTTATCCCTAATTAGAACTCAACATCCACTTGACTAAATATTTGAATGATTTACCATAAGTATTTTGCATATACCCAGCGGGAGTTTCTAAGGGTAGAACTTCATGTTCTGCAGCTGCAGAGGCTTAAGCCAACTTAGAGGCCTTGTTCCCCAGAATTCAGAGTTTTCCTTTGAATTTAACCAATTCAAGGAGTGTGTCAGACCCAATGGGTTCTGCTTGTGGACCTAGCTTTCCAGGGCAATTACTCCCTGAACTAGTTTGGTCCACTCATGTCGTGGCTACCTGAATCTGTGTGGCAGGGGCTCAAGGCGCAGGAGGGGCTGACCTGTTGGGTGAGATTAGACCCTAATTATGTTCCTCTGAAGAAAAAACCTAATCAGAGCCACTGGATCTCTTAGGAATCAGTCCTCCCAGACATCCTCATGTTAATTCTCAGGAAATAGTCACCCATGTTTTTGTCTGGCTCAGTGAATCTTTATTTTAACATAAGACAACATAGACAATATGGCAGAAGAAGCAGTCAGATATGTGTTTGTCTCAGGTGAGCAGAGAGATGACTTTGATTTCTGTCCTCTGTTCTGCACCTGTGAATATAAGTGATCAATTTACATTGCCAGAGTGAATTCAAGAGAACTGTTTTAGGGTAAAGATCTTGGGCCCCAAAGGTAATTTTCTTCTGGGCAAACTGTGAGGGAGCTAAGTAGCCTTTTATCTTTGCAGCCATCTTATTTACAAACCAAATAGGAGGCGGGTTGGTGTGACCCAGTTCTCTGCTTGACTTTTCCTTTTTGCTTGATGAGTTTGGGGTTCCAAATTTATTTTCCTTTCATATTCCCCCAGCTTCCTTTTCATACTTAAAATCATTTGGAGAAAGCATTTTAAAAAGAAATGAGTCTCTAGTCTCAGGATTTTTCTTTTATGAGCTGGTCCCTTGTACCTAGGATGTTTTATTCCTAGAAGTTAAGGTTCCATGGTGCTAGAAAGGCTCATTCTTAGGTGGTCTTGTCTCATGGAGATTTAAAAAAAAAAAACAGGAGAAGGAAAGAAGAAAAAAAGAAAAACAATATGTATGTGGAGCTAGGCCAGATTTATAGCAACATAAGGGAAAGTAAACCTGGAAGTTGGTTCAGGCTATGCTACTGCCTCCTCAGTTAGAGCACTTCTTTGGGCAACCATTACTCTAGACTTCTCAGTTGCACATTGTCTTAGTTGCAAGCACATACCATTACGACAACCTAAGTAAAAAAACAGGACAGAACACAAATTATTATTATGATTCCTATTATGAGCAATAGCTTCTGCCACCAAGTTCCCCAGGATCCAAACAAACCACTCAACTAGTCGATTCGTAAGGGCTTTGGATCTGACAGGTTGGTTATCTGGGTTTTTATGTCAGTCATAAGTCAGGTTTTGTCATTTGATTCCTCTAAGATATAAATCCAAAATTCAGTTTTGATTGTGGCAAAGGTTCCACCTTGGGCTGCAGTGAGCATATCTAACGCCATACAATTTTGCAGCATGGTTTTTCTTATACGTGAGTCCTCATTGTTTAGCAAAGAGATAGCCATGCAGCTATCATTTAGGGCCTTTTGGGTATTATTTGTTAAGGCCTCTATATGCCATAGAACATCTTTAATATCTATTTGTGGTATAAAGATAGAAGCTGAGTAATCATACCATTGGAATACAGAATGTGTCCAATGAGACTGCAAATGAAAAAGGTCTGCTGGTTTGGCAGAGTCTGAATTACTCATCCTTGTGCCCAAGCATAACCTAGGGAACATTGTCCTAACCATCCTGGGGTTAACTGAGGCCATAAATTAGTGCTACATAGCCAGTATGTCCTATTTGGAGCTAGCTAATAAATACCATGTTGCTGTACCCAATTCGTGGTATGCTAGCCAGTGTCTTGTAGTAATAATATGGTCACAATGTTCTCCAAGTATCCACCACATGTCTCCTGCACTGTTTGGTCTGGGTCTTTAATGTGGTTTCTTGGTTCCCAGCATAAAGGAGCATTTTTAGCTGAGTTGGCCAAATGAAAGGGTAAGACAGATCAACCCATCCCAAATTTGCATTACCCCATTTTGAAAATGGGCAGATACTTTGGGTGTGGTTATCACCCACTCTTTTCACTGGATGGGGGGATACTTAGGTAAGTGCTAGTGAGCTGGTCCTTTCCTCTGAAAAGCTTTTCCCATGTGCCTTTCTCCTAAGAGTCTTTTCAATGGGCTAATGATACGTATTGTCCTTTTTTATGCCAGCACTAAGGACACCAGACCATTTCTGTGATGTAATACATTTTGGTGTTATAGCTAGTCCTGACCTCAGAAGGGAGATACCCATCATGACAGGCTGGAGCCACTGGAAATAGGCATGGTTGGCATATTCAGCAGGCATCTTTTTGGAATCTGTGTGTATAATCCTGAGCCACTGTAGAAACAGGTTTATTTCACGGGCTACAGCAGACGGCAGTGGCAAGAAGGCAAGAAGGCAAGAAGGCATAGGAAAAGAGCATAAATAGCTGCAGCGTTTTGAGATTCACTTTAACTACTGCAAAGACACTAAATCAGATAAACCAGGTGCTGGGTTCTCCATAAGATAGCAATTGCCAGTATCCCTAGGATAATCATCATAATGGCTAATACACAATAAACACAGGTGTTCTTTTGTACATAGGCATGGGTGGGCCAGTGTCTTGGGTTAAAGCTGTCAACAACAGCTGTTATCTGCTTCTAGTCCCAAGTCAAAGGTTGATATTGTTTAGTGAACTGGAGGCTAAGATCCTTGGCTGGAATCACTGTTCACTCAGGAGGATGTGCCTTTTTAAGATGAGACATGTAAATACATAAGTCTATACCCCCTAATTGTGCAGCACATGAATTAGTCAATACTACCTGGTATGGACCCTTCCATTGGGGATTAAGGGAGTCCTTTACCAAAGACTTTCTCTTTTGTAAGAGACAAAGTCTCTAGGCTACAGATTATGACCAGAAACCTCATCTTCAGGGAGGGCACTGTAAAAAGAATCCTTTACCAAAACTTGGCTTTTCATAAGGTGATGAATTAGTCCCTTACAATATATTGCAATATATCTCCCTGGAGAAAAGTTGGGTCGGTTATTTGGGTTCCTGACACATGGGCCTTCCCATTATAATTGTATAAGGGTATAGTTGATGTTTCACAAAATGGTGGATCAGAGTGTAAGGAGTGCCAGGAGGAGTTCTAGGCCAGGACAGGTGAAAAGCCCCTATGAACTTAGCCAATTGTGTTTTAATTATACCATTGGTCCTTTCCACCAGCCCTGAAGACTGAGGGTGGTAGGCACAACGGAAATGTTGAAGTACGAGGAAAATTTTACAAACAATTTGAAAAACCTGGCCAGTAAAATGAGTTCCCCTATCACTGTGAAGTTCAGAGGGGACTTCACAGAGTGGAATCATTTTTTCACATAGGATTTTTCCAACTGCCATCGCTGTTGCTTGCCTGCAGGAAAAAGCTTCAACCCAGTGGGAAGACACGTAGATAGTTACTAAAACATACTTTTAAACTGGAGATAATGGCAGCTGAATACTATCAAGCTGCCATACCTCAGAAGGTCCAGCCAGAAGGGGAAAATGATCCTGGGCACCATGGAGGGGGTTTCCTGGGTTATCTTTGGGAGAGAGAACACATGGAGAGTAAATATTTTGTGGCACCATGAATGATAGTTTCCAGTAATATTGTTTACACCAGGATTACATTTTCTCTGGATTCCAATGGGTCAGATTATTAACATATTCCACAAGAGGCATCTGACATCCCATTGGAATAATGGGTTTATTATTAGGTTCACATCATATTTCGCTTTCCAGTGACAGGTATCCCCCTTTCTGTTTCCAAGTAGATTTCCCTCTCATTTGGGCTATGCTCTGGGTTTTCTTCAACATGTTTTTAAGTGTTTCAGGTTTTATGACCATTCCCCAGATTGGAGCTGGTGGCTTAAATTCTGCTCTTTTAGCTGTAGCATCAGCAGATTGGTTACCCTGCTTTCAGTGGTGTCCAACTTAGAGTGACCTGGAATTTTTATAATTGTCAAAAGTTTCTGTTTTTGAATGACTTCTAACAGCTCTGACACTTCTTGTCCATTTTTTATGGGTCACCCCAAGAAGGTTAAATATCCTCTCTCCTTCCGTAGCATCCCAAAGTCATGAGCAACACCAAGTGCAGAGCAGCTGTCAGTGCAATACTTTCAACAGCCTTGTCTTTTGCCAGTTGAAAAGCTTGGGTCAGGGACAAGGTAATTTATAGATTCAATGCCATCCCCATCAAGCTACCAATGACTTTCTTCACAGAATTGGAAAAAACTACTTTAAAGTTCATATGGAACCAAAAAAGAGCCCTCATTGCCAAGTCAATCCTAAGCCAAAAGAACAAAGCTGGAGGCATCACGCTACCTGACTTCAAACTATACTACAAGGCTACAGTAACCAAAACAGCATGGTACTGGTACCAAAACAGAGATATAGACCAATGGAACAGAACAGAGCCCTCAGAAATAATGCCATATATCTACAACTATCTGATCTTTGATAAGCCTGACAAAAACAAGAAATGGGGAAAGGATTCCATATTTAATAAATGGTGCTGGGAAAACTGGTTAGCCATATGTAGAAAGCTGAAACTGGATCCCTTCCTTACACCTTATACTAAAATTAATCCAAGATGGAATAAAGACTTAAATGTTAAACCTAAAACCATAAAAACCCTAGAAGAAAACCTAGGCAATACCATTCAGGACATAGGCATGGGCAAGGACTTCATGTCTAAAACACCAAAAGCAATGGCAACAAAAGACAAAATTGACAAATGGGATCTAATTAAACTAAAGAGCTTCTGCACAGCAAAAGAAACTACCATCAGAGTGAACAGGCAACCTACAGAATGGGAGAAAATTTTTGCAATCTACCCATCTGACAAAGGGCTAATATCCAGAATCTACAATGAACTCAAACAAATTTACAAGAAAAAAACAAACAACCCCATCAATAAGTGGGCGAAGGATATGAACAGACACTTCTCAAAAGAAGACATTTATGCAGCCAAAAGACACATGAAAAAATGCTCATCATCACTGGCCATCAGAGAAATGCAAATCAAAACCACAATGAGATACCATCTCACACCAGTTAGAATGGTGATCATTAAAAAGTCAGGAAACAGCAGGTGCTGGAGAGGATGTGGAGAAATAGGAACACTTTTACACTGTTGGTGGGACTGTAAACTAGTTCAACCATTGTGGAAGTCAATGTGGCAATTCCTCAGGGATCTAGAACTAGAAACACCATTTGACCCAGCCATCCCATTACTGGGTATATACCCAAAGGATTATAAATCATGCTGCTATAGAGACACATGCACATGTATGTTTACTGCAGCACTATTCACAATAGCAAAGACTTGGAACCAACCCAAATGTCCAACAATGATAGACTGGATTAAGAAAATGTGGCACATATACACCATGGAATACTATGCAGCCATAAAAAATGATGAGTTCATGTCCTTTGTAGGGACATGGATGAAGCTGGAAACCATCATTCTCAGCAAACTATTGCAAGGACAAAAAACCAAACACTGCATGTTCTCACTCATAGGTGAGAATTGAACAATGAGAACACATGGACACAGGAAGGGGAACATCACACACCGGGGCCTGTTGTGGGGTGGGGGTATGGGGGATGGATAGCATTAGGAGATATACCTAATGTTAAATGACCAGTTAATGGGTGCAGCACACCAACATGGCACATGTATACATATGTAACAAACCTGCACGTTATGCACATGTACCCTAAAACTTAAAGTATTCAGCCACTTGAGGTGATCTGGCTTGGGGAAGAGGACCAGCTTCAATTACCTCTAATAAGGAAACCACGGCATAGCCTGTTCTAACATTTCCACCCTCTCCTCTTAAATCAGACCGATCTGTATACCAGTCTATCTCAGCATTATCCAGTGGCATCTCCTGTAGGCCTGTCCTGGGGGTGAGAAGTTAGTCAGTCATCAGAACAGTCATGAGGGGTTTTGTCAGAAGGGCCCAGGAACAGAGTAGCAGGATTTAGACTATTACAGTGGGATGAGGTAATATTTGGAGATGATAAAAGCAAATCTTCATAGAAAGTTAATCTATTGACAGACACATATTAAGTATGATGAGAGTTTAGAAGGGTCTCAAGAGAATGCGGTACATAAATGGTAAGGGAAGAACACGTAATAATATCTTCAACAGACTTCTACAGAATGGAAGTGCCTGATACAGCTCTCACACAGTGAGGTAAGGCCACAAGGTCTAGCTGTTGGCTGTAATACCCTATAGTTATCTGGTGATCACTAGGTTTCTGGTCAGTAGCCCAGGTGCCGTTTCTCCACTTTTGTGTATGAATAGGGAGAAAGGCAATTTGTAGTTAGGGTGCCCTAAGCCTGGGGCATTTTGAAACTTTCCTTTATTTGTTGCACAGCTGATTGTCCCTCTGGAGTAAACATGATGGGATCAGACTGTTCATCTTTTAGGTATGCATACAGAGGTTGAGCCATAAGGGTGAAATCTGGTGTGCAGTTCCTACAATAGCCAGCCAGCCCCACAAACCCTCTATGTTGTTTCTTAGTGATGGACATTGGGAAAGCTAAAATTTCTCTCACTCTACTAGGGTTAATACTCAGTTCTTTGATGGAGATAATATGCCCCCAAATTCTTAACTTGGGGTGAGCACAGCTGAAGTTTATCTTGGGACACTTTGTCTCTTACTGGCTTATAGTTTGAGTAAATATGAAATATATTCCTGAGAGGAAGAGAGTGTGTCTGACCCAAAGAGAATGCCATCCACTTATTGGATAAGCATAGAGCCTCAGGGAAAAATTGAGTCCTCTAAATCACACTTTAATATTTCAGAAAAATAAGTGGGACTTTCCACGCACCTTTGAGGCATTACAGTCCACGTATATCATGTAGATTGCCATTCTCTTCAGGTGAAGGCAAACAAATATTGGCTGTGTGGATCTACAGGAATACTAAAGAAGGCACTGCAGATGCACAACTGAGAAATACTGGCTGGGAGTGGGTACAGCTGATAGAAGGGTATGTGAGTGTCTAAATATTATGCTATTGTTTACTGCTCTCAGATCCTGTATAAATCTCCATACTCAAGCCGGGCATGATGGCTCACACCTATAGACCCAGCATTTGGGAAGGCCAAGGTAGGAAGATCACTTGAGCTCAGGAGTTCAAGACCAGCCTAGGCAACATAGTGAGACCTCTTCTCAAAAAAAAAAAAAAAATGTATCTTCTCCTGTTCGTTTTTATCTTCTCCTGTTTGTTTTTTCTACAAAGAATATGGTGGTGGGGAAGGGGAGTGTTGCAGGGGATGGTACAGGAAATAATGAGGACACAGCCCCCTTTTGAGATAATCTTCTATGATAGGGACAATTCCATCTATGGCTTCCTTTCTGAGAGGGTATTAATATCGGGCAAGATATTTTTTTTTCTGTTTATCTCAACATCTATTGGAGTGGCTGAGAATATTTTTTCTAAGTCTGTCTTTGACTTGGACCATAAGTGGGTGAGGATGGCCTTAAGCAAATGTTCCCCTTTTAGGGTTAATATGAATTTTGGGGGGGACTAAAGGGAATCATACAGTTCCCTGCCTTTTATTCCATTTTTCTCTTTTCTCCTCTAACATTTTCTTGGCTGTCTCTAGTTCATTTTCTCAGTCACAAGATGATGTTTTAACATTACTAAATCATGGTAAATTGTCAAGACTTTTTAAAATTTGTTATTTTTGGTCTCCTGGCTCCAATTCCAAAAAGATTCACCTTTGATGAAAAAGACTTATGGGCATTAAGGATGTTGAGAAGATTGCAGCCCAAAAGATTGACAGGGTTCCCAGGACATATTAGGAACATGTGAGACCTACCAAGTGGGTCACATTTAGAGCCCTGGGAACAGTAAATTCTTTATGCTTCGCAACTCAACCTTTGACCAGGGTTGACAGACAATTGCTGGGGTTCCCCTACCTGTTACTGATTGTTCCCTAAATGGGCAATCATGAGGGGTGTCCTTGCAGGGTCCCCCTTTTCCCATCTTCCTGATGAGAGGCTGCCACGGGGGCTGTCATGGAATCATCAGGAGGTAGGGTCTTGGAGGTTAGACCTCCTGCTGCCTTCTGTTGAATGAGCAGCAGATGAGGACGAGGGGAAGATGGTAGCCTGGAGCATGCAAGAGAAGGAAGGAACAGATCTTGTCCAGGAAGTTCAGAGGAGGCGGGGTAAAGTGGGGGTGTAAATGGAGGTGAAGGAAGCACCAAGGGGGAAGTAAGCAATTCTGAAGATTTCTTTAAGAGTGATCAAGTGCTAGAGAGTTCTCGGTTAGCATATCTAAGTTGTTTGTTGGCCTCCTGTAAGGAAGTGAGGTAGTCTTCCCCCATTTTGCTACTCTCTAGGTACCATTGAAAGTAGCTCTCCCATTCTGGCTGTTGAGTTTTTGTGCATGCATTTTCCATCCTAGTTCCCAGGTGCACTAATATGGGCATCTCAGAAGATTCCCTTCTAGGCCATTGTAACTTAGAGTCTGCTTTGGTTATAGTTGTCCACTTGACTAAATATGTGCATGGCAATTCACTAGAAGTATTTTGCAAATACCCAGCCAGAGTTTCTAAGGATGAAACTTATGTTCCACAGCTGTGTGGGGGCTTTGGCGAACTTAGAGGCCTCATTCCTCCTAACTTAGAGTTCTCTTTAAGATTTAACCAAGTGTAGAAAAAAAGGAAAACTAAATTTAAACAAGTTGGGGAGTGTATCACACCCAAAGTGTGCTGCTTGTTGACCTAGATTTTCAGGGCCATTAGTTCTTGAACCAGTTTGGTCCACCCATATCACTGCTACCTGGCACAGTGTGTCAAGGGCTTAAGGTGCAGGAGAGGTCAGTTCCTTATATGCACCTACAAGCTGAGAATAGACCCTAAGTATGTTCTTATAAGGGGGAAACCTAATCCGAGCCATGTCTATGGAGTATTCCTCCCAGACACCCTCACATGATCTCAGACACATGAGAATGTCCAGAAAGACTGAGAGGAGCAAGATGCTCTTCTTGTCTCCAGAGTGGAAATTTTACACTCATAGGCTACAGGGATTTAGACTTGGTCAAATATGATAGAAGAAAGATAAAAACATACCAAATTAAAAACCTTAACAAAACAAGCAAAAACAGATCAGCAAAATAAACACTGATCACACCAATTATGCTTTCTGAGCACTTTAATTGTAAGGAGAAATGAAGAATAAACTAACGTTTAGTCATTAAAGAGAATTAGCAAGACAAAATCCCAACTCAGCTCCTTACCTAATAATGGGGACCAGGCTAAAGACCACTCTCTGCCTGCGCAGAAGCAGACAAGCTCGACTTCCTTGATGGAAGCCAGCTGAAACTCCCAGGAAAAGGAGTTTGTTTTTTTATAGCAAAATAAACCTCAGACCCTCCCCCTCAACTAAACAACAAAATTGGGGAGGTCAGGGATCCCTGGAGGAAGGAGGTCCCAGACCTCAGCAAATCGTCCCATCGTTTAGGGTGATAAACACAGCCCAAGCCAGTACCAAGCACCAATAGGAGAGTTGCTGCAGGCCTGGGCCACCTTCATTCAGGAATCCCTTCGTGGTTGCTAGATGTAAATAAAAGAAAATGACCACGGCAACTCTCGGTCATTGTAGGAGGTTTATTTGCCAAAATTAAGGATGTGTGCCCAGGAGACAGGTCTATGCTTTTCTCCAAAGATGATTTTGAGGGCTTCAATATTTAAAAGGGAAAGGGTAGATATTGAAGGAAGGTAATTTTTTTTTTTTTTGAGACGGAGTTTCACTCTTGTTGCTCAGGCTGGAGTGCAATGGCACGATCTTGGCTCACTGCAACTGCAACCTCTGCCTCCCAGGTTCAAGTGATTCTCCTGCCTTAGCCTCCCGAGTAGCTGAGATTACAGGCATGCGCCACCATGCCCAGCTAATTTTGTATTTTTAGTAAAGACGAGGTTCTCCTTTTTGGTCAGGCTGGTCTCGAACTCCCCACCTCAGGTGATCCACCTGCCTCGCCCTCCCAAAGTGCTGGGATTACGGGTGTGAACCAAAGAAATATTTTTAAAACGTGTCTCAGTAGATAAAAAGACAAAATGGTTGCATCCTATTGAGCCTTTGATCAGCCTTTCACTGAATACACAATTTTCATGTGTGAGGGAGGCAGAGGAAATAGACACTCATGACTTCATCTGGCTTGCTGAAGACATCAGTACTTTATGCATTTTAACAAAAAATGACATAGACAATAGGGCGGAGGAAGCACTCAGATACACATTTGTCTCAGGTCAGCAGAGGGATGACTTTGAGTTCTGTCCTTTGTCCTGCACCTGCGAAGATAAGCTATCAATTTACATTGCCAGAGTGAAATTCCACATAACTGTTTTAGGGTAAAGATCTTGGGGCCCATAAAAGAATCTCCTTGTGGGCAAATTGTGAGGGAGGTATGTAACTTTTTTATCTTTGCAGCCATCTTATTTAGGAAGCAAATGGGAGGCAGGATTGCCTGATCTAATTCTTCGCTTTATTTTTCTTTTGGCTTTATGAGTTTGAGGTCCCAAGATTTCTTTTCCTCTTACATTTTCCTCCCATTTTTTCTTTAAAATCTTATGGAGAAAGAATTTTAGAGGTAAATAAGTCTCTGGTTTCAGGTTTTTTCTTTTTTCTTTTTTGAGCTTGTCCCTTGTCGCCAGGATGTTCAGGTCCCACATTACTTGGAAGGCTTATTCCTAAGGTCATGTTTCATGGAGATAAAATATGATACGTAAAAAAGAAAGATAAAATACACACACGTACACACACACACACACACACACACACACACACACACACAGAGAGAAAAAGAGAGAGACTTTCCCAGATTTACAGCAAAATGGAAAGCAAACCTAGAAGCTGGTTCAGGCTATGCTACTGCCTCCTCAATTAGAGCAGTTCTTTGGACAACTATTACTCTAGCCTTTTTGGTTGCATGTTGACTTACTTGCAAGAATATACTATTACAACATTGTAAGCAAAAGCATGGCAGAACACTAATTATTATTATTATTCCTATTATGAGCAATATCTTCTGCCACAAGTTCCCCAGGATCCAAACCAACCACTCAACCAGTCAATTACCAAGGGTTTTAGATCTGACAGGTTGGTTATCTGGGTTTTCATATCAGCCATAAGTTAAGTTATATTATTTGATGTATCTGGAATATAAATACAACATTGAGTTTTTATGATGGCACGGGTTCCGCTTTGGGCTGCTGTGAGTATATCTAAGGCCATATGGTTTTGCAGCACAGCTTTCCTCATTAGTAAGACTTCATTGTTTAGCAAAGAGATACTCATGTGTCTATCATTTAGGACCTTTTGGGTATAATTTGTTAAGGCCTCTGTATGCCATATAACACGTTCAATAGCTATTTATGGTACAAAGACAGAAGCTAAGTGATCATACCATTGGAATACAGAACGTGTCCAGCAAGACTGTAAGTGAAAAAGCGTTGCTAGTTTGGCAGGGTCTGAATTACTCATCCTCGTGCCCAAGCTTAATCTAGGGAACATCATCTTAACCATCCTGGGGGTAATCAAGGCCATAAGTTAAAGCAACATAGCCAATATGTCCCATTTACTGCTAGCCAATTAATATCTGGTCACTGTACCCAATAGGTGTCATGCCAGTGCCTTGTAACGTAATAATGTGGTCACAATGCTTTCCAGGTATCCACCCCATATCTCCTGGACTGTTTCACCATTGGCCCTTTGTGTGGTTTCTTTCTTTGCAGAATAAAGGAGCATTCTGGCTGAGTTGGCCTAATAAAGGGGTGATTCAGTTAAACTAATCACAAATTTTGCAGTATCTCATCTTGAAATTCAGCAGTTACTTGGGGTGTGGTTACCAACTTCTCTATTAGTTGCAGAGAGGGGACTAAGGTGAGGGTTGCTGAGCTGGACCTTTCCTCTGAAAACCTTTTCCCATGTGCCTTGCTCTTAAGTGTATTTTCAATGGGCTAATTATATATATTGTATTTTCTTACACCAGCACTGAGGATACCAGACCATTTCTGTGATGTAATACATTTTTGGTATTCTATCCAGTCCTGACCATAGAAAGGAGATACCCAACATGGAAGGCTGGAGCCATTGGAAAGAGGCATGAGTCTGCATATCCAGGAGGCATCTTTTTATAATCTGTCTGCATAATCCTGAGCCCATTGTAGAAACAGGTTTGTTTCATGGGCCACAGTGGGTGGCAGTGGCAAGGCACAGGGACAGAGGATAAACAGAAACAAGGTTGTGAAATTCATTTTAACTACTAAAAGGATATTAAATCAGACAAGGCTGGTGCCTGGTTCTGCATAACACAGCAATTGCCAGTATCTCTAGGACAATCATTGTAATGGCTATCATACACTAAATATAGGCATTCTTTTGTATACAGGTCTGGGCTGGTGTCTTGGGTTAAAGCTCTCCACAGCAGCTCTCTCCAGTCCTGTGTGAAGATCCTCTAAATTTGTGGATAAAATGTTATGGCTAAAATCAAGCTGCCAAACCTCAAAAGGTCCAGCTAGAAGGGGAAAATGACCCTTGGCCCCATAGAAGGGCTTCCCTGGCTTATTTTGGCAACAAAAAACAGATCAGGAGTAAACCTTTTGTGCCACCAGGAATGACAGTTTCCAATAATATTGTTTACACCAGGATATCATTTTCTCTGGATTCCAATGGGTCTGATGATGAACATATTCCATAAGGGGCATCTGACATCCCATTGGAATAATGGGTTTATTATTAGGTTCACATCATATTTCAGTTTGCAGAGACAGGTATCCCCCTTTCTGTTTCCAAGTAGATTTCCCTCTCGTTTGGGCTATGCTCTGGGTTTTCTTCAACATGTTTTTAAGTGTTTCAGGTTTTATGGCCATTCCCCAGATGGGGGCTGGTGGCTCAAATACTGCTCTTTTAGCTGTAGCATCAGCAGATTGGTTACCCTGCTTTCAGTGGTGTCCAATTTAGAGTGACCTGGGATTTTTATAATTGCCAGAAGTTCTGGTTTTAGAATGGTTTCTAACAGCTCTGATGCTTGTTGGTCATTTTTTATGGGTTGCCCCGAGAAGGTTAAATATCTTCTCTCCTTCTGTAGCATCCCAAAGTCATGAGCAAACCCAAATGCAGAGCAGCTGTCAGGGCCTATGTTCACAACCTTGTGAACATAGAGCTCGCCAATTGAAAAGCTCGGGTCAGGGAAATCAACTTGGCTACTTCAGCTGATCTGCCTTGGGGAAGAGGACTGGCTTCAATTACCTCTAATAAGGAAATCACAGCATATCCTGCTCTAACATTTCCATGCTCCCCTCTTAAATCAGACCCATCTGCATACCAGTCTATCTCAGCATTATCCAGTGGCATCTATTGCAGGTCTGTCCTGGAAGTGAGACATTGGTCAGTCATCAGAACATAGTCATGAGGGGTTTCATCAGAAGGTCCCTGGAATAGAGTGGCAGGATTAAGGTAATTACACTGGGATATGATAATATTTGGAGATAAAAGCAAAACTTCACGGAGGTTAACCTATTGACAGGTGTTGAGTTATGATGAGAGTTTAGAAGGGTCTCAAGAGAATGCGGTACACAAACAGTAGGAAGGGAACCCATGATTATTTCTTCAACAGACTTGTATAGAAGGGAAGTGGCTGATGTTGCTCTCATACAGTGAGGCAGCCCTTGAGCTACAGGGTCTAACTGTTGCCATAATAGCCTACAGTTCTCTGATGGTCATGATGTTACTGGGTCATTACCCCAGATGCAATTCCTCCACTTTCATATGCTAAAAAAAGGAAGGCAGAGAAAAGAGATCAGACCATTCACTTCATAGGTATGCACAGAAGTTGGTGGGCAAGGGAGAAATATGGTATCCAGTTCCTACAATAGCCAGCCAGCCCTGAAAACCCTTTAAACGTTGATTTTTAGTGATGGTCATGGGGAAAGTTAAACTACGCTCACTCTATCAGGGTTAATGCTCAGTCCTTGGACTCAGATAATATGCCCCCAAATATTTGACTTGGGGTGAACACAGTTGACATTCATCTTGAGACACCTTGTCCCTTATTGGCTAATTGTGTGAGTAAATATGAAATATCTTCCTGAGGGGAAGAGAGTGTGTCTAACCCAAGGAGAATGTCATCCACGTATTGGATGAGCACTGAGTCCTGGGGAAAAATTGGGTCCTCTAAATCGGCCTTTAATATTTGGGAAAAATAAGTGGGACTTTCTGTGCACCCTTTAGGCATTACAGTCCACGTATATCATGTATATTGCCATTCTCTCCAGGTGAAGGCAAACAACTATTGGCTGTGTGGATCTACAGGAATTCTTGAGAAGGCACTGTAGATGCACAACTGAGAAATACTGACTGGGAGTGGGTACAGCTGATAGAAGGGTATGTGAGTGTCTAAATATTATGATATTGTTTACTGCTCTCAAATTCTGTACAAATCTCCACCCTCAGCCCAGGCATGGTGGTTCATAACTAATCCCAGCACTTTGGGAGATCAAGAAGAGAGAATATCTTGAGACCAGGAGTTTGAAACCAGCCTGGGAAATATAGTGAGAAAAAAAAAGGCCGGGCACAGTGGCTCATGCCTGTAATCCCAGCACTTTGGGAGGCCAAGGCAGGAGGATCACAAGGTCAGGAGATCAAGACCATCCTGGCCAACATGGTGAAAACCCATCTCTACTAAAAATACAAAAATCAGTTGGGCGTGGTGGCTCATGCCTGTAATCACAGCTACTCAGGAGGCTGAGGCAGAAGAATCACTTGAACCACGGAGTCAGAGGTTGCAGCGAGCTGAGATTGCGCCACTGCACTCCAGCCTAGCAACAGAGCAAGACTCCATCTCAAGAAAAAGAGTCTTCATTCTCTACCATTTGGTTTTTCTACAGGGAATACAGGGGTGTTGTAGGGCTTGGTACAGGGAATAATGAGATAATCTTGTATGATAGGGACAATTCCATCTATGTCTTACTGTCAAGAAGGATACTATACAATGTTGGGGAGCAGTATCTTTAGGAATATTTTTCCTGTGTCTGTATTTGACTGTGACCATAAGTGGGAGAGGATGGCCTTAACCAAATGTTCCACTTCTGGGGTTACAGGAAAACTGGGGAGGCTAAAGGGAGGTTTACGGCTCCTTGCCTTTTATTTCACTTTTCTCTCTTCTCCGCTAATGTTTCCTTTTTCTGTCTTTAGTTTATTTCCCAGACACAAGATGATATTTTAACATTACTAGTACTAAACTATGGTACATTGTCAGGATGTTTCTCTAATTTCTTGTTTTGTTTGTTTTGGGTTGTTTTTGTTTTGTCTCCTGGCTCATATTCCAAAAAAAATCCACCTTTTGATAAAAAAAAATATACGGTCATTATGGATGTTGAGGAGATTGTGGCCCAAAAGATTGAAAGGGATCTCAGGGCATATTAGGAACATGTGGGACAGACTGAGTGGGTCACATTTAGGGCCCTTGGTTGGTAGGGCACCAAACCTGACAAAACTGTAAGGTATAGGTTTTGATTTAAAACCTGAGATAGTTTTTCTAGATACACCCATGATGCTAATCCTTTCATTACTCTGAGAAATGGGATTTCTAAACAAGGTGGGATTTATAACAGATATGGCTGCTCCTGTGTCAAGGATGGTTAATGATTATATTAATCTCTCCCAATTTGTTTTGTCAAGGTAGAATACTAGGAGAGGTGAAACACTTTAACTTCCTCAGAGCACCCCTGGTCTTCCTGAGTTGTATCCTCCTGCTGTGGCTTCCATTTCAGCCTAAAGCAGTCCCGTTTCAAGTGTCCCAGTCTTTTACAGTAGTAACAGGCTGAGGGAAGAGTCCTCTGAGGCGGTTTAACATTTTTCTGAGACTGAGAGGTTTGAGAAGTTAATTGTGTTGGGAGAAAAGCTGAGTGTTGGGAGAGAAGCTGAGGCAGGGCTTGGAACATGTCCGGGGTCCAGGGTCTAAAATCCCTCGTGGCCTTTGGAATGTGTCTGGACTTGCTGGCTTCTTGCTTCTAGCACTCCCATTGTCTCAGGTAGCCATGTGTTTCGGAGAAAATGCTAAACCGCCACAGCTGTGGCTTGTTTGCTTGATGCACTGCTTCCTTTCAACCCCCACATCCTCACCACTTGTTTCTTTGTTTGATCACTGATAAATAGCATGGGCTCCCAGAGCTTGGGGCCTTCACAGCATCCATACTAGCGTCGGCCCCCTGGTCCCACTTTCTCTCGTCTTTTCTCATTCCTTTGACTCTGCCGGACTTCATAGCCCCCACGGCCTGGTGTTGGGTCTGATTACCCCAACAAATTGCTTTAACTGTAGATGTATAACTGGGCAGTCTTGTTTTTTCTTTTTTATCATAGCCCAGGATAACTGGTCAGCTAAGGTAACTAGTTTATTAGTCCTGGCCATGACCCAATTTACTAGGGTGGCTAAATCGTCATCTGGTCTGTTTTAAAAGTTTGCATTTAATAATGTATCATTTTTACTGTTTTCAAAGCAATCAGCTGACATCTTGCAATACTGTTGCAAAGTTTTATTAAAACATGTAAAATGATCTAATCTGATTCTTTTGGGTTCTGGTGGCACTGCTAGATTTTATTCAATCCACAACCCTTTGGAACACTGAGGGAATGACATTTAGCAGAGAAGGTGCTCGCTCCCAGGCATCTTTGAGCCTGTCTTCTGGACTTTTGGGGGCTGATTGTTGTCATTCTATTGGGCCTTTGAGGATTAAGTCTGCTAACGGGTCTGACCTCTGTGATTTTTCTAGCCATCTCTTAGCTTTAGCCTCTGAAACAAGTATGTGTACCAGCTGGTAAAGGTCTGAATGACCTGGGTCATAGGTTCTGATAATGAGCTCAAATTCGTGGGCAAACCCAATTGGATCTTTATGGAAGTCAGGAAATTCTATAACTGTGCTTCGCAGCTCAGCCTTTGACCAGAATTGATAGACAAACGCTGGGGTTCCTCTATTATTGGTTGTTTTCAAACCAGGGCAATCATGAGAGATGTCCCTATAGGGTCCCCCTTTTCCCATCTTCCAGATGAGAGGGTGCCATTGGGGCTGTCAGAGAATCAGCAGGAGATAGAGTCTTGGAAGTTAGATCCCCAGCTGCCTTCTGTTGAGTGAGTAGCAGTCGAGGAGGGGAAGATGGTAGAATGGAGAATGGAGCACGCAGGAGGAGGGAACAGATCTGGTCCAGGAAGTTCAAAGAGGTCGGGATAAAGTAGCGGTATACGTGGAGGTGGGGGAGGCACCAAGAGGAAGTAAGTGATTCTGAAGATTTCTCTGAGATAAAGCACTAGAGGGTTCTCAGCATCTCTAAATTGTTTCTTGGCCTCCTGTAAGGAGATGAGGCAATCTTCCCCCATTTTGCTCCTCTCCAGATATCACTCAAAGCAACTCTCCCATTCTGGCTGTTTAGTTTTTGTGCATGCCTTTTCTGTTCTAGTTCACAGGTGCACTAATATGGGCATCTCAGAAGATCCCCATCTAGGCCATTGTAACTTAGAGTCTGCTTCAGTTATAGTTGTCCATTTGACTAAATATTTGCATGACAATTCGCCATAAGCATTTTGCAAATACCCAGCCAGAGTTTCTAAGGTTGTAACTTTTTGTTGCGCAGCTGCTGGGATTTTAGCCAATGTAGAGGCCTCGTTTCCTATAGTTAGGGTTCTCCTTCAGATATTATTAAGTCAGTGAGTGTGTCAGACCCAAAGTGTGCTGCTTGTGGACCTAGCTTTCCAGGGCAATTACTCTCTGAACTGGTTCGGTCCACCTGTGTCACAACTACCTGGCACAATATGTCAGGGGCTTAAGATGTGGGAGGGGTCAGCTCCTTATATGCACCTGCCAGGTGAAAATAGTCCCTAGTTATGTTCTCCTGAAGGAGAAACCTCATTGGAGCCACTGCTGCTCTTAGGAGGCATTCCTCCCAGACACCTTCACATGATTCTCAGTCACATGAGAATGCCCTGAAAGGCTGAGAAAAGCATGGTGCTCTTTTTTCCTTTGGAGTGAAAATTCCACACTCATAGGCTAGAGGGGTTCAGAATTCATCAAATCTGATAGGTTTGAGACCAAAACCAACCAAAAAAAAAAAAAAAAAAAACCCAACAAAATCCCAAGAAGACAGAAACAAACAAGCAAAACCAGCTAAGCAAAACAATGATCACACAAATTATACAATTTCTGAGAACTCGAATTGTAAGTAGAAATTAAGACCAGCTGGTTGTTAAAACTTTTAGTCATTATAGAGAATTTGCAAGACAAACTCCCAGCTCAGCTCCTTACCTAGCAATGGGGCCCAGATTGAAGATGACCCTCCGCCCACACAGAAGCAGACAAGCTCAGCTTCCCTGATGGAAACCAGCTGAAACTCACAGGAAAAAAGTTTTTTACAGCAAAATAAACCTCAGATCTTACAATTGCTTTGTGAGACCCTGGGCAGAGGACCCAGATAGACCATGCCTGAACTCCTGACCCACAGAAACCGAGAGATAAGTGTGTGTGATTTTAAGATGCTAAGTTTGTGATGGCCTATTATGCAGCAATAGGAAACCTATACAATAATGAAGAATATTCATCATAAAAACAAAAGCCTGCCATCTACATACTTATTGAAAAATATTGTTTCCCCTTTGCAATTTCAACAAAATGTGGATGCCTACTGTTTCCCCTTTTATTCAACATCATTCTTGAAGTAGGAAAGAAAAACAAAAACTCCAGGAATTGGAAAGGATACAATACTGTCACTATTACAGATATTTTTTGTGTGTATATGGGAAATCCAAGACTCTACAGATAAAATACTCAAATAAAAAATATGAATTTAGCAAGATAGCTGAATCCAAGTTTAATACATAAAATACAGATTTTACTTCTATAAGAAACAGGAAATAAAATGTAAGGAAGGTAACATAATAGAATCAAAAGTATCAAATAACTGGGAATAAATCTAAAAATGTATATATGCAAGATCTCTATAAGTTAACAAGACAGAATAGGCCAGGCACGGTGGCTCACACCTGTAATCCCAGCACTTTGGGAGGCCGAGGCAGGTGGATCACCTGAGGTCAGGAGATCGAGACCATCCTGGCTAATGTGATGAAACCTCGTTTCTACTAAAAATGCAAAATCAAAATTAGCCAGGCATGGTGGCGGCACCTGTAATCCCAGCTACTGGGGAGGCTGAGGCAGGAGGATGGCGTGAACCCAGGAGGCGGAGCTTGCAGTGAGCCAAGATCACGCCACTGCACTACAGCCTGGGCAACAGAGCGAGACTCTGTCTCAAAAACAAACAAACAAACAAACAAAAGACAGAATAACTCAATATTCTAAATGTCTTTTCTCCCCAAATTATAGATTCAATGCAATTCCAATAAAAAATGCTTGCTTTGTAGAGCTCGGCATGTTGATTATAAATGGTATATGGAGTCCTATTCTCCTTTCTCTTCCTGAACATTTCGGTTCAAAAGTATGGGGACTAAGCCTGGAAACAAAATTAGAGTTGTGGTGGCCCAGAGTTAGGGGCTGGAGTCTGGATAAAATGAGAAGGGCCTAAGCGTGGGAGTGAAGCAGCATCACTGATGGAGTAATATCTGAGGTTCATTGTCTCATGCCAAAGAAATCAAGGATGCGGACACACAAGGGGTGAGGCTAAGAGCAGAGGTTTAATAGGTGAGAGAAAGAAAAGCTCTCCCCTGCAGAGAGAGGGTCCTGGGCGGGTCTTCCAGTCCGTGGTGAAATGCACAGGGTTTTATAGATGAACTTGAGGTGGTGGTGTCTGATTTACATAGGGCACAAAAGATTGGTTAGACCAGGTATGCTATTTGTATAAGGTGCAAAAAACTGGTTAGGGCTAGGTGTGCCATTTGCATAGTGCAGAAAATCTGGCCGCCCCCACCCTAATCTTTTATTATGCAGATGGGTTCTCTGCCTGGCCAGTGCCATGTTGCCTGTTCCTTTACTGTACAAAGAATAGGGAAGATGAAGCCTCCATGTTGAACATCCCCAGCCCTGAGGTAGCCCTTTTCTATTGGCACAATTTCCGGCATTCACCCATGCAAGGTTTCAGCTTGCTTATCTATGTCAGCAGCTCGATTTTTCAGGCTGCTCCTTGTTAGAAAAGAAATGATTTGGGGCCTGCTTTTTGTTAAAAGGGAAATTTTGCCAAGGACTCTTTTACCCTTGCTATCTGCCTAAATAATTTCTTTCTATCTCCTGTATCAGGAGTGTCACCCTCTACAGGGTTGGAGGTCAAGTAAGGGCACTCCTGAAAAGTAGATGGGATAGAATGAGGTATCAAAGATGAACAGAGTCAGGAGGCAACCATACGGGGGAAAGGATAGTCCCACGTGGGTTTTCAGCACCTGAGGCAGAAGCATCAGCATAAGAGGGTGGCCTGGCACAGGGTGTCTGGGAAAGGATGGGGTGAAGACAGCATCAGCTTGGGAGGAAAGTGGTGAAGGCAACCTGATAAAGGGTGCTGGAGTCCAAGGGGGAGTGGGAAGCACAGCTGCTTAGGGGCCGGGACACAAGAGACTGGTTACACACAAGAGGATTGAACAAATCAGTAAATACAGCAGATTCTTGAACAACATCATTTCATTGTCATGCTGAGGAGAGAAAGAATTCCCAACTGGGGCCCCATCTGGGTGGAGTTTGCACGTTCTCCCCTTGTCTGCGTGGGTTTCCTCCAGGTATTCTGGTTTCCTCCTACATCCCAAAGCTGGGCATGTTAGGTTATCTGATGTGCTGACGTCATGACATGGTCCCAGTTAGAGTGAGGGTGGGTGTATGTGAGTGGCCCTGCAATGGGATATGTCCTGTCCAGGGCTGGTTCCCACCCTGCACCCTTAAGTGCAGGAGAGGCTCTGACCATGTGTGACCCTGAACTGGGATAAGCAGGTTAAGAAAGGAATGAATGAATGCAAATTACTATAAAATAAAATGTTGTAGGGTCTATGGTCATAACACAAATGCTGTGGTACACAATTATGTGGTATGAAAGTGCTCCATGAGCCTGCCATATTTGTGACTATTTTTGAACACAAAAATAGTGTTCAAATAGCTGCATGATGGCAGCAGGTGCTCCTGACAATTTTTTCACTTTGCAACATTTATTCCTTGATTTAACACAGCACCACCACTACAACCACTATCACTCACTGACGCACCCAAAATTGGGTAGTATCTTAATTTTTTAAATTAATCTTTCCTAATATATGTAGAGCTCACATTTATTTCAATGTTTAGTATTCATGTTTTGGGGTCTTTACTTAGAAGATTAGTGATGTTTTTGTGACCAACAATATGTCATAGGAACGTTATGTTTTATTTGTATCATTTAGCCTATGCCAAATTGGTTCTGTTATATGTCATTTCACTTACAGTCAGATTCCAAAGCCTATCGACGGCATTAAATGAGTACTTAATATATATTCAGGATGAAGGGAGCCAGGTTGCTGTCAGAAAAGGAAGTTAAAAATACAGTTGACCCTTGAAGTGCTCAAAGAATAAGGGGGACAGGTCAGAAGGACACAAAGTCAGCTTGAAATGGCTACTACTGGCCAAGTCCAGGGGGCATCTGAACACCAAATTAGTAAGCTTTCCCTTCTCCCCCTATTTGTTCACTGATTTTGTTCTATTTATCAATATAGAAGGGATGAAGGAATAAGAAAGTCATCATTTGGCAACCATCATAATAATAATTGATTCAAGCACAAATCACCAATGAAATGCTTTATCTTGTGGGTGAAGTTCTGAGTAGTAGCCAGATATTTACAAAGCCTCAAAGTATCTTTATACAAGATATTTATGAAATACAAAGTATATAGTAGCTTAACCATGGACAAACATGGCAGGATGTTGACTTTGATTATTTCAACAAATCAAATAATCAAAGTCAACATTGGCCAGTAATGGAAGTGAGTGACAGCAGATGCCTCCAGATGCTGCATTGCAGAGAACTCAGCCTGTGTGAAAGCCCCGCCCGAATGGCACAACCTAAAGCTAATCATGAGGAAACACTGTACAAACCAAAATGGAGAGAACGCCTACAAAACAGCTGACCTATACTCTCCAAAAACATAAATGTCATTACAATCAAAGAAAGACTCAGGAACTATCCCAGATAAAAGGAGACTATAGAAACGGAACAATTGGACCAACACATCACACCTGGTGAAAATCCCCCATCTTGAATTTTCCTCGGCTATCAAGGATATTTTGGAGACAATTGGCAAAATCTGCGTAAGGTCTATAGATTAGATATTAACATTGAACCAGTGTTAATATCCTGATTTTGACCATTATACTACAGTTATGTAAGGTAATTCCTTTTATTTAGGAAATACACATTATTTAGAAATAAAGAGGCATCGTGTCTGCAACCTACAAACAGTTTAGAAAAAAAATCTGTATTAAGTACCTATATTCATATTCATCTAGAAAGACAGGAGGAGAAGGGGGAGAAAGGATAAAGTAAATGCAGTAAAATGTTAACATTTGGGGAATAATATCCAAAAATTATTTGTACTACCTCTTATAATCTTTCTGTAAGTCTGAAGTTGTCAAAATATAACATTTCTTAAAAGAAAAACAAATTTTTAATAACAATATTAATGAATTATAACTCACTGAATAAAATAAACCATGAATCCATGGTTTATTTGATACAAGCAAATGAATAAATTGAGGGTTCGATGGGGAGTAGAGATATGTACATAGTCTCAAATTACCTCCCTGTAAAATACTAATTAACCACAAGGTGAAAAAATAACATTACAGAGGAGAAATTCAGCAGATACCACTGTTAGTGATCAATGCTAACATTACCAGTAACAGGGCAAATCAAAACTGTAGGGTCACAGGTAAGATGCAATGAGAAGATCACTGGGTCACTTCTGTGATACTCCTGCCAAAAAATCATATAATCTAAATCTAATCACCATGAAACCCAATTGAGGGACATTCTTATATTACCAGACTTTACTCTTCAAAATATTCAAGGTCATGAAGGTCAAGGAAAGACTGAGGAACTGTTCCAGACTGAAAGATCTAACAGATACAACAACTAAATACAAGCCATGGATTAGAATGGGATCCTTTTGCTATAAAGGACATTACAGAGAAGTAACAAACTAGAATGTATTAATGTTGACTTTCTGATTGCAAGGTTTGCACTGTAGTTATGTAGAATGTCCTGACTTGTAGGAATGCCCACTAAAGTAATCAGGGGTGATGACATAATGTCAGCAATTTACTCTCAAATTGTTCGGAGGAGAAAGTCTTTGTACTAAAACTTCGAAATTTTCTCTAAACTGAAGGCTATTTCCAAAAGGTTAATTAAAAATAAATAAACAAACAGAAAAGGTGAATCAGGCAAATCTTGTTTCTCCCTGAGAACAGCTATATAAATCAGTGCTTAAAATTAAAATTATGTAAATTTGATGGCACTGTAACAATTGTAATACATCCAAACATGAACAATGACCACAGTTCCTGCACAACAAAATGATGTCTAAGTCCAATTAGACATCTACCACTACATATAGTGATAAAAATTACAAAATACAAATAAGCCATCAATTAACTGCACTAAAGTATTAATGACAACTTAGTGGTTTGGCTGTTTAAACAGCTCACATTTGGGCAGTTTGAGTATGTAAAACTCAATATTCCTGGTTTTCATTGGCAAAATCCACTTAAAAGTTAAAGAAGCCAAGTAACATTGTTTAAAATACTATATAAATTTTGATCTGACATATATGATACAAAAATACGTTCCTTTAATATTTTTACATGTCATATATTAATATTTAATGAGAAACAAAATGTCACATAAACAGCCCAGTAATAAAATCTTATCTTTCAGATCATATAATTTTTCTTTAAAACCTGTACATATTCTCTTGATGCTTTCCAAACTAGATCTTGATTTAGATTTGACTCATCAGTAGACCCTAGAGGGGAAGCTATTGATCCAGATTCCAATTCAGCAGCAGCTAGAATGAAAAAGAAAGAATTATATTCCTTACCTAAAAGATTTCATAGTTAACTAAGTGGAAGTCAGTAAAAGAGTTGAGAATTTTGTCAGTATTAATAAGAAAGAAAAATATGTATGCACAACTATTATACAATATTACTATTAAATATAATTTGCCCATGGTTGCACACTGAATTAATTATCCTTGTGGTTAAATATCAGAGCTTCTGGCTTTCTCACTCTTCATTCATTTATTCAACAACCATGAGCAAAGTAAGCACTAGAATTACAAGATGAAGATGATATGATCCACCTCTAACAAACATATGCTATAATCTGAAAAAAACAGACAAACATACAATTTCCATACAAAGTCACAGATATCATGACAGGTATAAGACAGGGCACTACTGGAACACACAGAAGGGACACCTATCCCAGTTCTGAGTCAATAACGTAGGCTTTTTGATGGAGGCAATATGTAGACTGATACCTGAAGTACAAGGAAAACATATGCCAGACGGAAGGAAGAAGCAAATGCCAAGAGCTGGAGCTGAGGAAGCTCCCTGTGGAATTCCACGTGGTCTAGGGTGGCTGGATGCCAGAGCAAAGGGGCCCGAAGAACAGCAAGGGGTGAGAAATAAGGTTGAATAACGTCACAAGGACCACATTGATGTGGGTATTTTTATTCCATGCTAAGGAATTTGGAACTTCTCCTGAGGGCAAAGGGAAACCAATGACAAAGTAAATGACTGGAGATTTCAAATGTCACCTGTCAAGCAACTGCTTATGAACTGTAATTCCAGACTAGATATTACTAGTGAGTCTGGGGTCTTTGGGCCTTAAATCACCACCATAACCTTGAGAAGTTGATGATGTCTTTGTTTTCTAAGAATAATTTCTGCATGCTGGCTACAGTTCTATGGGGATGGCAGAAGTGAAGAAAGTGTAGAGCCGGAAAAAAAAGAGGTGCAAAGATTTCTTGAGTTTTTTTAAAGCTATGGAACATGATGAATTAATGAGACAAAGTAAGTATACTCTTCACTATGAATATTCATGTTTTCACATCTTTCATTAGATGTGTGTAAGAAAGAACATTTAATGTAGTATCTATTAGCCAAACAATGGAAAGGGATCCCACTCACGATTTACAATTTATTTCAGAAATCAATTAATTAATCTAAATTTAATTCATGAAGTTTGGCAACATACCTTCTTTGAGTTCTCTAGTTATATTTTTTTCCAACTCCTGCTGCATCTGAAAAAAGTCAAATGTTATTTATAATGTTTAAGTTAGACAAGAGACATTAACATAGAAATGATGTATCACTTACAAAATGTGGCCTGTAATACTCTTAAAGACTACACTTAACTTGATTGCTTAAATATAAAAATAATCACATAAATAAAATTCCTACTTGTTTTAAGTTTAGATTTAAAAAATGTGTAATGTTGTTTAATCTGATAAAAAGTACAATTAATATTGGTCTACTGCATATATATAATGTCAGAAAGGTGATATTTTCTCTTATTTGTACAAGTTCAAACAACTGAAGTCATAGTTTGAAATGAATGCATTACTTTGTAATTCTTAGCAAAACTCTGACCTTTATAAAGCTTAATCAGTTTTTTCACTTTAGTGGATTTTTCCTTAAAATAAACTTTCTGGTGGGGCACAGTGGCTCAAGCCTATAATCCTAGCACTTTGGGAGGCCAAGACAGGCAGATTGCCTGAGCTCAGGAGTTCGAGACCAGCCTGGGCAACATAGTGAAATCCCGTCTCTATTAAAATACAAAAAAAATTAGCCAGATATGGTGCCTTGTACCTCTAGTCCCAGCTACTTGGGAGGCGGAGGCAGGAGAATTGCTTGAACACAGGAGGTGGAGGTTGCAGTGAGCCGAGATTGCACCACTGCACTCCAGCCTGGATGACAGAGCGAGACTCCGTCTCAAAAAAACAAACAAAAAAACCACTTTCCATTGTCTACTTTTAGAGAATTAAAATTTTAAAGTATGTTCTATGCTATTTTTTGGTACAGAATCATCAATATATACATGAAGAAAGTGATGCTATTATAATGTCATGTGAAAATTCTACTGGCAAAAAAGTGAAAATAAATATTATCCTATCTATATATTATAAATAACATTTCTTTATTCATGTAAACACAAAATTTGCTCAAAAAATGATAAATATAAGTTGGAGCTAGTTTTCAAGCTTAGTTTCTTTGATTCACAACTTGGTAGAATTATAAACAAAAAATATATAGCTCTTTAATTGTAATTTTGATTTCAGAAATTAGTACCAATTTTTTAAATATCTAATTATATTTATATACTTAATTATGAAATGTGTGGGAATATTTCAAACTATATTGCAAGTGGCCTATTTAGAGTGCTCTTATTTAAATCTTTTTTATAAAAGGTATTCTCTCACTAAATACCCAGAACATGGTCTGAAATAGTACACTATATAGTGAGCATAATAGGTACTTTGTGGTGATAATGATAATATGATATCCAATGCCTTTAAAAATGTTAGGTATGAAGATTAAATTTTTTGACTAACAGGTTTTCCAATATTTTGTAAGACTGTTTTCCATATATTTCTGTGACAATAACATTATAGATAGGCCTTATACAATGAATAATGTGACAATAGCATTAGTAGACAGGTCCTGTAAAAGTAATAACTCAATACCAAATAAAAGGAGAAGTCTTTATTGAACGAATCTTATATTGCTATTCATTAATAAACATGACGTAAAATATACATTTTTACATGACTTGTATTAAGGAACTACTAATGTAATGTAGTTTCTCACTTCTCCTAAATATTTACTTCCTACGTGTAATAAATTTTATTATTTCTTTATACTCTATTTACAAATACTTCCATAATATGTACGTTTTGCTTAGATAAAAATGAAATACTCTTAACAAATTGCTTACTCTAATATTGAAGAAATCTTAACTGTCTAGACAGAGAAACTTCCTGCATAACAAATTTAAATACAGGTTATTTTTCTCGCCTAACACTTAAAGGGTATATGGTATAAAGTTGTTGCCTCTATTCCAGCCCTGGAGTGGCCTCCCGCTACATAAAGTCTCTTCCAGCCTCTCAATGACCCTTGAATTTATTTTTTTTCTTTTGAGGTGGAGTCTCACTCTGTTGCCCAGGCTTGAGTGTAGTGGAGTAATCTCGGCTCACTGTAACCTCTGCCTCCTGGGTTCAAGCAATTCTCCTGCCTCAGCCTCCTGAGTAGCTGGGACTACAGGCGCGCAACACCACGCCCAGCTAATTTTTGTATTTTTTAGTAGAGACGGGGTTTCACCATATTGGACAGGCTGGTCTCAAACTCCTGACCTCGTGATCCGCCCACCTGGGCCTCCCAAAGTGCTGGGATTACAGGCAGGAGCCACCATGCCTGGCCAACCCTTGAATATTTTACCACATAAATGACAGCTGAGGGCAACTACTTTTGAGAAAAGGACACCAGGTCAGACATAAAGGCTCAAAGGGAAAAGGGGCAGACCCAGAACCCAGGAGGGAGGTGCTCTGGGAGGGACACTTGAAAGCTTAGGAAAAGGGTCTTCTGTGTTGACAAGTCTGGTTTTGTCCTGGTTGGTGGGAAACTGGGATGGTTTTACCTATATTAAAAGTGAAAACTGGCAAACATTAAATGACTTTGAAAAAGTCCCTTTCATTTTATTCCTAATTTCCCATTAAATCACACATTTTCCTCATATTTCCCTTAATACAAATTTAAAATTATTGTCTCCAGTTAAATAACTTAACACAGTGCCTGATACAGACTATGGAAGAAAAAAGGAGAGAAAAATGTCTTGGTGACATTAATAACTGTCCTATTGAGGTAGACAAGGTGCCATCGATGGTTTTTGAAATGTATAGAGCAATAGCTTAGGAGAAACTGAACACTGCTAGAGGAAATTAAAAAGCTTAATAAATTACTAATCTCTTACGCTAATAATTTAATGCATAATACAAAATCGAAAGCTATTATGGAGTAAAATAAATAAACTACGTTTTATAAAAATGCTCCTCCTTTCTCTGTGGACTTTGTTTATTTCCAGGTGGGGGTTATGCTTCAGGTGGCGGAGGCAGCCTGAGGTCCAACATTAATAAAGGGAGCACATCTGCAACTTCATGTATACTTTTTCATTTTAAAATATAAGAATAGGAGAAAATTATAAAAGAACAATGTACCAACAAGTTTTGGCTAATTAGAAGGATTCTTTCATAACCAGTAGTTTTCAAACTATGTCCCACAGAAATCTAAGGTTCTACAGAGGATATTGCAGGATTAAGGGATAAGGAAGTCACAGCTTCAGAGCCCCTACCTGTCCTTTAGCCAGAGAGCTCTACTTCTATCTGTTTTATGTAATATAGTTTCATGCCATTTTTTAAAAGTTCTATTCTTTCAAAAAAATTTTTTTAATGTATGAAAGTCACTTGACCTGACAGAATGGTTCTTTTTAATCTCTTTTGTTAAATCTAACATGGTTTGGCAAACCAGTGCCCCACAAAGAAACCATGTATACCAATGGAATATTTTTCAGCTTATCTAGAAATACTAAAAATAAACACCTCCTTGCTCCCCAAAAAAATCAATTAAGGAAAAACATTTCCTCAAAAATCTTCCCTTACATTGCGTATCTACATATTCTTTCATCATCTTATAAAATGTTGTTACCTGAGTTTTCTGGTAGGAACTAATGAGAAAATTTTATATTTGCATCATGCTTAGTAAGTTACAGAAGGTTTTTTGTTATTGTTTTGGATTTTTTGAGACAGGGTCTCACTCTGTCATCCAGGCTGGAGTGCAGAAGCACGATCATAGCTCACTGTAGCCTTGAGCTCCTGAGCTCAAGTGATTCTCCTGCCTCAGCCTCCCAAGAAGCTGGGACTACAAGCGTGCACCACCATGCCCAGCTAATTTTTTTTAATTTTTTGTAGAAATGAGATCTCACTATGCCTCACTATGTTTCCCAGCCTGGTCTTGAACTCCTGAGCTCAGGTGATCTTCCTGCTTCGGCCTCCCAAAGTGTTGGGATTATAGGCATGAACCATTGCACCCGGCCTACACAAGTATTTGACATTCATTTTCTTTTTGTACCCAGTAGGAAAATTTCATGACTCTGAAGCATTTAGACCCTGATCATCTCATTGTCAGAAAAATAAGACAAAACTAAGCTAACAAAATGATGAAAAAAATTAGCTGGATAGATCTTATAATTTATGTATTAAAACAATCATTTGATTTGTTCCTTGTTAAGCCACTTGGCTGCAGTGCTGTCTAAGAAACCTTAGACTTGGTCTTCTATGATTTGTTAGGACATGAGGCCTGGTAAAGAAACAAGGTTGAGGTCTCATTTAACATGAGTCTACACTTTTTTTCTCTGCATTAAGATCATGAAAATACCATTAAATCTTAAGCTAACGTGCACTGATTAAAATGGATATTTTCATAATGATACACAACAAAAACTAGTTGCTATTTATTTATTTTTGTTCAAACAAATGTTTTATGCTTCTTGTAATTTTTTAAGAGACAGGGTCTTGCTATGCTGCCCAGGCTGGAGTGCGGCTGCTATTCACAGTTGCAGTAAAAACACATTACAACCTTAAACTCTTGGGCTCAAGCAATCCTCCTGCCCCAGCCTCCCAAGTAGCTGGGATTACAAGTGTTCACCATTGCAACCAGCTTTTGTAATTTGTTCCCCCAGTCAAAAATGGTCAAAAGTTAGACAAGTATCTTAAACTGGATCAAGCATAGTTGATTTTTTTTTTCCCTACCAAGTCTACAATTGATAAAACTTGTCATTGTTGAATTCATCTTGAGATCCCCAGAAATGAAGTCGTACTATGAGTGAAATCGTAAGGCTGGATTGCAAGGTTCCTCTTCAATGGGTTTTCTATTGTTCTAGAAGAGCAAGACAAAACTAAGCTAACAATATGAACATAATATTGGCTAGCTAGGACCTTGTTACTGTAAAGCTAGGATCCAGGGGAGATGAGGACCCTGTGAAGCTTAACATGAAATTCTGGGTAGGAAGAAAATAATTGTTTGATCATACTTACTAAACACTCTTGATATCACTGCCATCTTAGACATCAATCATTCAAGTAATGGCACAAGTGCATTTTTTAAATTCACATATTTGCTTGCTTTAACTATTTAAAAACCACTGTGCAATTGCCCAGTAATAGACACATTTTACAAAAATTGAGAGAAAAATGCTGTAACAATAGCAACTAAGAATGTACTCCTAAGTAAGAAAATGACAAAACTTAAAAATACAAATTAATCAGTGTTAGAGTTTGTTTAATTCATAAGAAGTATTTATCTTGGAGTTCTTTAAGTAATAAATTTCCATATGTGGTTAAGTGTTTGGATGCCAATCATTCATTCACTTATGATTAAGGGTGGAACACTTGAGATGGTGCCAGAAAACTATCAAAGTGCTATCAACCACAGCCAAACTCAAATCCATTAGAAGGAAAGCCAAAGTATCTCAACGTATACCTTTTGCTATCAGGCAATAGGCAATAATATTCCATTTCTAATAAATTCAGCTTTTAAAGAAATTTAAAATGTGACAGTTCAGTTACATTTATTGAATAAAGTTAACAAATGGTACCTCTTGAAAATGAGAGCTCTAGGGACTAAAAAAAAAAAAAACTAAAATTTCTGTTTCCTCACTTTATTAGCACAGATAATTATGACCTTTACTTATCAAGCATAAGTCAATTAAACAACTCGGTATTTCACCAAATTAAAAACAAGAATTATATCAGAAATTTGAGGCTGGGCATGGTGGCTCACACCTGTAACCCCAGCACTTCGGGAGGGTGAGGCAGGCAGATCATTTGAAACCAGAAGTTTGAGACCAGCCTGGCAATATGTGAAACCCAGTCTCTACTAGAAATATAAAAATTAGCTGGGTGTGGTGGCACACACCTGTAATCCCAGCTATCTGAGAGGCTAAGACACAAGAATTGCCTGAACCTAGACATAGAGGTTGCAGTGAGCCAAGATGGCACCACTGCACTCCAGCCTGGACAACAGAGTAAAACGCTGTCTCAAAAAAACAAACAAAAAAAGAATTACATGAGAAATTTGAAACCCAAAGGAAAAAAGACAACATAACTAACCTTGCTCAAGTAGTTCTCCATGCTATTATTTGAAGCCCGTGGATTTGAGGTAGAGATCACTAAGTTTTCTCTTGGAATAAGTTTTCTGTTGAGATCTAAACTATTATTAAGATTTCCCACACAAGGTGGCTCCATGACTGGCCTGGTAGTGAGAGTGGTGAACAAAGATCTGCTCTGCTGTTTTTCCACAAGAAGTTTGGTGTTGACCTCTGCTAGCCTCTCATTAGTTCTGTGAAGATTGCAGAAGACACATGCTTAGTATTTTACTTTTCCCTAAATGATTCCTAAAAGACTTGCAATTTTTAAAAAGTTACCATAGGAGTAAATGAAATTTCCCATTAACCAGTATTTTAACACTGAAAAATGTGTCAGACCATGCCTACTGTATGCAATTATAATTTTTAGACTGTTCTAAAGAAGTGCATATGTTTCTAGGGTAGTTTCCAACAAACAAGTAATTCAAGCAAAGTAGGGAAGGGAAGAAAATGGCTACCAATGATGTATAACTTCACAGGTAACACCTGCTGCCTTCTGGAATGCTCCACTGGTAAGATTCCTGAGGATGCCATTAAAAATACTTGTCTTTAAAGGGTAAATATGTGACATGATAAATATGTTAATTTGCTTGACTATAATAACCATTTCACCATGTACAAATATATCAAAAACATCATGTTTTGATACATACAATTAATAAAACTAATAACAAAGGAAAAAGCCCAGCTAAAAATACTTGTATTTAGTAAACCAGTTTAGAGATTAAAAAATTCCTCAAGACATGTGCAAGCATTTGCTTTCACCACCCTTTTACATTTATTTCACCCATTATCTGGAAAAATATTAGGCATCTGGCCCCAAGGAATAATTCAGAGCAAAAAATTGTAGGGGAAAAGAAGATAGCTGAGTTGGTGATCAAAAAGAACTAAAGAGTCTCAAAGGCAGTTAGCTCCTAACATTGTCCCCAAGGCATCAGAGGTGGGGCCTGACCTGTTTTCCACACACTCCCTCAGGCTGACCAAGGTGTTATTTTTAACCACTTTATAAAATATACTTCCCTTCATCCCTACGTTAATCATTCCCTATTTCACTAGCATGCCTTTAAGTAGTAGAAAAACTATACAGGGTAGTTTGTCTCATGGCACCCTGTAGTGATAATACCAGATATCACAATCAAGGAAAGTTCATTTATGGAGTGCCAGAATGTGCAGAGTAGTAGTGATACTTGACCCTTCTGGTTTAAGTTGTAATTTTCCAAAAAACAGCCCAACTCATTAATAATTATATTTATGGCAATGCTGATAAGCAATCTGATGACAATATCAATGTCTAAATTACAAAGTTTTAAAAGCACATAGCTGAAAGACATAGATCCAGTTAACTACCTAAGAATATTAACGGAAAAGCCATATAAAATTAAAAAAAAAAAAACAGAGGAAAGACATAAACTGTCCTGGACTCACATTTTAAAGGTAAGTTAATTTACTAACATTTTCCAAAATTATATTACCTATTTAGCTTTCACTTCCCATTAATCTCATGAACCTAAGAATTATGCTTTCAAGGCAAATTAATGAGCTTAATTTATTTCCTATGATTCTATATTTTGACTTACTTGGTTAGTTTACTTGACAAAGATTTTCTAACTTTTAATTCTTCTAGATAGAGTTGCTTATATTTTTCCAGTTCGGTTTTATTAAAGTCTTCTTGAGAAGTTTTTATTTTGGAGAGTTCAGATTCCAGATCTTTAATTCTGAGTTCCATCTGACTTTTCATTGAAGCAAAATTATTCTCTCTAAACTGCTCTAAGTTTTCTTGAGATGCTGCTTGTGCCTAAAACAAATTAAAAGCATATGTTTTAAAAATATATAACCTGAGTAAGACCATGGTCACCTACTCGGTGTCTAAGGGCTGTTTTGTTTTTAACCCAAACTCCAAAAAGAGAAAGATCTCTGTGCCAGCAGGCATTGGTCAAAGAGATAAGAGGACATCCCAGGGTTCTAATTGAAAAGGGAATCCAAATACTTCCAAAGAAATGAAAGTGAGTTTCTACTAGAGAAGCATTTTCATCCTTGATGAAGTAATCAAAACAATAAAGGCTGACTGGCAACCCAGATGTCTAACGATGGGGGGAAATGTCATATAGAAAATAAAAAATTATAATTGGTAACATAAGGAAAACCTAAGAAAGAAAATGACTACAAATGTGGAGATATTTTCGAATGAAAAATCTTATAAAAATTATTTTTGTGTTAAAATATATTCATGGGGAAGACTTGAATATGCTTAAAAATTTTGATGTGATATTCCATTTTATGAATACACCTGGCAAAGTAAATTAAAGCAATCATCTGTATGTAAGATACAGGAACTTAGAGCTTCTTAGGGATAAATGCTGTGCGCATCAATACATGCTGAGAAAAAAGCCCAAGGTGTTGGATCTCTTACAGTAATTCTACCTGCTGGAGCATAAGGTTATGGAATCACCTGGACTACAAGTAAAGGAATGTGGAGTGTGATCCTGAGCCTGACTAGCTCTATGGCTTGGGCCCTGCTGTTTAACCTTTCCCTAGGTCTCTTCATCTGTAAAATGGGAAACTACACTGGCTTATCACTAAGATTTCTTCCTATTCTCATTCCATGTCTCTAAGAGCTAACATGCAGAGCTTTGTAAGACTATCATAAATACCATGTGAAGAAATCTGTGTTATCATGGATTGTTACCACCTTGGCCTTGTAGATTGTGTTCCAAGACTCCTATCTCTCACTAGCCTGAGGGAAGGGAAAGAGCTGAGAATGAGGAGTGAAGACTTTCTACTCTCACAACGGCTACATATTTTCAAGTGGCCCAGTTGAAATTTCTCTGTTAATTTTCACATCCTTTCCACCAGTTTGCACCCTCCATCCTCTCTCATAAGCACAGGGGTCCCACGCAGTTCTCAATCGCTCTTTATCCCAACTAAAACAAATTTGTTAAATTATTGAGTTTTAATCACTCATAGACACACAAACTCATGTTATTAAGTAGATTTTTATCACTCACTCAGACACACACACACTCACACACTCATATACCCATGTGGGTAAGAGAGGAAAGACATTCCTTTGGCTTTGTTTATTTTAGAGACAGGGTCTCAGTCTGTCGCCCATGCTTCAGTTCAGTGGCACAATCATAGCTCACCGCAGCCTTGAAAACTCCTGGGCTTACATGATCCTCTCACCTCAGCCTCCCAAGTACCTGGGACTACAGCCATGCACCACCATGCCTGGCTAATTACTTTTTTAAATTTTTGTAGAGATGGGGTCTCACTTTGTTGCCTAGGTTGGTCTTGAACTCCTGGGCTCAAGTGGTCCTCCCGCCTCAGCCCTCAAAGTGCTAGGATTACAGGTGTGAGCTACCATGCCCAGCCTAATTTGTTTGTTTTGTTTTGTATTTGAGACGGAGTCTAGCTCTCACCATCTTGCCTCACTGCAACCTCCGCCTCCCAGATTCAAGCAGTTCTCCTGCCTCAGTCTCCCGAGTAACTGGGACTACAGGCATGTGCCACCACGCCTGGCTGATTATTTTTTTAAATTTTTTAGTAGATATGGGTTTTCACTATGTTGGCCAGGCTGGTCTGGAACTCCTGACCTCGTGATCCGTCCACCTCGGCTTCCCAAAGTGCTGGGATTACAGGCATGAGCCACCGTGCCCAGCTTTGTTTTTTTTTTTTTAAGGCAAAAACAACACAAGTTGTGTTAAAGTCCCAGTGGTTTCCTGGGATGAAGTAGGGGGAATTAACTGCAAAAGGGCAAGAGAGAACTTTCTGGAAATGTTCTCTGTTGAGAGGGTGGTTAAGCAAGTATATACTTGGGTCAAACTGTTAAAATGGTTGTGTTTAATTATTTGTAAATTATCCCTTAATAAAATTTAATTTATATAAAACCTGGGTAATTATTGTGTATTTTTTTCCTTTACTTTTGAGTTAGTGATTCAGAGAGTAATTTTAAATATGTGAAAAAAAAGCTGAAGTTTAAAATATTTATCAGCCAGGTTTGGTGGCTCATGCCTGTAATCTCAGCACTTTGGGAGACCTAAGCAGGAGGATCACTTGAAGCCAAGAGTTCGAGACCAGCCTGGGCAACAAAGCAAGACTCTGTTTCTACCAAAAATAAGAATTAAAAATTTAGCCAGGCATCGTGATGTGCACCTGTAGTCCCAGCTATCCAAAGGCTGAGGTATAAACATTTGAATCATTGTTTCATTAGTACTCATGAACTCTGATAATTTAAAGATAAAATTAATTAAAAATTTTAAAAAGTGAGCAATGTAATTTAAGAACAATTCAAGAATATGGTATAATTTCTAAATCACAATACTTTCTTTTCCTGATGGTTTTGTTTTATGCCAACTGGTCTTAATAGTCAAATAATTCTCTGATGAAAATCATTATTCTAAATCATCAATTTAGTTATAATAATGATGGAAACTGGAATATCTAAAGGGAGAAACAGATGCCATCATCCTTCTAGAAATCTACAGAACAAATTGCTATAAGGGATGTAGAGGAAACACATATAATGTATATATCCAAAATACAATTTGCAGTGAAATGAACAAAGGCACACTACACATAAGCTAACCTGTAAAAATAGATTGACTTCTTTTAATTTTTCTGCTATTTCCTGTCTTGCTCTTTCTTCAATCTCCTGTTTATACTGTTTGACTTGACCAAGTTCTACCATATTCCTTTCTATATGACTTCTCAGGTTGATCACTTCTTGTTCCAACTTCTTTTTATTCTTCTGTAGTTTTTCACATTTCTTTTGTACTGTTTTCATAGATAACAACTCCTCTTGAAGAATTTGGTTCTTTGTATCCAGATGTAGACATTTTGAACCTGCAGTCTCCAGTTCTGCTGTAAGATCATCAATCTGAATGAAGACAATAATATAGTGTAATAATGAAGGAAGTAGCCTGAGAATAGCCTAACATAAAACCAAGAACAAATTTTGAAATAAATTCAGTTGCAATAAAATGTCACCTGAACCATAAAAGATTCTTCAAATGTGGACCCTTAAATTACCCAGAAAATCAAGAACAAAGTCAAAGCCACCAGGAGTCACAAAAATATATTCCTTATTTTTATCATCTCTGCCACACAACATTTGCACTTGATCTTCGACTTGTATTTTTCTATGATTGTTTCATGTCTTTCCTCCTTAAATGGCTCTAAGGGGTAGCAGAAAGTCTTACTACTTCCCCCATAAACATGCCCTATAATTTTTTTTTTTTTTTTTTAGTCTTGCTCTGTCGCCCAGGCTGGAGTGCAGTGGTGTGATCTCCACTCACTGCAAGCTTTGCCTCCCGGGTTCATGCCATTCTCCTGCCTCAGCCTCCTCAGTAGCTGGGACTACAGGCACCCACCACCAGGCCCGGCTAATTTTTTGTATTTTTAGTAGAGACAGGGTTTCACCATGTTAGCCAGGATGGTCTCAATCTCCTGACCTCATGATCTGCCTGCCTCAGCCTCCCGAAGTGCTGGGATTACAGGTGTGAGCCACTGCTCCCAGCCCCAACATGCCCTATAATTTCTAAAGAAGTTTTCGGACATCCTATTGAGTTATTTAGGCCTCATCAAAAAAAAAGGCTCCCAGAATAAGACTTTTAAAATAAGACTCTAATTAATGAATCTTGTAATATAGATTCTAATGCCATAAGCCTTTTTCTGAGCTGCAAATGTTTTATGCTAATTTGACTTGCATTCCAAGGGGTAATAATTATTGGTGTTAAGGCCACAGAATAAAGAACCTAGAAATAAATTCGTGTATTTACAGCCAACTGATTTTAAACAGATGCTAAGAACATACATTGGGGAAAGGACATCCTCTTGAATAAATAGTGCTGGGAAAACTGGATATCCACATGCAGAAGAATGAAACTAGACCCCTATCGAACACCATATACTAAAATCAACTCAAAATTGAATAAAGATGTAAAAAAGTAAGACCTTGAAACTATAAAACTACTAGAAGAGACAGGGAAATTGCTTCAGGACATTGGTCTAGGCAAAGATTTTATGGCTATTTTCAAAACCGTAGGCAAAAAAACAAAAATAGAAAAATGGGACAATACTGGCCAGGTGCGGTGGCTCACTGAGCCTGTAAATCCCAGCACTTTGGGAGGACAAGGCGGGTGGATCACGAGGTCAGGAGATTGAGACCATCCTAGCTAACACGGTGAAACCCCATCTCTACTAAAAATACAAAAAATTAGACAGGCATGGTGGTGGGCACCTGTAGTCCCAGCTACTCGGGAGGCTGAGGCAGGAAAATGGCATGAACCCAGGAGGCGGAGCTTGCAGTGAGCTGAGATCACGCCACTGCACTCCAGCCTGGGTTAAAAAAAAGAAATTAATAAAATAAAATTTTAAAAAATAGTAATAAAAAATAAAGATGGGACAATATTAAACTGAAAAGCTTCTGCACAGCAAAGGAAATAATTAATAGAGTGAAGAGAGAATCTGTAGAATGGGAGACACTATTTGCAAACTATTCGAGTAGGTGCTCAGGGTTCCTGCCCCAACCAAAGTTCCAGCCAATGGCCACCATCAGCAACCAGACACATTAGTGCACAAACCAGAAGATTCTAGTCCCCCTCTATCTAGAAGCTTTAATTCTTCTAGATAGAGTTGCTTATATTTTTCCAGTTCAGTTTTATTAAAGTCTTCTTGAGAAGTTTTTATTTTGGAGAGTTCAGATTCCAGACCTTTAAATCTGGAGAAAAAACTTTCTCCTCAATAGCTCTTACGTCTTTCTCCTGGCTATCTGCTTAACATTGTTTGCCATGAATAAATTAATCTCAACATTTATCAGATTCTACTTTAAATGAGACTAATTTTTCCTGTGTAAGTTATGTTTCTTATTGTCTCTTTTTGTAAAATACATTTTTTCTGCTTATTGCTTCCTAACAAAGTACCCAAAATTTATGGCTTAAAACAACATTTATTCTGTTCAGGAATCTGTGGTTTGGGAAAATCTCGGCCAGGACAGCTTGTCTCTGTTCCCCTCAGGTTCCCTGGACACAGCTCAAAGCCTGAGGGACTGGAACTCCTAGGCTGCCTTTGTGTCCTGAGCTTCCTCACAAGATCGGGGCTGGGTTCCAACGGCAAGGAGTCTGAGATAGGAAGCCTCTTCTAATCTAATGCCGAAGTCACATGTTGTCACCTTTACCACATTCTATTCATTAGAAATGAGTCACTGAGTTTGGCCCATGTTCTATTTTATCATGGGATGAATTATTTTCTCCTTTTTAGTTGACACACAACATTGTACATATTTATGGCTAGAGAGATATTTTAATAGATGTATACAATGTATAAGCGAATTAGCATATCCATCACCTCAAACATTTATCATTTATTTGTCTTGTGAACATTCAAAATCCTCTTTTTAGCTTTTTGAAAATACACAATAAATTATATTTAACTGTATTCGCCCTGTGGTGCTATAGAACACCGGAATGCATTCCTCCTAGCTAGCTCTAATTTGGTAGCCATCACCCAACACCTCCTCCCTTCCCCGCCCCTTTGCCTGCCTCTCCTCCCTCCTGCTTTTCCCAGCCTCTAATACCCATGATTCTACTCTGTACTTCCATGAGCTCGGTTTTCTTTTTAGCACTTGCATACGAGTGAGAACCTTAGATATTTATCTTCCTTGCCTGACCTATTTCACTTAACATAATGTTACTGACATGATTTCATTCTTTTGGCTGAATAACATTCCATCCTGTATATACACCACATCTTTCTTTTTTTTGAGACAGAGTTTCACTCTTGTCACCCAGGCTGGAGTGCAATGGTGCAATCTTGGCTCACTGCAACCTCCGCCTCCAGGGTTCAAGCAATTCTCCTGCCTCAGCCTCCAGAGTAGCTGGGACTACAGGCGTGTGCCGCTATGTCCAGCTAATTTTTTTGTATTTTTGGTGGAGACGGGGTTTTGCCATTTTGTCAAGGCTGGTCTCGGAACTCCTGACTTCAGGTGATCAGCCTACCTTGGCTTCCAAAATGCTGGAATTACAGGCATGAGCCACCGTACCCAGCCACCAAATCTTTTCCTTTAAAAAAAAAAATTCCATTTTTATTTTAGATTGAAAGGGTACATATGCAGGCTTGTTACTATACTGCAAAATGCCGAGGTTTGGACTTCTGTTGATCCTGTCACCCAGATTCTGAACACATTTCTTGGCACAGATCCTGCATTCTTGGAAACCTCAGCGTCTGTTGTTTTCACCTTTATGTATCTGTATACACCATATTTTCTTTTCCATTGTCTATGGACATTTAGGTTGATTCCACATCTTAGCTATTGTGAATAGTACTGCAATAAACATGGGAATGCAGATATCCCTTTGATATGCTGATTTCCTTTCTCCTGGATAAATACCTGGTAGTAGAACGACTACATCATATGGCAGTTCTATTTTTAGTTTTCTGAAGAAACTCCACATTGTTTTTTATAATGGCTGTACTACTTTACATTCCCACCAACAATGTCTAAGAGTTCCCTGTTCTCTGCAGCCTTGCTGGCATTTGTTATTTTTTGTCTTTTGATAGTAGCGATTCTAACTGGAATAAGATCATATCACTTGGTGGTTTTGATGTGCACTTCCCTGATGATTAGTGATGTTGAGCATTTTTTCCGTATACCTTTTGGTCATTCGTATGTCTTCTTATGAGAAATGTCTGTTTCAGATTTTTTGCCTACTTTTGAATTAGAATATTCTTTTTGCTGTCGAGTTGAGTTCCTTGTATATTCTGGATATTAGTCCCTTGTCAGATGAATAGTTTGTTATTTTTTTGACTTTTTAATAATAGCCATTCTGGCTAGTATGAGATGGTATCTTGTTGTGGTTTTGATTTGCATTTCTCTAATGATCAATGATGTTGAGCTTTTTATCATGTTTGTTGGGTTGCATGTATGTCTTCTTTTGAGAAATGTCTATTCATCTCCTTTGCCCACTTTTTAATGGGGTTGTTTTTTCCTTGTAAATTTGTGTAAGTTCCTTATAGATGCCGGATATAAGACCTTTGTTAGATGCATAGTTTGCAAAAATTTTCTCCCATTCTGTAGGTTGTCTGTTTACTCTGTTGATACTTCCTTTGCTCTGTAGAAGCTCTTTAGTTTAATTAGATTCTATCAATTTTTGCTTTTGTTGCAATTGCTTTTGGTGTCTTGGCCATGAAATCTTTGTCTGTTCCTATGTCCAGAGCTAGAAGCCATTATCCTTAGTAAACTAACACAGGAAGAGAAAACCAAATACTGCAAGTTCTCACTACTAAGTGGGAGCTAAATGATGAGAACACAGGGACACACGGAGGGGAACAACAGACAATGGGGCCTCCTAGAGGATGGAGGGTGAGAGAAGGGAGAGGAATCAAGAAAAATAACTAATGAGCACTAGGCTTAATACTTGGGTGACAAAATAATCTGTTTAACAAACACCCGTGACACAAGTTTAACTACATAACAAACCTGCCCATGTACCTCTGAACTTAAAAGTTTAAAAAAAGTTTTTTTATTAGTATCAAGTCCCTAAAGTTAAAAAAAAAAATCTTTATTTCACTGTTCAAAGCATTGAGAAGTCTATATTTCCCAAAATTAAGTGACTTTTTTGGTCCCAAAACTTATTAAAAATTACCTTATGTTTTAGCTTATTAATCTGAATATCCATTTCAAATTGACTAGTTTTTAAATCTCCATGGAAACTAAATTCTCCATTTTCATATTCATTTAACTTCTTTCTTGTCATTTTTAAGAGGTTCTTAAATCTGCAGGAAGGTACAAAATGAGTAACTCAAGTTTTAAAAAGGCAAACATTTAATAATTATTTAAACAGATATTATGTTTTAGCATGTAAGAAAAACAAATGAATCATGATTCTCTCGTTTATTTCAATCTGACATAGTTTGAAAACACTCTAATGAAATTATAATCTTAGGTAAATAATGTGAAGAAAAATTATATGACATATATGGCAGATAAAGAGTTAACATTAAAATCACATGAAGTTTTTATAAATAAATTATTCCTATCCATTTTAGTATGTTAATATAAAACATTAACTTATTATCAAATATTAGCTATAAACCAGAGATCAGAGTCCAAGGTGAAGAGGAAAATCATACTTAGGCTGGACCAGTGGCTCATGCCTAAAATTCCAGCACTTTGGGAGACCGAGCCAGGCGGATCACTTGAGCTCAGGAGTTCAAGACCAGCCTGGCCAACATGGTGAAACCCTGTCTCTACTAAAAATACAAAAATTAGCCAGGCGTGGTGGTGCATGTCTGTAATCCCAGCTATTCAGGAGGCTGAGTTGGGAGGCGGAGCCAGGAGAATGGCTTGAACCCAGGAGGTGGAGGTTGCAGTGGGCCGAGACTGCACCACCACACTCCAGCTTGGGCAACAGAGAGATTCCAGGGAAAAAAAAAAAGAAAAGAAAAGCATACACATACTTATACATGAATGGTTGAAAAAGACACAAAAATACATTTGATATCCGTTGACCACTGTTTATAAGAAGAAAAGTACAAAAAAAAAAAGAAAGTACACACAAAAAACATCAAGATCATTCAAAGTAGATAAGAGACAGGAAAGAAACATTTTTGACGTCTGAGTTAAGGGGAAAAGGAAACAGGCAGAGTTTTAGAAGAAAGGAAATGAGCAGAGAAAGCATGTATAAAGACACAAAGGCTGCTTTCAGAAGAGATCCAGAAATCTTTACTAGCACAACGTTAACAAAGTAAAAGGGATGCCAAACCACGTTAGAGAAAGACAATGAGAGAAAAATAGTAATTAGAATCAGAACAAACGTAAGTACTCAGCAAATAAACAGAAAAGCAGCCATGTTAGGGGCTTCCAAGGCAATGGGTAACATTCCATTTTTAAATCTGGATAGTAGAAACATGATTGCTCATTTCACTCTTAAATCATACATACTTTTGTATATGTATGAGGCATATATGTTTTAAAACAAACAGAAGTTTAATAACATGTATACCTCAGGTATACATGGGGGATATCCATGGGAAATGAGTAAATTTTCATGATATATTTTATTACTACACACACACACACACACACACACACACAAAGAGGCAGAAAGAAAGCATAAGCTAAATCAAGATAATTTTTGATGCTTCCAAAGGATGACACAGATAGGTTTTTAGATATTAAAAGATTTGAATATCTTCTTTGAAGGGAAGGACACTACCAAAGAGAGAAAGATTACCAAAGAAAGTGAAAATATCTTCAGAAATAAAAGTTCAAAGTAAAAGATGAAGAGTGCAGTTGACATTATATGCCAAAGGCATTGTTACTGCTTTCAAAATCATTAAAGAATAAGTGTAATATTTAGGCATTCCAAAAGTTTCAGATTGTGCTGCAACTTTCTAAAACCATTTTAAAAGAGAATAATTTCATTAAGAAAAAGTAGATATTAAATGAATTTATATCTAGTTTTGAACAAAGTAAAATTATATTAAATCAATTAATGAATGGTTAAAATGATCTGAAATATTAAAATCTTACCCAGTTATCTCTCTTTCTAATTCAACATTTTTCTTCATTTCTTGATCCAAATTACATTCCAGTGACTGTTTTAATTCCATAAGTTTCTTTAATTGTTCCTTTTCATCTTCAGACTTTGAAACAAAATATTTTCAATTACTTTTAAAACTCTGGAAACACTTTTTTTCTTAAAACTATTATTTCTTATGAGTTCATGAGTAACATATGTTTAGGCATATAAAATGCAGTTTATAAACCTAATGGCAATAAGAACGGATTTGAAAAAATGACTTTTCTTAAAACAGCTCATATCTCTTTTCTGGAATTTAAATTACCAAAATTTGTTAAAAATAGAAGTTTTTACATATAAAATACTAAGTGTTAATGAAAATTCCTTTTTAAAAAGTTATTTTAGATGTACGTTCTCATTTCTGAAGTTGCTCTAGAAACACTGTCATCAGTAGTTCAAGATATTCCAGTTTTTGTTAAATCAAATCTTACTAAGACAATTTTTAGAAAACTTTCATCTGGTTCCCGTTACATTTTTTATACTCACCTGACTTCAAGATGAGCTATCTCTCATTCTCTATAAACATTCTTCTATGGGTTTCAATTTTTCCTGTTCTATTAACCATTTCTCTTTAAATAAAGTTTTTCTTCTCCACAATAAACAAAAACATAACTTTTGCCTGATTCTTGTGGCTTTTTTAATCAACCTGTTTTTCCATTGGACTCTCTTTTTTGTTTGTTTGTTTGTTTGTCTGTGACAGGGTCTCACTCTGTCAACCAAGCTGGAGTGTAATGGTGCAATCATAGTTCACTGCAGCCTTGAACTCCAGGGCTCAAGCAATCCTCCCACCTCAGCCTCCTCAGTAGCTAGGATAACAGGCATGCACCACCACATCGGCTAATTTATTTCATATTTTTTAGAGACAGAGTTTTGCTATGCTGCCCAGGCTGGTCTTGATTCCTAGTCTGAAGCGATTCTCCTGCCTCAGCCTCCTAAAGCACTGGAATTACAGGTGTCAGCCACTGTGCTCATCAGGCTCTAATATTTTTTAATACACGGTCTCATCTAGAGATCTACTTCTTCATCACTTGTCTTCTTTTATACTAAAATCTAATTTTCAGTCTTATAATTCTCATTTTAAAATTCTGAAAGTCATCAAGGCCCTATTTTTTAGTCTTTAATCTGCTTTACTTCTCAGCAGCAACTACTATCAGTGACCATACCCTCCCCTAGGCGTCTCTGACCTCACTTCATTTCTAAATGCAGCAACCCTTCATGCTGAGTCCTGTCCCCTTCCATTCCTCTTTTTTAAATTCTCTAAGAGCTCCTTAAATCTCAAGGCTTCATCCCAGATTCCCTAATCTAGATTTCCAGCCCAGACCTCTTTCCTGAGGTCTCTTCCTTCTGTTTCACTTCTCATAAACCATATTCTCAACCACACACTCATAAACCATTACTTGGTGCAGATTCCTTTTGTAGGTAGCTAATCTTGTACATTTTATGTTGATTCTTATTGGTGTTATTTTGAGTGTAGTGTTATTTTCTCATCTTGTGTGGGCACACTCACCCTTAGGATGTTGACCAGCATACTTTGTCTTTGTTTTTCTTTCATAATGCAAAACTTTTCCACAAGGGTCAGATTATTGATTGTTTGCCTTTGCTTTCTTTTGACTAATTCCCTTTTCCATAAAGACATGAGATGAGAACCTTCTGGAAAAGTTAGGGGCTATTGATGAGTTGGTTGAAAGCGGTCTCTATTAAATTTTTGATTCACAGTGTACATTTCAAAGTGACTAATAATTATATGCCATATTCCTAACTCATTTCTATGGGAATCTACAGAAAATCCCCCATTATTTTTGAATAAGCTTAGCAGGTTTTGAGTACTTTTACTAAATTTTCCATTTCTGAGATGTTGATATATTCCTGGATGACATCCATATAAGGGGATGTCCCCCACACTCTCATTCACAGGAGACTTCATATCAATATATTGTCATGTCACTTGTGTGAAAAGGATGCCAATAAAGTAGGACTAACACATGAAATCTAGAAAAAAAACTTGTCAATGTTTCTTCTGATAGGTGTATCTGTATAGGAGAGTAGCATAAATCTTCCTGTTGTGACTTAAAGAAACTCATTAGTAGAAGCATCAACCTCATTGCTCCACTTTAGTATTTACAATGCAACCTTCTGATCTTCATTTCTACACAGGAAAGTGTGAATGACCAGAGAATCCTGTTCTGCTTGTTAAACATCAAGCAGAACATCAATAAATAATCACTAAATTGGTACATCAATAAATTGGTATTGTGGATTACACGGCCATCCTTTCTGAGACTGGACTGTTAAGGTTTTGGTTTTTTTTAGTTTTTTTTTTTGAGATGGAGTCTCACTCTGTCACCCAATAGCACAATCTCGTCTCACTGTAACCTCCACCTTCTGGGTTCAAGCAATTCTCCTACTTCAGCCTCCTGAGTAGTAGGATTACAGGGGCCTGCCATCACGCCTGGCTAATTTTTGTATTTACAGTAGAGACAGGGTTTTGCCATGTTGGCCAGGCTGGTCTCAAACTCCTAACCTCAGGTGATCCACCCGCCTCGGCCTCCCAAAGTGCTGGGCATGAGCCACTGCGCCTGACAGGAACTGTTAAGGTTTTGAAAGACTGATGAACACAGATAAATGGGAAAAAAAGTTTCTGAATCTGCAATGCTAGGAGCACTGTGTTATTCTGTAATGTCCTGCTGGAGCAGCCATTTCTACTTTTTCACAGGTTTTTCTTTTTTAAAATCCAAAGAGAAAAACACATTACTTTGGGGGAAAAGAATGCTTGTATAATGACATAGTATCCATTCTTGATGAGGAATAAAAACTACCATGTTAAAAGCAATTCATTCTGAAATTCTCACTGAAGGGTTTAGATTATAAAAGAAATTCAGAATTGTAGATCAAGTCACTACTCAAATTTCTTAGAATTTCAAAAGATATTACAAATATTAGCAGAGACTCAGACAATTGTACACCATATCCATAGCAGCATTATTCACAATAAGCAAAAGGCAGAAATAATCCGAACGTCCATCAATGGATGAGTGAACAAACAAAATGTATATAAAAAACACTGTTTTTAGTCTATCATAATCTTTTTTATTAAAATCTTACTACCAAACTCATTAATGTTATGAATTCAGTCAACTTCTATAAAGTCAAGAGGACTTGCACTACTAGTAGCAAGTAGTATTACCATGAATACAATAAATATTTTTATCAATAAGGATTTTCATATTATCTAAAATATTCTTACATACAGATAGTCCCCAACTTACAATAGCCCAACTTACAATTTTTCAACTTTAAGAGTGTGTGAAACCACTACAATTTGGATTTACTTACCATGGGTCAACTTATTAATACAACTTTTTGACTTTATAATGGCGTGAAACCATCACAATTTCAACATACTTCAGATTTTGAATTTTATCTTTTCCCAGGCTAGCAATATGTGGTATATGAGATATCCAATACTTATTATAAGATAGACTTTGTGTTAGATGATTTTGTCCAACTGTAGGCTAATGTAAGTGTTCAGAGCAGGTTTAAGATAGGCTAGGCTAAGCTATGATGTTCAGTAGGTGTATTAAATTTCACCTTATAATATTTTCAACTTACAATGTGTTTATGAGGATGTAATCCCATCATAAGTGGAGGAACATCTGAAAATTTGAAATCCAAAATGTTCCAAAATCTGAAACTCTTGAGTGTGGACAGGATGTCACAAGTGGAAAATTCCACACCTGACCTCATGTGACATGTCACAGTGAAAACACAGTCAAAACTCTGTTTCATGCATAAAATTATTTTTAAAATATTCATAAAAGTGGCCGGGCACTGTGGCTCATACCTGTAATCCCAGCACTTTGGGAGGCCGAGGCGGGCGGATCATGAGGTCAGGAGATCGAGACCATCCTGGCTAACACGGTGAAACCCTGTCTCTACTAAAAATACAAAAAAATTAACCGGGTGTGGTGGCGGGCTCCTGTAGTCCCAGCTACTCGGGAGGCTGAGGCAGGAGAATGGCGTGAACCCGGGAGGCAGAGCTGAGATCGCACCACTGCACTCCAGCCTGGGCGACAGAGTGAGACTCCATCTCAAAAAAAAAAAAAAAAAAAAATTACATAAAAGTAACTTCAGGCTACATATATAAGGTATATATGAAAAATCAATGAATTTCATGTTAGGCTTGGGTCCTGTCTCCAAGATATCTCATTATGTATGTACAAATATTCCAAAATAAAAAAAAATCCAAAATCTGAAACACTTCTGGTCTCAAGCATTTTAAATAAGGGATACTCAACTTGTCCTACTAAAGCAATAAAATTCCTTTTCAGTACGACAGAAATTAAGTGGCTGACTTACCAAATTTGCATTTAACAGGTTTTTCTGAAGCTCCTCAATTTTGTCCATTTGCTTTTTGACTGTAACTTTTAACTTGGCATTATCTTTTTCAAGCCTGAAATGTATATTTTAAAATAATTATTCTCACAGATAAATTTTTAAAATACTGTGTAATTTCTTAGCAAACACCTGAAGGCATAATTACATAAATTCTTAAAGATTTCAAAAGTAGGTGATTTGGCAACTCTATCGTTTTTCTAGTTGTGGTTTGTGGATAATGCACAAAATTCTAGGATAATATAAAAAAATCCGCATTTCAAAATTGCTTAATGCTGAAATTTTTCCTTGACTTCACACAGATGTACTTATGATCATAGCTGATATAATTCTCATACTACACTGCTTATTTGCTCTATAAATAATCATGTTTTTCTGTGTGCTGCTTTAAATTTTACTTTTGCTTGTGATCTTGCATCTTCTCAGCACATCTGACAGCTTCTGTATGTCGATCCTGTGCTTCTTGCAACTAAAACAAAGAATAAAAAAAACCCACTTTACTAATAATCTAGTACACATCTGTCCATTACCTGTTTTTGTAACTAAACCTTATCGGAACACAGTCATACCCCTTCAATATGCATATTGTTTATGGCTACTTTTGTGCTGTGACTGTAGAGCTGATCTGTTGCAGCAGGTGGTATCTACGGCTCCCAAAGCCTAAAATAATACTATCTGGCCCTTTACAGAAAAGTTTATCAACCTGCGTTCTAGAACTAAAACATATTACTCTTGTTTTCAAACTATATTTTATCAGATAAATACTCAAATTTACAAACTTGGTAAAATGTAGAAAGATAGGAAATTACCTTACGATAAGCATTTATATTTTTGCATTCCAAGCACCACCACATGAACTATAAGTTTAAATATTTATAGATGTGAATGACCATGGCAATGCCAGTGATTATAAAAATTAACATGATGACATGTTAGGTGACAACTAGATATTCATGAAACTGAGAGGCCGTATCCACACAGAAGCGGGAATGGCCGGGTGGGAATCCCAGCTCCACCAGTTACCAGCTGTGTGACCTTGAGCAAATTAACATTCAGTGTCTCAATTTCTTCAGTGGTAAAATAGAAACAGAGACAGTAATACTATTACTTCACTGGGATGGTAAGAAGATTCAGTCAAGGAATATATACATAAAGTACTTAGATGAGTACATGGCATATAGTGAGCTATATATAATATTTGCTGTTTGTGTGATTCTTTTTACTGTATTTTATGTTCTAATAAAATTGTATATTTTAGGCAGATGGCATGCCAATGGAAGTGGTCTACTATAGCTGCACTGAATCATTCTTCACACCACTGAAAGTGAAAGCAAATGGGGAGCATGAGGCCCAGAATACACCCCTAGTACTTCACAGAACTTTTGCCAATTCCACTAAGCCGACAGTACTTTAAACAATTATAGATTACTTTCTCTCTGCTTTACTCAGTGGGCAATGACCACAATGCAAACAGCACCTCCTGGAATAAGTAATACATAACTTACATGGCCATCAGAGCACTGGACTGAAAACACTGGACTCTGCTGCGAAACAAGGTTCCCAAATCAAGTCATTTGCAACAACTGTCTATGCTGAGCTGCTTTAGCGAGCACTCTGGTGGGCTTAAGGCTAAGGTTATGTCGTACGGTGTAGGAGAAAAGCTGGAGCTCTTTGGGTGGGAAAGCGGTATGAATCTACGGATCCCAGCTCTGGCTACGTAATAAAGAAATGGAAATGTAGATTTCTTTTCAGGGTGAAAAACATGAGCATTTGATTGAATAACTTTCCTTTACTAGATTAAGTGGTTTCTACTTATATTTAATTACTTAAAATATATTTAGAATAACCACCTATGTTAGCTGTGGCCTTGTAAAAAAATAAAATAATAAAAATAGAATAAAAGCTTTATTATATCAATGTCTCAAAGAAGAAATTCTTAGTATAATATAAAGTAATTTTAACCTAACAATTGCTAAGCTAAAATATTTTCAATTTATACAAGGATAGGTGACAGGCATATCAGATATTATTCACCTCGTAGGCAAATTTATAATTAGACAAGTTTCTCTCTTATGAAAAAAAATAAAAGTGAAGTTAAATTAAGGGCAAATTGTTCTACACAGACTAGACAAAGAGTGCTAAAATGTGAGGTCAATGAGATCCAGAACAGTCAGAGAAAGCTTCCGAAAGGAGGGGGAATTGTGTGCCAGGTCTGAATGAATGAGGCTAGATGAACAGAAACTGCAAAGGCAGGAAGAACAGCAGGAGTCAAGCAGAGAGATGGTGAAAGCAGCCTGATTAACTCTGAAGATAAAATCCAGTGGCAGGAGAATAAAAACATATGTCTTATAAATGAATGTTCATCGCAGCATTATTTACAGTAGCCAAAAAGTAGAAACAATCTAGAGGCCCATCCGCTGATGAATGGATAACTGGTATAGCCATACAATAGAATATTATTAGACAATAAAAAGAAATGAAGTACTGATATGTGCTACAACACAGATGGACCCCAAAAACATGCTAAGTAAAAGAAGCCACTCATAAAAGACTGCATATTGTATGACTCTATTTATATGAAATGTTCAGAACAGGCAAATTTAAGGAGACAAAAAGTAGATGGTGGTTGCCTAGGATTGGAGAAGGTGGAGGGACATGGACAGGGATGGTGGTGATGGCTAAGGGATGTGGGGTTTCTTTTCAGGGTGATAACAATGTTCTAAAATTGACTGTGGTGATGGTTACACAACTCTGTAAATAATCTAAGAGACACTGAATTGTACACCTTAAATGAGTGAACTGTATGGTATATAAATTATATCTCAATAATGTTCTTTAAAAATCCAGTGGAGGGATCTAGATAATTTTCTTAATTCTCTAGTTTAGATGTACATGCTATACATAATCTAAATATTTCTATGTTTTTATAATATATTTTAAATGAAAGGAAAATGAAGGAAATGCCTATTTCAAATAGTTTATAAATTAACCTAAAACATTTGCATTTTGGAGAAAAGTTAATGGCCTTTCTGTACAAATTAATTTGAAATCCATAAAATAAATCAACACAGACTCTGTATCCATTCACAAAAGTGAAAATAAGAAATAAGACAATTTTCTGGAACATTCCATTAAACATTATCCTCTAACTTAATCTGGCTTGCCATGACAATAGAAAAATCACTATAAAATACTGTTTAACAGGAAAAAACTCTCTCAACTTCCATGAGGAATGATGTATAATTCTCAACTTTCCTAAGACTAAATATTATTTTTAAAAATGTGCAATTATAAGAAAAAAATGGCAGAATGAAAGAGTTTAATAAACAAGATGGGTGCGGTGGCTCACATCTGTAATCCTAGCACTTTGGGAGGCCCAGGCAGGTGGAACACCTGAGGTCAGGAATTCGAGACCAGCCTGGCCAACAGGGTGAAACCCCATCTCTATTAAAAATACAAAAATTAGGCCAGGTGCGGTGGCTCACACCTGTAATCACAGTACTCTGGGAGGCCGAGGGGGGTGGATCACCTGAGGTTAGGAGTTTGAGACCAGCCTGGCCAACATGGCAAAACCCTATCTCTAACTGTAAATACAAAAATTAGCCAGGCGTGGTGGTGGGCACCTGTAATCCCAGCTACTCGGGAGGCTGAGGCAGGAGAATTGCTTGAACCCAGGAGGCGGAGGTTGCAGTGAGCCAAAATTATGCCACTGCACGCCAGCCTGGGCTACAGAGCGAGACTCTGTCTCAAAAAAAAAACAAAAAACAAAAAACAAAAATTAGCTGGGCATGCTGGCACACACCTATAATGCCAGCTACTCAGGAGGCTGAGGCAAAAGAATCGCTTGAACCGGGGAGGTGAAGGTTGCAGTGAGCTGAGACAGTGCCACTGTACTCCAGCCTGGGCAACAGAGTGAGACTCTGTCTCAAAAAAAAAACAAATAAATAAAGAAGCAAGTGTATTATAAAGACAATAAAATTTAGACCATCCTGGCTAACACGGTGAAACCTCGTCTCTACTAAAAAAAACCACAAAAAATTAGCCAGGTGTGGCGGTAGGTGCCTGTAGTCCCAGCTACTCGGGAGGCTGAGGCAGGAGAATGGAGTGAGCCCGGGAGGTGGGGCTTGCATTGAGCCGAGATCGCGCCACTGTGCCACTGCACTCCAGCCTGGGCAATAGAACGAGACTCCATCTCAAAAAAAAAAAAAAGATAATAAAATTTAAATTAATTATAATGAAAACACAAAAGAAGGCTACCCACTAAATTAGTATGATAAAACACTATATATTTAACCAGTTATAGATTAACTGTTTGACATGTTAAATTTCATACATACTTGATTTCTGATTTGACCTAATTTCTTCTTTAAATCCTGTGTCTCATCTTCTAAATTAATACGATAACGTGACGTAACCTCCAGTGAAGCCTCTGACATAGATTGTTTTTTTAGGGTATCAGCTAGTTCTTGTTGAAGTTGTCTCACAACAACCTGATAAGACATTTTGTTACTGATTTTATAAATCACCTTATTATTAAGTTATGTTAAAAAATAAATTATGTTAATAATATTTAACTATGACATATACAACTTAAAAAATATTACCACATACATTGATTCACCTTCTTGTCCTCATATGTACACATTGCTGTTTATTACTGAATTCAGTTAAGGACACAGGTGTTATCTTCCTGCCAATTAGGTATGACGTTACTTAAACAACAGATTCAGCCCATTATTCATTCATCCCCCCATGAATTTACACTGCTTAACAATCTACTGAAGTCTCGAAATAGTTATGTGAGTGGAACTGGTAGTGATTAATTGTACCCTATGAAACATTTTTGCTCTTTTTTATTAGAACATCAAATCAACTTCAGAGCTCCTCAGATACTTAATTGCTTGCTCAAATTATTCCAATAGATTCCTATCTCAGAATACAGGTAAATTCCAATGGCCTTAGAGGCCCTAGGTAACCTGGCCTCCACTTGCCTCCCTGACCTCGGCTGCTATGACTCTCCCCTACTCACTCCATTCTTGCTGCCTGTGCATCCTGCCACCCCTCATTAGTGTGAAAATGGTGGTCCAATGCCAAACTAATAAATCACAAATCGCTACACTTACTTATCTTTATACTGAACAAAGTTATACCCAAATGATAGTCATTGGGCACTGAAATGAAAATTATGAGCAAATTATTTGCTCATAATATATTCAAAGTAAATTATAAATACCACTGGGGAGATTAAGTCAAATATGGTTGCTAAAATTCACATTTGTCCCAAATTATGGTTTAATAAAAAGTACATGCTTTAAAGAATTGAGAGATCATAACAATATGTAATTTGAGATTGAAATATTTTTAGACAAGTCAAATTGACAAGAATAAAAATAAAATCACATCAACTGAAATATATAAAAAGCTACTGACAGAAAAGTATTAAGAGATATAGCAATATACTTCAGTTTATCTGGAAATCTGGAATTAACTGTCAAAATAACACACTTAATTGAACCTTAACTTCAAAATCCTCATTTCAGGTATAAGCATTTCCATTTATCTGTTTCATGGTGGCAGACAAATGGAAATGTTCTTAAGATGTGGCAACATAAAGACACTAAAATTATTACTTCAGCAGTAAAAGACTACATTATTCACATTAGTTTACTATTCATACTAGTCTATAACAATTCATAACTTAAAACTCAAAATTTCATAGATGATACAATATCTTTACTCAAAGTAAAGCATCTCTCAGCTCTTTTATTTGCTGAAAACAAGGGATGTTTCTAAACTGATAGAGTAAATAAGCTTATCTATTTATTTTTATAGTTAACTACATAACTATATATTATTTTAAATTTTCTTTCAGGAGGTTTGAAAAATATTTATCTTTCTTGATACTTACTTCTCTTTCTGCCTTTTCATTTTCATATTGATACTGTCTTTCTTTTAAGTGATTACATTCACTGATTAACTCCTTATTTCTTTCTTCTAGCAGAAGACTTTGCTTTTCACTCTCAGCTTGAAGTTTTTGCACAATAGCATGAAACTGGTCTTGGATATTAATCACTGTCTTCTCTTTATTGTCAGCCTTGTTGTGGGCATCATCCAGTTGTTGTCGAAGCAACATATTCTCACTTTGTAGTTGAGACAATCTCTCCTCTACAGACTCCTGCTTTCCAATGTATTTATTCACTTTAACTTGTTCATTTTGATACTTTTGTTCCATTTCCTTCATTTGACACTGTGTTTGGCTTAGGTCCTTTTGTACCCGTTCTAAACCCAAAGTCTTTTCTCTGAGGGCATCTCTCGTGTGATGGAACTCAATTTCTAGGCTATTGAGTTTACTTTCAGTTTTAAATAGTTGTTGAGAAAGAATCTCATTGTTATCTTTTAGGTTAGACACATCAAAATTCATTTTGTCCTGTAAACGAGAACATTCATCTCTTGCTCTCTGGAAAGCAAGTTCTAGTTCTCTTTTTGATGTCTCACTTTGATCACGATCATGTATAGCAGCAGCCAATCTAGAATGGTATGATTCAACTTCTGCTTCCAGTCTTTCCTTGCTTTGCTTTTCATTCTCCAGTTTAGAATTTAGCATTGCATTCTCAGCTGTCAGAACACTAAGCCGTCCATTATACTGGGATATTGTTTGTGTTAATGTTTCCTCATTCTGTTTTATAGTCTTCTGAAGGTCTTCATTCTTTTCTTTTACAATTTTAAGGTCCTCAAAACATTTCTTTTCTTTTTCCTGGTTTTGATTTTTTATTGTGTCTATTTCTAGTCTTAGCATAGCAATTTCTTCCTGCAACATGCTATTTTTATGCGATAGGTCTTTTTCTTCTTCATGACTATGAGAATTCTAAGTAAAACAAAGGAAACTTTGAGCTAGCACCCAAGAAAATGACAGATCATGATTTCCTCTGAAATTAAAGAATAAACTGTACATTTTACAATAAAGGGTTGCAATAAGTGTATATCCAATTGAAAAAAAAAAAGTTGGATCAAAACTCAAACCGTATAGAGCATAAACTCCCAAAAGTTCAAAAATTTATTTGAAGACAATTAATCCATGAAAGTAAAAAAGAAACCACTAGAAAATTTTTAAGAATCACAGAATTGGAAAGGCCTTTTACTGAAGTACAACAAATTCAAAAGCATAAAAGATTAATAATTTGACCACATTAAAAAATTGGGTTTATACTCTGATATCTAACCCATACACCAACCCATAGTAAGAGCCTTGGCTCTACATATATTTGGACAGACGAAATTTCCTGAAGTTTTTCAAGTTCCTTTTTTCTGAGCATATTCTATAGATACTCTACTTTTCTCACATCTTTATAGTCAGTTATCAATTACGTTTATTGATGAATAATAAATCTAGGCATTGTACTAAGCACTTCTACATATATCAATGAACTCATTTAGTATCACAGTTTTGAAAAGGAAAAGTTAAAAAAAAAAAGCAGCTGTATGATTTTCCCTGGGTCTTCTGACTCTATTTATAGTGTTCTTTCACTAAATCAGTTATTTCTGTGGTATAAATATTTAAATACAAAAGAAGCCTTTTATTTTACAACACTAATGGTAAATAGGACAAAATTTGTAGAGTTCCTCTTGGAAAATCACGAGATTATTTGTTGTCGCAATAACTTTTGTTTCCTCTTCATAATGTTTGAAAATGTAATAATGTGAAACAGGGAGAAATATGCTGAACTGTTTTACTAGGAACAAAATACTTATCACTAAATTATCACTAACTATATATCATGGCATATCATTGTTTCAAAAGCTCTTTGTACCAAAATAAGATACTACTTGCAGTAAACCATTACTCTTCTCAACAGTGAGAAGAATAACATCCAAAATATGTCACTGAACTGGCTGTACTTTTCCTCCTTTCCTATGGGTAGAAGCAATAAACTAACCTCTCCATTAATATATCAAGGTGATGAAATCACTTCCAAAATCTCAAGCATCTATTGTTAGTAGCAAGGGTTTTGAGATTGTGGAAAGACCATCAATTCTTACGGAAGATATTATTAAAAGCTTCTCCTTTGGATGAGGCCATTCTGAATGTCATTACTTGACTGCTGCAGACAAGTGGAGCTGAATTAAGAACATCACTTTATCCAATGGACCAAAAACACTACCACTACCCCAAGATACACATATATGGTTTAAAAATCCTCGACACTTTCCAAGATGCATATATAGTTGGTTTTTAAAATATATACACATATAAATACATATACACACATATTTGAAAATGACTAAAGGAAATAGAAATACCTCAGAATTCATTTTCTTTTGAGCCATTTCAATCTCCTTTTGTTTGGAAAGGTGATTGGTCAGAATTCCATCTTGTAACATTCTGGCATTCTGTTCTCGAGAAAGTTGCCTCTGAGCGTCATTTCGCTCTTGAACGACCTAGAGATACATTAAGTTTTAGGTCTATTAGCATTTTGTAAAAGTCTAAAAGGTTAACAAGAGCAGAATTTTAAAACAAAAAACTTATAAAAAGGAAATAGCACATTAAAATGCAAGAACCTTTATTACTCAAGAATTACTCAAATTTTAATCACCTAAGTGACAGCTAAATTAATCAAAAAGCAAAAATGGTTCTTAATAAATACAGGCAAATATAGAATTGTGAAATAAAATGTCAAAACATTTTACTAGTTTCATCATAATTTTAGAGCTATTTAGCCTGTATTTTAACATTAAATGCCTAAATTAACATTTATGTTAGTGATTAAACTCAACTTACCCTCCATTCCTTCATTCAGAAAACAGAGACTAAGCATCTATTAGGTGCCAAGATTTATCATGAATAATTTTAGTTATAAAGGTCACAGGTCAGCTTGAGATAACAGTTTTGTTTTAAACCTAGATAACATATATTAAATCAAAAGGATGTGATAATAGTGATGAAATAAAGTTAAAAATATAAAATTTTTATCAAAAATTAATTTACCTGATTCAAATTACTTTTTACAGTCCTCAATTCCATCTCCAGTGTTTGGAGACTCAGTTCAAGCTGTTGTTTCACTTCAACTTCTTTCCTATATTGCTCTTCTTTTCTTCTTAACTGTTCCCTAATTTTTTCATACAACGTATCAGCATTTCTTCTCTTCTCTTCTTCTTGGTTTAAGCTAAATCTGCAGTTAAATATGTTTATCTTAAAATCTGTATTGTTACAAAATAAAAAGTTCATTGTGTGATATGCCGCTTTGTATGTTGGTTTATTACCCTAATACAATTTCTATGTTCTTGAATATTTTTCCTTTCTAGTTCTCTGATTTTTAATTTCTCACTTCAGTCTTTTCCAAAGGACATATATACTTGAAAGGTAGTGATGAAAGAACATTCTGCTAACTGGTAAGTTTCTGTTATGAGTACCTCTGATAAATATTATGGAAAAAGATATTGGAAATGATTCAGTAAAGATGCAAGTTGAAAATTATCTTTTTGGCTGGGTGCCAGTAGTTCATGCCTGTAATCCTATCACTTTGGGAGGCCGAGGCGCGCAGATCACTTGAAGTCAGGAGTTCGAGACCAGCCTGGCCAACAGGGTGAAACCACATCTCTACTAAAAATACAAAAAATTAGACAGGTGTGGTGGCAGACACCTGTAATCCCAGCTACTCAGGAGACTGAGGCAAGAGAACCGCTTGAACCCGGGAGGCGGATGTTGCAGTGAGCCGAGATTGTGCCACTGCACTCCAGCCTGGGCGACAGAGTGAGATTCCATCTCAAAAAAAAAAAAAAATCTTTTTTTAATTAGTCATAATTACTCCTCAATTAGGAAAGATCATTAAACTAACTAAAAAGAAGTTAGTTTACTAAAATGTTTATAAATCCAATAGAAATATATTTTTGTTTTTATGAAATATTGCAAGTATCCCTAAAAATTATTACAGTGTAAGATAACACCCTCAGATGCTTTCATACAACATATATCTGTATAATAGCATAATTAAAGATTAGGCTAACGAGCCTAATACTGGTTACCCCATACTTTTTATGTTTCTTTTTTCTGGTAACACTTTCGACATACCTTCTTGATTATTACATATTGCATAAACAATTTTAAAATCTCTTTTGGAACAAAACAGGATCTAATATTTAAGTAAACCGTAAAGAATAATATGCATTTTCAACACAGAACTTTGAATGAATTTTATCTGTGTATTAGAGAGAGATCACTTTCAGTAATCACTCACCATTTTATTTTTTAATTCATGCATCTTAAGAGTAAAGCTATAAAATTGTTCTGGCCGGGAACGGTGGCTCATGCCTGTAATCACAGCACTTTAGGAGGCCAAGGCGGGAGGATCACAAGGTCAGGAGTTCAAGACCAGCCTGGCCAACATGGTGAAACCCCGTCTCTACTAAAAAAATACAAAAATTAGCTGGGCATGGTGGCGTGCGCCTGTAATCCCAGCTTCTTGTGAGGCTGAGGTGGGAGAATTGCTTAAACCTGGGAGGCGGAGGTTACAGTGAGCCAAGATTGCGCCACTGCACTCCAGCCTGGGCAACAGAGCAAGACTCCATCTCAAAAAAAAAAAAAAAATTTAGGTTGAAAAAATGGCCATTTCATTCTCTATTGATTGAAACGTAAATTAACTAAACTTTCCTGAGAACAATTTAAAAATCTGGACCAAAGGCCTTTTTAAAAAAAATTCCTATACTTTAAACGAATAATTCTATATTGAAGAATTTATTCAAAGTAAATAATTAGAAATGTAGAAAAAGATTTATAAAAAGGTATTCCTTCCAGCATTAACTATAATACAAAAAAACTGTAAACCCAAAACTTACTGTATTAAATAATGAGTCTTCCATACGACAAACTTCTACATAGCCATTAAAGTGATTTAAAAGAATATATATTTAGTAGAAGTTCATAGTTAAGAACTAGTTATATTATTTCCAAGAATTTCACACTCCACAAGACTAAGAAGTTTTCTTCCCTGCTAAGCCCCAGAAGATAAGTCAGCAATTACAAGAATTCTATATATCTTTAGTACAAATAGTTAAACATTTCTTTAAAACTAGGCTATCATACCTCAAAGAGCACAGTTCTCGTTCCCATTCAACTTTTTGATGCTCTAACTGTGATTTTATTTCTTTTGTTTCAGATAGCTCCCTTTGTAGTACATTAACCTTGTCTTCCATTTTTTTAATTTTTACTGTAAGTAGTTCACAGTGATTTTTTTTAAGTTCTAATAATCTTTCACATGAAAGAGCTGCATCCTGGATTTTCAATAGGCTAACAGAATCTGTATCAGGAAGAAAACAAGATAGAAATATATGAGCATTTTTCCATATAACACACTGTGCACTATAACATTCACTCATTAAGACACTGACCAATTACATATTGAGGGCCTACAATGTGGAAGACATTAAACTAAGCTCTGAAGATAAAACAGGCAAGACCTCTGCACTTGCTTAGCTTAAAGTATAGTGAAGACAAAAAAAGTGACAAAATACAAAAAAAGTGACAATTATGAATTCAGATAGATGCTGTAAGGAAACAGAGTTCTATGACCACAAAAGAGAATTTGATCTATACTGGGTCCAGGGAAGATTTCCCTGAGGGAGAGGTGGCTACACTGAGAAATGAAGGACGAGAAGGCAGCAGTTAAGCAAATGGGGAAGAAAAGCATTCCAGGCAGTCTGCAGCGTGTGCTGAGGCTCTACTGCAGTCTGCTTCAGGTACTAACTTTCCTTCTTTCCTGAAACGACCAAAGACAAAACAGACAAAATACATGAAACAACGAGTTTCAAGAGAGTGGACTCAGGCAATGAACACAAGGATCCCTGACAGACAAGAAACAAAGGAAGTGGCCGGGCGTAGTGGGTCACACCTGTAATCCCAGCACTTTAGGAGGCTGAGGTGGGCGGATCACCTGAGGTTAGGAGTTCGAGACCAGTCTGGCCAACATAGTGAAACCCTGTCTCAACTAAAAATACAAAAATTAGTGGGGCGTGGTGGCAGGCACCTGTAATCACAGCTACTTGGGGGGGCCGAGGCAGGAGAATCGCTTGAACCCAGGAGGTGGAGGTTGCAGTGAGCTGAGATTGCGCCACTGTACTCCAGCCTGGGCAACAGAGCGAGACTCTGCCTCAGAAAAAAAAAAAAAAGAAAAGAAAACAAACAAAGGAAGTAAGTTTTATGGTCTTATGAATGCCCAGAGACCCGCTTTCAGAGTTTCTAGGTCATGATGCGGGGAGGAAAAACTGACATAAAGTCCAGCAGACTCCCTGAGTTGAAGTGATGAAGCTGAGAGTCTGGTAAACGCAAAGTAGACAGAGATCACAGGACACTAGAGAGGAGCGAGAGGTACAGAGAACCCTGGAGATCTACAGAGATCCCCTCTTGGGTATTGAGCAAAGTAATAAACAGTGCATGTATGCTAGGAAACTATCTGAAACCAAAGAAAAAACCCCATTAAAAAAAGGAGAGGAAATCCTGCCTGGTGCTTCCACAGCACCAGGAAGAGTGTTCATTCCCACAGTCAGGCTGAAAAAACTCATACTTCTCAAGACAATGAATAATCAGAAAGGTATTGCCTCAGGAGTGGGGAATTAGCCCAAATCATAAAAGCAATATAGGAAAAAGTCAAGCTGTTTATATGTAACTCAACTGTACCTCAAAATAAAGCTCAAGAAGATAAGTGGAGGCATGGAAGATATTTTTTAAAAACCAAATTGCACTTGTAGAGATGCAAATTACAATGTCAAAGATGAAAACTAAATTAGATGAAAATAAACACAGATTAACCATCACAAAAGAAAAGATTCATAACTTTGAGACATCAATGAACTACGGAAAAAAATCCAAGCAGCTAATATATAAGCCCCCAAAGAGGAAGGAAGAGAGACAGAAAAAAAATGTGAAGAAAAATTGGCCAAAACTTTCTAAACTTAATAAAAACTATAATCCCACAGATTCAGAAAGGATATGGCCAGGAGAGAAAAAAATGAAAGCAAACTATTATAATTATACCATATATCAGAACTATAACAAAATTATACCATATATGATGTGGTATGATATTATTTGAAGGTGGACTGTGATAAATTCAAGTCATATACTATAAATCCTAAAGCAACCACTAAGATAGCAAAACAAAGAGTCATAGCTTATAAGTCAAAAAAAAAACAAACCCAAAAACCTGAGATAAAACTCAGGAGCATCTGTAGATCAATGGAACACAACAGAGTCGAGAAGCAGAACCACATGTACGCAGCCAACATATTTTTGACAAAGGCACAATGGCAAATGCAGTGGGAAAAGGCTAGCCTTTCTGATGTATGATGCTGGAACAATATGTCCATATCCAAAAAAATGAACTTGAATCCATACTTCAATCCATACAAAAATATGAACTCAAAATGGATCACACACCTAAATGTAAGACGCAAAACTGGCTGGGCACGGTGGCTCACGCCCGAAATCCCAGCACTCTGGGAGGCCAAGGTGGGCAGATCACTTGAGGTCGGGAGTTTGAGACCAGCCTGGCCAACATGATGAAACCCCGCCTCTATTAAAAATACAAAAAAGCTGGCAGGGCGTGGTGGCTCACGCCTGTAATCCCAGCACTTTGGGAGGCCAAGGCGGGTGGATCCGGAGGTCAGGCAATTGAGACCATCCTGGCTAACACGGTGAAACCCTGTCTCTACTAAAAATACAAAAAGTTTGCCAGGCTTGGTGGCGGGCACCTGTAGTTCCAGCTACTTGGGAGGCTGAGGCAGGAGAATAGCGTGAACCCAGGAGGCAGACCTTGCAGTGAGCGGAGATCGCGCCACTGCACTCCAGCCTGGACGACAGAGCGAGACTCCATCTCAAAAAACAAACAAACAAACAAACACAAAAAACAAACAAAAAAATACAAAAAAAAAAAAAAAAAAAAAGCTGGGTGTGGTGGCACACGCCTATCATATCAGCTACTCAGGAGGCTGAGACACAAGAATCGCTTGAACCCGGGAGGTGGAGGTTGCAGTGACAGTGCACTCCAGCCTGATTGACAGAGTGAAATTTTGTCTCAAAAAAAAAAAAAAAAAGACCTAAATCTATAAAATTTCTAGAAAAAAAGCATAAGAGGAAATCTTTGTGACCCTGTGTTATGCAAAGACTTCTTAAATGCGATACAAAAAGCAAAATCCATAATTAAACAGATAAATTGGACTTCATCAAAATTAAAAACTTCTGCTCTTCAAAAGATACCATTAACAAAATGAAAAGTCAACAAAAAAATAAAAAATTAAAATGAAAAAAAAAAAGAGAATGAAAAGTTAAGCCACAAACTGGGAGAAAAAAATCCCTGCAAAAAATATAGCTAATAAAGGAATAATATCAAGAATATATCATATAAAGAACTCTTCAGCTTTGCACAGTGGCAGCATCATAGCCACCAATGAAGCACTGCAAAATGTATGCTAAATGTACATACATTTATTACATTACATACATTACAATGGGATACATAAAAAGGCCTTAAATTTATGCAATGGTCCTACCTTTACACTCCATTCCAAGTTGTTCAATGAGCAACATAAAATTCTTGTAACTAGAGTGGGGTAGCTCACAATCCTCTGAGGCTGTTTCAGATGACTGAGTTAAGTCATCAACATCATCCATAGACTGTATTTGGTTTTTGACCTATGAAATAAATAACACTGTTTCAAAATGTCCCCAGAATATTTATAGCACATACAGAAGTGGTAATTATCCATCTTTCTAAATGAGCAAAAACACAGGTATTTCTTAAAAAGAACTGATTTTTGTTAAAAGGATTTATTTATCAACAGCTAGTGCTTCTTAATCACTTTTTCAAAGTAAATGTCTTTACAACAAAAGATTCTCTTTTTTTTAATTTCATGTTTTTGTTTTTGTTTTTTTTTGACATCGGGTCTCGCTCTATCACCCAGGCTGGAGTGCAGTATCGTGACCATAGCTCTCTGAAGCTTCAAACTCCCAGGCTCAAGCAATCCTCTCACCTCAGCCTCCCAAGTAGCTGGGACTACAGGCATGCTCACCACGCCTGGTTAATTTTTTCTTAATTCTTGTAGAGACAGGGCTCCCACCATGTTGCCTAGGCTGGTCTCAAATTCCTGGAGTCAAGCAATCCTCCCGCTTTAGCCTTCCAAAGTGCTGAGATTACAGGTGTGAGCCACTGTGCCCAGCCCACTTTATCTTTTATAATGTATTTTTTTAAACAATAATTTTGATAATTTATTTTTTACAGTACCTTGTTCTTTTCATTAGATGTTTTCTTAGTAGGCCTAAAAAAAAAAAATACCTTTCAGGCAAATAGTAAACATGTAAAATGCAAGGAATATCTAAAACTATTGTTTTTTTAAATAAAAGCTCTGCATTTGTAATTTATTTACCCTATTCATAAAGTTTACAGGAATCTTTTTTACAGGTAATATAAAAGATAATAACTTTCTACAAGGGGTATTAAACTATATACAGAAAAAGTAAAAGTAAGGGACAAGAAAAATATACTAACAATATCATAACAAACAAATTTAGATCAAGCTTCCTGACAGTCAAAGCAAAATGAAAACATAGTGTTACTTGCATTATTCAATAGAAAGAAATATACCAGGTTTTTTTTTTTTGCTGTCGACCTTTTCAATAAAAACAAGCTTTTACGGGCACTAAAACCTATTTGGAATATATTACTTAACACCCTTACATGATGGAAACCCTTTTTGAATGACGGTATTAGTTAGCTTTTTTCAGGACTCACAATGCAGGTACTATGCATTATCCTAAGCACTGTACATATATTAAACTCATTTTAATCCTAACAATAATTCTGTGAGGTTGATAACATATTAGGTATTTTATAAAGGAAGAAAGTAGGCACAGGAAAACCAAGTAACTTGCCCAAGCACATATAGCTGGTCAGTAGCAGACCCAAAATTCAAACCCAAAAATTCTAGCTCCAAAACATATTTTGCTGTGCTGTGAAAGTAATATTTATTTTCAAGTGTTTTTAAGTGATATGATAGCAGATGAATCTATATTTTCATTCTATTTCTGGTTATAATTATAAATAATTTCTGAATCTTGCAAATATTTTTAAAATAAAAAGACCTTAAATCTAGCCAATTTGGAAATCTACTTTCAATAAGCTCAACATTTATTTTTTCTAAAGAAATTCATCAATGTTCATTCATTCATCTACTCAACTCTTTATTCATGCATTCAAAAATCCTTATTGAAGCTGGGCGTGCTGGCTCACGCCTGTAATCTCAGCACTTTGGGAGGCCAAGGTGGGCAGATCACTTGAGGTCAGGAGTTTAAGACCAGCTTGGCCAACATGGCGCAACCCTGTCTCTACTAAAAATACAAAAAATAGCCGGGCATGGTGGTGTGCACCTGTAGTTCTAGCTACTTGGGAGGCTGAGGCATGAGAATTGCTTGAACCCAGGAGACGGAGGTTGCAGTGAGCTGAGATCACGTCACTGCACTCCAGTCTGGGCAACGGAACAAGACTCTGACTTAAAAAAAAAAAAAAAAAAATCCTTACTCAGCATACATGTCAATGACACTATTAGCATAAGGCAACATGGTTTTTAATATTTTAGAACTTTATAATCTAAAAGTAATAGTCTGTGATAGATTGTCAATAGTTTAATTTTCTACTGTACATAAACAAAATCCTCCCCTTCTCCCCAGAATCTAAACAACTATTAAGTTAATACACCTGATCTTTTAGTCTTACAAAATCATAGCTGTTCATGATGCTACTGTCAAAAGTACTCTGATATCTTCAATTATCAAGAAATGTTTAAATTCAATTCAGTATGGCCTATATGTTTGCATGTTTATTATTAGATAATTTTTTAAAATCCATATATGATAGTTTAACTTTAAGATCATCATTGACACATTCAATTATATTACAATACTCCATTTTTGAAACAATTCCAAATGAACAACCTCTTAGCAAAAAACTACATTAATAGAAGTTCTAAGGACAATTAGTTTATTATAAATCTTTAAAAGATAATGGATCAAGCTTTCTGAGGCTTTGACATGCAAACAAAACTAAATTTCATAAGCATTTCCTTCTCTACTGGGTCACTCCCAAAAGCATGCAAATAAACTCTAAAAGCTTGCATTTTAAAATAAAAAAGAAAGAAGGCTCCCTTGAATCCCACATTCTTCTTCAGTTACCACCCATTTACCTATTGCCTCTCAGTCCAAGTTCTCTCAAACGCCGTCTGTGCCCATCCACTATAGTCAGGGCTCCATGGTGACCATTTATTGAAATGGCTGCTTGTCAAAGTCACTTGTCCTCATCTTAATCTTTCAGCAGCATGGAAACAGTCGATATTCTCTAGCTTTGGGAGACTACATCATTCTATTTTCAGAAAAAAATTACTACTAACCTTCCTCCATAGAAAAATAAAGAAATCATAGATTTTACCTTCCTTCATCCTCATCTATTTCACTTAAACTGCTGTCATCATCCACTTGTAGCAGGCCACCAGTTAGTAAACTGGCCTTCCCAAACACTGGTGAATTCACAGATTCTTTCGAGGTCCGTTTTTCTTTTTCAGTGCTCTTTACTTCCTTCATTTGCAAGGCAGGACCACTACTTTAAAAAATCCATGGGAAATGACAGTTACATAAGAAAAAAGAAAAAAAGAAACAACATGCAGAAAGAGAGTTAAGGAAAAGAAAGAATAAAAAATCCATTAAAAAGCCAATGTTTTCTAGTAATTCTAACAAAGAATAAAAATAATTTTTTATAAAATTCCAACATTTCCCCCATCTCAATTCATTCACTAATTCAAAAAACACGAATTACCAACAACATAAGAGAAAATGTATATTCCCTGCTTCAAAAACCATAATTTTATCATACCATTATGATAAAATGTGATATGTAAGGTTGATATATGAAAAGATATATCTGAACACAAGGACAGCTTTAAAACAGAAGAGACAAAATAGAGGAGTTCATGAGACAAAAAATGGGAGAAAACCATTCTACTTAGAGAATAGAAGGTGAGCACAGATTAGGCACACGGCATCTAGATGTTTCCTAGGAACTTGAAAGAAAAAGAGAAAGAAACTAGAGACAGGTGAATGCTACACTAAACTTGAATGTGACAGTAAAAGGCTGGAGCTCATTGCCTACAAACAATGGTCTTTAGACATGGAAGTAGCAATTAGATTTGGGCTATATTTTTTGTTTTGTTTTTAAACATCATAATGTTTCATTTAAATGAAGTTTATTTTAAATGAAGTTTTAAAAATAGCATGATACACATATAACATGGAAGAAGAAATCAGGAAAATATCCTGGGTGGGGGAAAAATCCTTTTAGAATACCTATATGTCATTATATGCAGTTCCAAAATAGCAATATTCTGATTAGTTATGATTTTGTTTGCAAATAAAATAATGGGCTGGTCACGGAGGCTCACACCTGTAATACCAGCACTTTGGGAGGCTGAGGCGGGTGGATCATGAGGTCAGGAGTTCAAGACCAGCCTGGCCAAGATGGTGAAACCCCATCTCTACTAGAAATACAAAAAAATTAGCCTGGTGTGGTGGTGCGGGCCTGTAATCCCAGCTACTCGGGAAGTTGAGGCAGGAGAATTGCTTGAGCCCAGGAGACAGAGGTTGCAGTGAGCTGAGATCACACCACTGCACTCCAGCCTAGGCAACAAAAGCAAAACTCCATCTCAAAGAAAGAAAATAAAAGAATTTGGTAACTTTTATAGACTTTTAGCCTAGTTGGATTTACCACCAGAAAAACTGTAATAATACTACTACTACTACTACTACTAATAATAATAATAATAATTATTATTATTATTATTATTGGAGATGGAGTCTCGCCCTGTCACCCAGTTTGGAGTGCAGTGGCACAATCTCGGCTCACTGCAACTTCCGACTCCCGGGTTCAAGTGATTCTCCTGCCTCAGCCTCCCCAGTAGCTGGGTTTACAGGCGCCTGCCACCATGCCTGCCTAATTTTGTATTTTTAGTACAGATGGGGTTTCACCATGTTTTCCAGGCTCATCTGGAACTCTGACCTCAAGTGATCCACTTGCCTCGGCCTCCCAAAGTGCTGGGATTACAGGCATGAGCCACCGCACCTGGCCATAACTACTTTTTTACGGTCTAAAAACATGCACAAGGATATCACTATCATATACCTATATAATTTACAGAGACTGAAATTTCCCACTGTGTTAAGAGTTGAGCATGAGCCCCTAAAAATACCCAGTATACTGAAATGTTTACATGTACTACAGATCTCTCTGTGCAATCCCTTGGCAAAATTCAAATTAATTTGAGAGCCCAACATTTGGGATACTATAATAAATATCCTTAGCAACATGTGTATATATGTAATGTGTTTATATAAATATCCTTAAAATACATACATTATTTAACATGTTATACATATATTATACATAGGCTTACTGTGTATTACACATAATATATAATAAATGTCCTTAACTTGTGTGTGTGCATTTTTATGTAAGTCATATTTTCCTGTAGAATCTAGTCCCAGAAGTGAAGCTGTTAGGTTAAAGATAGGAAATATTTGAAATTTTGATACATACTAAATTATCCTTCAAAAAGGATTTACCAATTTCATTTACCAACAGTGTATGAGAATGCCTTTTTTCTCACATTTGCCATCACTGGGTATTATTTTTTAAATAAAATATCAATATGATTGAAAAAACTGGTATCTCATTGTTTGCTAATTTGCATTTTTCTAATTGCAAGGCAAGGTTGCATATCCCTTGCATAGTAAAAGTATAAAATTTATTAATCATGAATATTAGTCCAAATTAGAATTTTTATAGCACAATAACAATTATCTGCTGTTAAATATGCTATCAGCTTACCTAGCATACTCTTTATTTTCCTTCCTGGGAAATTGCTGATGATCAGTTTCTCCACTCTTTCTTTTTTGAATTAATCCATCATCATCATCATCATCTTCAGCATCATCAGTAGCACCATCATGTATGTTTGCTGATACTTCCATTTCATTATTTCTGTGTTTTTTCCTTTCTTCTTCAACCTTTAATGAAAGTTTGATACTAAGGAATTGCTATTACTTTATTCAATAATAATTTCTTTGTTTTCATTGAGTTTATCATTTGACTCAGTTTAACTATGGTAACTTTAGCCAATAAAAATATTTTCTGCTTACTCTAATGGGATCATTGTATACATAATTGTTATATAATTATCAGCTATTATTATAATTTTATCAACGAAATTTTTGTAAAGTCTGCTTCATTTCTGTTTGGGTAAAACAGAATTTTCCAAAATTTCAAAGGCTCTTCTTAATTTTGTGCTTTTATTCCCATCCAATCTTCACTATCTACTATGAATTTTCACCCCATTTTACTGGCAGAAACAGAGAAATAAAAAGACAAAGACACAAGATGCATCTTCTTCTGCCTTTTTACCACCTGGATTTTACACTACGCAGCCAGGAAGAGAAAGGAATCTTCCCCCTTTCTGCACTAAGATATTCTTTTCCCCAGTGTCTTTTATAATTCTTTTTTTCGTTTGGATCCTGGGATATCAACAAAGTGAAGGTGCTCACTGAAATACAGAAACCAAGGTTTGCCACAACATAAGGAACAGAGTGAAACTGCTGAGTTGCTGGTGTGGAATTCTGGAGAATGAGATGCTTCCCGAATTTCACATTCAATAACTAAAATTTTATAGCTGGAGGATATATAGTATAAGTATTAATTATCTAAGTTAACCTCATTATCTACTGATTAAATGATCCATCCAGATTAAAACAAGAAAGATTAAATGATCCATCCAGAGCTCCTAAAGTGGCATTATCTAGCACTTTATGGCACCAAAAGAGATGATATAACTCCATAATGCTGAATCAGATAAATTACCAGATAAATTCATCAAATTAATCAGATGAATTAAGTGTGACACTGGCAAAGTAATTTAATGCCATAGCAGGGTGTGGGAAGTCTCGTCTGCTTTTACTTTTAAAGAAGAATATTGGCCGGGCGCAGTGGCTCACGCCTGTAATCCCAGCACTTTGGGAGGCCGAGGTGCGTGGATCATGAGGTCAGGAGTTTAAGACCAGCCTGGCCAACATGGTGAAACCCCATCTCTACTAAAATACAAAAATTAGCCGGGTGTGGTGGTGGGCGCCTGTAATCCCAGCTACTCAGGAGGCTGTGGCAGGATAATTGCTTGAACCCGGGAGGCGGAGGTTGCAGTGAGCCAAGATCATGCCATTGCACTGCAGCCTGGGCAATAGAGTAAGAATCTGTCTCAAAAAAAAAAAAAAAAAAAAAAAAAAAAGAAAGAAAGAAAGAAAAAGAAGAATATCTGCAGATTATTGTTTATCTTTACAACTCAATGTACAGAACTCAGCTTTCTACTTTGGAGTTAAATACTAAATTTCTGGCTGAGGATTTATGCTACTGATAGGGTATACATGCCCAAACTTATCATACTTTATTAAACAACATAATGTAAAGGTCTGGTTCAACAGAAACATTTGACTGGTGTTTTAAAAAATATGTGAAAGTACATGTATTTGTTGTCAAAAATCTTTAAAGTGATCAGAATGGAATTATAAGTTCCAACAGTTTGAGTCAAACAGATAAGCTTTACACACACGAAAGCACATTAAAAAGATCCCTTTGGCTGGGAATATTTGTTAACAATACTCAGGGCTAGATATATTTTTATATCTCTTCTCAGTCACTGCTTCTCTCCCACTGTATTGCCATGTTGTTGTTTAAATAAAAGAAATTCATCTTTAAGAAAATAGGGAAAAAAACCCTAGCACTTATTACCTTTCATAAGGCAATTTCCTTTATGCTTATACTGGTTCACAAGGTCACACGGTATATGGCTAAATTAGTTTCCCAGTCCATATGTCACTTGGAAGACTGATAGACTTCTTAGGTTGATTAAGGAACAAAGATTTTGAGAATGTTTTCCTTAACTCTTGTTACTTAGATAGCAGAATAATATCTATTTCTAAACACAATTACATATTTAGGTAACACCATTTTATACATGAGCTCTTCATAAGCAGAAAATCAGAATGGATCAAATAATTGATAGAGAAAAAAACAAAGAGTAGCAGCAAGCAAACCTCTACCTCTTTTTGAAGTTGGACTTTTTCTTTCTCCAAAGCCTGGAACTCTACTTTTAACATGCCTATCTCATTTTTAAACCTTTGCATATCTTGCTGTAATTCTTCTTTTAGAGATACTTTTGATGTTCTGTCACCACGTGGTGGAGAAGACCTCACATTTTCTAATTCAGGTTCCATGCTTTTATAGTTATTAGCACTGCAATGATCATATAATGGCTTCTGGAACAAGTTCTGTATTGGTTTTGTTTTCTTGTAAGCGTCTGTACCAGCAGAAATACTATGCCTTTTTATGTGAAACATATGATTCATTTCTTTGGAGCAGATCAAATCAAAAGGTCTTTTTGGATCACTATACTGAGGCACACGTCTGATGTCTAATTTCCAGTTAGTGGTATTTCGGTTCATATTTTTTGTCTTATCAAACTCTTCTTTCATTACACCTGTAACTACTTCTGGGTTCCTTACTTTTTTATTTTCTGTATCATTATAAAAATTCTCATCTGTGTTAAAAACATGTTCAGTGTCTGGTTTGTTAACATTTTCATGGCCTAATTTATTTTCATTTAAATAAGGCTTAGAAGATGACTGGCAAGCATATTCTGGGGACCCAGAGTATGAAGGAAATGAAAAGCCATTTTCGAGACTGAGTACTTTTTGTTCAGGCAATGCCTGGAATAGTACAGAGACAGGAGAATCTTTTTCATCGCAATCAAGTATATTATTTGTCAAAGAAGAAGGTATTTCCTTTAAGTTTGTGCCTCCTTTAGAGTTATCATGTAGTGACTCTTCCCCAGGAGAAGCAGTAATTTTGTATTTTTCACAAGTTTCACCACAGCTCTGCTTTAACTCATTTGTGATGAGTTTTAAGTTATTTTTCCACTCTAATTTGCCTTGTTTGGTCCACATTTCTTCATCATTTTGCACACAAGGAAGTCCTGAATATACAGATACATCCTCTCTATCACACTCCTTATTCAGTTCTGGTTCTTGAGACATCTTTTGCAGACATGAAAGTGGACGATTAATTTGCTTGTTTTGTTTTTCAGATGTCTTTTCTGTCAGGGTGCATGTTTTTAAAATAACTTTATCCTTGAGTAATCAAGTACGGACAAAGAAAAATTAGGAAATAATTAAAATTCAACTGTTAAACTTAGTCTATGTTTAGTTACTCCCAAATCACTGGATTGTAACTAAGAAGTAAAAACTAATTTGCCTTAGCCTAAAATAGGAGAAAAACATGAACCAGCAAAGTTAAGTTTATCACTGTTCCTTTGGATTAAACTTAATTCATTATGTGTTAAATCTACCAAAAATAAATTAGCAGATGATTTGTAGCATTATAAAGGCATCCTCATTTTAAAAGATTTTACCTTACCATACCTCAAATACTGAGCCCCTACAGTGCATTTAAGTACTTTTTGTAAAGATTTCTAACTGGAGAGTAGGGAAAGTTTAAATTATTAGGAGCCAAAATAAACACCAATCAGAAAGAAAAGTTAACTCTTACATTTTAATTGAAATTATATACCATAATATGGTGTTATGCATCTGTATAAACTATATAAGACTTAAGTCTAATTCTTAAATATCCTAAGGTTCATTAATAGTGGATTTAAAAATTCTATAATATTTACTGATTTCCTAGACTGAAATAATCAGAAAGTTATTGTGTATATCCTAACAATGGAAAGATCCCATTCTGAAAGGAATGATTCTCTTAATAACTGGGTTGATTTTCTGACCTCATTCTTTCCCTGAATGTAGACACTGAAATCAACAGGGATCACAAGGCAGAATAAATCTTTAACCTTGGAATCAGTGACCAGCAATATAAGAATGTAAATCCTGAACCACTGGGAATGATTACTCCTTTAAGATGAATCCAACTCAGTGGCCATCAGTGTTAAAATGTTCATAATTTCTACTGCTTAATAATATGATTCAATATTTGATGTTACCATCTTTATCATATAAGGAAGTTATAAAAATGAAAGAGGAAACAATACTCAGGAAATTTCTGGCTTCAATTCCAAGGGTAAAGATTAACTATAACAAAAACAAAAACAAAAACAAAAGATTAGCTATAGGTTACTACACATTCTAAGAACATTTTAACTAGTCAAAACGTTTTTAATACTAAATATTAAATGATGATCTATTGATTCTAAAAGGCTAGTCTGAAAAGTAATTTCATTTGGACTATGTTACATCATTAAAGCAAAGAAAACAATATTAAACCAGAAATTTTTAAAAATATATAATACCTGTGGCTGGTTATTTTCACTCCCTTCCCTTTCTTGCTCTTCTTCTGATGCTACTTCTAAGTCATGTTCAGCTGAAAAAATCCAAATATTTAGTTTAATGAACTACTTAGAACAGTTAGGTAAAAGGTATAGTCTTTACAGAAATAGAAAATAATATTTATTTTATTTTATAAATCGAGAGGGTTTTCTTCTATTTGTTTATGAGACAGGGCCTTACTCTGTCGCCCTAGCTGGAGTGCAGTGGCGCAATCACAAAGTTTCAATGAAGCCTAATCTTTAGTGGAATATTTACTTCTCAGTAAGAAATACTTCTAAGTATCAACTTAATGAGGTATCTAATTAAAATTTCAACCATTATCTAAAACTTCAACAAACCACTTGGGGAAACTAGTAACACTAGACAATACCAGGTTCAACCCATACAAACATCTCAAATATTCACTCACAAATTCATTCACCCAACATAAATAAGCTAAACTGTCAGAAACAAAACAAAATTTTATGATACAGTAGGAATATATAAAGTAACATTGTATAATGTTCTCTATAACAGTATCTTTTTAACAAGGCACAAAGAGTGTTTTTCATTATTAATGAATTCCAAAATTACTGCTACTTTTTACATCTTTATCATTGTACATCACGCTCCTTACATCTGAAATGTTTTCTGCTATTTTGACAAATTTTTTTTCATCTTTTAAGACTAAGACAGCTATGTGAAGTCTTCCTCGATTAGAGCTATCTTCCCCCAGATAAACAGGTGTCTCCTTCCTTGGGGCTGCCTTAGTACCTTATCTTTGTACTGTATCTTTTCCATCTGAACTGTATATTATTTATTTATATGTTTATGCCCTTGCTCCCAGACGGTAGGGGACAATCTTTCAAGTTATCTTTGTATAAACAGTCTTTATCTATTTTACTCGATAATTATTTACTGAGTTCCTGCTAAGTTCTAAACACTGAGGTTTAAAGAATGTAAATAAAACCGGGTACGGTGGCTCACATCTGTAATCCCAGCACTTTGGGAGGTCGAGGTGGGTGGATCACTTGAGGCCAGGAGTTCCAGACCAGCCTGGCCAACATGATGAAATGCCCTGTCTACTAAAAATATAAAAATGAGCTGGGCGTGGTGGTGTGTGCCTGTGATCCCAGCTACTCGGGAGGCTGAGTCAGGAAAATCACTTGAACCCGGGAGGCGGAGGTTGCGGAGAGCCAAGATCGTGCTGCTGCACTCCACTGAGACTCCATCACACACACAAAAAAAGAATGTAAATAAAAGTGTCAAAGATGGCTTTGCTAGAGATCATGCCTGAGTTGAGACTTAAAAAGTGAGGTTAGCCAGACTAAAAGGGGTAAAGGGCAGGAAAGGGTAACAGCATGCAAGGCAGCAACAAGAGAGGGAAAGAAGCCTCAAATAGCGTTATATATTTGTCTAAAATACAAGCACCAGAGAAGAGAGCATCACCAGCAGTTGAGTAATCCCAGAGAAAAGGGCAGAAAGGGGAAAGGGCTAAAGATGGAGAGTTAGGCAGAAGTCAGATGATGAAAGCCTTATATGTAATCTTAAGATGTTTGAACATTTATGCTTTCAAGAGGGACTCAAGGTCCTATTTGCATTGGAGACAGATCACCCTAAATACTGTGGAGAGAATGAATTTCAGGGGCATATGAATAAATAAAGGGAGATTAATTAGAAGACAATATTGCAGAACAAGGATAATGCAGGCCTAAACTGAGGGAATGTTTCCAAAAATATTTAGGATATAGAATATCAGTACCCAATACAGAGTGAATTTTTATTAAATGAATAGATGTATATATCTGGGTCCCTGGAGAGCTAGACTCTATTCATTACCTTATAAAAGGTATTAAATGAGAAGTGAAACAATCTACAGGCACTGTTTAAGTTGTTTACTTCATACTTTTTCTGTTTCATGTCTTCCTGTGTTAAGGGATTTCATTTAGGTATTTTGTTTTAAAAGTCCTGCTTCTTGGATCTACTAAGCTCATGAAGAAATGAGAGCAAACAAGCATATATATGTATAGGTGAGTAACTTTAGATTTATAGCTTGCAGTCACTACTCTAGGGGATAACTGATCATCTTCTGTAAAATACAACATTAATTCTACAAGTAAGGGGGAAAAAGAAAACAAAACTATTGGGATAAAAAAATTATATGATTTATTACTGTAGACCAGATCACATGATTAAGGGCACCGAGTTAAACTGGTACATAAAGTAAAACACATTAGATGCAGTTAATCAACAGACTGGGTGTCCTAAAAGAATTATTAATAAAATTGAATTTCATATATCTTTTTTAAATGATAGAGCACTCCTTAAAACAAATATTCCTAGTGAACAACTATTCATTAAAACAAGGTGACAGACTATGTGTACACAGCTGGGGATACACTATAGAGCAAATTCTCAATGATTCCCACTAATACGGGGCAGTCCACTCTATAATATCTAAAGCCATAGAAATTATAAGAAATAATATTTGATTTGAATGGTGCTTTTTTGTTACATTACATGTAGTTATAACTAACACTTGTGAATTCAGAGCTGTAAAAATAAAGCATAAAAACCACATTGTGCTTGAGTAGGCAATCTTTAGATCTCTACCTAGTTTTCCATCCAGTCCCAAAACTCTAAATATAACCCTGCTACTGACTCTCAAGTTTATGCTCTATACTGGCCTAAACAAAATTACTGTCCCTCCTAATTCTCTTTGTGATTCATAGATTGTTTTTGTTAGAGGAAGACTACAAATGCCCTGCTAAAAGGTATTTTGTCCGGTTGTAGGTTACATAAGGAGAATAAACACAAAGTACTTTCGCTAAAAATGATTCTTTTTCTTCTTTCTTTTTTTGAGACGGAGTCTTGCTCTGTCGCCCAGGTTGGAGGGCAATGGTGTGATCTTGGCTCACTGCAACCTTCGCCTCCTAGGTTCAAGTGATTCTCCTGCCTCAGCCTCCTGAGCAGCTGGGATTACAGGCGCCCGCCACCACACCCAGCTAATTTTTGTATTTTCAGTAGAGATGGGGTTTCACCATGTGGGCCAGGCTGGTCTTGAACTCCTGACCTCAGATGATCCACCCGCCTTGGCCTCCCAAAGTGCTGGAATTACAGGTGTGACCCAGCCAAAAATAATTTTTTTTAAAGTTATAACTAGGCTGGGCAAGGTTACATGCCTGTAATCCCCACAATTTGGGGGGCTGAGGTGGGTGGATTACCTGAGGTCAGGAGTTCAAGACCAGCCTGACCAACATGGTGAAACCCTGTCTCTACTAAAAATACAAAATTAGCCAGGTATGATGGTGCATGCCTGTAATCCCAGCTACTTGGGAGGCTGAGGAAGGAGAATCGCTTGAACCCGGGAGGCAGAGGTTGTAGTGAGCTGAGATCATGCCATTGCACTCCAGCTTGGGCAGCAAGAACAAAATTCTGTCTCAAAAAATAAAATAAAAAATAAAAGTCATAACTATGATATTATGAAGCCAAGCAAAGGTACTCTAGGACTGAATTCTCTGTGCTTCTGTGTTACCTTCTTTGCTTTTTGTTTTCTGGTAGCTGTGATTCACAAAGGTCATGGAGAGTATTATTCTCTAATAGAAACTAAGCTCCAATAGTAATCTTTCCTTTAGCTGTTTGTCCCAGTTCTGCGGATGCTGACTGATTTTTGGTCACTGACTGTGATACAGATAGATATTTATCATTGATTTTCAAAGTCCCAGGTCTTTGGCAAGTCTTATTACTGAGGGTCAAACTAGTAGAGTCCCAATCTGAAAACTCTGAAAATAAAGTTTTCACTTATTAGAATGTAAATAATATAGGTTTGACTAACTTTCTTCATAGAAGAAGTCCCATGTCAACCTCTATGCTACAAACACACTACTCCTCCATGGTGAATTGTATTTTACATGTCCTTTACTTGCCATTTGCTCACAGAAGTTTAACTGACTGTCATCTCTCGGATTTTTTTCTGTTTTTATTTTTCAGTATTACTTATTTACTTTGATTCACTCAGCAATGTCTGTTACCTATTTTGTTTTCCATAAGAGATTTGTTTATTAATAATTAAGATTCTTCAGGGATATGAATTTTTTTATGAACAAACTTTATGTCTAACCATTTTAGGTTTAAATATGGATGACAGTATTGTGTGTGTGTGTTTGTGTGTGTGTTCTAAAGACAAAAACATTTAATAAATAAACTTTAAATAAAAACTTATTACAATGAAATGCTCTTTCCTCAACGTACCACTATGTTCAGAATTTACTTTTTAAGCCTTGGGTAAACATCAGAAATTTATAGACAAAATGATGGCCTTGGCCAGGCACAGTGGCTCACACCTGTAATCCCAGCACTTTGGGAGGCCAAGATGGGTGGATCACGAGGTCAAGAGATCGAGATCATCCTGGCCAACATGGTGAAACCCCATCTCTACTAAAAATACAAAAATTAGCTGGCCTTGTTGGCGCGCGCCTGTAGCCCTAGCTACTCAGGAGGCTGAGGCAGGAGAATCGCTTGAACCTAGGAGGCAGAGGCTGCAGTGAGCCGAGATCGTGCCACCGCACTCCAGCCGGGTGACAGAGCGAGACTCCATCTCAAAAAAAAAAAAAAAGAAAAAAGAAAGAAACAATGATGGCCTTAAGTGACCTAATTGTTCCCACGTGAAAATAAATCTAGGTGCACACTTGATCCAGAGAGTACACAGTGCCATGAAACAAGAAATGAGTATATAACAAAAATATTTTCCTTTTTTCTTTATAAACAAAATTGTTGGATTTAAACATTTTAAGACAAGCAAAAGAAAAAAGTAAAAACCATAGAAGTGAAACTTTAAAGGCCATTTCATCATCAAGGGACCATTTATTATTTGACATCTACAAACCATACATATGGTTTAAAACTGTGGTTCTAAATTTTGATTTAAGAATCCCTAGAATCCAATATCCATTCAAGGGTACAAGAGGTCACATAATGCATAATATATTTGACATTTTCACTCTCATTTTCTGAGAAGTGTACAGTAGACTTTTTCGAAGCTAGGATGTATCGTAACATCATAAGCTAATGGTTCATGGGTCATAGCTCTAAAGTCTATTCAAATGCGTGGCTGTACATGCATGTATTTTCTATTTTTCAGTTTTAATTTCTAATATAATACATATCAACAGCTACAAACCACTTAAAAATCACTTTTCTCCTCATTGGTAAGCATGATTTTCATTTCAAAAATGAACTCCACCATGATTTTTTTTTTTTTCAGACCAGTCTCACTCTATCGCCAGGCTGGAGTCCAGTGGCGCCATCTCGGCTCACTGCAACCTCCAACTCCCTGGTTCAAGCAATTCTCCTGCCTCAGCCTCCTGAGTAGCTGGGGTTACAGGCATGTGCCACCATGCCCAGCTAATTTTTGTATTTTTTTAGTAGAGACGGGGTTTCACCATCTTGGCCAGGATGGTCTCGATCTCCTGACCTCATGATCTGCCCGCCTCAGCCTCCCAAAGTGCAAGGATTATAGGCGTGAGGCACCGCGCCCAGCCCACAGTGATTTTTATGTTTTTTTGTTTGTTTGTTTTTTGTTTTTTTGTTTTTTTTTTCAGACGTTGTCTCGCTCTGTCACCCACACTGGAGTGCAGTGGTGCAATCTTGGCTCACTGCAAACTCCACCTCCCGGGTTCATGCCATTCTCCTGCCTCAGCCTCCTGAGTAGCTGGGACTACGGGAGCCTGCCACCACGCCTGGCTAATTTTTTGTATTTTTGGTAAAGATGGGGTTTCACCGTGTTAGCCGGGATGGTCTCGATCTCCTGACCTCGTGATCCACCTGCTTCAGCCTCCCAAAGTGCTGGGCTAACAGGTGTGAGCCACCATGTCTGGCCTGATTTTTATGTTTATTATTGTTTATCCGAATGAAGAGAGTTTAATTAAATGTACAGTAATAAAATGGAATACTATAAAGAACTTAAACCAGAGCTACTTGTGTCGATACGGGTAGATCTGAAAAATATAATGCTAGGCAAACAAAAGAAAGTTGAAGAATGATATGTACAATGTACAACCATTTATATAAAATTCTAGGACATGTAAACAAATTCTATGTATTATTTATAGACGTATACATACACAGGAAAATGTTTTAAAAGAGCATGGGAATGGGAACGATAGCGAATTCAGCGTGTTGGTTACCTCTATGCAATAATTTTTAATAGCATAAAAGGACCCCAAAGTCAAAAAGTTTCAGAATTGTTGTTTTAAAAGACTATGTCTACCAAATAGTAATTAAAAATAATTACTGTCCGGGCATGGTGGCTCATGCCTGTAATTCTAGCACTTTGGGAGGCTAAAGCGGGCGGATCACCTGAGATCAGGAGTTCGAGACCAGCCTGGCCAACATGGTGAAACCCTGTCTCTAAAAAAATACAAAAATTAGCCGGGCATGGTGGTGTGTGCCCGGGGAGCTTGAGGCAGGAGAATTGCTGGAACCCAGGAGGCGGAGGCTGCAGTGAGCCGAGATCATGCCACTGCACTCTAGCCTGGGCAACAGAGTGAGACTCTGTATCAAAACAAAAAACAAAAAACAAAAAGCCGGGCATGGTGGCTCATGCCTGTAATCCCAGAATTTTGGGAGGCCGAGGCGGGTGGATCACCCGAGATCAGGAGTTTGAGACCAGTCTGGCCAACATGGTGAAACCCCATCTCTACTTAAAATACAAAAATTTGCCAGGCGTAGTGATGCACACCTGTAATCCCAGCTATTTTTCAGGAGGCTGAGGCAGGAGAATCACTTGAACCTGGGAGGCGGAGGTTGCAGTGAGCCGAGATCACGCCACTGCATTCTAGTCTGGGTGACAGAGCAAGACTCGGTCTCAATTAAAAAAAAATTTTTTTAAATCCTTCCAACAAATTTGGAGAAAAAAAGAATTAGGAATAAGAAAACTGTGAGCATTTCAAATATTTCAAAAATTTTAACGTACTTCCTTCCAAGATTAAATATATATTGCAACATTTACCTGCTTTGGATGTTTGTACATCCTTCATTCCTCCTGCTTTATTTGGAACAGAATCTTTCATTTCAATGGTAGGCTGAATGGGTTTTGAAACAAAATGATTAATAAATAATGTATACTTTATACAATATGCACTTAATAATTCAAGATAAAAATATAAAACTTATTACCTTCAAGTGAAGATATCTCTCAGGAGACTCTAAAAACCAAAAGGGACATATAATCAATTATACATAAATATGACAAAGTCAATCATAAATTCATGCAGTGTTAGTATGACCAGAATCATCACGCTTGGTTTGAAAATGATTATGTTAATTTTTGGGATGTTTTTTATTTTGGTTAGGACAGCAACATGACAGAAGTATACTGGAGAAAAAAACAGGAATATAGGTTTAATAAAACATGCAGTTATGATTTGAATGTAAGATTATGTTCCAAGTGACTATAACTAAAATAGAAAAGTGCACATATACCAATGTGAGCATGCTGGTCGATGTGGAGAAAAGTAATCTTTAATTAGAGGAGCAAATCATGACCCTGAGAGGAGAAATGTCAAGGCTGATGGTAAAATGCGACAGCATATCTTTAATGCAACACATCAGAATCATTTATACCATTATACTACAAGTATTTATCATGTTCTTCAACTTGTCCTGTAATTTAGGAAGCACACAGTTATGATGCCACTTTACTTGGATATATAACTTATTTCTCATCAGAGAAAGTGTTCTGAATTGATCAGCTTGGATATACACTTGTAGAATAACAGTTAACAAAAATACGCATTTTTTTTCCATACCCATGTGGGCTACTGGCATGCCTACATTTCTTGTATCCTCTAGTTTAGCCATCTTAAAGTTTCTTGATCCACTCATGCAAGAAGGTATATAAAACACATCTAAGAAATAATACATAATAAGCTTTCAATATTGTAATATTTATCAAAAGGAAAAAATTTAATTGCCACAGAATTAGATATTAATAACATTTTATATTTCAAAATTAGTGCAGTTTTTTAAAATCAATGCAGTGTTTATTTAAAATAACAATTTTAGTATTCAAGGAATTATTAACTGTAATTTTTTCATTTCTAAAATGTTATCCTCTAAAGGATTTTATGAAACAGCTATCGTTATCAAAAAGCAACTTTAAGAAAAAAGCCAATGCTTCTATATTCAAATTAAACTCATTTGATTAATATCAATGCAACATCTATTTTTTTTTTTTTTTTTTGATACAGAGTCTCACTCTGTCACCCGGACTGTAGTGCAGTGGCAAAATCATGGCTCATTGCTCCCTGCAGCCTCAACCTCCCAGGCTCAAGCAATCCTCCTGCCTTAGCCTCCTGAACAGCCGAACTACAGGCCCATGCACCACCACGCCTAATTTTTGTATGTTTTTGTAGAGATGCAGTCTTGCCATGTTGCCCAGGCTGGTCTCAAACTCCTGGGCTCCAGCAACCCACCCACCTTGGCCTCCCAAAGTGCTGAGTGACAGGCAAACCACCAAGATCAGTCCAAAGCAACATATATCTTTGATGTCTGATAGTTATAGAAAGGAGATATGAATCACTGTAGTTTACCCCAATTCTAGCATGCCCTCCTGCTTGCAATAATCTCTGGAGCAGAAATGATCTAATCGTCTGTTTGAGTGTAAATGCAATGAATCCATCTGAAATGAGTTCTCTCAAGTTTCCTCATCGTTAACTCCAAGATGACTTAGCTAACTTCTTTCTTTCTTCTCTTTCCCCACTCACGATCTCTCTTCTTTTGCAAAAGTAATCTCCAGATCTGTGGTCTTGATTCTTCCCATTCTATATTCTTTTTATGGAACATTCTCAGCACTTCTTTCCTCTTCATTTAACAATAGTTATCTTATATCTACAATTTCTATTTCTCCATCTCTTTGTTTCTTCTCCTCTGGAAGAAACATGCTCAGAAATAAAAGAAAAATAATGCTTTATTCTGATCCTGTTATGCCTTGAATTATTGTCCAATGACGCTTCTTTCAGATTTCTCAAAAAGGAAGTCTATACCCTTGTTACTCAGAGTGTGGTCCAAGGACCAGAAGCATCAGCATTATGTGGGAACTTACTAGAAATGCAGAACCCCAGGCCTGCTCAATCAAAATGTACATTTTAAACAAGATCCCCAGCTGATTTATTAAATTTTAAGAAGCTCTGGTCCATACTTAGTTTGCTTCCACATTCTTTTATGTTAGATTGCCCTCTTGGAATCTGGTGTCAAGCTCCTCCCTACTATGTCCCCCAAACTGAAATTGTATTGCAAGTCATAAAGTTGCTAGTGGGCTTTTAATCATAGTATGGCTTCCTTGATCTCTCCATAACCAACCCTACTCTCTTCTTTCCAATTCTTTTCTTTTGGCCTTTGAGATACTATCCTATGAAGTAACACTTTCTTTCTTTCTTTTTTTTTTTTTTTGAGACAGAATCTTGCTCTGTTGCCCAGGCTGGAGTGCAGTGGCACAATCTCGGCTCACTGCAACTTCCGTCTCCTGGGTTCAAGTGATTCTCATACTTGAGCCTCCCAAGTAGCTAGGATTACAGGCATATGCCACCATGCCTGGCTAATGTTTGTATTTTTAGTAGAGACGGGGTTTCACCATGTTGGCCAGGCTGATCTCGAACTCCTGACCTCAGGTGATCTACCTTCCAAAGTGCTGGGATTACAGGCGTGAGCCACCGTGCCCAGCCTGATGTAACATTTTCTATGACATTAAATTCTAGATATGTATGGCTGACCACATATGCCTGTATTCATCTACAGCAGATGAAATGTGCCATAGATGGTCCAGTACCTCCATCCTTGCCTTCCCAACAGTGAGGTGGATGGGAAGAGTGGGTAAATTTTGCTCTATTTCTCTGACAAGTTTTGGTACTGGAAGCTCATTTTAAACTCTTCCTACCTTTCTAATACCCTGCTTTTCCATTTTCTAAAGAATTATTTTATTTTATTTTTTAATTTTTATTTTTTTGAGATGAAGTCTTGCTCTGTTGCCCAGGATGGAGTGCAGTGACGTGATCTCAGCTCACTGCCACCTCCACCTCCCAGGTTCAAACAAATCTCTTGCCTCAGCCTCCCAAGTAGCTGGAATTACAGGTGCGTGCCACCACACCCAGCTAATTTTTGTATTTTTAGTAGAGACAGGGTTTCACCATGTTGGCCAGGCTGGTCTCGGACTCCTGACCTCAAGTGATCTGCCCGCCTCGGCCTCCCAAAGTGTTGGGATTACAGGCATAAGCCACGCGCCTGGCCCTAGAATTATTTTATTTTACCACTCTCCATTACATACACTTGCTTCTTTGCCCTTCATTCACTCCCTGTACTCTCTGCCTTCCTCACTCTCATGTCCTCTTTTACTCCTCTCCTCTTCCTTATTTCCTGGCTCCCTCAGGTCTTAATGTATTTTGAAATGGATCTAATAATTCAGTTCCCTTAGTGGCACTAGCAATTTAATCTGTTGCTGACACCTAAGATATACAACTTATCACAATTTTACCTCTCTTTATTCTTACTATGCATTTAATAGGTGATTTTCTTCGGCTATTAGAATATATCAACAGTCATGTTTTTAAATAAACACTCTGTCCAATGGCTTTTTAAAAATGAAATATAGCTCTTACCTTCTGCTTGTTCATTTCCTATATTTTTTTCTTTTCCGTCTGCAGCCCCAGCTAAAGGATCAACATACTTCTGTGGAAAATTCTCAGAGATACTCTGTTAAAATTAGTATCAATAATGAGTTTCAATTTTACAAAAAGAATGAATTGCTAAAGATTTTCTAATCACTTTCAAATATAATATGAATTTCCTATTTTAAAAGCAATTAGGCTTAAAAATAAGATAAGCATGTATTGAAAACCAAAACATTTCAATAAAGAACCTCATATATGCTCACTAGATTAAGCTTATCTTTTCATCTTCAGATGGCTATTGACTCTGCAAACCAAACATGGAAGTCCCAAGGACACATATTAACAGACAAAATATTAACTTACGCGCACAGTTCAACAAGGAACTAATATCAAAAGACCTAACTCTACTTTGTATTCCCCACCAAAAATAAGAGGGGAGCTTCTCTGAACTTATTCCGGTTCGGGGGATGCCTGATTAAGAGGGAAAAAAAAGTGTATTTTAAAAAATAGAATACACTTGCTATAGTACAGCGTTAAACATTTAAAATATTTCTAATTATAGAAATATTTAGTGTTAAGATATGTGGCATGATAAGAAACTCTGGAGTATGCCCTGTTAAGTATAAATAGAACACTGCAGAAGCTGCTTCATTTAAGTAAACAATGGCTTAGAAAAATCTAAATACTTTTTGATACAACTTTTACTGATAGGAAAATGGTTGACTAAAATGAGAAAGCAGTAAGAAAAATTTTGCTTTATGTTATGTCTAAAGAAAAGCAAGGAAATACAAGATACAGAATACAAACTCTCCCAATTAAGAAATAATTTCAAAAAAGTATAGCAAGCCTTCATAAAAATAGAAGAATAAGAACATTTATGTATTAAGCATGTGAAATGTGCCAGGCACTTATTTGCACATTTTCTTTTCTATGCCCTATAATAATAAAAATGATGGTGATGATGGTTACCCCGCTTCCTGCTTCTTGGTCATTCTAAGATGTTAAAAGCAAAATGATGAACAGATTTGAAGATTGTGCCCTCTGCCCAGAATGCCCTCCTTCTAGCCTTTCGGATGGCTGCTCCTTCTCTTCCTTTAGTTGGCAATCTAAGGTCACACTCAGAAAGATCTTCTCTGACTACAGAATTTCACTCCCATTTTGATCCCCATCCTAACTACAAACTCCCTCAATTTTCTCTAACCTAATACTTTGTTTTCTTCATATGAAGCACTTATAGTGACTTATAAGTGTTTGTGGTTTACTTGTTTTTCAGTTCCTACTAGTAGAGCATAAGCCCCCACCTTGTATATGCGGTGTCTAACAGCCTAGCACATGGTTGGTACTCAATAAACAGAAATTTATTCAAGTTCAAACATTTAAAATCTCATTGGGAAGGTCTCAAGCGTCAATTCACTATATTCCTATAGGATATCTCCAGTAACTGTCTACTGAAACTTATACCCCAAATTAGAAATCCACATTCCTGTTCCAACTTTCCCTTTCTTTTCTTGACACTACTGCCTTCACGTTTACAAAAAGTACCCTGAATATTTATTGTCACTGGAAATGATTTTGAAAATCATTTCTACTTATTACACTACCACTCAACCAAATTGTTATTATTTTCCATATTCTTCTTTCTCCTGAAATGTTCCCTGCAGATCTATACAAATATATATTAATACTTTAAAGTACCAGGCATTATCTTTTCAAGTTCTAAGTTGTCAAAAAACAAAAAAAAAAAACAAAAAAAACTACATTCCAAACTGTTTCTCTCTGAATCTCATTAGGCCGTTTACTCATCCATACATAACACAGAATCATACACTTGGCCATAGGCTAACCTGAAATAATTCTTTCTTTTTTTTTTTTTTTTTTTTTTTTTGAGATGCAGTCTTGCTCTGTTGCCAGGATGGAGTGCAGCAGCGCGATCTCAGCTCACTACAACCTCTGCCTCCCGGGTTCAAGCGATTCCCCTGCCTCAGCCTCCCGAGTAGTGACTACAGGCACACGCCACCACACCCAACTAATTTTTTGTATTTTTGTAGAGATGGGACTTCACCATGTTGGCCAGGATGGTCTCCATATCCTGACCTCATGATCCGCCAGCCTCGGCCTCCCAAAGTGCTGGGATTACAGGCATGAGCCACCTTGCCTGGCCGACCTGAAATAATTCTTTAGTTTTTAGATAAACTTAACTTCAGAACCCATACTGATTCCATGTGACTTCTAAGCCTTTTCTTTTCTTTTTTTTTTTGCACTATCCTTCACTGGATTCTTAAATGAATCCTGCAAATTAGCAGAATTATACTATGCAGCAGTAATATACTTAGCACATACTTTATTAATTATGAACTGAAAAATATAAGAAAGTAGTTCCTTATGGATGTATGCAGAGGTAAAAAAGTCAAGTCAAAGCATCTCTTTATGTTTTAACATCACTCAATGCTTATATTTTAAAATAATAGTAACAACCATAGAAAGTACCTCAGAATCCCAAGGTGATTCTATATCTTCCTCTTGTCCTAATCCTAATGCGGACATCATATCTATCAAATGTGATACACAGATATATTCATGAGAACATTTACTATTGTAAATTTTAAATACATAATTAAATACATATACAAGTCTATCTCCATTCATGAATATTTCAATAAAATAAAAATAATAGCAAAAAAAGAATTTCACAAGGTTGATGCAGTCTCAGGAAAAAATTGGTAATATGAAGAAAGACAGCAAAAGAAAAATATTTTTAAAATGAATATAATATTTGGGTCTGCATATGTTAATTGGTTGTCTTAGAATAGATTTTTTTTTTTTTTTGAGACAGAGTCTTGCTCTGATGCCCAGGCTGGAGTGCAGTGGCGCAATCTCAGCCCACTGCAACTTCTGTCTCCCAGGTTCAAGCAATTCTCTGCCTCAGCCTCCCGAGTACCTGGGATTATAGGCACGCACCACCACACCCAGCTAATGTTTGTATTTTTAGTAGAGATGGGGTTTCATCATGTTGGCTAGGCTGGTCTCGAACTCCTGACCTCAGGTGATCCACCTGCCTCAGCCTCCCAAAGTGCTGGGATCACAGGTGTGAGCCACATCTGGACCCCAGAATAGAACTTAAGGATAGAAAAATATTCAGAGATATCCACTAACTTACCACTTCTATTATTTTTGTGCACTTCATCAACATAAGTCAAATTGTCATTATTTGTTTGCTCTAGTGGAGCACTTTCAATAATATCAATACCATTTTCTTTTTTTGCAATGCCTGGCTTTGTTGGTTCTTCCTATTAAAAACAAAAACAAACAAACAAAAAACTTCAGAAAACACTGTATTTATTCACTTACCCATTCAATCACTGTATTAGTCCGTACTTGCACTACCATAAAGAAATACCTGGTCATCCAAGATGGGGGCATAGTTTTTTTTTTTTAAAGAAACACCTGACGGGGTAATTTATGAAGAAAAGAGGTTTCACTGGCTCATGGTTTTGCAGGCTGTATAGGAGGCATAGCAGCTTCTGCTTCTGGGGAGGCCTCGGGAAGCTTATAATCACAGCAGAAGGCAAAGAGGGGGCAGGTGTCTCACATGGCAGAGCCAGGGCAAGAGAGCAAGGTGGGGAGGTGCTGCACACTTTTAAAGAAGCAGATCCCATGAGAACTCACTTGCTATCTCAAGGACAGGACCAATGGGGATGGTGCTAAACCATTCACTAGAAATCTGCCCCTGTGATCCAATCAACTCCCACCAGGTCCCACCTCCAACACTGGGGATTACATTTCAATATGAGATTTGGGGCAGGACACACTTCCAAACTATACCAGTCAGTAAGACAATAAGCACTTATGTGTCTATCACATCATAGGCACTATCCTGGGAAAAACTAAAAATATAAACAGAAGACAGATTCTGTCCTATATTCATCAAGTGCGGGTAGAGATAAATAAAACCAAGTAAGAACAGAAAAGTATAATTCACTAGTTCTACAACCGAGGTGAATAAAGGACAGTAAGGGCACAAAAGAGAACAGTAAGTTCCACCTGGGAAGCTCAGGAAATGATGCAAAGATAGGGCCATACTATGAGGTAGACCCAGTGCAGTGATATGGTTTGGCTCTGTGTCCCCACCCAAATCTCATCTTGAATTGTAATCCTCATGTGTCAAGGGAGACACCAGAGGAGATAACTGGATCATGCGGTGGTTTCCCCCATGCTGTTCTCATGATAGTGAGTGAATTCTCATGAGATCTGATGGTTTTACAAGTGTTTGGTAGTTCCTCATACATTAATTCACCTCCTACGGCCTTGTGAAGAAGGTGCCTGCTTCCCTTTTGCCTTCCACCATGATTGTAAGTTTCCTGAGGCCTCCCCAGCCATGAGGAACTGAGAGTCAATTAAACCTCTTTCTGTTATACATTACCCAGTCTGGGGTATTTCTTTTTAGCAATGTGACAACAGAGTAATACATGCAGAGTGGGAATGTAAAAGGTTTCTAGACAGGGCACCATAAACAAAAGGATGAGGCATGAAACAACACGACAAATGAGGGTACCAAAGTAATGTGGTAAAACTGGAACACAGTCAGAGGGAACAGGATGAGGAGAAAAAACAGAAAAATCAGGCCAAACCACCAAGGACCTGTGTTATGCTAGAATGTGAACTTTCCCTTTCATGTACTGGGGATCCAGTCAGTAAGCAGGTGAGTTAGAGCATCACAGATACATTTCAGAAAGGTCACCCTGGCAGCAATGTAAACATAGATAAACATGGGGGTTGGGGGAGTGGTCAGGACAAAAATAGAGAAGATTATTCCAAAATTACAGGTCAGAAAGTGAACTGTCACATTTTCTTTGGGCATCCTAAAAAAAAAAAAAAAGTGAATTGCAATAATAAGATATGAGAAACGAGGTCGGGCGCAGCGCGGTGGCTCACACCTGTAATCCCAGCACTTTGGGAGGCCAAGAAGTGGGCGGATCATGATGTCAGGAGTTCGAGACCAGCCTGGCCAATATGATGGAACCCTGTCTCTACTAAAAACACAAAAATTAGCTGGGTGTGGTGGCACATGCCCTGTAATCCTGGCTACTCGGGAGGCTGATGCAGGAGAATTGCTTAAACCCAGGAGGCAGAGCTTGCGGTGAACAGAGGTGACGCCATTGCGCTCTGACCTGGGCAACAGAGTGAGACGTCGTCTCAAAAAAAAAAAAAAAAAAAAAAAAAAAAGGATATGAGAAATGATAAGCAGGTAGAAAATAAAGAACTTGGTGAGTGACTGGATTCGTAATTTGAGGGAAAACTGGAGTGCAAGATTTCTCCTGCTTCAATGTTTCAGTGCTACTTCCTAGGTGTTATTTACTAGGATGGGGAAACCAGAGGACTGAGTAAATTACAAAGAATCAGGAAAGCGTCAGGAACAATGTCCACAGTTTGGGACATATTAATATAAAATTTGAGGCACCCAGGGAACTTAGGTTTTTGGTGGTTTTTTTTTCAGAGACAAGGTTTCACTGTGTTGCCCAGGCTGGTCACCAACCCCTGAGCTCAAGTGATCCACCAGCCTTCGCCTTCCCAAGTGCTGGAATTACAGGCGTGAGCCACTGGACCCCGCCTACCCAGGGGATTTAGAAGACAGATTTGGATAAATACGTTTAGAGTAGAAGTAGATGACCTCAGGAAAAGCATATGGTCTTAAGTAGATAAATATTTGTAAAATACACTAAACTGGTAGAATTAAATAATATGAACCTACACAGAACTCTGAAATTTTGAAAATGAAAAGACAAAGAGGGAAAAAAACATGGGATTTAAGGTTTCAATTACATATTTCAACATTTGAGGATGGGTGCAGTGGGCCCCACCTGCAATCTTAGCACTTTGGGAGGTCAAGGTTGGAGGATCACTTAAGCCCAGTGGTTCAAAACCAGCCTGGATAATATAGCGAGACCCCATCTCTACAAAAAATAAATAAATAGCTAGGCATGGTGGTGCATGCCCATGGTCCCAGCTACTTGGGAAGCTGAAGCCAGACCCAGAAGATTTAAGCTTCAGTGAGCCTTGATCATGCCACTGCACTCCAGCCTGGGTAACAGAGACTCTGTATTTAAAAAAAAAAAAAAAAAAAAAGGCCAGGCGTGGTGGCTCATGCCTGTAATCCCAGCACTTTGGGAGGCTGAGGTGGGCGGATCACTTGAGGCCAGGTGTTCAAGACCAGCCAACATAGCAAAACCCCATCTCTACTAAAAATACAAAAATTAGCCATGTTTGGTAGTACACACTTGTAGTCCCAGCTACTCAGAATGCAGAGGCACAAGAACTGCTTGAACCCAGGAAGCAGAGGTTGCAACAAGCTGAGATCCCGCCACTGCACTCCAGCCTAGGCGACAGAGCAAGACTCCGTCTCAAAAAACAAAAGAAAAGAAAGCTATGATTATCCAAGTTGAAGATTTAAAAGTCTTCAAATATATCTATGATTATCAAGCAAGACCAGTATTCACACACAGAAAAGGACTAAAAAATCAAGTCAACAGGATTCTGAGTTTTAGAGATGAATGAATTTATGAGCAAGGTTTAACAACTATGAATACTAAAGTTAACAAAGCTTCCTGACGAGAATATAAAATGTCCTCATTGCTGGAGGTACTTTTAAAAGTAAAAAATCATCTTCTAGAGATTTTTTTTTTTTTTGAGATGGAGTCTCGCCCTGTCGCCCAGAATGGAGTACAATGGCACGATCTTGGCTCACTGCAACCTCCACCTCCTGGGTTCAAGCAATTCTCTTGACTCAGCCCCCTGAGTAGCTGGGATTATAGGCACGTGCCACCACGCCCGGCTAATTTTTTGTATCTTTAGTAGAGACAGGGTTTCACCATATTGGCCAGGCTGGTCTCGAACTCCTGACCTCATAATCTGCCCGCCTTGGCCTCCCAAAGTGCTGGGATTGCAGGTGTGAACCACCATGTCCAGCCTAGAGATAATTTTGTAAACTCCCTTGGCAATCTTTCCTTCCTTATGATTCTATAATAGGTAGTTTATTTTAGAAAACAATAATAAATTTTGACCGCTTTCATTTGGTGTATGCGTATGTGTCCATTACATACAGATATTAATTATTAGCACAAGATAAATCAGAATATTGCAGAAATAAACAATTGCTACATTCATTTTTTTTTTTTTTTTTTTTTTTTGAGACAGAGTCTCGCTTTGTCGCCCAGGCTGGAGTGCAGTGGCGCGATCTCGGCTCACTGCAAGCTCTGCCTCCCAGGTTCACGCCATTCTCCTGCCTCAGCCTCCCGAGGAGCTGGGACTACAGGCGCCCGCCACCAAGCCCGGCTAATTTTTTGTATTTTTTTTTTTTTTAGTAGGGACGGGGTTTCACCGTGTTGGCCAGGATGGTCTCGATCTCCTGACCTCGTGATCCGCCCGCCTCGGCTTGCCAAAGTGCTGGGATTACAGGCATGAGCCACCACACCCGGCCGGGACTACATTCATTTCTCTAACAATGCTTATACTAAAATTAATTTTCCCTAATTTTTTTCCCAAGATGACAGATGGGAGGCACTGTGACCAAGACTCTCCCTCTTGGAAAGGCAAAATAGTGTGTAGGGATTTGCGCTGCAAACTTTTTTCCAAGAAGCAACACAGGACCTTAACAGAAAAACTTAAAGAAACCAGAGACCCTGTGAAAGAACAGGCGGGCAGCAGTGTACACGATGAACCAGGTAGAAAATCGTGAGCCTCTAGAGTGTGAACGGGAGAGATGGTCCCTGGAACACACTTCCACTGGGAAGCCCGGCAATCCAGGCCACGGGGAAGCCCTAACTCCCCCCGCGCTGGAGCTGACTGAGTGAGCAGTGGGGGCACACAAGAAAAAGCGGCATCCCCATATACATTGCATGCATTCCCTGACTCCAGGAGGGACAGAGGGAAGCCATTCTTGATCCTACCTCACAGGCGTCCTGCCGGAAGTCAGCCAGCTGACCCAGGCTGCCATCACAGGTGGAGAGAAGCTCCCAAATGAGAGCTGCCATATCATCTTGAGTGGGGATAACCCCATCGGCCAGAACCACAGGGTGAACAAGAAGTGTGCCCAGGCTGCAGGAGCTGGATGCCCCTTGTTCCACAGGCGGATCAGGAGGGGCATGGCTTGAAAGTGCGGTTTCTGTCCCTCAGGAAGGCTTATGGCCTGGGACAATTTTGAGTTCCAAGCACAAGCTGACTGGAATCCAGCTTGCTGCTGCCAGCAGAACCCTATAGGCGTGAGACCTGCCTTGCCAAGCCCGTGCTGCATGAGACATACTGTTGCCTGATATCCCCAGCTCCTTCTGTGGATTCTTTTGTGCAGCAGAGGCAGCTGAGCTTCTCCCTGGAACACTACTCTAGCAGCCAGGGAACTGCCCTCTGATCCCCAATGGGGCCGCTCCACTGCTTGCACCCACATGTGGGGAGCCAGAGTGTGGACTGGCCTCACCCAGCCCCCACCCGGCTTTGCCCTCCACCTGCCATGGTAGCATAACACAATGGACAGGGACTTTTGGGAGATCCATGGCCCCAACCATTGTCTGAGACTCCAGAGTATTTCCCTTGGGTAACCTAAGGCAATCAAATCCCACCACTACCACTGCAACTGGCGCTCTTTTGCAAGCGCCACCTCCTGGCTAAAACTCAACAAGCACAGCCCATCACAACGTCTGCAAGCACAATGACACAGCACCAAGGAAGTAGGAAACTTCTGTGCATCTTCAGTTAATCACCACTGCCTGCATCTTTCTGGCTAACCAGGAGGTCCTGCAACTGTCTATGTGCCCAGCACATTAATACTACAGCTGGCATTTGAAAAAACACACAAAGGCTATTTGTAATGCAGGAAATCTCACAGAGTCTACATCATTCCCCTTCCCACCCTATCAGAGCAGGTGCTGGTACCCGCTGCTGGGAGACTCGAGGACAGGTCATCTCACTGGATCCCTTGCAGACATTCCCCAGCACCACCCTGGAGTATGGCAGCCCACTGGGTGGCTAGACCCAGAGGAGCAGCAGGATTCACAGCAGCCAGGTTCTCAGGGGCTGCTACTCCCAGGGGAAGGAATGCACCACATTGAGAGGGCACCCCATGGGAAAAAAAGAAACCAGACTGCAGGCCTTCCGCTTGTGGGAAGTTTCCTTCAGCAGAGGGACAGGTGCAGTGCTGGGCTCAGTGGAGAAAATCTAAGGCTTTCCCTTAACAGGTAGCCCTGGGGCATGTGAAGGGTCTTGGAGAAGAGAACTTCTCCCTCTTGCCCACCACTGCAGACACAGCTGGGGCTTTTCCCACGACAGCATGATGTGCGTGCATCTGTAGACAGCCTTCCTGAAGCACTTCAGGGTGACTGCATCCCACAGGACTGCCCTCCACGTTCAGGCTTGCATGAGGACCACAATCCCTCTCTATATGGAACATCAGTATTCCTGAAGATTAAAAAAGGTGCCTGTCTGATCTGATTAGCTGGAACACCTGGTCAAGAGTGTGACTGGGAGGCAGACTGCTTTCCTGTGGCTCCCTCCCTTCCCCCTGAAAACACTTTAGTGCATATCACTGAGAGCTCCCCCTGCCACATTTGTCAAGGCCAAACTTGGGGTACTGCATTTATCCACCTGCTTTAGCTGCAACCAGTTTTTACCCATGGGCTCCTTCAGCCTGAGGCCTGAAATGTTCAATCCAGTAAATAAAATACTGGGGAAAAAAATGTTTTAGGAAACAGAGTAGGCATCTGAATTTTTAAGTGCACAACACTGGAGAATGAGATAAGATTCGTGAGACTTCTGCCATTCCAGTCCCACAGGAAACAGTAAACCTGCTCACAGACCCAGTACATCGTTATTACTACCAACATCTGAGAAAATCATCACACAAAGATTCTCTGTAACGAAGGAGCTCACTACTACAAGGTCTTCACTACTGAAAGCACCCAGAGCTGAAGCTAGGTGACAATAAACTATAGACATTCAAGTCACATCCTCAAGGGGGGAAAAATAAATAAAAAAAAACCCAGTCAAATCAAAAATAAATTCAAAAATAATTACAAGAAATAGTCCACCCAAATTAGAAGGAACCAGAAAAATAATTCTGGTAATATGAAAAAACAGCATTCTATAATCCCCCTAAAAGATCACACTAACTCTCCAGCAATGGATACAAAACAAGATGAAATCTTTGAAATACCAGATAAAGAATTCAAAAGGTTGATTATTAAGTTACTCAAGAATATACAAGGGCAAGGTAAAAACCAACATAAAGAAATTTTTAAAAACAATTCAGGATCTTAATGAAAAATTTTCTAAAGAGAAAGATATTTTAAAGAAAAACCAATCAGAACTTCTGGAAATGAAAGACACATTTAGGGAACTACAAAATGTAGTGGGGGGCTGGGCATGGTGGCTCACGGCTGCAATCCCAGCACTTTGGGAGGCCAAGGTGGGTGGATCGCTTGAGGTCAGGAGTTTGAGACCACCCTGGCCAACATGGCGAAACCCTGTCTCTACTAAAAATACAAAAATTAGCTGGACATGGTAGCGTATACCTGTAATCCTAGCTACTAGGGGGGCTGAAGCAGGAGAAGTGCTTGAACCCAGGGGGTGGAGGTTGCAGTGAGCTGAGATCACACTACTCCAGCCTGGGTGACAGAGAGACTCTGTCTCGAGGGGGGAAAAGAAAAAAAGTAGTGGGAAGTTTTAACAGTAGGCTATGCCAAATAGAAGTAAGAACTTTAGGGTTTGAAGACAAGGCTTTCAAATTAATCCAATCAGACAAAAATAAAAAGAATAAAATAAAATAAATAAATAAGATTAAATAAAAAGAATTTTTAAAAATAACCTGTAAAGGAAAACCTATCAGACTAACAGCAGACTTCTCAGCAGAAACCTTAACAAGCCAGGAGGGACTGGAGTCCTATCTATAGTCTCCTTAAATAGGAAAAAAATCATCAGCCAAGAATTCTGTATCAAGCAAAACTAAGTTTCATAAATGAAGGAAAAATAAAGTCTTTCTTGAACAAGCAAATGCTGAGGGAATCTGTCAATACTAGACCAGCCCTACAAGAAATATTTATAAAAGTTCTCAATGTTGAAATAAAAGGTTGATACATAACAGAATAGAAACTTCTGAAAGCATACAATTCACAAAGTTTATAAAACAATAACATAATGGAGGAAACAAAGTCACTAGGTAACAATCAACACAATGACTGGAACAGTACCTCAGATCTCAATATTACCATTGAAGTAAATGGTCTAAATGCTCCACTTAAAAGATGCAGGTTGGCAGAATGGATTTTTAAAAATCACAAGCCAAATTCTCTGCTGTTTTCAGGAGACACACCTATCATGTAAGGATTCCTATACTCTCAAGATAAAGGGGTGGAAAAAGATATTTCACACAAAGAGAAACCAAAAGTGAGCAGGAGTAGCTATTCCTATATCAGATAAAACAGAGTTTAAAGCAACAACAGTAAAAGTAGATAAAAATTGTCACTATATAACGATAAAAGGATCGATTCAACAAGAAGATCTAAGAATCCTAAATATATACGCACCTATCTTCAGAGCTCCCAGATTAATAAAACAATTACTACTAGACCTAAGAAAACCTAAGAAAAGAGATAGCCACACAATAATAGTACAGGACTTCAACACTCCACTGACAGCACTAGACAGGTCATCAAGGTAGAAAGCCAACAAAGAAACATTGGACTTAAACTGCACTCAAGAACAAATGAATCTAACAGATATTTACCAAACATTCTACCTGAGAACTGCAGAATATACATGCTTTTAATAGGCATATGGAACATTCTCCAAGATAGACCATATGATAGGCCACAAAACAAGTCTTAATAAATTTTAAAAAACTGAAATCATATGAAGTATCTTCTCAGACCACAGCAGAATACATAGAAATCAATTCCAAAAGGAACCCTCAAAATTATACAAACATATGGTAATTCCCATTTAACTTAATGATCTGCTCCTGATTTCGGAGTTAATAATAAAATCAAGAAGGAAATTTTAAAATGTTTTGAAATAAATAACAGTGCTACAAATTATCAAAACCTCTTACAGCAAATCAGTACTAACATCACACCTCAGGAAATTAGAGAAACAAGGACAAACCAAACCCAAAGCTAGCAGAAGAAATGAAATAACAAAGATCAGAGCAGAGCTAAATGTATTTATAACCAAAAACACAATATAAAAGATCAATGAAACAAAAAGTTTGTTTTTTGTTTGTTTGGTTTTTTTTTTTTTTTAGATGGAATTTCACTCTTGTCACCCAGGCTGAAGTGCAATGGCGTGATCTTGGCTCACTGCAACCTCCACCTCCTAGGTTCAAGTGATTCTCCTGCCTCAGCCTCCCAAGTAGCTGGGATTACAGGCACCCACCACCATGCCTGGCTAATTTTTCTGTATTTTTAGTAGAGACGGAGTTTCACCATGTTGGCCAGGCTGGTCTCGAACTCCTGACCTCAGGTGATCTGCCCGTCTAGGCCTCCCAAAGTGCTGGGATTACAGGTGTGAGCCACCGTGCCCAGTAGCTTTTTTTTAAAAGATACACAGTTGATAGACCACTAGCTACATTAACTAAGAAAAGAGAGAAGATTCAAATAAGCTCAAGTAGGAATGAATGTGGAGACAGTATAACTGATACCACCGAAATACAAAAGATAGCTCAAGACTACTATAAAAACCTCTATGCACACAAACTAGAAAATCTAGAGGAAACTGAAAAATTCCGGGAAACACGTAACTCCTCTAGCTTGAATTAGGAAAAAATAGAAATCCTGAACAGACCAGTAATAAGCAGTGAGATTGAATCAGTAATTTTAAAACCGCCAACAAGAAAAAAACCCAGGGCCACACGGATTCACAGCTAAATTCTACCAGACATTCAAAAAAGAACTGATAACAATTCTACTGAAACTACTCCAAAAGGTTGAGAAGGGGGAAATCCTCCCTAACTCATTCTATAAAGCCAGTATCACCCTAATACCAAAGCCAGAAAAGGACATAACAAAAAAAGAAAACTGCAGACCAATATCTCTGATGAATATAGATACAAAAATCCTCAAGAAAATACTAGCAAACCGAATCCAACAGCACATCACAAAGTAATAATTCACCATGATCAAGTGGGTTTCATTTCAAGGATGCAGGGATGGTTCAACATATGCAAGTCTTAAATGTGATTCATCACATAAACATAATTAGAAACAAAAACTGTATGATCATCTCAATAGATGCATCATTATGAGGATTGTTGGGGCAGGGGAAGGGTACATGAAAAAAGTTTTTTAAAAAACAACTTACCTTCATAAGACCAGGGTTTGCTAACGACTTGTGGGAAGGTTTTGGAAGAAGGTCAGGTGATTGATAGGTAGGATGAGAAAAGCACTGGACTTTGATTGATGTTGTAGGAAGGCTTTCAACCACAACTTCATCTTGACTATCGGAATCTCTATCCTCAAACAAAGTTCTATTTCCTGTTCTCACAGTGCCATATGTTGCTTCTACTACAGTAAAAACAAAATAAAGAGTAAATGAAAATATATGTAATTAAGAATCAGTGAATAACACAAGAATAAGCAGTTTTCAAACAGCTTACAATTTTTCCTGGATTGCTGAGAAGCAGTCATTAGCTTTGCTAAGCTTGGTTTTGGGACATTCTAGAAAACAAAAATAAGAATAACAAGTTTTAAAAAAACAAGTATCAAATTTGATAAAATAATCGTAATAGATAGTCACCATTACTACATGATCTAACACAAAGAACAAAGATTTTGGAGTCACTCAGATGTAGATTTAAACCTCAGTTCTGCCCTTTGCTACATCTTCTCATGGGGTAAGGATTATGAGAGATGATACAGATATCCTCCAAAGGTTACTCCCCTTACCCCTAATTGATTATTATATAAATACTATGATATCTGTTCGATTATTTTCTTAACCACAGTAGCCTAAAATGAAAATTTTTTCCTAGGTAGAGTATTATAAAAGTCAAACATTAAAACATTTAAATTAATTACATATTATTTTCTGAAATGTGTATGCATGATTTATATTTGCATGAATTACCTCTTGTGAGAAAAACTGTGAGCATTTTGTTCTTAGTATATTTTATGAAAGTGGGTTGGCACTGCAAATAGTATAGGCTGCTTCTATTCTGTCAAAAAGCTAAAAATAAATGATTGTATAAATTCAGCTCCTTACAAGAAACAGAGAAAAAAACAAAAATAATCCTTGTGGGGCAATGATTGCTGAACAAAAGCCACACATAACTACATAAATAGAAAGCTGCACCTAAATATGCTGCAAATGGAGACAGACATGGACTGAAATAACAGAACTGAAGAAATGTATTCTGCAAGGAAACATTTAGGCTGAGATAAATCATTTTTAAAAGATGAAAGAGTAGGGAGAAAAAAAATAGAGGCATGACCATTCGAGTGTGAGCTTAAGTCAAGGAAGAAAAGGAAAGGCTTTAAGTATACTAAGGCACACTGAGAAACACAGACCTGTAACAGACTTTTGTTCATAGGATATCCCTGATAATACTGATTAGTATTTACAACCAGTTTTTTAAAAAATACTTCTGTAGTAAACAGTTTAATTTTAAGTCATCCAATTAGTTAAAAATGATCATCTACTACTACCTGAAAGCTGTAACATTCTTACTACAGAGAGAGAAAAATGGAAAAAGATTTTAAAATCATAGTAGGAGTGCTTATCCATATAAACTTTGACCAAATTTCATATTTCCTCTATTGTAGGAAAACTTTTCCCAATATAATTTTCCTGTCACTATGTATTTTCCAGTATATTCTTTTTTTTGCAATCCCCACTCCCTCAAAGTACTTATCAATCCTTTGTTATTTACCAAAGTAAAAAAAAAAAAAAAAAAAGAATTCAACTGGCCATATTTCTATAAAATGGCTTCCCCTGACCACCTTTCCATTACAAACAGAAAACAATGATAAGTAGACCACTGCAAAATTTTAAGAGAATACTATACGAAACTAGATTCAGAGTAAGAAAATTAAGTTCATGAGAGAGCACTTTACCTTAGTATCAAAATTGAGGTCTTCGTCATCTGAGGTAGGCCATGAATCATCAACACCCGGTTTGCCAGAAAGCCTTTAGAACAAAAATATAGAAAAATGAGTGAATTCATTTCTTTAAAAACAAAACAAAAACCAGCTTACAATTTTCAATCTGGATGCCCCCTCCAAAAAAACAAAAACCTGGTGAAAGGTCAACTGTCTGCATATTAAATGATGTTTCTTGATCTAATTAAAATTTGATCTTGTTTTTGAAAAATATTTTAGTTACCAATTGCTGCCTCTACCTCTCCGAAACTATAAAATATTCGATAAAGACTCAACCTTAGTTCTATAACTAATAGTGACAGCCAAGATAATGGCAGAACCTGGGAATACTTTGTCTTCACAAATTGTCCCGAAGGCTGAACTGAAAATCCAATTAATGGCTGATATAACTTTCGTTACCTGAACCAGCACAAACCTGATAATCTAAAACAAGGTGGAGATCAGATGCGGTGGCTCGTGCCTGTAATCCCAGAACTTTGGGAGGCGGAGGCAGGAAGATAACTTGAGCCCAGGAGTTCGAGATCAGCCTGGCCAACATGGCGAAACCCTGTCTCTACTAAAATACAAAAATTAACCAGGCGTGGTGGCATGTGCCTGTAATCCCAGCTACTAAGGAGGCTGGGGCAAGAGAATTGCTTGAACCCGGGAGGCAGAGATTGCAGTGAGCCGAGATCATGCCACTGCACTCCAGCCTGGGTGACACAGCAAGACACTGTCTCAAAAAAATAAAAATAAATAAATAGGCTGGGCACGGTGGCTCATCCCTGTAATCTCAGCACTTTGGGAGGCCGAGGCGGGCAGATCACGAGGTCAGGAGTTCAAGGCCAGTCTGACCAACATAGTGAAACTCTGTCTCTACTAAAAATACAAAGAATTAGCTGGGTGTGGTGGTGTGTACCTGTGGTCCCAGCTACTTGGGAGGTGGAGGCAGAAGAATTGTGTGAACCCAGGAAGCAGAGATTGCAGTGAGCTGAGATCATGCTGTAGCACTCCAGCCTGGGCAACAGTGCAAGACTTTGTCTCAAAAAAAATAAAATAAAATAAAATAAAATAAATAAATAAATAAATACATAAAACAAGGTAGAAAGATACACTGTCCTTTCTCCACTATCTATCTCCATTTCAAAGACTAATATGTGTCACTCAAAAATGGCAGTCTTGGTTCTTCAACATGAAAACCACTTAAGGCCTCATTGCTTCCCTTCACCCTAAAACAGTATAAGGAGTCCCCTGAAATGTGTGAAATGTTTGAAAGCTAGATGGGCAAAAGTCAAAACACATACGTATATGCTGTTATTGGGACTACTCACCCCAGAAATATTAAAACATTAAAAGTTATAAAATCCAATTATTTTCCCTATAGAGGTCCTGCCTTAAACTAGCAAGCCCTTAAAAATCTTTACAGGCACTCAGATACCTAAAGAGAAAGAATGCTGGAGAAAGAGTCCTGGTAGTTGTACCTATATTTCCCTAAGTACTATCTAAACACCTTCCTTCCTATAAGCTCCCACTTACAGATCCCTCTTCTGCAGGGCTCCATAGCATCTCCAACCTTTAAGTCTTCAGCCTATGAAGGCACAAATTCCTGAAAGGATGGTCTCAAATGCCCAAGAGTAGAAGCTCTCTATATCTCTGCTCCTGGAAAACAAGCTAAATGGAGTCTCTGTCATCTGCCAGCAGCACAGGCATGTTAACAACTACCCAACTCCATGATTTGGGTTGCTCCATGACTGACTTGCCAGCTAATCCTACCCCTGCCCTACCCTACATGTCCATGAGAAGGACATCAGAGAATTGGGAAAGGAGGCAGAGGTGAGGGGACACCTGCCCTGGGCCACAGATCTATGTAGTTCAGCAGCCTCCAGCTCCAAAGTACTTGAGGGGCTCAAAGCCACCGATAAGTTGAGGCAGAAGTAGTTATAGTACATTCCTACTGGCTGTAGAGACTCTTCCCAGTGGCTCAAATTATTTTAACATTTTTCAGTAGAAACCTTGAGAGTTTGTCAGTTCCTCCAATTATATAAAAAAGCAACAACCTGTTCAGGACTCCCCTGAACCCCCTATTTTAATATGCCTTTCTAGATAATTCCAAACATCCTGTATCCTTCATTCCAGTAATTTATCATTATCGAACTTGTCAAAAACCCCAATATTCTGATCTCTTTTCCAAAAGCCCGGTTCCTATCCAACCCAGTGCTGTTTCTCTTCAAACCTGGCCTTCCTCTGCTAATTCCATTCTTTCCTTTTCCGCTGGGTTCACTAGATCCACTCACCCTTTCTATTATTAAAATATTAACCTGTAGGATGATAAAGAAGGAAGAGTACTGGGCTCTGAAATTAGTTTGAATATCATATCCAAATAAATCCCCTTAATCTCTTTGAGTTTCAGGTTCTCCATCTGAACCATTTGACCAAGATGTTAAACACAGATTGAAGTACTAGATGGCATTCTGATTAGTCTGATTCCTTAAAATCCTGAAATTCTAGGTGCTTTTGATTCTGTTGATAGGAAAATGAGGAATACTTAGCTGGCAGAAATGGAAAAAAATAATAGGAACACAGTTGGCTGGATAAAGAAAATGTGGTATAAATATTCCATGGAATACTATGCTTTTTTTTTTTGAGACAGAGTCCCGCTCTGTCACCCAGGCTGGAGTGCAGTGGCGCAATCTCGGCTCACTGCAACCTCCGCCTCCCGGGTTCAAGCCATTCTCCTTTCTCAGCCTCCTGAGTACTGGGACTATAGGCGTGCGCCACCACGCCTGGCTAATTCTTTGTATTTTTAGTAGAGACAGGGTTTCACCGTGTTAGCCAGGCTGGTCTCGATCTCCTGACTTTGTGATATGCCCACCTTGGCCTCCCAAAGTGCTGGGATTACAGTTGTGAGCCACCACGCCCAGCCCTATGCAGTTATTTAAAAAAAAAAAAAAAAAAAAAAAAAGGGAGAGAGAGAAACAAAATCATATCCTTTCCAGCAACTCAGATGGAGCTAGAGTACTAGCCTAAAGGGAAAACCAAACTGGGAAGTCAGTAGGTAGAGAAATAAACCAGAAATATCCTCTAACTGGATGCTAAATATAATTAACACAATATGGTCTATAGGTAAATAGTTTTCACTTACAGTAAAATAATTCCTTTATAGGACTTGTGTGGTCTGCTTATGTAAAATGTATGGCCCTGTGGCCACAGCTAAGTGAGATCTGGCCTAAAACCTTTGATGATAAAGTCAAAGTACTAATTACCACTGCAATTATCAAGCATATTAGGACAAATTGTTGGACTAACCAGGCTCCTAAGAAAAACTCTGAGAGTTAACATAGAACTAAATGTAGGTCTCTGAATTGATCTGATTTGGACCTGTACCTTGATCCAGCACCGCACAGGTCTCTATCAATCTATGCTGAGGGGCAAGAGAAGGGATTTGGGAGCCAAGCAGGCTGATGGTCAAATCATGGGTCAGCTGCTTGCTCACTGTGAGGTCATGGGCCAATTAATCAACCTCTCTGAACCACACAGTTGGGTTGTAATATAGCACAGATACTTTGCAAAGCTGTTGGGACGACTATATGGAGAAGCACATAATATGGTGTCTACCCAGAGTAGGGCACTCAACAGTTTCTTTTCTCTGTATTCCTTTAAATATATTTTTAAAAATCTGTAAAATACTACCTGCTTAAGGAGTCTTCAGAGCTTTCATCCACTATTAAAGAGAAAAGTAAAACACACTTTAAATCAACAATAGAAAAATATATAAAATTTAAAGCATAAGACTGATAGTTTGTTACAAAGTATCCCTCTGGGACCATATCTGGAGACTATAATAGAATTAATATCCTCTATAAATATTCCATTATACTCACATGTATAGAAAAAAGTTAATCTTCCCTGCAGACCTGCCACTCTTCTCTACTCACCTGACAATTTCCTACTCCTCATGTCCAGTTTAAATGCTTGTGCACAACCTGGAAACCTAGGAATCAGCTGAGATTTCTCTCTGCCCCCTAACTTTTTACACTCAATAATCACTAAATCCTATTAACTGTACCTCTCTTCTGCCTTTGCCTTACATTTCCACTACTCCTGGAAATATAAACATATTTACTTAATGTGTTATTTACTTAATATAATATTTACTTAATATGTTTATATTTCCTAGTTAAACATGCACTCTTAACTGATAGCTTTCACAAGGAAAAAAAACCCATGCACTCTTAATGTTATTTCTTAAATGAAAAAAAAAATTTAAGCAAAACTAATAAAAAAGTTATAACATGAAGAAAAAGACCAACATTTTAAAATAAATAAACTGGCCAGGTATGGTGCCTCATGCCTATAATCCCAGCACTTTGGGAGGCCAAGGCAGGAGGATCACTTCAGGCCAGGAGTTTGAGACCAGCCTGGCCTAACATAGTGAGACCTCATCTCTAAAAGAATAAATAAAATGAAATAAAATAAAATTAATAAACTGAGCTTCCTAACTTTATGTATTTCACCATGGATGGTGAGAACCTCATAATGGATAAATACTAGTCCAAGGATTAGTGACAAAAAAACTATGGCTTTAACTACTGCAAAAGCTTCCTTGTTTCCCAATCCCTTTACATGGTTACCTTCCATCTATCCTGTATATAAGAGGCCAGCAAACTAGAGGCCACAAGCCAAATCCAGCCAGCCATACGGTTTTGTAAATAAAGGTTTACGGAAGCACAGTCATGTTATTCACTTACATATTATTTATGACTGCTTTCACATTACAATGGCAGGGTTGCATAGCTATGACCTAAGTTGCATAGCACCTAGGCCGGGTGCAGTGGCCCATGCCTGTTATCCCAGCACTTTGGGAGGCTGAGGCGGGCAGAACATGAGGCCAGGAGTTCAAGACCAGCCTGAGCAACATGGAGAAACCCCGTCTCTACTAAAAGTACAAAAAGTAGCCAGGCATGGTAGCACGCACCTGTGATCCCAGCTACTCAGGAGGCTGAGGCAGGAGAATCGCTTGAACCCAGAAGGCGGAGGTTGCAGTGAGCCTAGCCAAGATCACACCACTGCACTCCAGCCTGGGCAACAAGAGCAAAACTACATCTCAAAAAAAAAAAAAAAAAGAAAAAAGAAATAAAATGTTTGCATTCTGTAACGTTAGAAAAATGCTTAGTATCTAAAAGATACTTGACAGTTATTTGCTAAGTAAACAATTATAGAAATCAATTAAAATACTTTCATTGAAAAAACACAAATGAAATAGAACAGCTCTATTCTATTATGAAAACTTTGAAGACCAAAACTAATCTGTTCCATATTCATATTTCTTGCAACTTGCAAAACCTAACCTATGAAAGTTCTTTGATAAATATGTACCAAATTAAATGTGTCTTCATGCAGTTCAGATTATAAAATGCATTTGGTGTCACATCCAGGTAGCATAGTAGCATTTTTGTTATGGCGAAACATTTCTGGCCAGGTGCGGTGTCTCAAGCCTGTAATCCCAATACTTTGGGAGGCCAAGGCGGGCAGATGTCCTGAGTTCAGGAGTTCCAAGATCAGCCTGGCCAACATGGTAAAACCCTATCTCAACTAAAAATATAAAAATTGGCTGGGCATGGTGGCGGGCACCTGTAATCTTGGCTACTTGGGAGGCTGAGGCAAAAGAATTGCTTGAACCCAGGAGGCGGATGTTGCAGTGAGCCGAGATCGCACCATTATTGCACTCCAGCCTGGGCAACAAGAGTGAAACTCCATTTCAAAAAAAAAAAAAAAAAATTTCTGTACTTACTTTTTTTTTCCTGTTTTTTTTTAGAGTCTCCCATTGGACATTTTTGTACTTTCATTATAATTTGTTGAGCGCAGAGTTGAGATATTTGAATATTCATTATGATAATCTTTTGGCTAATGATAACAGAGTGTTTCATTCTAGCAAGATTACTGTTATCATGACAATTATTCAGCAGACAGAAGAACACACTTGTTTTTTTTGTTTGTTTTTTTTTTGAGATGGAGTCTCGCTCTGTCACCCAGGCTGGAGTGCAGTGACACAATCTCGGCTCACTGCAACCTCTGCCTCCCAGGTTCAAGCCATTCTCCTGCCTCAGCCTCCTGAGTAGCTGGGGTTACAGGTGTGCGCCACCACGCCCAGCTAATTTTTGTATTTTTAGTAGAGACGGGGTTTCACCATGTTGGCCAGGCTGGTCTCGAACTCCTGACCTCATAATCCACCCGCCTCGGCCTCTCAAAGTGCTGGGATTACAGGCGTGAGCCACCGCACCTGGCCAGAAGAACACATCTTGTTCTAACGAAGTAAATGTATCTCATTCTATTTCAACTTAGGCTGAATAAAGTCAGTAATAATAAGATTTTGTTGGTATAAGAATAAGTAACATGACTTGTGCTTCTCAACAAGGAATTGTTTTTCTGACTTCTGTATTCAGTATCTTTAAAAAATAATTTCCTATTGGTATTGGTGCACACTGGCTAAGTTCTGCAGTTCTTATTGCCATTTGTTTATGGTACCAGAAAGGTACTGTTGAGTTCCCCCTTTTAAAGATAGTTAATTTTTAGTGACCCAAATCACTATGTAATGACCCTTGAACAATATAGGTTTGAACTGCACAAATCCACCTATATGTGGATTTTCTTCATCTCTGCCACCCCAAGACAGCAGGACCAACCTCTCATCTTCCTCTTATTTCTCAGCCTACTCAACATGATGACAACCAGGATGAAGACCTCTATGATAATCAACTTCCACTCAATGAGTAGTAAATACATTTCTTCTTCTTTAATGATTTTCTTAATCATAATTTCTTTCTTGTAGCTTACTTTACTACAATACATTATATAATACATATACATAATACATGTTAATTGACTATTTATATTATCATAAGGCTTGCAGTCAACAGTAGGCAATTAGTAGTTAAGTTTTGGGGGACTTGAAAGTTAGTGCAGATTTTCAGCTGCACAGGGATCACCAGTCCTAATATGCACGTTGCTCAAGGGACAACTGTAATTAATATTCATTTAATAAACACAAACCATTTATTATAAAAATTAAATAGAAGATCCATTTTTTATAACAAGTCTAGTTCATTATAATGTAATTATAAAGGAAACACATAACATACTAACTTAAACACCTTTTTTATTTATACAAAAATTTCATATAGGAATTTAGGGATGATAATTAAGTAAATGAATTTTTTTCAGATAGTACCATTTGGCATCATAAATATCTACATGTAACTTCTTAAATAATTCTGAATTCTAGATTACCAAGAGAAATTAAGAAAAAATACACATGCACCTTATACACTGATTTTTAAAACTGCTTTTCTGTGATCAACACTTCCTTACTTTTACTTTTTTATCCATGGTACTATTACCAAGAGAAATTCACTATTGGAAGTCTTACCTGAATTACTATTTTGAGAAGAATGTTTAGGTATCCTTTCTTCTTTATATTCTGAAATTAGTTGGTGACTGCTATGTATAGAAAAATGTAACAAAATTATGTTAATACTGATACAAAAAATATTTACCAAATATCTCAAAATCTTGAGTATTTCAGCCATTATCAGAGCTAACAGCAGAATTTTAATTATCCCATACACTTCAAATATGTAAGCTCTACAAACTTTTTTGTTTTTTTTTTTTTTTTTTTTTGAGACAGAGTCTTACTCTGTCACCCAGGCTGGAGTACAGTGGTATGATATTGGCACACTGCAACCTCCGCCTCCCGGGTTCAAGTGATTCTCCTGCCTCAGCCTCCTGAATAGCTGGGATTACAGGTACCCGTCACTACGCTCAGCTAATTTTTTTGTATTTTTAGTAGAGACAGGGTTTCACCATGTTGGCCAGGCTGGTCTTGAACTCCTGACCTCATGATTTGCCTGCCTTGGCCTCCCAAAGTGCTGGGATTACAGGCGTGAACCACTGCACCCAGCCCAAACTTCTTATTAAGCTTCAAATTAAAGGAGAAAAAGATTAAAGTGAAATAGTTATGAAGTGAGGGCAGTGGAGCTCAGCAAATTAACTAGAGTTAGCTTGACATAATGGAAAGTGTCCTGAACCCAGAAGAAGTCCTGGCTCTGTAACCAACAGCTATTTGTTCTTGGACAAGAGGCTTCCCTTAGGCTCAACATCTTCTTCTAAAACATAAGGATTTTACTGCCTTATTTCACTAGGGTTATAAAGATTTAACAAGATAACACTTTTCAAATGCTCAGAGAAATAGTAAAGAAATGGAATAATTTGTTCCTGAATTTTATTGCTAAAACTATTTTGGAATCCCAAATAAAACCCAATTAAATGTTTCTCCAAAGGTTCTAATATTCAAATGTTGCCATTTTCAGAAAATGTTACTAAGTCCTAATTTTGGTTATTAGTTATTCTATTCTTTGTGGTTTCCAATCCCAGTGAATTTCATAATTTGTAACTGAATTCACTTATAAATATAGCATCTCATTAAATTAGATAACATAATTGTCCCTTATTACTGAACTAACTGATCACAGCAAGGGCAGAAAACTAACAGATGTTAAGGCCTGGTTTAGACAACGACTTTTGCTTCTCTACCTCCTCAAACTCTGAACCAGCAGATCTTTGTTAGAACGGTGCTTAATCTTCATGTTCATCATTCCAACTGACGTGGAAAACAAAACTCTACTTTTATTTAGAGACAAGGTATTCTATCACCCAAGATGGAGTGCAGTGGCATGGTCATAATCCACTGCCGCCTGGAACTCCTGGGCTCAAGCAATCCTCCTGCCTCAGCCCCACGAGTAGCTAGGACTCCAGGTGCACACCATCACACCTGGCTAATTTTTCTTCATTATTTTTTGTACCAATGGGGTCTTGCTATGTTGCCCAGGCTGGTCTTGAACTCCTGGCCTCAAGCAATTCTCCTGCCTGTGCCTCCCAAAGTGCTGGAATTAAAGACGTGAGCCACTGCACCTGGCCTCACTTTTATTTTAAGTTCCATGAAGGAGATGTGAATTGACATTTTCTCATTTCTGTGATACCTACTAACAACATATTTGCACGTAACATCCCATGTGTTAGCTCCATTCTCATTTCACAGATCACCTTACATGAATATTTTTGTCATGAAAATCACAATTTCAATACTGGGTGCCACCCTTTTGCTTTGACTCACACTGTTAGCAAATAGTAAAATGGCCTTCCAGGGACTGTGCAAAATATGGAACGCTTCAAGAATGTGTGTGTCATCTTTATACAGGGGCCATGCTGATCTTCTCTACATTGTTCAAATTTTAGTATATGTGCTGCTGAAGCAAGCACAAAACCCGACTTTTATACATGGATACTGATGAGTCATGGAACAGGCTTAGCTCTGTTCAATCCAACTAACCTACTTTACGCTCAGAGAATTCTGTTGAATGGCTTCCTTGTGAGGTACAATCTGAAAATATTTTAAAAACTTAAGGTAGAGATGCAAGCAGCTTGGGAGATTTTCATTATGAAAAACAGATCACTTTAGGGGTCAACCACAAGTTGGTGGCCACTACTCCAGCGAAGGACAATATGGAACCTTTCACTACCTAAGAAAATGTGCTACACAGAATGTAAAGGGGCTTTGGAGTACATTCCTGGTAGCAAAGAAAAAAAGAAACTCTGATCTCTTCCTGCAACATTATTTGAACCTGACAGTTGAGAACAATCCCAACTAATATTTGCTAGAGAAAAGACAAACAAAAGCCTCCATGGGTAACTTACCATGAAGGTCAAGGCTAAGTCAAGGCTAAGATATGGTCTCCATATAAGGTTTTGAGTGTAGGTGGAAGGGTCAATTTGCTCACTCTGTGTGTGGCTAAAGCTTCCAGGAGGCCAGCTGCCAGAGCAGGGTGCTGGTGCTTTAGGAACAATGGCTGGGCATATAAACACTTGTATGTGAACTGAAAAAAAGTCCTAACTTTGAAGTCTACCTATGGATCACCATGAAGGCTGAGGGATCTCAATCAGTAAGAGCATCCTTGTAGCAAAGGTCAATCATTTCCAGACTGCAGGACCAGTCTCAGTGGCAACAATGCAGCAACAAAATCACTGGTAACAAAAGAATGATTAGAATGTCCTTTGTCCCCTCCTGATTTATAAAAGAGGACTGTCTTCCTTGGACTTAAGGAACCCCTTCGGTTCCTGAAAAATTCAAGGCAGAGGGCATAGCAGATGGCCCCCAGGGGGACAGTTCAAGATTATCTGCCAAACTGGACATTTCAAGACTCAAATAACCAACTAGAAAAATTAAACATGTGATAGTATTTTTTATCCCATGCATAGGGGTTATAATTGGAATGAAATGAATGATATTGGGACCCCTATGGATTAAGTTCGTAAAAGTCCTGAGATAAAAAAATTCTATACCCGGTTGGACACAGTGGCTCATGCCTATAATTCCAGCACTTTGGAAAGCCAAGGTTGATGGATTGCTTGAGCCTAGGAGTTTGAGACCACCCTAAGCAACATGGCAAAACTCATCTCTACAAAAAATACATAAAATTAGCCGGGCATGGTGGTATGTGCTTGTAGTCCCAGCTACTTGGGAGGCTGAGGTGGGAGAATCTCCTTAGCCCACGGCTTGAAGCTGTGGTGACCTGTGATCGTGCCCCTGCACTCCAGCCCAGGTGACAGAGTGAGACCCTGTCTCAGAAACAAAACAAAACAAAAAGAATCCTACATGCATTGCTGCTTCTAACTAGTCTAGCCTTTTGCTTGATTTCTGGCTGATGAAGTAGGCTAATTCACTGCCATTCTAAAATTACCTGACCCAAACTATGAAATCTCAACTGATGTATAAGATGCAATCATGATAATTATTTTAAACCTCTATTTAGTGTTAACTAGCCTTTTATTGTAAACATTTACATACTAAACCACTAACAACAGCATATTTTTCTGTAGTCCATCCCTAGACATATTAAGAAAAAACATCAAAACTCTGCTGAACAAAAAGCCTGACTATACTTGATGATTCATAAAATATAGTGGGCATGAGGGGTGTTCTAAAATAAGAGAGATATGGCCAGCCATGGTGGCTCATGCCTGTGATCCTAGCACTTTGGGAGGCCAAAGCGGGTGGATCACTTGAAGTCAGGAGTTCGAGACCAGCCTGGCCAACACAGTGAAACCCCATCTCTACTAAAAATACAAAAATTAGCCAGAAAATGCTTAAACCCGGGAGGTAGAGGTTGCAGTGAGCCGACTGTGCCACTGCACTCCAGCCTGGGCAACAGAGCAAGACTCCATCTCAAAAAATAAATAAATAAAAATAAAATAAGAGGTAATTTCACCCCAGGAACTTTAATAAGGTTATGTGCACAGATAATTTGATATACTTTACCAATTTAGTATCTTGCCTGTCTGTGTAGAATTAACTATTTACATCTACTAATAGACATAAGCATCTTGGGTGCTCAAGTGCTCATCTTTGTAAATTACCACCAAGGCTAAAAGGAAGGGACAAAAAAGAGGCCTCTTGTCTCACTGGGGTATTACATACTAGAAGTCCTTTCATGGCAAAAACCTATGCTGAGTTTACTTATCTAAAGTAGGCAAAGATTTAAATGAAGAATTCTCCATTTCTTCTCTAGTCTGATATATTACAATTGCAGTCAGCTAGGGGTCAGATAAGAGCTATCTGCAGGCTTAAAACAGTATTAATAATAATGGTAGCCAGGTGCAGCAGCTCATGCCTATAATCTAAGCACTTTGGGAGGCCAAGATGGGTGGATCACTACAGTCCAGGAGTTTGAGGCCAGCCTGGGTAATATGGGGAAATCCCATCTCTACAAAAAATGCAAAAATTAGCTGGATGTGGTGGCACATGCCTGTAGTCCCAGCTACTCAGGAGGCTGAGGCAGGGGGATTGCTTGAGCCCAAGAGACAGAGGTTGCAGGGAGCCAACATCACACCATTGCACTCCAGCCCGTGACAGAGCCAGACCCTGTCTCAAATAATAATAATAATAATAATAAAGGTAATAATAGGAGTCACAGTAGTTTCAGCCAATGATGCTGATAAGCGTGGGCTAGGCACTGAATCAAATGCTATATAATCTTATTTAAATACAACCACCTTGAGATATATTTAGTATCCCCCTTTTTATATCAGAAAACATATTTGGTGATAAGTAAGGTCCCCAAGCTTACACACTTAACAAGTGGGAAAGCAAGGAATTAAATCCAGTCTCGTGTGAATTTAAAGCCTCTTTTCTCTTTATCACCCATCTATGGCTTGTCTTCAATAAAGGAAAAGTTTATCCAATAAAAGCTGTCTTTCTTCCCTTTGCCCATACCAATTAAAAATAAAAACATCAAAATATACTAGAAATAGAAAAGGAAAAAAATAATGAAACTATAGTATCTGGCAATAGCGATCAACAATCACCTAGGGATAACCTAACATCCGTACTCTTCAAAGAAAGCAACTTAAAGCAAAGAGGCACTCAAAAGACAAAAACTGCTATTGATGTTTAACACAGCATTTCTGAAGGAAAAGTACATAAGCAGAGGTTAGAACAATACCATAAAAGGGTGAAGAAGTTCAATATTGAGTTAAAAAGTGGCCGGGCGCAGTGGCTTAATGCCTGTAATCCCAGTACTTTGGAAGGCCAAGGCGGGTGGATCACGAGGTCAGGAGTTCAAGACCAGCCTGACCAACATGATGAAACCCCATCTCTACTAAAAATACAAAAATTAGTCAGGTGTGGTGGTGTGCACCAGTAATCCCAGCTACTCAGGGGGCTGAGGCAGGAGAATCGCTTGAACCCAGGAGGTGGAGGTTGCAGTGAGCTGAGATTGCGCCACTGCACTCTAGCCTGAGTGACGGGGGAGACTCCATGTAAAAAAAAAAAAAAGTAAACTAAAAGTTAAAGTCCGCATTTTATAAAACTAATAAAACTGATAAGAAACCTCTTTAGCTAACAGATCACATGGCCAAAAACATGGGTTTACAAATAACAAACATCAGTCAATATTATAAGAGAAGATGAATCCTACTGTATAGTCTTCTTTTATATTGCCCAATCCAAGCAACTGCTTTTCTTCCTAACTGATTTGTGTTGCTATTTGTCACTATATCCCCATAATTATGTTAACCTTCTTATTAAATTAATATTTCTGACTTGAGTGAGAAACACCAACGAATCACTGTTGCCCCTCAAGAACAAGCAGGTTTAAAAAACCTGTAACATGCAAAACACAGATCTAAAAAAACTTTTAAACATACAAGTTTAAAAATCCAAAACAAAACCAGCTACTGTACCTTTCCAACTTATCTACTGCATTTACATTTGCTTTTTTCTTTATTAAAAATTCCACCATTTGCTGCTTTTTTCCACTTACTGCAAGTAAAAGTGGTGTGAGGTCATCCTGTAAGACAGCAAAAACAAGTTAAAATGCATAAAATTACATAATTCTCGGCTGAACTGAAAACTCTATGTCAGATCCTTTGAACTGAAACATATAAAATAGAAAACAAATAAAAAACACTTGCTTCCCTTGGAAACACCCCTCCTCTGCCTCACCACATGAACTCCACTCATCTCCAAAACTCACTTCAAATTTTTACCGGTTCTAAGAATATTTGCTTCTATCACATCATTTGGCATGGCATATTGTATTCATTGTATTGTTTCCCATCAAAACCAAGAGCTTCTAGGCTGAGCACAGTGGCTCCCACCTGTAATATCAGCACTTTGAGAGGCTGAGGCGGGTGGATCACCTGAGGTCAGGAGTTCGAGGCCCGCCTGGCCAACATGGCAAAACCCCATCTCTACTAAAAATACAAAAATTAGCTGGGCATGGTGGTGGGTACCTGTAATCCCAGCTACTCAGGAGGCTGAGGCAGGAGAATTGCTTGAACCCGGGAGGCAGAGGCAGAGGTTGCAGTGAGCCGAGATCGCGCCTCTGCACTTTAGACTGGGAGACAGAGCAAGACTCTGTCTCAAAAAAAAAAAAGATTTGCCTTTAACAAATTGTGTTTTCACAAGTATTTACAATAAATGCATAAAAGAAAGGTGTACTGCCTAATGCTTCTTTAAAAGTATCAACATTTAAAGTAAAATCTTAGACAATTAAGTTATTTTAAAATACTTTCAGTCAGGGAATGCTTGCGCTTCCAAATACAGAAAACTAACCCTTACATATGTCACTGTTGAAACAAACGCATTTCAAATACTGTAAAAATAAAGTTGGTTGATCTATACCTTGTTTTTTGCTTCAATATTTGCATCATACAAAAGCAGCTTTGTTGCTACTGATATGTCCTCATTATAGACAGCATAGTGAAGAGCAGTGTTGCCATGGACATCCGCAAGATTTGGATCAGCACCATGTTCTAGCAGAATAGTTGCACATTTCTCTTCCTGGCATTGTACAGCCTGGGAGTATTAGACCAAGAAACAGATCATAAATTCTAGGAATGCAAAATAAACACTCCACAGGTTTCACCAATTAGTTATATTTTAATGAGATAAATTCATTTTCATTCTATGTATTTAAGTCAAATCCATCTGATGCTGAAAGAGCTGGCTACTATATACCTTCATCAGAGCTGTCCTGTTTTCGTTGTCACAGACATTGAGCTGGCATTTTCTGTCCACCAGGAGAGTTACTACTTCTGGATGACCATTGGCACAGGCCAAATGTAGAGCCGTCCTATGAGAGTGACAGGACTTTTTATAAACTGTAGTGCACTGTCTCAAAACATACAATGGTTCATAAAATTATAAACATTAAATAGCATGTTGATATGGTTTGGCTGTGTCCCCACCCAAATCTCATCTTGGCTGTGTCCCCAACCAAATCCCAAATTGTAGTTCCCATGATCCCTACGTGTGGTGAGGGGGACTCAGTGGGAGGTAACTGAATCACGAGGATGGTTCCCCCGTGCTGCTGCTCTTGTGATAGTGAGTTCTCACAATATCTGATGGTTTCTTAAGGGGCTTTTCCCTCTTTTGCTTGGCACTTCTCCTTGCTGACACCATGTCAAGGACATGTTTGCTTCTCCTTCTGCCCTTATTGTTAAGTTTCCTGAGGCCTCCCCAACCAGGCTGAACTGTGAGTTAATTAAACCTCTTTCCTTTATAAATTACCCATATAATAAAGGGTATGTCTTTATTAGCAGCATGAGAACAGACTAATACACATGTTAATCCTCCGCCTTCAAAACAAGTATTTAATTTTCTTCTGAAAACAGTACAATATTTATTAGCTCTTACTACTCACCACATTAATGAAAGAGCAACCTATCTGAATAGAAAAGGCTTGACCTTTAGATTCAGTTCAACTTGGGGTTGAATCCTACTTTAAGCTGTCACTTACTCATTATGGCTTAGTAAGTGCCTCAGTTTCCTCATCAATAAAATGGGGATCAAAATAGTAGCTATCTCATAGGACACCACTGGGATGCTTACATGAGAATCTATGCAAAATGTTTAGAACAGTTCCTAGCACAAATAACAGCTCAATAATTGTTAGATATAATTACCATTACTACTGTTTAATAAAGATGTTTTAATTAAATGAAATGATACAATTATACCTAGTTGACAGTATGTTTTAAAGATCAGCGATAAGGCCAGGCATGGCGGCTCATGCCTGAATCCCAGAACTTTGGGAAGCTGAGGTAGGATGACTGCTTGAGTCCAAGAGTTTGAGACCAGCCTGGGCAACATAGTGAGACTCCATCTCTATAAAAATTTAAAAAGTAGCCAGGCATGGTGGTGAACACCTGTGGTCCCAGCTACTCAGGAGGCTAAGGCCAAAGAATCGCTTGAGCCCAGGAGGTTGAGGCTGTAGTGAGCTGTGATTGTGCCACTGTACTCTAGCCTGGGCAACAGAGAGAGACCCTGTCTACAAAAAAAAAAAAAAAATTAGAGATAACACAGTATTTCAGTGATTCTAAGATGCTCATTTTCTCACATTTCAATATCTCTGACATTGGAATGCCACTTGTAATTCATGATTTATTACAACTATAATTGGAAGCATTTTTAAAATTGAAAAACAGATTTTTAAAACAAAGTAATTCTTATTGTGTTTTCAAGAAACTTCAACACAAAAGAAACTCAGGATTCAAATGAATAGGTTGGCTCATTTTATTCAATATTTAGATTTATAGAATATATGCAGATATTTCCAATGACTAATATTCGTGTTTAAGACATAAATTTTCAAAAGGGTAATTAAAGGTTATTTCTTATAATTTTCTACCTTCAGAAACACTTTTGTTTATAAAGAGGGGTTGGGTGCAGTGGCTCACGCCTGTAATCCCAACACTTTGGGAAGCCAAGGCAGGCAGATCACTTGAGGTCAGGAATTCAAGATCAGCCTGACCAACATGGTAAAACCCCATCTCTGCTAAAAATACAAAAAGTAGCCGGACATGGTGGTACATGCCTGTAATCCCAGCTACTCGAGGGGGCTGAGGCAGGAGAATCACTTGAACCCTGGTGGCAGAGTTGGAGTAAGCCGAGATCATGCCACTTTACTCCAGCCTGGGTGTCAGAGCATAATCTCCTCTCAAAAAAATAAATAAATAAGAGGAGGGAGGAAAAGCTTCAATTGAGATTGCCCTAATAGTCTAATTTTAAATCTCTCAACTTGCTCAGGCTGGGCAGGTATGCAAACATAAAGGTTTTGAAGATGGAAAGGTCCTGAGAGATAGTAGACTATGTTTTCACCTGCAATTGCCTTGACCTGAATGAATGCACTCCACTCTGGCCTTTCTTTCCTCTTAGCTCCTAAGGAATCCACAGATCCACTTTGGATTACCCTCTTCTAAGGCCTGCTCACACCCTTAACAGGACTTTTCATATGGGATCCCAAATGGATTCTCCCTCCCACCAACAGCTCTCATACTTGACCAGAGCTCTCATCTGTCCTCTATAAACATCCAAACATTCTTTGCCAAAACAAATGCTAAGAGACCAGACCAGTCTCAACACAGGAGCCAAGCAGCTCACCAGAACTTCTCTCAGGCTTGATTTCCTGGGGATGAGTTAAATACCTGCTTCCAGAAGTGCAGGAGATTCACATCAAGCTCTATGAAGACAGTTTTATATGAGAAATCAGCAACTTTCCATCTTCCCTGACAGCTCTGTAAATTTGTCATAAAATGCATTCCCAAATTCATAGCAGATTAGCTACATTATGTATTACAATGCTAATGCAAGACTGAAATAGTTTAGAACACCACACAGCACTTATATACATATATATGAAGTTCCTGTTGTGAAAGGGGAATAAATATCATATTCATGACTAAAATAGGGATTCACCTCTGACAGAAAAGAATTTGCATAGAAGTAAAATCCTCACTTCAAAGATATCAACTCTGGCCTGGTGCAGTGGCTCATGCCTGTAATCCCAGCACTTTGGGAGGCTGAGGCAGGCAGATCACCTGAGGTCAGGAGTTTGAGACCAACTTGGCCAACGTGGTGAAACCCCGTCTCTACTAAAAATACAAAAAAAATAGCCAGGCATGGTGGTGGGTGCCTGGAATCCCAGCTGTTTGGGAGGCTGAGGCACGAGAATTGCTTGAACCTGGGAGGAGAAGGTTACAGTGAGCCAAGATCATGCCAACTCACTCCAGCCCAGGAGACAGAGCGAGACTCCATCTCAAAAAAAAAAAAAAAAGAAAAAAAAATCAGCTCTGCAAATCTTCATGTCCACTACTGTTATGTTTCCAATTCAAAGATCAAGTCTATATTCTACCACATTTTATTAAAATACTACGCACTTACATTAATATGCTTATAACTAGCGGTGGTTCACGCCTGTAATCCCAACACTTTGGGAGGCCAAGGCAGGCAGATCACTTGAGGTTAGGAGTTTGAGACCAGCCTGGCCAACAGGGTAGAACCCCATCTATACTAAAAATACAAAAATTAGCCAGGCATGGTGGCACGTGCCTGGAATCTCAGCTACTAGGGAGGCTGAGGCAGGAGAATTGCTTGAACCCAGGAGATGGATGTTGCATTGAGCCGAGATCACACCATTGCACTCCAGCCTGGGCGAAGAAGCGAGACTTCACCTCAAAAACAAAAAAGGCCAGGCGCGGTGGCTCAAGCCTGTAATCTCAGCACTTTGGGAGGCCGAGGTGGGCAGATCACAAGGTCAGGAGATCGAGACCACCCTGGCTAACACAGTGAAACCCTGTCTCTACTAGAAATACAAAAAAAAAAAAAAATTAGCTGTCCCAGCTACTCAGGAGACTGAGGCAGGAGAATCGCTTGAACCCAGGAAGCAGAGGTTGCAGTAAAGCTGAGATCTGGCCACTGCACTCCAGCCTGGGCAACAGAGGGAGACTCTGTCTAAGAAAAAAAGAAAAAAGAGATAGTAGACTATGTCTGCTACATAACAGGTATTCAGGTTATGATTGATGAATAAATGGATTGAAAGAATGGAAAAATCATTAGGGAGTTCAATATTTTTAAATAAAATTCTTATAAAGTAGAGTAATTCTTTTATTCTTTTGCAATAATATTTATCTTTTTTTTGTTTTGTTTTGTTTTGTTTTTTTGAGATGGAGTCTCGCTCTGTCACCCAGGGTGGATTGCAGTGGTGCAATCTCAGCTCACTGTACCCTCCGCCTCCCAGGTGCACGCTATTCTACTGCCTGCCTCAGTCTCCCAAGTACCTGAGACTACAGGTGTGTACCACCACACCTGGCTAATATTTGTATTTTTACTACAGAAGGGTTTCACTACGTTGGCCAGGATGGTCTTGAATTCCTGGACTTAAGTGATCCACCCTCCTCAGCCTCCCAAAGTGCTGGGATTACAGGCCTAAGCCATTGCATCCAGCCTAATTATCATTTATATTTGGTATTTTTATTGTCATAAGGACACAACTAAAATAAAATGATTGTACCTGTTTGCATATATAATAAATCTATAATAAAAACATGTATATGATAAAATGTATACATAAAATCTATAAATACAGATAAAAAGATACCCTTTACTTTTTCTTTTTTTATTTTTATTTTTTATCTTCTTAATTTTTGGTGGCAAGAACAAAGATCTGCTTTACCTTTCATTTTTAATAGAGACAGGGTCTTGCTATGTTGCCCAGGCTAGTTTCGAACTCCTGGGTCAAGCAATCCTCCTGCCTGGGCCTCCCAAAGTGCTGGGATTACAGTCATGAGCCACAGGTGCCCAGCCAAGATCCCCTTTACTTCTGAAAAGGATAAAAGTTGTCAGACGATAGCAATCCACCAAAAAAAGAAAAAAAAGAAAGTGGGAAATGATTTTTATCTGTGCAAGATTCATATTCCTCTCTTCCCAAGGATTACTTCATTAATAATAAATTTTCACTAGAACTTTTATACATACTCATTGCAGAAATCATAAAGAAAAAAGTTTGACTTATTATACAAATGCCCAGAAATAACAAATTTTACCACTTTTTTTTTTTTTTGAGACGGAGTCTTGCTCTGTCGCCCAGGCTGGAGTGCAGTGGCGTGATCTCCGCTCACTGCAAGCTCCGCCTCCCGGGTTCACGCCATTCTCCTGCCTCAGCCTCCGGAGTAGCTGGGACTACAGGCGCCCGCCACCATGCCCGGCTGATTTTTTTGTATTTTTAGTAGAAACGGGGTTTCACTGTGTTAGCCAGGATGGTCTCGATCTCCTGACCTCGTGATCCGCCCGCCTCGGCCTCCCGAAGTGCTGGGATTACAGGCGTGAGACACCGCGCCTGGCCAAATTTTACCACGTTTTGTACATATTTTCAGCTAACACAAGACCACAGTCTGTATGTATAATCAAACTTTTTTTCTCACTTGAGATACCAAAGTATATCCTCACATGCCAATACACTTCTGTATCTATTGCCACTTTCTTTTCTTTCTTTCTTTTTTTTGAGACAGAGTTTTGCTCTTGTTGCCCAGGCTGGAGTGCAATGGCACGATCTTGGCTCACTGCAACCTCTGCCTCCCAGGTTCAAGCGATTCTCCTGCCTCAGTCTTCGGAGTAGCTGAGATTACAGGCTCCCACCACCATGCCTAGCTAATTTTTGTATTTTTAGTAGAGACGGGGTTTCACCATGTTGGCCAAGCTGGTCTCGAACTTCTGACCTCAGGATATCCGCTTGCCTTGGTCTCCTAAAATGCTGGGTTTACAGGCGCGAGCCACCACGCCTGGCCTCTACTGCCACTTTCAATGGTCACATATTATCATGCACTGACATTTATTCACAAAATCCATTCTATGGGTTCTCCTTAATACACTGCTTAAGCAATGCTGAGAAAAACAAATTACTTGTATATCTATTTCCTAAAGGCATTTTATTTCTTTTTCTTTTTGAAAGATAGGGTCTTGCTCTGTTGTCACTGACATACCTCACTGCAGCCTAGAACTCCTGGGCTCAAGTGATGCTCCTGCCTCAGCCTTCCAAGTAGCTGAGACTATTAGAGTTGGGGGGGGGGGTCTCGCTATAATGCCCAGGCTGGCCTTGAACTCCTGGCCTCAAGCAATCCTCCCGCCTCAGCCTCCCGAAGTGCTGTGATTACAGGCGCGAGCCACCGCGCCTGACGAATAACAGATTTTATAGAAATAATTTTTAACCCAGAAGTTGCTATATTATGGAAACTGCTTATCTCATTATGCACCTTTCCATAAGTGTATGACATTGTATCTTAAATGTGTACATTAAAAATAAAACGCTGTACGTGCTTTTGTTCGTTAATTCACTTTAAAATTGTCACTTAAGTGCTCTCTAAGGGATTTCGGGGGGATCGGAAACCAGCTAGAGTTCTGTTTTTGTTTTTCTGCTCAGAAAGGCGGCCTGGGCGCTGGAGCCCTGCAAGGTGTCACCGTCCCAGGGGCTACGGAGCCCGCGGGAGGCTGATCCAGGCCCTGGGTGGCTCCCACAAAAGGGGCCCCTCTTCCTGCCCGCCTACTCCAGTGGCACTCAGTCCGGGCTTGCGACGCCTATTACCTGTTCATCTTGTCTCTATCGTTCAAGCCATTCTTCCTGAGCAAAAGGATCTGCTGCACTTTCGCCACATTACCCGCGCTGGCAGCTTTGTGGATCTTGCCGAGATCTCGGTCTCGGACGTGGTAGCCGGGCTGCGAGTAGGCGCCCTCCCCCGGCTCGCCCCCGCCTCCCGCGCTGCTCCTCTGCCGCCGCGCGAAGGAGCCCAAGGGCGACTCGCCCTTCTTACTAAAAATCTTCTTCATGGCCCAGGCGACCGGGCTTCAGAGACACCTCATGTCTCTCTCGGCTCTTAACGGCCTCCGGAGCCCAACATAACAAGTCAGCCCCGGCTGGCCGCAGCCTCCCAAAGGAAACTCCGCGGTTTCCAATCTCTCCCTCCGGGTTACCAAGCAAGCGATCCCGCTAGACACAAGTGCGCATGCGCACCTCAGATGGCAAGGTCCACGCGCGTGCGCACGAAGGCCCAGTGGTCAAGTGTGCTCCATGCGCATGTGCAAGGCCCAGACCTCGCAAATCTCGGCGACTGGGACGAGCCCTGCGTTCCTGTCAAACAAATGTCGGTGGGAGTCTGGCTGAGTGTTCAGGACGTTTGCGAAAAGAAGCCTCGCGCCTGTGGGGAAGCAGCCTTTACGCATGACTGGGACTGGAGTAGCGTGGAGTTTTAAGATGCTGAAAGCCTCTTCTCCGAGAAAACTCCCCTAAGAAACTCTCTGAATCTCCCTATCTCTCAGTTTATTCCCCTTCCATGTCCCTTTGGGTGCCATCTGGTCTCCATGAGAACTTAACAGATGCAACAACAGAGGGCACAGGATTTCGGAGATCGTGGCATATGTGTCAAGTGCAGAGGGCACAGGATTTCGGAGATCGTGGCAATATGTGTCAAGTGCAAACTTACGAGGAGAAACCAATGCACATTCTCCAGAAGAAATGAGAACGCATTTCTGCATGCCTCCTTCCCCCACCCCTCTGCCTTTGGCCCAGCCTTATGTTTTATTTTTTGCTTTTGATTTTCCAAGGTTACATCTCTTTCTTCTTTTTTTTTTTTTTTTCCCCAACAGAGTCTCGCTTTGTCGCCCAGACTGTAGTGCAGTGGTGCAATCACGGCTCACTGCAGTCTCCACCTCCTGGGCTCAACGATACTCCCACCTCAGCCTCCTGAGTGAGTAGCTGAGACTACAGACGCAAGCCACCACGCCCGGCTATTTTTGCATTTTTTGTAGAGACAGGGTCTCACCATGTTGCCCAGGCTGGTCTCCGACTCCAGGGCTCAAATGATGCTCCCATCTCAGCCTCCCAAAGTGCTGGGATTACAGGTGTGAACCACCACGCCCAGCCTAGATTGAATAATTTGACAACAAATTGGAATTAGCAACGCAGACGTCAAGTGGAGTCTCAGCAGAAATTGCTGCTGGAATGCACCTCCATAGCTCTGGACAGCTCTAGGGTCCCTTGTGGAGGAGGTGGCTGGCCCCAGAACAGGCGTCTTTATTGCCAAGTGAGAAATGAGCAAAAACAAAACAACACTTCTCAGGCCTCTCCAGCTTAGCTAGATCAAATGGTTTTGATGTGGGAGAGTGGTTTCCACTATCGTCACCAAGAATTTTCCTCCTACACTACCCCAGCTAGAAAGTTATGTTGTCTCCTCAACACTCCCCAAGGTGATCTATGAAGCTAGTCAAGTCCCAGCACTTTAGGAGGCCGAGGTGGGTGGATTACCTGAGGTCAGGAGTTCGAGACCAGGCCAACGTGGTGAAACCCCGTCTCTACTAAAAATACAAAAATTAGCTGGGTGTGGTGGTGCATGCCTGTAGTCCCAGCTACTCGGGAGGCTGAGGCAGGAGAAACACTTGAACCTGGGAGGCAGAGGTTCACACCACTGCCTCTGGAGTGGAGACTCTTGGATGGAGACCACGACTCTCTCTCAAAAAACAAAAACAAAAACAAACAAAAAATACTCAAGTGTGGAGAACACTGACTCTGAACAGAGGACTCTGACATTTCCTAATGCAGCCTGAAATTAAGGCCAAAGACATTACCAGTCTGGATGGATATAGGAATCACACACCACTCTCCAGGTAAGTTGTAGAGATTTGGTTGACTATAGTGTTTTTGTATAGACCAGAGATACCCAAGGACTATATGTTAGGCCAGCTCTGAGGTGTTGAATTCATCAGCCAAATGCTGGATCCCCAAAAAGTTTCTTGGAGTTCATTGAAAGCTAAGATCTCCCATTCATATGGAAATTAATTTCAGATCCAGAGCAGACACCCTCTAGAAAGTTGTCACTTGGAACTCCCATGCCTATCTAAGGCTAAAGTAATGCCCTGGTTCAGTTTTCCTATACCCTCATTTAATAATTATGTCAATGAAATTAATGTGTTAGGGGAATATTTGTTTTATAGTGAAAATCAACTGAGATATGAATGCCTTAGCAAATCCCTTAGATAAAGCTCTTTTTTTTTTTTTTTTTGAGATGAAGTCTCGCTCTGTCTCCCAGGCTGGAGTGCAGTGGCACGATATCTCGGCTCACTGCAAGCTCCGCCTCCTTGGTTCACACCATTCTCCTGCCTCAGCCTCCTGAGTAGCTGGGACTACAGGCGCCCACCACCACACCCGGCTACTTTTTGTATTTTGTTTAGTAGAGACGGGGTTTCACTGTGTTAGCCAGGATGGTCTCAATCTCCTGACCTCGTGATCCGCCCGCCTTGGCCTCCCAAAATGCTGGGATTACAGGCGTGAGCCACCGTGCCTGGCCAGATAAAGCTCTTTAATTCCAGTTCAAGGCTGTCACACGTGTTTTCTCCTTTTAAGAGTTACCAAGAAACTCATCAAACCCTTTTCCAAAACTGGTTCATTCATTCTTTGAAATGTGTCTTCCCATGCATTCTGCTGTGTCTATTGAGGAATAATGAAACTATAATTAAACCATGATTAGAACATAAGGGCTCAAGTGTGTTGAGGCCCATCTACCTGTATCTCCTGGAGATCCAAGACCTGGGATGATCACAGTAAGGAGGCCACCACATTAAACAGAAACATGTTCTGGGAACCTTCTTTATTCTAGGTATTGTGAGAGTCAGTGAGGAAACAACAGATGTGTTATTCTTCACTTCAGGGAGGGAGGCAAATTTCATGTTTAGTGCCACATTAAGGGGGAGCACAGAGGGCCTATAGAATCATGTCAAGAGAAGGGTGGTAGGTCATGGAGAGAGGCACATGAAGAAGTGATGTCAAAGCTGAAATTTAGGGCTGGGCATGGTGGTGTACACCTGTAATCCCAGCACTTTGAAAGGCTGAGGCTGGCGGATCACTTGAGCTCAGGAGTTCGAGATCAGCCTGGGCAACACAGCAAGACCCTGTCTCTAAAATCAAATTAAATTAAATTTTAAAAGCTGAGACTTAAAGAATAAACAGGAGTTTGTGAGAGGGGAGAAGATGGAAAGAAAAAAAAAGTACATCCTAGAAAGAGATAATGTGTCTGCCAGGTTTCAATCAGGAGAGAAACCACTTAGTAACCTGAACAAGAACAATTTAATACAAATAATTATTTGCTATAGAAGTTTGGCATGGTAGCTTGTGCCTGTAATCCCAATTACTTGGGAGGCTGAGGCATGAAGATGGCTTGAAGCCAGGGGTTTGAGACCAGCCTAGGCAGCATAGCCAGAACATGTCTCCAAAAAGTGTTTTAAAATTACCCATGGCCAGTGCCGGGCGTGGTGTCTCACACCTGTAATCCCAGCAGAGATTACATACCTTGGGAGACCGAGGTGGGTGGATCACTTGGGGTCAGAAGTTGGAGAGCAGCCTGGCCGACATGGTGAAACCCCATCTCTACTAAAAATACAAAAATTAGCCAGGTGTGGTGGCAGGCGCCTGTAATCCCAGCTACTCGGGAGGCTGAGGCAGGAGAATAACTTGAATCCAGGAGGCGGAGGTTGCAGTGAGCCAAGATTGTGCCATTGCACTCCATCCAGCCTGGATGACAGAGCAAGACTGTCTCAAAAAAAAAAAAAAAAAAAAAAATTAGCCATGCCCAGACATGGTGGCTCATGCCTGTAATCCCAGCACTTTGGGAGGCTGAGGTGGGCGGATCACTTGAGGTTAGGAGTTCAACACCAGCCTGGCAAACATGGTGAAACCCTGTCTCTACTAAAAATACAAAAAAATTAGCCAGGCATGGTGTTGCATGGCTGTAATCCCAGCTATTCAGGAGGCTGAGGTGGGAGGATCGCTTGAACCCAGGAGGCAGAGGTTGCAGGGAGCTGAGATCGTGCCTCTGCACTCCAGCCTGGGTAACATAGCAAGACTCCATCTCAAAAAAAAAAAAAAAAAAAAAATTATCCAGGCTCAGTGGCACATACCTGTAGTTCCAGCTTCTTGGGAGGCTAAGGCAGGAGGATCACTTGAGCACAGGAGTTTGAGACCAGCCTGGGGAATATAGCAAGACCCATCTCGGGCCGGGCATAGTGGCTCACACCTGTAATCCCAGCACTTTGGGAGACCGAGGTGGGTGGATCACGAGGTCAGGAGTTCGAGACCAGCCTGGCCAACACGGTGAAATCCCATCTCTACTAAAAATACAAAAATTAGCTGGGTGTGGTGGTGCATTCCTGTAATCCCAGCTACTCGGGAGGCTGAGGCAGGAGAATTGCTTGAACCAGGGAGTCAGAGGTTGCAGTGAGCTGAGATTGCGCCATTGCACTCCAGCCTGGCAACAGAGTGAGACTCCATCTCAAAAAAAAAAAAAAAGACCGCATCTCAAAGAAAAATTATTATTAACTGTAACAGTAGTATAAAAGTGAAAAGAAAAATCTAAAGAATCCTTTAGGATGAGATTACACCCAAAGTATGAACAACTTAAAATGAGTGGCTTCACAAGGCTGGGGATTCAGATGTCCTTGGAGAAGGTGTGGTTGCCAAGGCCAGAGCTGGTCCACAGTCATCGAGCAAACAGCAAACGCCCTTCTGGAGTACCAGGGGCCCAATCTGATACGTGCATAGATGGTGTGAGGAGGCAGGAAGCCCAGTTCCCCACACAGCAGTACAAGGCTTGAGGGCAGGAAGTTGTTACAAGCCTGCTCACGAAGACCATGGTGTCCATGTTAAAAGGGTTACTGGCTGGGGCCAAAGCTCAGGGTACTCAAGGAACTGCATGCTCTGGGAATGCACAGCCTGGGCAGAGTACTACTGACATTGGTGTAGAAGGAACACGAAGAAGCAACCCAGCAGCACAGCAGAACCTGGGCCAGGGCCACCCCTTGGTCTCTAGGCAGGCAGAAACAACCTACTGGGATGCAGATGAAATGAGGTTGGTAGTCAGATGCAAGGGAAAGTCACATGCAAATGGAGTCAAACTTCTCTGCCACCTAGCAGGCTGTAATCCCACCTCCTTCACCAATGTTTGAACCCCCCTCCCAAATTAACCCCTTCTTGAGTACTCTCCTTCAGCCCTAAGGTACCCTTTAGACTTCTCTTTCCATCTTTATAATTACTCTCATCTCATAGCTTAGTAATTCTTTATATTAAACCACGCTAAATTGCTGTGTGGTTTCTATGCTGTCATTGGACCCAGATTGATACAAAGGCCGTGGAGTCACACTGTTTGGATCTGTCTTCAGGAGACCCTATTGTGGAGTGCACAGTTGAACTGTAGCCTCCAGCTGGTGCTTTCACCAGGACCTTGCTTCTGCCAGGATACAAAGAGGATACAAAGCCAAGTCATTTCTGTCTGGCATAGGACTCCTCTACAGGCTTATGCTGTAATCCCAGTACTTTGGGAGGCCAAGATGGGTAGACCACTTGAGGTCAGGAGTTTGAGACCAGCCTGGCCAACATGGTGAAACCCCATCTCTACTAAAAACACAAAAAAATTAGCCAGGCATGGTGGTGCGCACTTGTAATCCCAGTTACTTGGGAGGCAGAGGTTGCAGCGAGCTGAGATCGCATCATAGCACTTCAGCCTGGGTGAAAGAGTGAGACTCCATCTCAAAACAAAACAAAAACTGAAGAGGGTGGTTCTTATCTGGCTGATAACTGTTGTGAGATGATTTTGAATATCTGATGTGGCCTTTCTTTGAACGCTGACTCTTGCAGGGACAATTCTGTTCCCACAGCTGTTTTCACCTGCAATTGCCTTGACCTGAATGAATGCACTCCACTCTGGCCTTTCTTTCCTCTTAACTCCTAAGGAATCCACAGATCCACTTTGGATTACCCTCTTCTAAGGCCTGCTCACACCCTTAACAGGACTTTTCATATGGGATCCCAAATGGATTCTCCCTCCCACCAACAGCTCTCATACTTGACCAGAGCTCTCATCTGTCCTCTATAAACATCCAAACATTCTTTGCCAAAACAAATGCTAAGAGACCAGACCAATCTCAACACAGTAGCCAAGCAGCTCACCAGAACTTTTCTCAGGCTTGATTTCCTGGCGATGAGTTAAATACCTGCTTCCAGAAGTGCAGGAGATTCACATCAAGCTCTCTTAAGACAGTTTTATATGAGAAATCAGCACCTTTCCATCTTCCCTGACAGCTTTGTAAATTTGTCATAAAATGCATTCCCAAATTCATAGCAGATTAGCTACATTATGTATTACAATGCTAAGGCAAGACTGAAATAGTTTAGAACACCACACAGCACTTATATATATATAAGCACCACACAGCACTTATATATATATATATATATAATCATATATATATAATCATATATATAATGAATATATATATATAATCATATATATAATGAATATATATATATAATCATATATATAATGAATATATATATATAATCATATATATAATGAATATATATAATGAATATATATATATATATATGAAGTTCCTGTTGTGAAAGGGGAATAAATATCATATTCATGACTAAAATAGGGATTCACCTCTGACAGAAAAGAATTTGCATAGAAGTAAAATCCTCACTTCAAAGATATCAACTCTGGCCTGATGCAGTGGCTCATGCCTGTAATTCCAGCACTTTGGGAGGCTGAGGCAGGCAGATCATCTGAGGTCAGGAGTATGAGACCAACCTGGCCAACGTGGTGAAACCCCGTCTCTACTAAAAATACAAAAAAATTAGCCAGCATGGTGGCGGGTGCCTGGAATCCCAGCTGTTTGGGAGGCTGAGGCACAAGAATTGCTTGAACCTGGGAGGAGAAGGTTACAGTGAGCCAAGATCATGCCAACTCACTCCAGCCTGGGAGACAGAGTGAGACTCCATCTCAAAATAAAAAAAGAAAAAAAAGAATCAGCTCTACAAATCTTCATGTCCAGTACTGTTATGTTTCCAATCCAAAGATCGTCTATATTCTACCACACTTTATTAAAATATTAGACACTTACATTAAGAAATATGCTTATAACTAGCTGGCTTGAAATAATGCAGAATTACCTTTAAAATGAATATGAACAAATATTAGAGAGTATCTAGCAATAAAATATGTATCAGTTACTAAAAGTAATAATGATATAGATGATAGGTGAAATTCTGGCATTCTGATAGCTTTGAGTGAATAGCTATGAAAAGTTTAAGTCTTCTTTAGGTTCACTCTTAATAATAAATTGCTTTATCTGGAGTGTGGTTCCAAAATAAGTCACTAAGGAAGAAAAGTATTCAAGAGAAACTGCCCGAGTATCCTTAGCTATTGGATTTAGCAGACTTCATAAACATGTTCAAAATGGAAGTCTGTTTATTATATTAAAGAAAACTTATAATAATCCAATGAACAAAGAATCTCAATAAAGAGGTACAAAGTTATGAAAGAACCAAATGGAAACCTGGGCGCTGAAAAATTCAACTTACGAAACAAAACAATGCAAGTAGATTTGAGATGGCAGACGCATCGGTGAGCTTGAGGAAAAATCAACGTTACACAACCTGAGAAATAGAGGGAGAAAAAGACTGAAAAAAATGAACAGAGCCTGAGACCAGGGTAACAGGAAATGTACCAACAAATGCATAAGGCGAATCACAGAAGAGCAAAGGGCAGAAAAATGTAACTAAGAAATAATGTCCAAAAATCTCTCAAATTTTATAAAAAACATTATATATCCAAGAAGCTAAAACAAACAAAAACCAATAACAACAAACCCAAGTAGGATAAACACTATGAGATCCACACCTAAAAACGTCTTAGTCAAACTGTTTAAAAGACAAGGCCCAGAAAAAAAAAGCCCAAAAGCAGTGAGGAAAACAATTACACAAAGGAGACCAAAAATAATTAACAGCTGACTTTGCACCAAAAGTAATGGAAATCCGGGTGCACTGGGATGACATTAAAAGAGAGTCAAAGAAAAAGTTGTCAGGCACAAATTCTATATCCAGCAAACTATCCTTAAAAAAAAAAAAGAATCAAGGCAAAACCAGACATTCCCAGATAAAGATTAAGGACATTAAGATCGTATAAAGCAGTAGTTCCAACCATTATTATTATTATCATTATTATTATTATTATTATTATTACTATTATTGGAGATGGTATATTGCTCTGTCACCCAGGCTGGAGTATACTGGCATGATCTCAGCTCACTGCAACCTCTGCCTCCCAGGTTCAAGTGATTCTCCTGCCTCAGCAACTTGAATAGATGCAATTACAGGCATGCACCACCACGCACAACTAATTTTTGTATTTTGGGTAGAGATGGGGTTTCCTCATGTTGGCCAGGCTTGTTTCAAACTCCTGGCCTCAAGTGATCTGCCTACCTCAGCCTCCTAAATTGCTGGGATTACAGGTGAGTCACTGCGCCCAGCCAGTAGTTCCAATTATTTAAAGCAAAAGAAGGTAGGAAAGGAGGAACAGCAGAATCTCTTTAGGTATGAGGAAAAAAAAATAGCAAAAGACAGGTATAAATTCAAATATATCAATAATATTAAGTATAAATGAACTGAACACTCCACCAAAATGGCAGAGATTGTGAAACGGGATAAAAAAGCAAGATCCAGGCCGGGCGCGGTGGCTCACACCTGTAATCCTAACACTTTGGGAGGACGAGGCGGGTGGATCACGAGGTCAGGAGATCGAGACCATCCTGGCGAACATGGTGAAACCCTGTCTCTACTAAAAATACAAAACAAAAAATAAGCCGGGCGTGGTGGCGGGCGCCTGTAGTCCCAGCTACTCAGGAGGCTGAGGCAGGAGAATGGCTTAAACCCGGGAGGCGGAGCTTGCAGTGAGCCGAGATCACGCCACTGCACTCTAGCCTGGGCGACAGAGCAAAACTCCATCTCAAAAAACAACAACAAAACAAACAAAAAAGGCAAGACCCGGCCAGGCGCGGTGACTTACGCCTGTAATCCCAGCACTTTGGGAGGCCGAGGAGGGTGGATCACGAGGTCAGGAAATCGAGACCATCTTGACTAACAGTGAAACCCTGTCTCTACTAAAAATACAAAAAATTAGCTGGGCGTGGTGGCCGGCGCCTGTAGCCAGTCCCAGCTACTCGGGAGGCTGAGGCAGGAGAATGGCGTGAACCCGGGAGGCGGAGCTTGCAGTGAGGCGAGATGGCGCCACTGCACTCCAGCCTGGGAAACAGAGCCAGACTCGTCTTAAAAAAAAAAAAAAAAAAAAATCAAGATCTGATAAAGGACTTGCATTCAGAATATATCTTTTTTAACTTGTAAGAACAAGACAACCCAATTAAAAGAAGTAAAAGATCTGAATAGACACTTCTCCAAAGAAGATATACAAATGGCCAATAAGCACCGGAAGATGCTCAGCATCTTATGTCACTAGAGAAATGATCTAACTTGGATGAGATTAATTTGGATATGAGTGGTCCACTAGAATGGCCATAATTATAAAGGCAGACTATAAGCACTGCAAAAGATGTGGAGAAACTATAACCCTCCTACATTGCTAGTTAGAACATAAAATTATAGTCACTTTGAAAATAGTTCATAAGTTTCTTAAAAAATTAATCCAAACACTTGCATGACAATGTTTTGGGTGATGGAAATGTTCTAAAATCTAATTGTGGTGATGATTACACACACAACATCTTTCAACTCTACATTTAAAATGAATTTTATCATATGTAAATTATACCTCAACAAATATGTAAAAAAATTTAAGACAGATAAGACTTTATCAATATTTTATACGTGTATGTATGTACATACAGAGAGGGAGACAGAACAGGTTTGGGGCAATAAAAAACGGGCAGAATGATAACAACTGGTAAATCTGGATGCAGGGTATATGAGACATCCATGTATTATGCTGGCAACATTTCTGCCAGTTTGAAATTACATTAAGATTTAAGATTATCAACCAAAAGGTCAAGAATATAATGTAACAAGCTTCCTGTAACAATATCTATCTTTTTTCAATGAAGACCATATACAGCTTAAATTATTAGGAAATTGTAGATAATTTTAATGAAGTCAACGTCAAGAATATAATCTGGTTGTAATACCAATACAATGTGTTCTAAAATAATTTTTCTATTGAGTTAAATATTCATCTGTAGATCCTATAACAGCATGTTCATATTCACAAAATCTGAATGAAAAGTAAACACAACTTGGCATTTCTGACGCAGGGTAACACAAAGTTCACTTCGGAGGGGACTGAGATTTTTGTTTAATTTTGCTTTTGAAACCAAGCACAGTTATAGTCAAAATGAGGGACATTATTCAGAATGAGGTTATGTATTTATTTAACAAAATACTGCTTCTCTGAAGTACATTTCATTAGGGAGAGTGACAGTAATGCTAAAAAAAAGAACATGAAAATGCACACAGCATTTCTGAAAGGTTATAATAATTTATTTAATTTTTTTTTGAGACAGAGTCTCACTCTGTCACCCAGGCTGGAGTGCAGTGGCTCCTGTGATCTTGGCTCACTGCAACCTCCACCTCCTGGGTTCAAGCAATTCTCGTGCCTCAGCCTCTCAAGTAGCTGGGATTCCAGGCATGCACCCCACACCTGGCTATTTTTTTTTGTATTTAAATTTATTTTAATTTTTTTTTGAGGCAGAGTCTTGCTCTGTTGCCCAGGCTGGAGTGCAGTGGCATGATCTCAGCTCACTGCAACCTCCATCTCCCAGGCTCAAGCAATTCTCCTGCCTTGGCCCCCAGAGTAGCTGGGATTATAAGCACCTGCCACCATGCCCAGGTAATTTTTGCATGTTTAGTAGAGATGGGGTTTCACCATGTTGGCCAGGCTGGTCTCAAACTCTTGACCTCAGGTGATTTGCCCGCCTTGGCCTCTGAAAAGTGCTGGGATTACAGGCGTGAGCAACCGCGCCCAGCCCTATTTTTTTGTATTTTAGTAGAGACAGCGTTTCACCACGTTGGCCAGGCTGGTCTCGAACTCCTGGCCTCAAGCAATCCACCCGCCTCAGCCTCCAAAAGTGCTGGGATTACAGATGTGAGCCATGGCACCATGCCAAAAGGCTATATTCCTGGCTCTGTGTTTCCGAGACTGCTTTTAATCCCAACTTCTCTACATTTAGATTAAAAAATATTTTATTCATGGTCAATCTGGAACATAATTACTGCATCTTAAGTTTCCACTGATGTATATAGAAGGCTAAAGGCACAATTTTTATCAAATCTAGTAGAGTAACCAAACATAAAATCATTAATTACTTTCAACTTAATAACTAATTGACATTCCTCAAAAGAGCTGTTTTCAATCCTGATAGTTCTTTATTTTTTCAAAATATATTTGCCATGGGATGCTAATTTGCAATAGGTGTCATAATGAGAATAACCCAAACTGGATAAATGTGACAAATGATTGACAAAGCATTTCACACCCTTCAATTACACCACATCAAGAATGAGGGGAAAGCGTTGTAAAAGTAGACTACTGCAATGCTACTTGTATTCTTGCAATAAAACCAGCAAGCATCCATATCAAGAGAGTTATCATCTCACTTCCAACTTTTTCCCCTCAAGAACAATTTGAATCTCTTTGGCATCCAAAGTCTCATAGGTCAATAAAGCTTCTGCGAGATTCTTATGCTCCTTTGCATGAGTTTTCAAGATATGTTTTGCTCGTTCATATGAGTCCTGAAACAGAAAAGGAGATACGTAAGCAGCAGCAAATGCAGGGATGCGAAAACCAGTCAATGGGAAGAGAAAGAAAAACTTTATGTACCCTAAAAAATATGAAATCTGTTTATATTTATAAAATCATGTAGAATCTTGATTCTACAGTAGAGATAATTTGTGCATTATAACATAGTAAGGAAAAGAGAATAAACACCTGAGAAGGCAGAGACCACCTCTTCTATAACACTCTCTAAACCTTTCCATCATACAAACTTTCTGTATCCTTAACTACTCTAAAGCATTCCCTCTACTTCCTTGAAATAATCAAACCCATGGTCCCTCCTGTGGAGAATGCATTCCCTAAGCCCTCTCAAGTGCTATTTGTTCATGTTTACCCTAGTTACTTCACAGTAAACAGCTGAGCTCATTGTTCCCATTACCTCTTTCAGACCATTACTAACCTACCCTCTTATATAATGCACTCTTCCTATTCTGTTGAAGTCCAGGCCATTTGACTATGGAGCTATCCAACCGTCTTCATTGTGCCATCTGACAAACATAGTCCTTACTCACTAAAGACTTTGGCACTCAGCTCTGTCACTCTCTCTCTCTCTATTTTTTTTTCAGTCTCACTGTTGCTTAGGCTGGAGTGAAGTCAGGCAATCACAACTCACTACGGCCTCAACCTCCCTGGGCTCAGGTGATCCTCCCACCTCAGCCCAAGTAGCTGGGACTACAGGCATGAACCACCATGCCCAGCTAATTTTTCTATGTTTTGTAGAGATGAGGTTTTGCCATGTTGCCCAGGCTGGTCAGTCTTACCCTTAAAACCTGCCTGGCTGGGTGCGGTGGCTCACACCTGTAATCCCAGCACTTTGGGAGGCCAAGGCAGGTGGATCGTTTGAGCCCAGGAGTTCGACACCAGCCTGGGTAACATAGTGAAATGCTCTCTACAAAAAATAACAAAATTAGCTAGGCATGGCAGCATGCGCTTATAGTCCCAGCTACTCAGGAGGCTGAGGTGGGAGGATCACTTGAGCTTGGGAGACAGAGGTTGCAATGAGCCAAGATCACAGCACTGCACTCCAGCCTGGGTGACAGGGCAAGATGCTGTCTCAAAAAAAAAAAAAAAAAAAAAAAAAAAAAAAAAAAAAAAAAAAAGACCTGCCTTCATGAATGGGTAGCTTCAACATTCAAATGCAATACATAACCAATCTCTCCACTAAGTTCCCACATCTATTTCCAACTAAGATGCCTCAAATTCAACATACATAATACTGAAATTGGGCCGGGCGCAGTGGCTCATGCCTGTAATCCCAGCACTTTGGGAGGCCGAGGTGGGTGGATCGCCTGAGGTCAAGAGTTTGAGATCAGCCTGGCCAACATAGTGAAACCCTGTCTCTACTAAAAATACAAAAAATTAGCCAGGCATGGTGGCACGCGCCTGTAATCCCAGCTACTCAGAAGGCTGAGGCAGGAGAATCACTTGAACCCAGAAGGCGGAAGTTGCAATGAGCCGAGATAGCACTACTGCACTCCAGCCTGGGCAACAAGAGCAGAACTCTGTCTCAAAAAAAAAAAAAAAAGAAAAAACAAAAACAAAAAACTGAAATCATAGAGCTAGGCATAGTGGTGTGTGCCTGTAGCCCCAGCTACTTGGGAGGTTGACTTGAGCCCAGGAGTTCAAGTCCAGCCTGGGCAATATAGCAAGACCCATCCCCTTAAAAAAAAAATGACAAAACCCACAAAAAACCAACAATAAAACACCTACTAAACTTATTTCTTAGGTTGCAGTGAGCCGAGATCATGCCACTACACTCTAGCCTGGGCAGCAGAATGAGACTCCATAAAAAAAAAAAAAAAAATTTATTTGTTGAATACATGTCAAAGACTCAATAAACAATACTCTTCCCATTCTATTACCTCTTACAGTTTTGCAGCTAAAGTACAATTGAATTTTATATACATATAAAATTTTATATATAGATTTTATTTCAACAGCTTATGGGGTACAAGTGGTTTTGGTTACATGGATGAATTGTATAGTGGTAAAGTCTGGGATTTTAGTGTATCCATACCTACATAGTGTACACTGTACCTAATACCTAATATGTAGTTATTTTGTCCCTCACCCTGAGAATTGAATTTTTACAACCATGCAATATAGAACTGTTCTTAGCCCGTGTCCAGGTTCATGAACAGAGAGGTGCCTTAATAACATTTAAATCATTGCTGAAATGCTGCAACTATTATCTTTATTTTTTAATTTTTTCCCCAGACACCATGGTGACTATTATCTTTATTTTATAAAATGATGTTTCTAGTGAACAGAGGGCCTTCAGCTGTTATTTTTTAAGAACCTGACTATTTAAGCACATTGTTCCTAAGAAAATAAATAAGCACAAAAAATATTATTACCCTTAGAAGGATTCTTATTTCTTGTTCGATGGCAGATTGGGTTTCTGGACTTAGTTTCCCTGTATCACTGTAGGTCATAACTCCAAGCTAAAACCAAAAGGAAGAAAGTAATTGAACAGAAAACCCCCAAACACCAACAAATTTGAAAGAGAAAGTACTATCCTATATATAAGGAAACAAATATATGGGGGACAAGAAAGAAGTACAATAGAAAACTGCATTTGAGGCCGGGCACAGTGGCTCACACCTGTAATCCTAGGATTTTGGGAGGCCGAGGCGGGTGGATCACCTGAGGTTAGGAGTTCGAGACCAGCCTGGAAACACGGAGAAACGCCATTTCTTCTAAAAACACAAAAAATAGCTGGGCATAGCGGCACGTGCCTGTAATCACAGCTACTCAGGAGGCTGAGGCAGGAGAATCGCTTGAACCCAGGAGGCGGTGGTTGCAGTAAGCTGACATTGCGCCACTGCACTCCAGCCTAGGTGACAGAGCGAGACTCCGTCTCCAAAAAAAATAAAAATAAAAACTGCATTTGAGGGCAAAGAAATTTCCACATTCTTCTGAAAGTATAAAGACTAACATTTAGCCAGGCATGGTGGCAGGTGACTGTAATCCCAGCTACTTGGGAGGCTGAGGCAGGAGAATCGCTTGAACCCGGGAGGCGGTAGCTGCAGTGAGCCAACATCACGCCACTGCACTACAGCCTGGGCAACAGAGCAAGACTCCGTCTCAAAAACAAAGAAACAAAAAAACACTAATATCAAAATAGTAAAAGTATGAGCAAGACAGAACATTTAAAATCTTTTTTTTTTTTTTTGGAGACAGGGTCTTGCTCTGTCACCCAGGGTAGAGTGCAGTGGACTCACTGTAGCCTCGACCTCCTGGGTTCAGAGAATCCTCCCACCTCAGACTCCCAAGTAGCTGGGATTACAGGCACACACCACCATACCTGGCTAATTTTTGTATTTTTTTAGAGATGGGGTTGTGCCATGTTGCCCAGGCTGGTCCAGAACTCACTCCTGGGCTCAAGCAATACAGTCTCCTCAGCCTCCCAAAGTGCTGGGATTACAGATGTGAGCCACAGTGCCCAGCCTAAAATCATTTTAAGTCTGGTTCTCAGTACTTTCTTGAAAAACCTTGGCAGCTACTTCAAATATAGAAATCCATAATTCACAGAGTATAGTAGTGCTTCAAGGAACAATGACAAGATGAAAATATGAAATAGAGGGAAACAGTAAAGTAACCAAACTTAGAAAGTAGACTCTTTCATGCCACATGGAAAAGCTAAGGAATTCACCTTGCTTTATCACTTAATTAACTCGTGAAGTAATAGTTACTATCTGGGCAGCTCATTCTCAGCAGCTAAGAGAAGGTCCATTTTCTTTATTCAGAGAATAACAATGTTCAGAATAAAGAGCCTCAAATCCATTTGGAGTGAGAGAAAAAGTGAATATTACCAATTTATAATCAGAACCAGCTCTCAAATCAACACTTGACACATAATTTGATACATGAAAAGGATTTAAAAAATCTATTACCTTTTCACTCATTCCAAATTTGGTAACCATCCGCTTTGCTATTTTAGTGGCATTATCAAAATCACTGGAAGCACCTAAAATAAAATAAAAACATACCATTTTAAAACATATCTTTAAGACCACATATAATTTGAACTAAAGCCATTCTTTAAAGCTAACCTGTTGTAATATGGTCGGTTCCAAATATAAGCTCCTCTGCCACTCTTCCTCCCATACTAACATCCATTTGTGCAAGCAGCTGGGCTCTAGTTTCATTCCATCTGTCATTCTCAGGTAACAGGGACACCTAGACAATTAAAAATTAATCAGATAAAAAATAAGCAAAGAGGCTGGGTGCGGTGGCTCACGCCTGAATCCCAGCACTTTGGCAGGCGAGGTGGGTGGATCACCTGAGGTTGGGAGTTCGAGACCAGCCTGACCAACATGGAGAAATCCTGTCTCTACTAAAAATACAAAATTAGGCAGGCATGGTGGTGCATGGCTATAATCCCAACTACTTGGGAGGCTAAGGCAGAAGACTCACTTGAAGCCAGGAGACAGAGGTTGCAGTGAGCTGAGATCATGCCATTGCACTCTAGCCTGGGCAACAAGAGTGAAACTCCATCTCAAAAATAAAATACAATAAATAAAATAAAACCAAATTAAATTAAAATAAAATAAAATGTAATGAAAGAAATTCAGATACAGGCTGGGTGCAGTGGCTCATACCTGTAGTCTCAGCACTTTGGGAGGCTGAGGTGTGAGGATCACTTGAGCCCAGGAGTTTGAGAGTAGACTGGGCAACATCGCGAGACTCCATCAATATAAAATAAAATAAAAATTTAAAAAAAATTCAGATACAGTTCTGATATAGTTACATTAAAAACCAGAATTTCAGCACCGTAAGACTGGGCAAAATAAAAAAATACAAACCAGAATTATCATTTAGCTCTCACTAAAGTACTTTATACCATGTTGCTGAAAGCTGGTCATCAGGGGACTGATGAAAAACCAGCAATTAGAGAATAAAAACATCCTTTATAAAGCAACAACAATAGGTGGATAATGCTGCAATAGGACTGTTTTCTCCCCAGGTGCATAGAAATTTTTTAAATGTCTACAATGTTGAAAGATCTGATAAACTTGTACTAAATGATAAAAATCTTAGAGAAACTACTGAATCAGTTACTACAAAACATAATGTTTTCCCTTTTGGGGCAGCGGAGTAATTAGATATTTAAGAATTAGGCAGGGCATGGTGGCTCACGCCTGTAATCCCAGCACTTTGGGAGACTGAGGCAGGTGGATCACCTGAGGTCAGGAGTTCTAGAGCAGCCTGGCCAACATGGTGAAACCCCATCTCTACTAAAATTACAAAAATTAGCTGGGCGTGGTGGTGGGCACCTGTAATCCCAGTTACTTGGGAGGCTGAGGTGAAAGAATCGTTTGAATCCGGAAGGCAGAGGTTGCAGTGAGCTGAGATCGCGCCATTGCACTCCAGCCTGGGTGACAGGGCGAGACACTACAAAAAACTTACATGTCCAAGTGTTGGCCCCCGTGGCATGATTGTAGCTTTGTTGATAGGCATTGCATCTTTTGTGTAATATGCAATAATGGCATGACCAGATTCATGATATGCTGTGATGGTTTTGTTTTTGTTATCAATTTCCACACTTCTTCTTTCAGGCCCTAAGATAAATTTAATTGAGTAAATACTCCATTAGAAAGGTATATTTAAATCAACAAAACACATTCTTGTCTGCAAATCAAATACACTCCACCCTTCCTATCAGCAGATTCTGCATCCATAGATTCAACCAAATAAGGATTAAAACTATGGGGAAGAGGAACAATAAAAAATAATACAAATGAAAAAAATACATTATAACAACTATTTACAGAGCATTTATATTGTATTAGTAATCTAGAGATGATTTGAAGTATACAGGAGAATTATGTAGGTATATGCAAATAGTACACCATTTTATAAAAGACACTTGAGCATCCCTGAATTTTGGTATCCACATGGGTCCTGGAACCAATCCCCACCCCTTCAGTGGATACTGAGAGGTGAATGTATCTGATATGGGATTAATATTATAAAACAAAAAACTCATTCTCCTTAAAGTCATTCTTATTATAGCTCACTCCAACCTTGAACTCTTAGCCTCAAGCAATCCACCCACCTCAGCTTCCCAAAGTGCTGGGATTACAGGCATGTGCCACTGCACCTAGCTTTAGTAATTTTTAGTAATTTTGTTTCTTTTTAAACAGGGTCTGTAACCCAGGCTGGAATACAGTGGCATGATCATGGCTCACTGTAGCTTTAACTTCTTGGACTTAAGTAATCCTCCCACCTAGGACTCCCAAGTAGATGGGACCACAGTCGCATGCCACCCCACCCAACTAATTTTTAAAATTTTTGGTAGAGATGGAGTCTTGCTATGTTGCCCAGCTGATCTTGAACTCCAACGATTCTGGGCTCAAGCAGTCCTCCTGCCTTGGCCTCCCAAAGTGCTGGGATTACAGGTGTGAGCCACCACGCCCAGTCTACAAAGTTTTTTAAAATGGGCAGAATTCATTCCTAACACATACAAACTTTAACAATTTAACTGAAAACCAAAACTGTCAAAACTATCATCTTAATTCAAAAGGGAAAACTTATTTCTATTTCTATAAAATAAACTTCCAGTTTAACAAGAATATCATAATTAATGTGATTTTAAGCCAATCCAAGATTTAAAATCGAAATTAAGCACAGAATAAAGTATCCTTTTTCGCAGCAATGTCTGACAAGAGGAAATGTATACGTGCCTCATCTCCCCACTACCAGTTTAACTATATAATTACATAAGCAACTAGAATATATTTGTTTCGTAAGATGCCAAATTGTGGTGTTGTCAAGTATATATTTTCATGTTCCCATCACTTTTTAAAGCTTTCCAGTCAGAAAAAAAGGTTTTCTAAGAAAGAGACAAAACTAATAAATGTGGTACACTATAAAATCAGTTCTGTATCACTGACAAGATTATTGTCAAGAAAATGTTACAGTTTAATGGCATTTGTTTGATGTTAAGTTGGGAATTTTGTAAAATCATTTATTACAAATCTTGAAAACCCAGACACTGAAGTTTTAGAGTAAGATTAGATTCAACATAGCCATGGCTTTAGCTGTTTGAATAGAGTATTTGCCCCTAAATGAATTATCTAACACAATGAAAAGTAAAAGACAGAAAAAAAAGAAAGGAAACCTACCCATTAGAATTTTGTCTTTGGAAAACTCCAGCTCCTTCATGGTAACCATTTCTTTTCCATCAACAGCTGCTTTTAATGCAGCCTGGTTCACAAGATTCTCCAACTCTGCTCCGGAAAAGCCAACAGTACCTCGAGCTATAATTTCTGGATCAACGGCTAATGTAAAAAGAGAACACAACGCTAATAAGTCTAAAACAGGTAAAAGAAAGCTCTTCACAAAGAACTCACATTCCAACTGGGTGCGTTGGCTCATGCCTGTAATCCCAGCACTTTGGGAGGCTGGGGCAGGCAGATCACCTAAGGACAGGAGTTGGAGACCATCCTGGCCAACATGGTGAAACCCCATCTCTACTAAAAATACAAAAATTAGCTGGGCATGGTGGCATGCACCTGTAATCCCAGCTATTCAGAAGGCTGAGGCAGAAGAATCACTTGAACCCGGGAGGTGGAGGTTGCAGTAAGCCAAGATTGTGCCACTCCACTCCAGCCTAGGCAAAAAGGGCAAAACTCTTGTCTCAAAAAAAAACCAAAAAAAAAAAACACCTCACATTCCAAGGGAAAAAAGAAAATAGCTAGCTATTCTGAGCCATAGTTTAGTCACTTTTTCTCTGAATTTCATCTGGAAATACTTTAGACATAAAAGCTGCCCTTATAGGAAACATGTATAGTTTAATGAATTGATACAGCTATCTCTGAAACTACTGCAGCTTTAATAATTTCATTTATTACTCAAGTGAGTAATAAATTTCCATGTGTTTTGTTTTATAATTTGCTTTCTTCTCTTTTGGCCCCACACTGACTATATCATGAGTTACTGTTTCTGCAGCTTTTTTAAATTATTTTGCATTTTACATTCATCTTAAAAAAATGTGTGTGTGTGTATGTATATGTATGTATCCTCAAATATTATCTGTCTGAATACTCTAAAAAAACCTTTCTTTAGACTCAGGGTTCAAAACAATAGAATCTCCTGGATATACACTAAGGAATGGACTTTTAAACGAACATACTAATGGAAAAAAAAAAGACAAAAATGAACTGGTCTTTTAATGTTAATACATGTATCATGAAAGGACCACAAACAGGGTGAGTGGTATATTACCACTTTACAGAAATGACAAATGTTTGTTTTGATACTTACATTGATCAAACTTTATTTTATTGAGATACCATTTCAAAATTTCTGTTCGACCTTTTACATCTGGCCTTGGAACTGTAACTTGCATGTCAAAACGACCAGGACGTATTAAGGCACTACAGGAAGAATGCAAAAGGAAAATATAAATTAAAACTATTTAAGCTCAAATTCAACAGGACTGACACCCTAATGACGTGACTGGGAAGCCAATGGCAGCCAGAGCGCAGATGGAGTTTTGTACATAAATATTCAGATAGTTCCTTTAAAACATGGCTCAAGTAACAGTGTCAATAACCAGAAAGCAGAACAAAGGTTCATTTAGATACACGTGTGTACCTAGGTAGCCTACCCCTCAGAAACAAAAGCATGCAGGTAATTCAGTCCAGGAACAAATAATTCCACAACAAACTATTATGAGAACCACACATCCATCTCAACTGCTAAGTACAGAATGTTAGACTAGAGTCTTAGGCAGTGACAAACTACTGATCAAATGAAAATACGAATAACTTCTACAGTAAAATTTTTTCATAGTAACTTTAAACCTAGTTATAATACTACAGTTAATTTATTTTAAAAACCCTCTCTACATACAACTTTTGTGACATATAACAAATAAATATTTTAAGTTTTATTGAGATGTAATTCACATAATTTAAAGTGGATACTTCAGTGGTTTTTAATACATTCAGAATTGTACAACCATCACCACAATCTAATTTTAGAATATTCCCATCCCCCACAAAGAAATCCCATATCCAATGACAGCCATTCCCCATTCTCCCTAACCTCTGGTAACCGCTAACCCAATTTGTCTCTGTGAATTTGCTTATTCTGGATATTGCATATAAATGGAATCATACAGTGTTGATGTGATCTTTTGCAACGGACTTCTTTTAGCACAATTTTGTAGCATGTAACAGTACTTCACAAAAATCTTCTTTTAATACTTACTTATCTAATGCCTCTGGGAAGTTTGTGGCTCCTATTATGATAACTCCTTCATTGGGTTTAAAACTATATTGGAAAAAAAATAGTATCTTTTACTAACACTGAAGCACAGCACACATGTAGAAATGCTCTACACAAAACTGGTTTGTTTTCTTTTTTTGAGACTAGGACTCGCTTTGTGGCCTAGGCTGAAGCGCACCAGTATGATCATAGCTCACTGCTGCCTCAAACTCCTGGGTTGAAGTGAACCTTCTGCCTCAACCTCTCAAGTAGCTGGAATGACAGGTGCATGCCAACATATCTGACTAATTTATTTTTTATTTATTTTTAAATCTTTTCTCCCCAATTTCTAGGTACAAGCCACTATTTTTTTTTTTTTTTGGAGATGGAGTCTCACTGTCACCCAGGTTGGAGTTCAATGGTGCTCACTGCAACCTCCATCTCCCAGGTTCAAGCAATTCTCATGTCTCAGCTTCCTGAGTAGCCAGGATTACAGGCGCCTGCCACCACACCCAGCTAATTCTTATATTTTTAGTAAAGACGGGGTTTCACCATGTTGGCCAGGTTGGTCTTGAACTCCTGACCTCAAGCAATACACCCGCCTCAGCCTCCCAAAGTGCTAGGATTATAGGCTTGAGCTACTGTGCCCGGTGACTGTTTTTATTTTTAGTAGAGATAGGGTCTTGCTATCTTGACCAGGCTGGTTTTGAACTCCTGGCCTCAAGCAATCCTCCCACCTTGGCTTCCAAAAGTCCTGGCATTACAGGCGTGAGCCACCATGCCCAGCTTCATTAATCAAATAACAGCCAAGAAAAGAAACTGATAATAAACCACCAATTCATCTCTGACTACATACCTTCACAATTATCTGGTCTATGCAGGAAAAGATAACCTGATATAAAAAGCTTAGGTGCCTGGTTAATTTTTGAAAAATTACTTTCAAGTATACCAATTCAAATTATTTGCTCCTGGGCTTCCTATGTGGTTTCAAAATGTCTTATATTGAGTTTTAAGATACTTCTTTCAAAGCAACATCACCTCTTGCTTCTTATATTATGAACATTGATGTAAGCTTTAAATCTGCCACAACACTCAAAGTTAGTCATAAATTATGTAGAAACAACTGTATTTCTTCAAATAGACTACTAGTCTCGGCATAAATCATTGTTTTTCTGTCATAAGTGTAACAATAAATGAGAAAGGATATAAATACCATAAATTAAATAAGATGAGTTGATATTCAAATATCCAGTTAGTAATGAAAACAATACAATACTGAGAGAAAAAGCTTGTCTTGAGTTCTTGCATGAGGGACTACTCTGTTTCCTATACACATCACATTTTTCATATCTCTAGATATGAAATGCCTTATGGAAATAATTTGCATAAGATCAATTCTACGTATATCAAATGCTGGGAGGCATCACCATATTCTAAGAAAAAAGAAGACTCAATTACCCATCCATTTCAGCAAGAAGTTGATTTATGGTCTGCCTTGAATATGGATGCATTGGAGATTCAATTCTCTTCCCACCAACAGAATCTAATTCATCAATAAATATAACACAAGGAGCATTCGCCTTTGCTTCCCCTAAGAAAACAAAAAACATTCAAATAAGCTGAAAGAAAGTCAACACTTTTGAACAAAACGAGATAAATATTAAAATCCTATACAACTGTCAAAAGCCAACAAAAAATATTCACTGAAAGAAAAGGACGTCATTTTTTACTGACTTAAAAATAGTATCTTCAGGGGGGAAAAAACTATACCAAAGAAATGATATAAAACAAAACAGTTGGGCATTCATTCATTCTTTCCAGCTATACAAATATATACAATCAGGTTTGAAGCTAATTACTCCTTAATTCCATACTACAAAATTGATGAATAAAATGAAAAAACACTAAGAGATTTTTGGTAGCCTCCAACTTCATCTTGCACTTCCACTAGCTCTTCCGATAATTCATATAGTAAGTTACCCAAACCAAGGTCCCACAATGGCTATTTTAACTATCAATCAAAACTAATTAGCATGCAAAGCTGGAGGCCCCAAAAAATAGAAATTAAAAAAAGGAAGAAAAAAAGTAATTAGCAAAGAAAGGGTAAGATACACACTTCCCTTAACAAAATTTAGCACTGCATCAAAGATACACCAAAACGTACTAAAAAGATTTCTGATACGGCTGGCTCCCACACCCACAAACATCTCATCAAATTCGGATCCAGAAGCATAATAAAAAGGAACATCAGCTTCTCCCGCCACAGCTCGGGCAAGAAGTGTCTTTCCAGTCCCTGGGGGTCCAACTAAAAGAATTCCTAAAAGAAAATGAAAACGAGAATGATTCAAAGTATTTTTAAAAAATCCCTCGATATGAACCTATAAAATAAATAATTATTCATTTATATAATTTTCAGGCTGAGGTCACACCAATAACCAATATTTTGAAACACAGCAAACCGTACTTGTCTCTGCTAATGGTTCACTTCAGAATCTTGTCCAAAATTAATGTTCCTGTATTATATAAATATTGTTTCCATATCAACAAGAGACATGACAGGGAGAATCTTGAGGCAAAAAAATATAAACCCATTTATCACTAAATAAGATAAAATTCATGTAAAAATAGATTAAAAGACTAAACAACCAAATGTAATTAGTGAATCCTGATTTGATGCTTTTTCATAAAGAACAAAAAATTCTAGAGACATCTGGTGAAAACATTTAAACAAGACTGAGAGTACATGATATTAAGGAAATAGGCATAATTTCCTTTGGTGGGATAAGGTTATTATGTTTATTTAGGACACTGTCCTTATTCTTAGGTGATGTACAAGAAAGTCTTTAGATGTCAAGTAGTTGACGTTTATAGTTTTCTTTCAAATGTTCAGGGGGAAAAATACACACATAACACAGAAAGCAAATATGACAGAATGTTAACAATTGTTGAGTCTAAGTGGATAGGATATGGATGTTAATTGTACTGTTCTTTCAAGGTTTTCCATGTTTGCAAATTTTCATAACACCAAAGATTTTCACGTTAGAAAAACAGAATTACCTGATTTATATGTTTTTATAAATATACATATTACATTTAAAAAGCAACAAAACTTCTTTACATACATGTTTGCTGCATTTTAACATAAAAAAAATTTTAAAGAAAGCTCAAGCTCAAAAATAGCTTTAAGACTATCCTAGTATTGTCATGTTTTAGTTATACTTAACTGGTTTAAATCATATTAATTTCTGTGGATTACATCTTGGTATCTGAAGATTTTTCTACAAATTTATACTACTCAAATTTTCTACAAATTTAAAATACTCCTTGTGATTAGAAAGAGGAAGAGTGTAACTATTAATACTTCTATGGTTTTAAACATTCACTCTGTGATGTTTAAATAAATGTAAAGGTGGTATGTGGAATGTCTCCTGATATGGGCTTTTCCAGTGTTTTCTCATGATTGTATTGAGATTGTGCTCTTTTTTAATTCCTTTTTGCGTGGACACCACATAAGCCATCACTTGGGTCCTTTCTAGAGCATCAGGAAGTACATGATGTTGATAAGGCTTTTGCCAGTGATATTAGCTAAAGTTATCATTATTAAGCACTGATTTAATAAATGTACCCTAAATTAGCAAAGGTTACTGCAAATAATTTCATACACTGCTGTATTTTCAGTGGAGATAGTTGGCAGCATAAAAACAAGCATTAAAAAGGAGTGTCATCCTTTAACTCAGCAATTCCATTTCTAGAAATTTATTCTAAAGAAATAATTAAGCATGCAGGCAAAGCCTTGAATTAAGATGAAACACAGCACTATTCTTAATAGCAAAAAAACTGGAAACCATATAAAAATTCAATATAAATGGTTAAATTGTGATACAACCATAAATTAGAAGGATACTGTGAAGTCATTAAAAGTCATGTTAACCATGAGAAAACATCAGACAAAGCTAAACTGAGAACATTCTATAAATAATTAGGCAAGTACTCTTTGCAACTGTAAAAATCATGAAAGATCCTCTTCTCTCCACTCCCTCACAAAAGGCTAAGGAATTGTTTCATTGTTTCATTTGAAAAAAAAAAAAAAAAAAACAATAAAAGCCTAAATGTTACCTGTGATCCTGGATTAGGTCCTGAACTGGGGAAGTGGGTAGGGATCAGGGCAACACTACAAAGGATACTATTGGAGCAAATGCTGAAATTTGAATATAGACTCTAAATTTGATAATGGTTTTGTATGTATGTTAAATGTCCTATTTTTTTTTTTTTTTTGAGACAGAATCTTGCTTTGTCACCCAGACTGGAGTGCAGTGGGAACAATCTCGGCTCACTGCAACCTCTGCCTCCTAGGTTCAAACGATTCTCCTGCCTCAGCCTCCTGAGTAGCTGGGATTACAGGCGCCTGCCACCAAGCCCAGCTAATTTCTTTTTTTAGTAGAGACAGGGTTTCACCATGTTGGCCAGGCTGGTTGGAACTCCAATGGCCCCTGGTTCAAGACCAGACTGGTCTCGAACTCCTGATCTCAAGTAATCCACCCGCCTCCACCTCCTAAACTGCTGGGATTAAAGGCGTGAGCCACCACACCCAGTAATGTCCTAATTTTAATATTATTCTGGAGTTACATAGAAGAATATCCTTATTCTTAGGAAATACACACTTGGGGTGATTGTTTACAATTTACTCTCAAATAGTTAAAAATTTATTTATTTACAAATAATTTTTATATTTATATATACATAAAGAGACAAAGTGAATGATTTTTAAAATGGAGTTAGGTTGAGTGCGCTGGCTCATGCCTGCAGTCCTAGTACTTTAGGAGGCCAAAGTGAGTGGATCGCTTGAGCCCAGGAGTTCAAGAGCAGCCTGGGCAACATGGAGTAACCTCATCTCTACAAAAAATACAAAAATTAGCCGGCATGGTGGTGTGTACCTGTGGTCTCAGCTACTTGGGAGGGCCGCCTGAACTCGGGAGGTTGTGGCTACAGCGAGCCATGATTGCATCACTGCACTCAAGCCTGGGTCTAAAAAGGAAACTAAATATTAAAAATTTGTGAGTCTAGGTAAAGGGTATGAGGAGCATTCTATGTACTATTCTTGTAACTTTAAATTTGAAAGTATATAAAAACTTGCAGTTACCAAAAAAAAAAGGCTATGGAATTGTATGTTCAGAATGAACATCTATTTTGTAAAATAGCAATTAAGACTTAAACTTTAATCAGTTAAAATTAAATAAGTAATATAGGTTTTTTTTGTTTGTTTCTTTGTTTTTGTTTTTTCCATCAAATCATGATAAAGAAAAGATATCTTACCTTTTGGAAGTTTACCTCCAAGAATAGTAAATTTTTGTGGATTTTTCAAGAATTCAACAACTTCCTGTAATTCTTGTTTAGCTTCCTCCACCTAAAGTGACACAATTTTCCAAATAACTTTAGATAATGGACACGTTTGGTTAGATTATCAAGGCTTCCCTTTTGAAAATCATAAATTTAATTTGGATATGGAATTAACCTGACCTTCTCTGTTTCAGTAAAAAAAGCATACAAAAATGGCCCCTTATAAAACAAAGGGTTTTCCCCTGACCATTATTTCCCATTATGCAAAGTCTCCTTACTATCCCCAAAAAAATCATTCTGAACTTTCATTTTCTCAGTGAGAAAACAAAAGTCAAGTACATTGGACAGGGTTAAAAAGAAAGTACCTAGAGAGGAGCATTCTAAAACATGAAACATAGCTTCACGCCAAAGGGCATTCTGAAAATGTCCAATTAATGTCAAGATTCGCTTATTATTTCAAGAAAAATTCCCAGGCATATTTCCAGGAAATATTACACTTATTAAAGAACAAAGTTATGTTTTTTTGTTAGACTTGAAATGATCTTTGAAAGTTATTCTGATTAAATAATTAAAAATGTAATAATGTTTTAATCAAGTTAATGGTTAAAAACATAGCATTTTCTTTTCAGAGTATTTAAAAAAATACAAAACAAAGCTTTGTCCATTCCTAGGTCCAGGAGAAGCGTGTACATATGTTCACCAAGAGACTTGTATAAAAATAGTCACACCAGCTGTATTTGAACCAAAAACTAGAAATAAATGTCCACCCTAAAGTAGTGTAATTGCACCGTGTTGTAGTATTCTTATAATGGGATACTATGCAATAAAGGATAAATAAACCTCAACTCCAAGTAACATAGATGGATCTCACAAACATGTTGAATAAAAGAAGCCTCATACAAAAGAGGATATTCTATATGGATTACATTTATCTAAAATTCAAAAATAGGGAAAATTCATGTATGGTATTAGACAGGAAATTGTCCCTAGGTTAGTAACCAGAAGGAGGCATCAAGGAGGTTCTGGGCTTCTGCTAAGGTTCTATTTCTTGAGCTGGGTACTTATAACACAGACAGTTTGTGAAAATTTATGGATTTGTGCACTGTTGTGTGAATTTGTTAAACTTCAATGAAATTTATGGTTAAAAAAAGACTTGGCTGGTTTATTAAAAGAGAACTTGAAAGATAATATCCATGTACTAAAAGAAGACTAAAATATATTTGGTCAAAATAATAGATATAATTCCAATTTTAAGCTGTAGGAATAAAGAAGAGATTAAACATAATTTAATACTCAAATAAACTATATTCTCTCTCCAAATTCTGTGGCAAGAGAATCCCCACTTGAGGAACATAAGATCTATCAAGGAAAATAGTTAATGGGATCAAGGTAATGAATCAAGTTATTAAATGCCCTTATTAATATTTTTAAGGCTATATATATAAGTGTGCCCATATATTCAGAAATTCTAGGCAAGGAAATGACATTCCTATACAAGCTCTTTGAGATTTGGTAAACATTTGTCACAGGAACTACCTAATGGCAAACCTGTTCTGGTAAATGCTACTGAATTACTTTGCTCTATATAAATTTAGGTCTTACAGCAATTATAAAATTGATTCATTTTAGCATGGAAAACTTGGTAAGGATCTACCTTAATTGTGATGTCTACTTTCACTATGCTTAGTTATCAGCATGGCTTTAGTTTAGTACTCAGAAATCCCCACATTCCAGGACAGGCGTGGTGGCTCATGCCTGTTACCCCCAGCACTTTGTGAGGCTGAGATGGGAGGACTGCCTGAGCTCAGGAGTTTGAGACCAGCCTGGACAACAAAGTGAAACTCTGTCTCTACACCGCTCCCCCACCCCCCAAAAAAAAGAAGAAGAAAAAGAAAGATAAATCAGCTGGGCTTGGTGGCTGATGCCTATAATCCCAGCACTTTGGGAGGCAAAGATGGGTGGATCACTTGAGCTCAGGAGATCAAGACCAGCCTGGGCAACGCAGCTAAATCCCGACTCTACAAAAAAAAACTACAAAAATTAGCCAGGCATAGGGGCACACGCCTGTAGTCCTAGCTACCTGAGAGGCTGAGGCGGGAGGATGGCTGGAGCCCAGGAGGAGGAGGTTGTTGTGAGCTAAGATCACACTACTGCACTTCAGTCTGGGTGATAGAGCCAGACCCTGTCTAGAAAGAATAATAAAATTAAATTAAAAAATTAGCCAAGTGTGGTGGTGCATGCCTGTGGTCTCAGCTACAAGGGAGGTTAAGGCAGGAGTATCACTTGAGCCCAGAAGGTCAAAGCTGCAGTGAGCCATGATCATGCCACTGCACTCCAGCCTGGGCAAGAGAGCAAGACCCTGTCTCAAAAAAAAAAAAAAAAAAAAAAAAAAAACTCTCATTCCAAAAGAAGTGTGATATATTCAGTAAGTATGTAAGTACATTACAGACAGAGAATAACAATGCTGTGTCTGACCTCAGCCTTAATACAGGCTCAATTTAGAAAAGGCATGCAGACCTCAAACACAATGAGAAGGGCCCTCCACGCTGATGACTGAAGTTTTCAAATAATCACTGCACCAACCTCTTCCTCAATTGTTCCCTTTATACAATTCCAACAGGGTTCATAGCCATTTAAACTGGAAAGGAAAGGAAAGAACTACTTGGTTGTAAAACTATCATAATGATTCCCAATGCCTTATTCCCCAATAGTCAAGGCTGAAAAAACATGGTTATGTATAAACAGAGACACGAATAAGTAAAGAAGAAAAGCAGAAATAATAACATAACCAATCTCTTCAGAGTTGGAAGAGTCCTCAGATCACGTACTTCAAATCCCTCCTGCGGAAGAATTTCTTCTAAAACACTCCTGAAAGATAATTACCCAGCCACTACAGTTCTGAGAAATCAAATGTAATAGAGCAGATATAATGGCAAAGCACAGAGAAGAGCACAGTGTGGTACTAAAGTTGCAGAATTCACATTTGGAAAAGATAAAATAAAAAAAAAAAATCAGTAGAAAAACCACTCATTTTGACTTAATATAAATTCATGATCCAAAATTTCAAGTGAGCACAACAGTTTTATTTCCTGTTTCCATTCATTCTCCTATTGCTACACAATTTACTTCCTCCATTAACCACTCATTCCTCCTCTCCCAGCCATATTCTCTCTGCTGGTGACCTTGATTCTATCAATTTCCACAACCCCCCACCTAACAGTTTACCAACATTCCAACTTTATTTTGTATTATGAGATACATTATCTGTGCTCTTCTGTCAGACAAAATCCAAGAATTGTTTGCAATCCTCTATTCCATCTCATTTCTTTCCACCTCTTGTAAACCCACTGCAATTGGAATTTAACCCCTGCTACTCCACTAACATTGCTCTTTATCAGGTACACCAATGACCTACTGCTAAATCAAATGGTTAGTTCTCACTTGGCCCATCAATAGCATTTCACATTGCTGATCACTCCCCTCATCATAGAAATATTTTCTTCCAGGATACCATTGTCACCTAACTCACTGGCAGCTCCTTCTCATCTTGGTTCCTGGCTTCTCTTCTCTGTCTTGTGAACCTTCAAGTAAGTGCTCTGTAACTCGGTATTTAAATCTCTCTTCTGGTTACACTCACTCCCTGGGTGATCTCATCCAAACATGTGGACTTAACATACATATAAATATAATCTCCTATTTTTAATTCTAGCTCAGACCTCTCCCATACCTCCAAAGTGGTATATCCAAGTTACTCAACACTTTCATTCGTATCTCTCACACTTAACATACCTAAAACTAAATTTCTAACCTTTGTCCCCCAGATCTGCTCCACTCACAGCCTTTTAAAACCTCACTAAAGGCCGGGCACCGTGGCTCACGCCTGTAATCCCAGCACTTTGATCTGCGTGGATCACCTGAGGTCAGGAGTTCAAGACCAGCCTGGCTAACATGGTAAAACCCTGTTTCTACTAAAAACACAAAAAATTAGCTGGGCGTGGTGGCTCGTGCCTGTAATCCCAGCTACTCTGGAGGCTGAGGCAGGAGAATCGCTTGAATCTGGGAGGTGGAGGTTGCACTGAGCCGAGATCACGCCATTGCACGCCAGCTTGGGCAACAATAGCGAAACTCCGTCTCAAAAACAAAAACAAAAATCTCAGTAAATGTCAATTCTATCCTTCTAATTGCTGAGACCAAAAATCTTGTGGCTCTTTTTGACTCCTCTTTTCTCTTACACCCTACGTTCCAATAAGAAATCCTATTAGTTCTACTTTCAAAAATGAACAAGTCAGACACCCTATTACTTGAGAGCCTTTGCTCAAACTGTTCCTTTGGTCAGAAACGTTCCTTTCTCAGATAAATGCAGTTTATTCCATCTTCTCCTTCAGATTTTATCTCAAATGTCACCTTCTCCATCAATCACACCTTGAACACTCCATTTAAAACTGTAAGCCTTCTCTCAAAACTCCCAATCCTCTTTACCCTGCTCTACTTTTTCCTCCATACACTTTTATTCTTTTAACATACTCTACTTTTTCTTACATCACATATCAGTGTCCAATTACTGCTTTTAGAGTTTAAACTCTAAGAATGCAGAGATTATTTATTCTATCCCAGCAGCTAAAATAGGGCCTAGCACTTAATACTATTAAATATTTAACAAATTAATCAACTATAAACTAGCATTTATCCATTCTATTCATTCAAGAAATATACATTGTCTAACATGTTTTAGATAGTGGAGTTACAAAGATCAGTAAGAGGTACAGGTAAAGAAGGACCATTTATTAAATATCTACTATGTGTCAAGCACATACATTATCTGTCAGGATCTAAAGTAATTTCTTCAAGGTCTCATAGCTAATAAGTATAAAAATGAATTTCAAACATTAGTCAGCTTGACTCTGAAGTCCACATTCACTCCACTACACCAGGCTGCTCCTTCATAAATTATACTATCCCCTGCCATAAAGCAAGATTTGATCCTTGGCTATTATTATTTATCCCAAAATACTAATGTTTCTAATACTTTTGGACACAATTTTACCTATTCTAGAATACACTGTAGAATCAAATATCGACCTCATATAGAGTATCAATTAGAGGATGTATGAAGAAGGCAAGGCAATCTTCTTAACTTACCCCTTTAACATGTTCAAAGGTGACATTTTTCATCTGGACAGGATCTACTGCAGAATCAAGCCCTGTTGTTGTCCGGAAGCGGACTAAAGGGAAGAAAAGAAATGTTTATATTTGATAGATTAATAACATTCCAATCACCTTGTTTTTTAGATGCAAGAAAGCAAAGCCTAGAAAAATTAAATGTCTAAGTGACCTAACTTCACATATCAAATCAGAGTGAGGAATAGAAACTAGGTCTTCTGGATTTCTTTTTTTTTCTTTTTGACAGAGTCTTGCTCTGTTACCAGGCTGGAGTGCAGCGGCACGATCTTGGCTCACTGCAACCTCAACCTCCCAGGTTCAAGCGATTCTCCTGCCTCAGCCTCCCAAGTAGCTGGGATTACAGGCATGCGCCACCAAACCCGGCTAATTTTGTATTTTTAGCAGAGACAGGGTTTTCCATGTTGGTCAGGCTGGTCTTGAACTCCTGACCTCAGGTGATCCACCCGCCTCAGCCTCCCAAAGTGCTGGGATTACAGGCGTGAGCCACTACGCCCGGCTGGTCTTCTGGATTTCTAAACCATCTTCAAAGAGTAAGTGATTCACGTTAAAAAGACATATTTCGGCTGCTCTGCCTATGGAGTAGCCATTCTTTTATTCCTTTACTTTCTTAATAAACTTGAAAAAATAAAAAATAATAAAGACTGGGCGTGGTGGCTCACACCTGTAATCCCAGCACTTTGGGAGGCTGAGGCGGGCAGATCGCAAGGTGAGGAGATCGAGACCATCTTGGCTAACGGTGAAACGCCGTCTCTACTAAAAACACAAAAAATTAGCTGGGCATGGTGGCGCAAGCCTGTAGTCCCAGCTACTCGGGAGGCTGAGGCAGTGAAATTGCTTGAACCCCAGGAGGAGGAGGTTGCAGCGAGCCAAGATTGCCCCACTGCACTCCAGCCTGGGCAACAGAGCGAGACTCCATCTCAAAAAAAATAAATGAAATAAAATAAAAAAATAAAATAAAATGACCTATTTGTACTTTTCAGTTAATAAAATCAAAAATTATTTTCTACTTCTTATTGTAGTATCTAATGATAGAAATCTTAAATCAAAGTTTCTCAAACTTTGGTGTGAATAAAACTCACTTGAGAAGTATGTTAATTCTCAGGCCACAGCACAGGGCCCAGGAGAATTTTCATTTTTAACAAACACTTCAATTATTCTAATTGGTCACAGGTCTACACTTTGAAACACATTGCCTTAAAGTTAGCAGAAAACATTGACACACATTAATAAAAAATTGAGGCTTAACACATTATTATACTTTTCATGTAGTCTTCTTCCTCTGACAACTGTTATTACTTGCCCTCAAATGACCTATCAATTATGACAACATTAAGTCTGACAAGCAAGACAGAAAAAGTCTGATAGGAGAGTAAAATATTTGAGATCAATTTTGGAGAACTATTACAAGGATTTCTTAAGTCTTTCCCACTCAGGTAGAAACTTCCAAACTAGAGCAGTTATAAATGAGTAAATTGAGCAATTTCTAATTTCCTCAGAAGAAGCCCAAAATACTGTTAAGATAGGCTGAAAAATGAGCTGGCAAAATATGGGGTTAAGGAGAAATGCTTAATAAATCAGGAACATAGAAGCTGGGAAAACAAATTTAAAATAGTAATTCTAGAATGAACACCAATAGTTTTGGCCCACAAAGTATTTTTTAAGAATCTGTACATATCCTTAATATTTAAGAGAATAGGCAACACAGGGTGAAAACTGCACAGTAGTGGAAAAGGTAATTGGAACCACGTAAGTCTGACACTATTGCTTAATTTCAGATAAGCAAACTAAAAAAAAGGGAAACATTTAATGTGATTTTATGAATAAACTGAATTTGTTTATCTTTGAAATAGAAGACTATTTCAGCTTGTATTGCCATTATAAAATTCTTCTACATAATTTTAAAATTAATTAATTAATTTTCCTTTCACCCTGTTGACCAGGATAATTTTTAAATTTTATAATTGGACAGGTATCATTTTCTAAAAATCTGGGAAACTAACCACTACTAGGAATGAAAGCCTAATTCTAGTACTGTAAACATTAATATGTTCTTTCTTTAAGGGTTAGATTAGGCATTAAAAGGAATCATGTATTTAAAGGAATAAGAAATAAGTTAGACAAATAAAAAAAGCTTTTACCAGATAAAAATGGGTTTTTTAGAAGTCCATAAATGCCGAATAGCAGCAGAACGAAGAGAATCAGACGGGTTCGCCTTAGGGAATCTAGGAGAGAAAGAAAAAGCTTTACATGAAATCACATTTATGAAATATGACAGCTCAATGAAATGCAAATATTAGGTTATTGTTAATAATCATATTTCATCACATCCAATTTTGGAATCTGGCATTCTTTCTCACAACTGCTATGATTTCCTGTAAGTACCCTATTATCAAAAACTTAAGGCCAAGCATGGTGGCTCATGCCTGTAATCCTAGCATTTTAAGAGGTCAAGGCAGGAGGATCACTTGATCCCTGGAGTTCAAGACCAGCCTGGACAACAGGGCAAGATTCCATCTCCACAAAAATTAGCTGGGCGTGGTGGCACATGCCTGTGATCCTAGCTACTCAGGAGGCTGAGGTGAGAGGATCACTTGAGCCCAGAAAGTTAAGGCTACAATGAGCCATGATTGCACCACTGCACTCTGGCTTAGGCAATGAAGCAAGACCGTGTCTCAAAAACAAACACAAACAAAAAATAAAGAAACAAAAACCTTTATGAAGCCATTCACACTTCCTGTTCTCCAATTTGTTTTCTCTCTTGAGAAAGGGAAACCATCAGCAGTATCGCCATTTCTACATAGATTAAGTTACAAATATAGTGGAATTTAATCAATAGATGGTCTTAGAAAAGTTACTTAAAACTTAAATGTAGGACTATGACTTCCTTTCAGTTACTCTTCTCAAACACGGATGGTGTCAATTCAACTTACCATTGGTTTTTTGTGTGAGTGCTTGAGCTTTCAGAAAACCTTCCGCAAAACCAGTTTTAAATGCATCTTGGTGAGCTTCAGGTATATTTTTGGTTTTCATGAGTTTGTCCAAACTCTCAACATCTGATCCTCTGTCCCGCAAAAGAAACCCCTGAATACACAAACAACACATCAGTACTGGTTAACAACACAGTGATACTTCCCAACAATATTGTGACCACTCAAAAAAATTCACTAAAATTCTGTATAATTTTTACTGTCAATGTGAAGAAACAGATTAAGACTCAGCAATGAATTAATCAATAACTAGGAAACTAACACTAGATCCCATTCCTGCATCAATCAATTAATAATATAAAGAAAGTGGCATTATTCTCTGCACGAACACTACACTGAAAACAGGTCACATATTATTTTAGGGTTTGATTGGCTTAATGTTCATATCCCTCTATCTTTGCTAGAGGAAAAAATCTCATTAATTTACTAAATGTCTACTAAGCACCGTTCATATACTTGGCCTTATATAAGTTCTGAAGATGTAAAGATAAATAAACCACTGATCTTAAAGTTTTCAGTCTACTGGAAAAAGATATATAAATAACTAAGTTTCTTAAATCATTTTGATATTATGTTAGAAGTATTATGTATGGTGGTAAATCAATGCTACCTCAGGAATATGGAAAAGGCCTTACAGAGAATAGGACATCTAAAACACAGGGAATAAACACTATGAACAATCTGACGGAGGCATGAATCAATAGCCTTCAGTGCTCAAGAACTGTAAGCAATCTTATATAAGACTTCAATGCCAAGAGAGGAGCAGGGAAACAGAGGGGCATATTGAATGGTGAGAAGAGAAACATGGCAGGTAGAGATCAAATGATGAAATTCCCAGTGTATCAGGTGGAGGTAAGCAATAAAGCAGAGTAATATAACTAGATCATTATTTTAGAAAGATTGATGGGTGGCAGTCTGGAGGCTGGACTGAACGCAGCAAGACTAGAGGCAAGGAGACTAAACAAGTATTCATTACAGTAATTTAGGCAACAAATAGTTATAGCCTATCTATGGCAGTGGAACAGATGTAAGAAATATTTAGGAGGTTGGATCAACAGGACTTTAGTGGTTAATGGATGTGGGAGGTAAGGCAACATGGACAAACGTAGGTTGATAGCCAGGTTTTTAGCTTGGGTGGATGCTGCTCATTAATACAGAGAACACCTCGACAGGTGTAGGTTTGTGGGAAAAAAATCTAGTAAGTGGAGAGGCAAGTCTGGTGCCCAGAAGAGTTAGAGGTATAATGATTACACAGGTTACTAATCCCTTATTATTAGTGGAAAGAAGGAAGAATATCTATCAGCCAACAAAAGAAATCAGATATTGAAGCTCCTCACTCTAACAACTTGAAAATATTTGCTTTTTGGATCATAAAAAGGTCTAATTACCTTCACGAATGATGGCGCTATATTCTGTGTTTCAGCTAATCTCTCGGAGGTAGACTGGAGACGTCGTGTCCTTGATTTCAAAGTTTTAAAACCCCGAGACTGTATGAAAACTAAATAAAACAATACCATTCACTGTCACTATAAATTGTTACAGGAAAAGAAAAATGCCTAAGATTCTAAAGTCTGACACCCTACCTGTATATCCTAGTCTATCTAATTTGCCTGACACTTCAATACGTTTTCCTTTGTTTCCTTCTTTTTTGTAGAGACGGGGTCTCCTTTTATTGCCCAGGCTGGCCTTGAACTCCTGGGCTCAAGCAGTCCTCTTGCCTCAGCCTCCCAAAGAGCTGGGATTAGGTCTGAGAACTTAAATCTATCATGCCCAGCTTATAGTTTTTTCTATCCTCCTTTTTTCAAAAGGAACTTTATTTATTTATTTATTTATTTATTTATTTATTTATTTATTTATTTGAGATGGAGTTTCACTCTTGTTGCCCAGGCTGGAGTGCAAGGCATTGCTGCTCACTGCAACCTCCGCCTCCTGGGTTCAAGCAACTATCCTGCCTCAGCCTCCTAACCTCAGGTGATCCACCTGCCTTGGCCTCCCACAGTGCTGGGATTATAGGCGTGAGCCACCGCGCCTGGCCTATTTTTTATGTTGATAGGGGATAAAGGTAAATAGAGAAGTCAGAGGGTTATACAATATAATTTAAAAAACTGAGTATCAACTCTGATAAACTGTGATTTCAAAAAAAAAAAAAAACCCAACCAAGTAATTAAAATAGATTGAATCTACACAACTGATTTTTACATGTTTTTGGTAATTACATAATGTTTTTGAAAAAAGGGTAAGTGTATCAAATTAGTGTCTTCTAATTTCTCAAGCCCCAATCCCACTTCCCAGAAGTATAACCTGTTAACAATTCTGACTACCCTTGTATGCATGCACACAGGTGCTCTTTCTATAAAAACTACTCTAGAAATAGTACCTAATTTTTTGCAATTTTCATTTTTCGTGCATATTTTTCAGAACAGAACAGTGCATTCAGTTTAATGGCTGTTTACACTTTTCCAATTTATCACAGTGCAATTCATTCAACCATTTCCCTGAACATTATTTGTTTTCTGGTTTTTATTGCTGGAAACAATACTGTGGTGAACATTCTTATATATGTATGTCAGCAGATGTAGACTGAATTCCTGAAAGAAACACTGTTAAGGTTTAAATTTTGTTTGACACTAAGAGACTACTTTCTAAAAAAGGCTGTTATCAATTTATGTGCCCACCAATGCTTATGAGTTTCCTTTTCTTCATATCCTTGCCGACACTAAATAATATGAATCTTTTAAATTTGTGCAAGTCTGACGGGCAAAAATAACAGTACCTTGTTTTACTTTGCATTTCCCAGATTACAAGTGTGGGAAAATTTTGAAAAGCTTCCTCTGTATTTTTATTGACTATTTTTATTTTTATTTCTTTAGTAAATTGACCATGCATGTCCTTTGCACATTTTTCCATTTTTATTTAGATAATATGGATGTTACAGATAGTAATCTTTAGTTATATATATTGTAAACATTTATTTTAATGTGTCTTTGTCTTTCGATCATATACAGTAATTTATTAGCTCAGTGCAGCCATACCTTTGCTGTGTTTTCTGCATTTTAACTTGATTAGAGTTTCATTGCCAAACTAAGATTTTAAAGGTAGTCTACTTACTTCTAATATTTTCAGTTTTATATTTTTGTTTTCAACCCTTTAACATATTTGGAACTTTTTTTTTTGGTATGATGTAAGAAAAGAACTTGATTTTTCCAAAACAGCCACTTAGGCTGATAACATTTGATAATCCATCATTTGCTTATTGATTCAAAATTCTTAATTTTGTTGCACTGATGTATGTCAGCACTAGGTTAAATTTTTTAATTTTAGTTATTTGTAATACTACACTACTGATTTCCATGGCTAAATATCTGTATTTTCATGTACTTAAGTAGGATAAAATCCCCTTCATTAGTATTCTTTTAACATGTACTCAGTTATTCCAAATTAAGTTTAAAATCAACTTCTCGATTTCCCAAGTGGGTCATTAGAGTTTTGATTGGGGTTGTATTGACTTTACAAATTTGGGTGTAAATTGATACTGTTGTAATACCTAGTTCTTCCAAATAGGATTATGGCCTTATTTTATTTCACTCAGTTCCTCTTTCATTTCCTTCAGTAAAGCTTCATACACACACGTGTGTATGTGTGTATATATCTATGTTGTATATTTCCTGTCAGGATAAAACATTTACTGGGTTTTAAAGAAATTGTAAATAAAACCTGCCGCTAGAATATAAGAAAGCTATTGATTTTTATGCATTTATCTGGTATGGACAATGCAGTGAACTCTTTATTTCAACAGCCTTTTGGATGATTTTCTTGAATTTTCTGGTAAACAATCGTTATCACCTGCAAATTATAATTTTACTCCTTCTTTTGACTTACATATGGCTCATTTCGTTTTCTTTTAAATCATATTGTTCAGAATCTCCAAATTAATGCTGAAAAAAAAACCAGGATACTCCATGTTTCTCAAATTAACAGGAACATAATAGATGTTTAATAAATTTTAAGTTTCCTTCCATTTCTAACTTTCTAAGAGTTTTCAGGAAGCACAGCAATTAAAATATATCATGTCTTTTTATCATACATTGAAATAATGATATTTTTCTTTTCTAATCAATATGATAAATTGACTTACTAATAATCTTAAATCACTTTTGTATTCCTTAATCATGATATAATATTTTTAGCACATTTCTAGATTTGCTTTCTTCAGATTTTATTTAGGATTTCTGTTAAGTGAAACACATCTATTTTGTTCCTCTGTCGTGCTTGCGTGTGTATATACATTCAGACACAGATACATACATATATACATATATATATTTTTTAGATAGGATCTTGCTGTCACTCAAGCTGAAGTACGGTGGCATGATCATAGCTCACTGTAACCTTGAACTTTGGGCTCAAGCAAACCTTTCACCTCAGCCTCCCAAGTATCCAGAACTACAGGGGCATGATACCACGACGGGCTAATTTTTGTTGCTGTTGTTGAGATGATGTCTGGGCTTGTTTTGAACTCCTGGCTTCAAGCGATCATCCCAAAGTGTTGGGATTACAGGTGTGATCCACAGTGCCTGGCCTTATGCTAATACTAAAAAGTTTTACTAACAGCAATCTCATGGAATAAATAGGGAACTCTATCTTTTTCTTTTTAATAAGGTTTTAAATTAAAAAGAAACTCAAGATTCTAGAAGAATGCAGCCATAAAAATTATCTGAACCTAGTGCCTCTGGGGCAAAGGGACAATATTTTTAAAATACTGTCTTTTAAACTTCATGGTTATTATCCTATCTCTTCTTGGGTTAACTTTGTTAATTAATTGCTTAGACAATTGTCCATTTCAACATATTTTTATTTTTGACATAAAGTTACACATACTACCTTGCAATTTTAAAACCTTCACATATCCATGGCAATTCCCACTCATACTTCTAATACTGTCTGTATTTTCCTGTTGTTTCTTAATCAGAATTGTTAAATTGTTCCTTTTTTTATACTAAATTTGTTTTTGGTTTAATTAAAACTATTTCCACCTATTATTTTAAAATGTTTGCTTTGTGTGTATTAATTTCTTCTATTATTTTTCAGAAATTCAATTTATTTTCTATCTTTATATCTTAAATTTTTTTTTCTTTTTGAGACAAAGTCTTGCTCTGTTGCCCAGGATGGAGGTGCCATCTTGGCTCACTGAAACTTCCATCTCCCAGGTTCAAGCGATTATCCTGCCTCAGCCTCCCGAGTAGCTGAGATTACAGGCATGTGCCACCACACCTGGCTAATTTTGTATTTCTTTTTTAGTGGAGAACGGGGTTTTACCATGTTGGCCATGCTGGTCTTGAACTCCCGACCTCAGGTGATCCACCTGACTCAGCCTCCCAAAGTGCTGGGATTACAGGCATAAGCCACTGCATCCAGCCTGATTTCTCAGTAAATTATATAACGCCCTCAATGTCATTTTGTCCTCACCAAGAGTCTGATATACAGATTTTCACTGTGGTTCATTACTGAGTGTCTGTAATCCCGGTTTTATTTCCATTCAGTCGTGAGACATTTAGAAAAGGGTTTTAAAAATTTCAAGTATTTAGGTTTTTTTTGTCTTTTTTGTTTTTTGAGACGGAGTCTCGCTCTGTTGCCAGGCTGGAGTTCAGTGGCGCGGTCTCGGCTCACTGCAACCTCCGCCTCCTGGGTTCAAGTGATTCTCCTGCCTCAGCCTCCCAAGTAGCTGGGATTACAGGCACACGCCACCATGCCTGGCTAATTTTTGTATTTTTAGTAGAGATGGGGTTTCACTATGTTGGCCAGGCTGGTCTTGAACTTCTGACCTTGTGATCCACCCTCCTCGGCCTACCAAAGTGCTGGGATTACAGGCATAAGCCACTGTGCCTGGCCGTATTTAGGTATTTTTTTAAGCTGTCTTTTCTGTTACTGGATTTTTATCTTTATTTTCTGACATTGAGAGAATCTAACCTCAGAGTTACAACATTAGGAAAATTTATTAAGATAGTTTTCATACCCTAGGTAACACACGCTCAGTTTTTATACATCTTCCAACAATAGCTAAAAACGTATCAGCTGTCTTCTTCTGTCTTCTGCATTAACTATTTCTTTAGAGGGTTATTAGTCTCTTTGCTGAAATTGGTGCCTCTCTTTTATGCTTTAAGTTTTCCTCAAATATGTGGATTCTTGGTAATCCATTTGTATTTATAAATAAGAATACAGTGATCAGGGCCTGGCACCGTGGCTCATGCTGTCATCCCAACACTTTAGAAGGCCAAGGCAGGCGGATCACCTAAGGTCAGGAGTTCTGAGACCAGCCCGGCCAACATGGTGAAACCCCGTCTCTACTAAAAATACAAAAATTAGCTGGGCCTGGTGGTGGGAACCTGTAATCCCAGCTCCTCAGGAGGCTGAGGCAGGAGAATTGCTTGAACCCAGGAAGTGCCACTGCACTCCAGCCTGGGTCACAAGAGGAAAACTCCATCTCAAAAACAAAACAAAACAAAACAAATACAGTCATCAGTATTGACTACAAATGGGTATCCTCAACACTAGCAAAAGTAAATATACTTAGAATATAAAACATGGACTATGCTAAATGAGCAGAATACTTTAGCGAATGTGTAATTCAAAACCAAAGTAATCTGGGGTGCTAGCTTCTTTCTTTCCTTGGCATCAATGCTCAAACCAGGAGTCTCCACAGACAGATGTCCCTCGACACACACACACACACACACACACACACACACACACACACACACACAGACGTCTTATTAGAAAGGTGTTTTTTGCTAATTTATCTAAAGGTTAAAGGCCATATCTGCACTGTGATTGGCCCATTTCTGGCAATCTTCAACTGTTTATTCCATCCCATCCCAGTGCCCAATTTTACTGGCTCTGGAAGTGGGGTTTTTCCTGAGTTCTACTACTGGAAACAGAAGTACTCACCTCTTTCATGACACCATTAGTCCCATGAAGGTAGAAAACATGTCTTTTTCATTTACAGTGATCACTATCACCTGACATCTATCACTAGTGCCTTGTATTCAAAAATTATATGAATAAATGCAAATTTGATTTTACTGTCAATTTGATGTCACTTATTTTACAACTTACTGAAAGCCCTCAAATTTCTCGTCCGTTAACGGAACGCTTCTGTTGTTGCTCTTTTTTTCTCATATATATATATATAAAATTAATTTCAATGGGCTTTTGAAAGTGAGGATGAGTAAGCAAATGTGGTTAGTCATTTATCTTGAAACAAGCGTAGATAAGTTCCCTGGAGTTTGATTTATTGTGGCACTATCACGCTCAAAATTTAGCTCCTATATATTTTCCAGATTAAAAATTATACAGAAGTACCCAAACTCATTAATTCCAAATACTCTTTAGGTCCTGTGAATTGCAAATGAATGTTTAGAATTAATACCATTAAGAAAGACAAATCAGACTATAGTAAATAAATATTTTTTTTTCCACAATTTATGGTTGTTGCTTCATACCTGGCCAGTACTGAAGATCTGAACAAATGCTTTGAAGAGCTCTTGAATGATGTCGATACAAGCAAGAGGAACGTAATGTACTAAATATATCTAAGTTACCTGGAGGGAAATTGCAAAAAGTAAATTTTCTAATTTCCAAACCAAAAAACAAAAATCCTATGAAATATAAATAATTCTATCAAATATTAGGGAAATCACAATATGAGTTTCAACTTTTATTTATCCATGATATGACTGCTTTTATGAAAGTATCTAAAGCATCGCTAATTTAACTACATCTCACAGTTCTTCCATTTACTAGCTATCACTTGTTGGTTACATTATTTTTATTTATTTATTGTTTTTTTGAGACGGAGTCCCGCTCTGTCGCCCAGGCTGGAGTGCAGTGGCACGACCTCGGCTCACCGCAAGCTCTGCCTCCCAGGTTCACGCCATTCTCCTGCCTCGGCCTCCCAAGTAGCTGGGACTACAGGCGCCCGCCACCATGCCCGGCTAATTTTTTGTATTTTTAGTAGAGACGGGGTTTCACTGTGTTAGCCAGGATGTGGTCTTGATCTCCTGACCTCCTGATCTGCCCACCTCGGCCTCCCAAAGTGCTGGGATTACAGGCGTGAGCCACTGTGCCCAGCCTACATTATCTTTTTTATCTGGCATACAAATGTAGCTAATGAAACTAAATTCAAATAAACAGTGATAAAAATGGCCTGGTGTGGTGGCTCACGCCTGTAATTCCAGCACTTTGGGAGGCAGAGGTGGGTGGATAACCTGAGGTTGGGAGTTTGAGAGCAGCCTGAGCAACATGGAGAAACCCCGTCTCTACTAAAAATACAAAATTAGCCGGGTGTGGTGGCACATGCCTGTAATCTCAGCTACTCAGGAGGCTGAGGCAGGAGAATCACTTGAACCCGGGAGGGAGAAGTTGTGGTGAGCTGAGATCGCGCCATTGCACTCCCGCCTGGGCAACAAGAGTGAAACTCAGTCTCAAAAACAAAACAAAACAAAACCAGTGATAAAAGATGTACTGTGTTTAAGGCCAGGCGCGGTGCCTCACGCCTGTAATCCCAGCACTTTGGGAGGCTGAGGCGGGCGGATCACGAGGTCAGGAGATACAGACCATCCTGGCTAACATGGTGAAACCTCGTCTCTACTAAAAATACAAAAATTAGCCGGGCGTGGTGGCGGATGCGTGTAGTCCCAGCTGCTCGGGAGGCTGAGGCAGGAGAATGGCGTGAACTGGGAAGGCAGAGCTTACAGTGAGCCGAGATTGCCCCACTGCACTCCAGCCTGGGCAACACAGCAAGACTCGTCTCTTTAAAAAAAAAAAAAAAAAGATGTACTGTGTTTAGGCTAAAATTACTTTTAGTTAAGAACATAAAGAGATAAAGAACTGCTGTTTCTTAGAGACAATTTCAAAAGCTCTAATGGTATAATAAAACACTGTGAATCATAGCTACTATTATCTTTCCCTCATAAAGCTTCCCTAGTCATTGGGTAAAAAGAAAGGTCAAGCCATGAATACTTCACTGATCCTTCCTAACTGCTTCTCTTGACTAGTGTGTCTCATCCTATTTTATATCCAAGATCCTAGGGAAAAGATCATCAGCAGCAACAGCAGAAACAAACAGTGGCTATCATCTATTTGTGTGTCTCAGTTAGAATTTAGGGACTTTTTTCAAGGTCCCTTAGCATCCAGTCAAAAAATCTCTTCCTAATACCTCTGCCTGCCTAAACCTAGCAAGCAGCTGGTGGTATGAGGAACAATCTTAAGAGTAAATGTAAATATGCAGACTAGAAGAGCAGTAGGAATAATCATAATAACATAGTAACAAAAAGAATTTTATTCTATTGAACACTTGGTATGGGCCAAATATTTTATAAGAAGGCAACTTTAGGCAGAGGCAAACTTTTAGTCTAAGCCCCCAAGCTCAAAACCATTTCATTTTTTCCTCACACTTACGGTTTTTTATGCCCTTACACTGAAATAAAGGCAAAGGAAGGGTCAAGAATTAATGAATTAAGTTTATGCAAAGGACAGCTTCAAATCAAACCTTCATTATAAACTAGTCAAACCTGCTATTTTGTTCCTGGATTTTTATGGCCTGTTTAAGTGCCATCCAAAGAAAAACTCATAAAGTTGACATCCCTTTTCAGACTAGTATGAACCCACTTATTATACTACCATACTGTTATGAGATTCAAGTAAAAAAAAATGTAGACATTCCACAAAAGGGATAACAACTGTTTTTTTAATCAATGTATTCTCAAAGATTAAGTATGTTTCCTGGAATTAAATGTGTGTCACCTAAAATTAAAACAAACAACGCCCCCCCATTCTGCTAAATGCAATGTGGTATGCTGGATCAGATCCTGGAAAAGAAAAAGGACACTTGCAGAGAACTAGTGATTTGGTGAAAACAAATTTTGTTGAAATTCAAATAGTCTGTAGTTTAGTTAAAAATAAGGTACCAATGTTAGGCCTGCACGGTGGCTCACGCCTATAATCCCAGCACTTTGGGAGGCTGAGGAGGGTGGATCACGAGGTCAGGAGATCAAGATCATCCTGGCTAACACGGTGAAACCCCATCTCTACTAAAAATACAAAAAATTAGCCGGGCGTGGTGGCGGGCGCCTGTAGTCCCAGCTACTTGGGAGGCCGAGGCAAGAGAATGGTGTGAACCCGGGAGGCGGAGCTTGCAGTGAGCGGAGATTGTGCCACTGCACTCCAGCCTGGCTGACAGAAGGAGACTCCGTCTCAAAAAAAAAATTATTGTACCAATGTTAATTTCCTAGTTTTAACAAATGTAACATGATTATGTAAGATGCCAAAATTAGTGGAAGCAAAATTCTGTACTATCTTTGCAACTTTCCTGTAAATCTGGTACTATTTCAATATGAAAAATTGCAAAAAAAAAAACAAAAAAAAAACACTTCAGGAAAGAACCCAGCCCACAATAAACGCTACTGTGAAAGCTAAGAAATGGTATCTATAATTATTAATAGTGCTAAAATATTTAATTGGAACAAAAAACACATTAACATACCATATTTATTTTCAAAGAAGGATTGTGCAGAGACATGGGATGTATGCCAATGGGAAGAAATGTTTTTGCCTTTACAAAATCCAGGAAGTAGATTTTCTACCAGCTGATCAATCTGTCCAATTTTTAGTTCAGATAATCCAAGGTCCCTTAAGTTAAGTGAAGGCTGTAAAAGATTGGGTCAACCAGGTATGCATTAATATTATCAAGATATTTAACCTAAGGAGTACATATTATCAGTTAAAACAATCAGATTTTAAAAGTCTAACAAATATATTTCCTTTTTTTAATATTTAAAAATAAATTGATGCAAATATTTTCACAGTTCGTTTTACTGAGATCAGTCATATGAGGTTTGACATAGGTTAAAAAATTATATTCCTAATGGTATCCTTAAATAAAGAGATGACATTTCAGCATGAATGAGAAAAACTTTTTTTTTTTTTAAATCAAACCCAAACCACTACTGTCCTAAGCATTATGGTTCACAGAATCAAGTGAAATGTATGGCATTTTTTCCTTCTCTCCATACAAGGGTACTCTGATCAAGAGCTAGTCTATCAACTATTGATCAAGCATTTATAATGACAAGAGTGTAAGAGTAACTAACTGCAGGGTTACAAAGTATGTTATATAAGGTCCAGGGGATTTTCCCCAACAGTGTAGAACTGATTGGAGGATAATAGTAAGGTTCTTGAATTGGGGAAATTCCATTCAAATGATAATCCTCACCAGTCCATGGAGCTTTTAAGCCCCTAAGCAGCCATAAACAAAAGCCCACTTGACAAAGAAATGGTATGCTTGGTTACCATAGGACATCTCACTCCTCTGGCCTCATTGCTTAGATCCTTCCTTGAACTCAGAGGTTCTAAAGTTACCCATATCTTCTAATAAAGAAGAAAATTAAAGTCAAAACTGTGTGAAAATCAGGCAAAAAAGTCTAAAAATCACAAAAATGTGTGTATACCCACTTTTAAACAACAGGATAGGGATTATTTTCTTGTCCACATGAGCTGAAAGAGAGGCACTTAAAGGCAAGTAACAATTACATGTTACTCAAACCCAAAACAGCTAAGGTGGGAAGATCGTTTGAGGCCAGGAGTTTGAGACCAGCCTGAGCAACATGGTAAGACATCATCTTGATGAAAAATTTAAAAATTAGCTGGGCATGGTGGTATGCACCCGCAGCACCAGCTACTCAGGAGAAATGTTTGAGCCCAGGAGCTGGAGGTTGCAGTGAGCTATGACAGCATCACTGCACTTCAGCCTGGGCTACAAAGGGGAGACCCTGTCTCTAAAAATAAAGTTTTTTTTAAAAGAGGCATGGACACGGATTATATAGCTCTGGACTGATGTCTGGGAATACGGTACTTTTTAAATTAGCTATAACTCATATTCTTAGAATTCATTTTCTCAATACTAACATAACTATAAAATACACCTTATTTCCTAATAGTAAGGATCAAAGGCAGAGATCATGCCTTACTCATCTACGTATCCTAGCATACAACATGACAGCACATAGTAAAAGACAGTTAAAGGCATGATGAAATAAAATACTTAAAAGTACTTTTTAAGCTATTAAAAATGATCAAGGCGGCTTAGGGACGGGGGCAAACAAAAAGCCATCCAAGGGTCTGGAATATCTCAAAAAATTCAAGGAAAGAAAAAATTAAAGAGATAGGTTATGGCCAAACTGTGAAGAGCCATGTTTGAATTTAATTCTCTAAGTAACATGATTAGTTCTGTCTTATAGAAGAAAATGGAGAACTAAGGAAGATAGACTGGCCTAGCATGGTGGCTCGAGCCTGTAATCCCAACACTTTTGAGAGGCTGAGGTGGGAGGACTGCTTCAGGCCAGGAGTTCGAGATCAGCCTGGTGAAGAAAGCAAGACCCTGTCTTTACAAAAAATTTAAAAATGATAAAACAAACAAACAAAGAAACTAGACTGGATGAGAGAGAAGGCTGATGGAACAAGTGAAAGATGGCAAGAACCTGAACTAAGCCGTGACTAAGAACGATGGACAAAACAAATCATAGACAATAGGCATTTGGAGAAACCCGCAGTGTACAGGGATTGAGAGGGAGAAGGGTTCTGGACGGATGTGCCAGTTATCGGTTGTGTCCAAGCTCTTCTTCATCCTTTTTGCTGGCTCCATGAACATGGATCTGTACCCTTCGAATATTTTTCCTTTGCCAATTGAAACAATGTTAAGCTTCGTCAGGAAGTCACTGAACATACACTGTAGGAAGAGAGGTTTTGATTCCTGGTTGTGGTATGCTCATTTAGCAAGTTCCTGTCTGTAACACCCGTGGTTTCTATAGCATCTGGCTCCTGTCAATTGTGCAGTTTCACCAAACCCTGGCTCCTGGCGTGCACAATGGCCAGCAGGACCTAGCAGCTTCCCCTGGCACCACTCGTGTAACAGCTTCTCTAGTAGGACACATCCCCAGGAACAGCTTTTCCCAGTATCCTAGAGGGCAGACTTCCCAGATTTCTAGCACGTTACCCTGGCATGACATCACAGCAACTTTTCTACCATTCAGTGAGCCAAGGCCATGCCTTCGCCAACAATGTCAGGATCTCAGCCCTGGGGATGGAGAACTCTTCCTGACTCTATCTCAGCCCTAGAAGTATGAGCTGCTCCCTAAATCTGCTGGTCCTTTATTTTTTTAAGAGTTTTATTTACTTCTTAAATCCCTACCTATTCCACTTCCCTGTAAAAACAGGTGTTTTTTTTTAGATTAAACCAAAAAATGAGATTACATTTTTATATTTATTTATTTATTTATTTTTGAGACAGAGTCTTGTTGTCACCCAGGCTGGAGTGCAGTGGTGCGATCTTGGCTCACAGCGACCTCTGCCTCCTAGGCTCAAGCTATTCTCTTGTCTCAGCCTCCTGAGTAGCTGGGACTACAGGCGCACGCCACCACACCCGGCTAATTTTTGTATTTCTAGTAGAGATGGGATTTCACCATATTGGTCAGGCTAGTCTTGAACTCCTGACCTCAGGTGATCCTTGAACAACACAGATTAAAGCTGCACAGATCCACAGATACGTGGACTTTCTCCGGTCTCTGCCACCAGAGACAGAAAAACCAACCCCTCCTCTTCCTCCTCAGCCCACTCAACTTGAAGATAATGAAGATCTTTATGATGGTCCACTTCTACTTAATGAATGGTAAATATGTTTTCTCTTCCTTATGATTTTCTTAATAACATTTTCTCCATCTTACTTTATTGTAAGAATACAGTACACAATACATAAAATATACAAAATATATGTTAATGGACCCTTTATTTTATCGGTAAGGCTTCCTGGTCAATAGTAGGGTATTAGTAGTTAAGTTTCTCAGGAGTCAAAAATTATACTCAAATTTTTGACTACGGGGGAGGGACAATATCCTTAATCCTTCATTTGTTTAAGGGTCAACTGTATATCAAAAAGGCTTTCTCACACAACCAGGATAAAGACTTACCTCACTGCTGGGAGCCTCATGCTCAGGAACTACATCTCGATGCTGGTTTTGAGAAACTGACACTCCACTGAGAGAAACAGAAGTGTTTTTTGGTGTATGGAAGGCATTGATGAGATGACTCAGAGGAACTGTAACCTAGAAAAAGATAAAAGTTAAAAACTAAGTAGTTTTTTTTTAAATAAACAGAACAATCTCCTTTTTTTGTCAGGATTTGTTAAGAGTTAAAGGTACATTATATATCAACTCTGTATACTAAAAACTGTAAGTACTCAGATTTACTGCTGGTGAGACGAAAACTGGTATGTTCTTTCAGGATATTATTCTGAATATGTAAATCAAAAGTATCAAAAATACATACATTTCTTGTTTGTAGCAATCCACCTTCTAGGAATTTATTATAAGGAAATAATCTGACAAGTACTTGCACATGCATAGAGAACAACTCTCATCGAAACATTTAAAAAATAGTAGAAAGCTGGAAACATCCAGCATTAGGGGAGCGGCAAAACAAATGATACCACTGGTCGAGTGCAGTGGCTCACGCCTGTAACCCCAGCACTTTGGGAGACCGAGGTGGGTGGATCACTTGAGGTCAGGAGTTCAAGACCAGCCTGACCAACACAGTGAAACCCCATCTCTACCAAAAAATACAACAATTAGATGGGTGTGATGGTGTGCGCCTGTAGTCTCAGCTACTTGGGAGGCTGTGGTAGAAGAATTGCTTGATCTCAGGAGGCGGAAGTTGCAGTGAGCTGTGATCATGCCACTGCACTCTAGCCAGGGCAACAGGGTGAGACCTGTCTCTCAAAAAAAAAAAAAAAAAAAAAAAAAGAAACTACCACAGAATGAAATACATCCAACATTTAAAAAAAAAAAAATAGTAAGTAGGCCGGGAATGGTGGCTCATGCCTGTAATCCCAGCACTTTGGGAGGCCAAGGCAGGTAGATACCTGAGGTCAGGAGTTCGAGACCAGCCTGGCCAACGTGGTGAAATCCCATCGCCACTAAAAATACAAAAAAATTGGCCAGGAATGGTGTTGGGCGCCTGTAATCCCAGATACTTGGGAGGCAGAGGCAGGAGAATCACTCGAACCTGGGAGGCGGAGGTTGCAGTGAGCCAAGATCATGCCATTGCATTCCAGCCTGGGTGACAAGAGCAAAACTCCATCTCAAAATAAATAAATAAATAAAAATGAAAACAAAAAAAACACTTGAGCCCAGGAAGTTGAAGCTGCAGTGAGCTATCATGCCACCACACTCCAGCCTGAATGACATGGCAAGACCCTGTCTCAAGAAAAAAAAAAATTTACTTAATAAATATTTGTTGAGTAAATGAATACATTAAATGGGTTCTTATTATATACCAGGTTTAGTACTACAGGCTTTACTTCTATCATCCCATTTAATCCTCAAACAGCTATAATAATGAGTAACAATTATACTTCTTGTTACAGTTCTGTCAGAGACTTTTGAACCAGAGTGACTCCATCTGGAGTAGGGGCAAAATGAGGGTAAATGAGGCTGAGACCTACTGGGTTGCATTCCCAGGAGGTTAGGCATTCTAAGTTACAGGATGAGATAGGGTGTGGGCACAAGATACAGGTCATAAAGACCGTGATGATAAAACAGGTTGTAGTAAGGAAGCCAGCCAAATCCCACCAAAACTAAGATGGAGAGGAGAGTGACTTCTGCTAGTCCTCACTGCTCATTATGTGCTAATTATAATGCATTAGCATGCTAAAAGACACTCCCACCAGACCATGACAGTTTAAAAATGCCATGGCAACATCAAGAAGTTACCCTATGTGGTCTAAAAAGGGGAGGAACCTTAGGGGTCCCCCTTTCCCTGAAAACTTATGAATAATCACACATTGTTTAGCATAAAATCAAGAAATAACTAACTGTAGGTATCCTTCGTGGACAAGCCCAAGCAGCTCCTCTGCCTATGGAGTACCCCATTCTTTACTCCTTTACCTTCTTAATAAACTTGCTTTCACTTTATAGACTCTCTCGCCTTTTTTTTTTTTTTTTTTTTTTTGAGATGGAATCTCGCTTTGTCGCCCAGACTGGAGTGCAGTGATGCAATCTCGGCTCACTGCAACCACCGCCTCCTGGGTTCGAGTGATTCTCCTGCCTCAGCCTCCCGAGTAGCTGGGACTACAGGCGCAGGCCACCACACCCAGCTATTTTTTTGTATTTTTAGTAGAGATGGAGTTTCACCATGTTAGCCAGGATCTTGATCTCCTGACCTCGTGATCCGCTCGCCTCTGCCTCCCAAAGTGCTGGGATTACATGCGTGAGTCCCCGCGCCTGGCGACTCTCTCGAATTCTTGTGCGAGATCCAACAACCCTCTCTTGGGGTCTGGATCAGGGCCCACTTCCAGTAAAAATTCCAGTGTTTATCTCCTTCAAAACTCAAGTTTGAGTTGAGAACAATGGCAAACTTAGTTGCCACTGTAATCCTGTTAAGAGGTGGGACCTTTAAGAGGCATTTAGTTCAGGAGGGCTCTGCCCTCATCAATGGACTAACGCCATTATTGTGGGTACAGACCATTTAATAGATGAAGACAACAAAGATTTAGAATCTGACTCAAAATTCCAGACTTCTCATCCCATGGATATTGATACACAAATAAATTCGTGACATACTAAGGAATAAAGCTGACCGTAAAACTACCTTAAGTATGCATACCCGTGGGGGCGCGGTGGCTCACGCCTGTAATCCCAGCACTCTGGGAGGCCGAGGCGGACGGATCACAAGGTCAGGGGATGGAGACCATCCTGGCTAACACGGTGAAACCCCATCTCTACTAAAAATACAAAAAATTAGCCGGGCGTGGTGGCGGGCGCCTGTGGTCCCAGCTACTTGGGAGGCTGAGGCAGGAGAATGGCGTGAACCTGGGAGGCGGAGCTTGCAGTGAGCGGAGATCGCGCCACTGCACTCCAGCCTGGGCGACAGAGCGAGACTCCATCTTAAAAAAAAAAAAAAATTAAAATAAAAAAAAGTATGCATACCCGTGTTTGTTTATAGAAAAAAATGTGTGAAAGAATTTAGTCTAAGATACGTATCCCTGAGTAATGAGATTATGGGCGATCTTATTTATACTTTCAGCATTTTTAGCAAAAAAACATGGATTTGTTTTAAGGCTAGTCAAGTGAAGCAATGTATCATTTTTAGAGTCAGAAAGAAACAGTAAGTTCCTTACAGCCTGGGGGCAGTAAAAAGAAAAAAAAATAAACAGTAACTTCTTTTGAAACTTTAAAAATAATCAAATCATTTCAAGATACATATTTTCTACCTCTTTGAAAAGATTTATTTGAATTAGTTATATCTCTTTTATTTGAATTAGTTATATCTCTTTTCTTTCACAAAAGGATTTAGAGTTGAGCTCTTCTCAATGAAAAAGTTCATTTTCTGTGTCTTCCTTTTTACCATTTAATTTCAAGTGTATTCAACCAATTAAGCAACAAGGAATTCCAAATGTGTTACCATCCTTCAAAGCAAGAAATGCCTGAGAGTCCTCACTATATTTGAGCCCTGTTAAGACTGCCTAGGGTACATAAAAATCCCTTTATCATCTCTACCAACATCACATACTACTAACTGTCCATTCAGTTGATGGTAAATTCTCCTAAAATCAGGCCTCTTGATGTGAACTAAGGCAAAGAGTTGAGTTTCAAAAACTTCAATACCATATTCAATAGGCCATGTCAGACTTCTTTTTCAAACAATTACTAGGACTTCTCCAGACACTGTCATCTTGGTAAATAGCACCTTCAATGCATTCATCTGATCAAACCCAGAAACACCTCTCCCCATCATCTCTCTGATCTCTCATGCAATTCCACTTTCTTCAAAATATATCTCATTCTCTTCTTTCCATAACCACTGCAACAGCTTTAATTGGGGGGTGGGTGGGTATTTTTAGCTGATAACATCTTCCACTCTTGCCCTCTCCTATTCTCCATATAGCAAAAGCCAGTCATCTCTTAAAAATGAAAATCTAATCATGTTTTAAAACTTTCAATGGTTCCCAATACACTTAAAATGAAATCAGCCATAATATATCCTTTACTCCCTGTATGATCTGCCTCAAGTCTTTTCTCCAACCTCTTCTGTCACTACCCCCTTTAACTACTATGTTCTAGCCACACTAGCCTTATTTTTGTTCCTTCAACCTGCTAAACCCTTTCCTAACTCAGGACCTCCAGGTATTTTTCTGTATGCCTGTGATACCTGTTCACTCTTCACCTTGCTAAGTCCTACTCATATTTACTTCATATCAATATTAAGAGAAGATTCCACATTTGCTTTGCTCACCTGGTACATAACTGATGCCCAATAACAAGCAGCTGCTTCAGTTTGTTAGCCAGTACTAGCACAAAAAATTAAAAATTCTTAAAATGAGGGGGAGTAAAAGTTACACAAAGGAACACAATCATATGCTTAAATCAAGAACCTAAGAGTGTCGATTTTCTTAAAAATTATGTTTTAAAAAAACTCAATGTTTTAAAAACTATTTCTTTGCAAAACTGTAGGAACTCTCAAAAAATCTATTAAAATGTTACCATCAAAAAAAGAGACTGGAATGAAGCAAGAATAAAACATTGTCACAAGTGATTGCCCAAGAGCGTAATGAAAACCCTTGAAATCATTTTTCTCTTCACTACCTTTTGTTTTACAAAACGATGAGGATGAGGCTGAATCAAAATTTTAACTGCAAACAGTTTACGACTCGGAAATACACATTTTAGTTACTTCTGGTCAAAATGAGAAAAAAACTTGCATGGCTGGCCATCCGAAATATTATACCATGTTTGGGTTAAATTTAAATTCCATTTAAAAGGAAATAAAGAGCAGGGGATAGGGGCTGTGAACACTAAAGCCACTGGAAAGTCGGAAAAAAGGGAACATTACCTGCTCCCTTTAATGTATGGTACAGACATTTTCCCACCCCAGAACGCCGGACACTGAACAATGCCGGACGGATTCTCTAGCAGAAATTCCACGCAATCAGTTCGATAAGCCAGGGTCTCTCTCTATCACTGAGCTCACATCCCGCCTCTGCCCTCAACAGCTTCATCGTCAGCACTGAAGTCTCCGGCCCACTCTCAGCGTCGTCCCCTGATCCACTCCTCAATCCTGGGATTCGCATTGAGTACATCACTTCATTTCTAGAGTCCCTTCTGAGAAATCGCTTCCACGAGCGCAATTTGCAAACAGCCACGGGCAGGGCGGGAGGAAAAAAAATGGGCTGAATGCCTGGCTTACCTGGGGTTGCACCGTGCTCGACAAGGAAAACATCTCCGGCGGGCCCTCAGCGACCTCACCCGCCTGCCGAAACTGTGCCCCTCTGTCCACGGCCCGGCGGGGAGGCGCTGAGCCCTTCTTTTTTCCTTTTTCTCCGACCCGTTGCCCCTCACTCCTCCCAGAAACGGAAAATGGCCTCCCCTTCCTACAGCTACTGCAACGACAGACAATCCGCCCCGGAAGGCGAGGCGCTAACTCAACAGTACTTCCGGGGCAAGTGAGCGCCCACAAGGCCAAGTGCCTGCGCGTTCTTTCCCGCGGAAGTAGTTGACATTTACAAGGAGCAGCGCCCCCAAAGGTCTTTAGCTGTTTTTTAAGGGGAGAACAGCCTTTACCCTCTTTGGACTTTTTCTTCGTTTTTTTTTTTTTTGGAGACGGAGTTTCGTTCTTTCGCCCAGGCTGGCGTACAGTGGCGCGATCTCGGCTCACTGCAACCTCTGCTCCCCGGGTTCAAGCGATTCTCCTGCCTCAGCCTCCCGAGTAGCTGGGATTACAGGTGCCCGCCACCACGCCCGGCTGATTTCCTCTTAAGACTTTCTACAGCTTCCTTATGAAATCTTCTGACTGGGCCTTGAGCAATAAGGTCTTTTGCTACAATTTAGTGCTCTTTTCCTCACACTAAATCGAAAACTCTCCCTGTTGGTCCTGATCTGTTTCAGTCAGGCAAATTACATCCTGGGAAAACGTCAGATGACAGGGGAGGCCACTCGCTTCCTGCTCATCCAGTTTCGACACTTTCTGTGCTTTCATTAGCTTCCAGACCTCAGCCCTGGCCCTCGCTTTACTGTACAGTCAGAACTGGTTTCTACGCCTCGCGAGGGTGGGAGGTCGTGTATGGGAGGAGGACCGCTTCCCACCAGCCTCGTTGGGAAGCCAGGAGAAATCTCTTCAAATCCTGCGATTCAGAGTCAAGTCCCAGTCGTCCTTTTTCTGGTCGGCCCAGAACTGTTTGTGCCTCCTCCCTCATGAGGAATGATGTCAGTGGGGCCGCGGTCGCCGCCCACGAAGAGTGTAAGGCTGCGAAGTCGGGGCTTTCCCGACGCCCCCTCCGTCCGCGTCTGCGTAGGGGAGGTGACGAGGGCGGGGCGCGGCGGCGGGGTGACGTCACGGCCGCGCGCGGCGTGGGCGGAGCCTCACTTTGAACCCAGTTGGCGGGAGTGGCTGCTCGCGGAGGGGCAGTGTCTGCGGGGCCGCTGTATGCTGTCCAGCGATGGATCCCACCGCGGGAAGCAAGAAGGAGCCTGGAGGAGGCGCGGCGACTGAGGAGGGCGTGAATAGGATCGCAGTGCCAAAACCGCCCTCCATTGAGGAATTCAGCATAGTGAAGCCCATTAGCCGGGGCGCCTTCGGGAAAGTGTATCTGGGGCAGAAAGGCGGCAAATTGTATGCAGTAAAGGTAGGAAGTCAACGAGTAGCAAGGAAGGGGTTAGGCCCTTCGGCCCTCCTTCCTGCCCCACCGGCTTGGGCAGGCCCCGGGGTTGCTGGAGCGAGGAGTCTGGGTGGCCTGGCTTGCTGAAGCCTCCAGAGCCCTGCGAGCTGACTTCTTTTTGGGGCGACATCAGCGGTCGGGTCGGGTGTCTCGCCTCTGTTCCGCCCTTCCCTCCATATCTCAGATGCCCAGTGAGAACAGCAAAGTTTGACTCTCTTCTCCCTGCCCAGCGTTAGCAAATGAGGAAACTGAGGCCAAAGGCAAAGGGACTTGACCGAGGTGATTACATCGGTCTTAGTACAACAGGCACTTAAAGCCAAAGCCGTGATTCGTAGTCTCACCCTGGCTTGAGTTAGGTTTCTTTTTTATTTTTTTTTGAGGCGGAGTCTTGCTCTGTTTCCCAGGCTGGAGTGCAGTGGCGCAATCTCGACTCACTGCAAGCTCCGCCCCCCGGGTTCACGCCATTCCCCTGCCTCGGCCTCCCGACGAGCTGGGACTACAAGCGCCCGTCACCACGCCCGGCTGATTTTTTGTATTTTTAGTAGAGACGGGGTTTCTTTAGTAGAGACGGGGTTTCACCGTGTTAGCCAGGATGGTCTCGATTCCCTGACCTCGTATTCCGCCCGCCTCGGCCTCCCAAAGTGCTGGGATTACTGGCGTGAGCCACCGCGCCCGGCGAGTTAGGTTTCTAAATCCAAAAGGTTTTTAGTAATTAGTGGTTTTGTTTACCTTGTTTGCTTTGACGTGCAGAATCGTCGAAATTTTTCTACCACAGAAGAGTGATTAATCTGTAGGCACTGATAACTTTTTAAGTTTTATTCTTAACCAGAAGAAAGATTACTATTTTCTGAGAAGTCTTTAATAATTTTTTTTTAAGACAGTCTTTCTCTGTCGCCCAGGCTGGAGTGCTGTGGTGCAGTCTCGGCTCCCTGCAGCCTCTGCCTCCTGGGTTCAAGCGATTCTCCTGTCTCAGCCTCCCGAGTAGCTGGGATTACAGGCGCGCGCCACCATGCCTGGCTGATTTGTGTAGTTTTTTTTTTAGCCGAGATTGAATTTAGCCAGGTTGTTTTGGTTATGTTGGCCAGGCTGGTCTGGAGCTCCTGACCTCAGGTGACCCGCCCACATCGGCCTCCCAGAGTGCTGGGATTACAGGTGTGAGCCACCGCGCCCTGCCCTGCTATGAATTTTTTTTTTTTTTTTTTTGAGATAGAGTTTCACAGTGACGTGATCTCAGCTCACTGCAACCTCCACTTCCCGGGTTCAAGCGAGTCTCCTGCCTCAGCCTCCCGAGTAGTTGGGATTCCCGCCACCACACCGGGCTAATTTTTTGTATTTTTAGTAGAGACGGGGTTTCACCATTTTGGGCAGGCTGGTCTCAAACTCCTGAGCTCAGGTGATCTGCCCGCCTCAGCCTCCCAAAGTGCTGGGATTACAGGGGTGAGCCACCGTGCCTGGCCTTATGCTGGTTCCTTTTTAAGTGCTTTTCTTCTACCCTTTTGTGCTCTTCTCCACCTGTCTTATTCATGTATTAAGATTCATCTTAGCTCCCCTTCACACCTTCCCTAATCTTTCAGAATTGGAAGATCTGATTGAATTGGTTACTTTATATGTTCCTGAGATTTTTACTTTTCCTTCTACAGTACTTAGTCATGATCAGTTGAAATGAAAACACCAATCCATGTGTTCAGTCAGTATTTGCTTAGCACCCACCCTCTTTGTGTCTACGAACTGGACAACAATGGGGAACAAAACACACATGCCCTCATAGCCAGTGGAATGATAGGAAAAATCATGTTACCAGCTTGCTTTGTCAGTTTCCCTCAGTTTTCTTAAAGAAAGGAGTTAAGGCAGGAATTTATCATGTACTAATGATTTTATTAAGTACTCGAATAAATCTTTGAAAGAAATATGCCTTTTTTTCTTATAGCAGTCCTGAGAATTGATCCCAGTGTTACTGACTATTCAGTTTAGTGCTCCAACTTTATTTTTATTTATTTATTTATGTATTTTTAATTTTTCTTAGTGCTCCAACTTTAATAGTTCTGTTTCTGTACAGATTACCTTGAAACTTGAAAAGAGTAATTAGTTTTCTGTAAGACAGCATTTGGGACTGTTAAATTTCAGTAGTTCTAATCATTCCAACTTAAGATTTTTTTTTTCTAGGCAAACTTCCGACATTCTTCCTCTTTCTGATTCTATCCCCATCTATCAAAAAATCAGAAGTTAAAAAAAAAAATTAAGTAGTTACTCCACGCCCAGGTGCTAGTTATCTGTGGGCTTATGAGGAATGTAACTGTCTTTTGACTTCGTTATCAGAACAGTGGAACAGAATTTTTTTTCTATTAATATGCAGGGCAGTCTGGGAATATTTAATTTTTTTTCCTTCTTGAAAGAGATTATGATACTTCTGCCATTTAATACCAAGATAAGCAATTCTATCTTGAAGATTTTTTTAAACCGTCTTAACTATTTTTTGTACGTGCTTTCCTGATAGCAGTGTAAGGTCCACATGACATCTATATGTGTTCTCTCTGTTAGCGTTTTCATGATGGCAACTTTGAAACCTGAGATCACTCTGTAATTTAAAAACAAGGCAGGGAGCTGTGGCTTCCACGTGTAATCCCAGCACTTTGACAGGGGTATTGCTTGAGGCTCATTTTGGGCCAGCCTGGGCAACGTAGTGAGACCTTGTCTCTACAACAAAATTAAAAAGTAGCCAGATGTAGTCATGTGTGCCAGTAGTCCCAGCTACTTGGGAGGCTGAGGTGGGAGGATAACTTGAGCCTAGGAAATCAAGGCTGCAATAAGCTTTGATCATGCCACTGCACTCAGCCTGGGCAAGAGAATGAGACTCTGTCTCAAAATAAAATAACATGATATCACTTTTATTTTATCTATTACAGGTTGTTAAAAAAGCAGACATGATCAACAAAAATATGACTCATCAGGTCCAAGCTGAGAGAGATGCACTGGCACTAAGCAAAAGCCCATTCATTGTCCATTTGTATTATTCACTGCAGTCTGCAAACAATGTCTACTTGGTGAGTAAATAATTTTTATGTTGTTTCTTTATCCATTAAGCAGTCATTGAACCTAGTGATTTAAGAGAACCATGTTTTGGTTCAGAGTGCTTGCATTTGAATTCTGGCTGCACTCACTGCCTTGGCAAATTTACCTGTTATATTAGTTAGAGTTCTCCAAAGAAAAAGAACCAATAAGATATATGCATACGGTGCGTGTGTATGTGTATGTATATGTACATAGAGAGACAGGCCAAGGGGCCATGGCTCACACCTGTAATTCAAGCACTTCGAGAGGCTGAGACAGAAAGATCACTTGAGGCCAAGAGTTCAAGACCAACTTGGGGAACATAAGGAGACTCCATCTCTACAAAAAAATTAAAGTAAAAATTAGCTGGGCATGGTGGTATGCAGCTAGCTAATAGAGATACCATTGCACATAATTGCACCCCAGCCTGAGATAGAGTCTCCCTCTGTTGCCCAGGCTAGACTGCAGTGGTGCAATCTTGGCCACTCTGCACCTCCTGGGTTCAAGCAATTCTTGTGCCTCAACCTCCCAAGTAGCTGAGATTACAGGCCCAGCTAATTTTTTGTATAAATTAGCTGCCACCAGGCCCAGCTAATTTTTTGTAATTTTAGTAGGGACGGGGTTTTGCTATGTTGGCCAGGCTAGTCTCGAACTCCTGGCCTCAAGTGATCTGCCCATCTTGGCCTCCCAAAGTGCTGAGATTATAGGCGTGAGTCACTGTGCCCAGCCTAAACAGTTTAATTTTTAATTAAAAACTGTTATGGCAACATGAATAAACCTAGTATTAATGTATTACGAGTAATAGCAAGAAAAGGTCGTTTCATTACAGAGCCATGCCAAATATTGTAACTGTAATGCCCAAATACTAGATTTTTAAAGTAATCATATTGTTTTTATTTCACAATATTAAATTCTTTTTTGAAAGGTAATGGAATATCTTATTGGGGGAGATGTCAAGTCTCTCCTACATATATATGGTTATTTTGATGAAGAGATGGCTGTGAAATATATTTCTGAAGTAGCACTGGCTCTAGACTACCTTCACAGACATGGAATCATCCACAGGTAAAGACTGACTTCTCCAAATTATTACTTAAAAATTCAAGTAATCAAATTACATATTTGAGTCTCAGATATTCACAGTAACCACTTGCACTTATTTCCAGGTTATCTAAAGTTTACTAGTAACTTGTATTCATTTAGAAATTAACTCTTCTTTCATCTCCCTGTGTTTTTTAAAATATATTGCTTTGAACATGAGTATAGCATGTATTTATTTATTTTTGTATTTACATATTTATTTATTTTTTTCTTTGTTGAGACAGGGTCTCACTTTGTCATCCAGGTTGTGCAGTGCAGTGACTTGACCTTGGCTCACTGCAGCCTCGACCTCTGGGGCTCAAGCAATCCCCCTGCCTTAGCCTCCCAAGTGTCTGGGAGTAGAGGTGTGTGCCATTACTCTTGGCTTTTTTTTTTTTTTTTTTTTTTTTTTTTTGTAGAGACAAGGTTCCCAGGCTGCTCTTTAACTCCTGGGCCCAAGGGATCCTCCCACCTCAGCCTCCCAAAATGCTACGATTACAGGCATGAGCTACCACGGCCCATTAAGTATGGCATTTTATGTGAAGAGTATTGAATCCTTTCCGCTCCTCTGCATTATACAAAAGTGGTATATTTTGTAGTCCAACTGATTTACAATGTTTTTCTCTATGCAAAGAAAGTCAGATTAAGTGACTTATTAAATCTCAATCTTACCTTCCTTTAAGAAGGTAAATGTAGGCCAGGTGTGGTGGCTCATACCTATAATTCCAGCACTTTGGGAGGCTGAGGCGGGCGGATCACCTGAGGTCGGGAGTTTGAGACCAGAGTGGACAACATGGTGAAACCCTGTCTCTGCTAAAAATACAAAAATTAGCCGAGTGTGGTGGTGGGTGCCTGTAATCCCAGCTACTCGGGAGGCTGAGACAGGAGAACTGCTTGAACCCGGAAGGCGGAGGTTGCAGTGAGCCGAGATTGTGCCATTGCACTCCAGCCTGGGTGACAAGAGTGAAACTCCATCTCAAAAAAAAAAAGAAAAGAAAAAAAAGAAAGTAAATGTAAATTTGAACTGGCTTGAGGTTGATTTTATCTAATAAGGTTTCTTTATTTTAATGGAATATCTAACCAATGATACCAAAGATAATCTAGTATTAATTTATCTTTTTTGTAGATTCTGATAAACAGTACGAAAGATGTTTTGCTTTTGAGAGATGTTTTCTGTACTTTTCAAAGCCATCAATGAGTATCTTTATTTTGGAGGAAATAAATAGGGTTTGCCTCCTTTGTAACTCTTTTTTTCTGGAAATTCTAACATTAAAACTAGCCCTTTTTTGGTTATCTAATATTTGCCTTTTGTGTGTGCAGGGACTTGAAACCGGACAATATGCTTATTTCTAATGAGGGTCATATTAAACTGACGGATTTTGGCCTTTCAAAAGTTACTTTGAATAGAGGTAAGAAAAATATCAAGTAAGTACTTTTTTAAAACATCCAACAGGCCAGGCGTGGTGGCTCACACCTGTAATCCCAGCACTTTGGGAGGCCAAGGCGGGCAGATCACCTGAGGTCAGGAGTTAGAGACCAGCCTAGCTAACGTGGCAAAACCCCATCTCTACTAAAAATACAAAAATTAGCTGGGCGTGGTGGCATGCGCCTGTAATCCCAGCTACTAAGGAGGCTGAGGCAGGGAGAATCACTTGAACCCAGGAGATGGAGGTTGCAGTGAGCTGAGATCCCGCCATTGCACTCCAGACTGGGAAACAAAGTGAAAATCTCTCTCAAAAAAAAAAAAGTCCAACTAAAAATAAATATAAAAAATTAAAAAAAATGAAAAGTCTAACAAATTATAGAGACTACATTTCATTAACTTCCACTGTTTTCTTTGTTAGTTTACACTAAATAAAATTTGTTATTTATCCCAGAATAGGCTAGAAAGGTATAACGGGTTCTTTTTTCCACTGAAGATGAAAAATAGGAGTGATTATTCTTGGCTATTCAGAGGTCCTTGAAGGTCCTTTGATCTTCACAGAGGAACTCACAATTTCTGTTTTTCTGACTTTTATCCCAAGTGAAATTGATTCTTACCAATTAAGCATCAGTAAAATGACCAGAATAACTATAACATGATGAAGGGTTAATAACTGAAAACATATTCAAATATACACGGCCACCACTAAGACCTTGATCAACAAAAGGACAAAGAAAATGAATACACAGTTAACACATATATGTATATATGGGACTGTGTTCTTTTCACTAGTAGTAATTAAATAAATGCTAATATAAGAAAGAGTAAATGAACCATCTTACACTATTAAATGGGCAAAAGAAAGGAATACCGATGGTCCAGTTAGTAATACTACCAAAAAAGCACACTAATATTTTTCTGGGGGCATTGTAAATTAGCATAGTGCTTTCTGGAGGAAATCTGCCAATATGTTTTTAAATATAAAAGTTTTTAATTCTCTTTGATCTAGTGGCTTATGCTTTGGAATTTATTCTAAGGAAATTGTTCAAATGAACAAAATACACATAAATGAAATCACTTGTAGCAACATTGTTTCTAATAGGGAGAAACTAGAAATTACTTAAGTTCATCATAGAAACATGGATAAATGATTGATTATCAACTTAGAAACATATTGTATTCTTGGCCGGGTGCCGTGGCTCATGCCTGTAATCCCAGCACTCTGGGAGGCCGAGGCGGGTAGATCACTTGAGGTTGAGGTCAGGAGTTCTAGACTAGCCTGGCCAACCTGATGAAACCCCATCTCTACTAAAAATACAAAAATTAGCTGAGTGTGGTGGCACACGCCTGTAGTCCCAGCTACTTAGTAGGCTGAGGCAGGAGAATTGCTTAAACCTGGGAGGCAGAGGTTGCAGTGAGCCAAGATCACGACACTGCACTCTAGCCTGGGGGACAGAGCGATACTCCATCTCGAAAAAAAAAGAAACATATTGTATTCTCTATTAGAAAGTGTAGACGGATGGGAAAGTATTAATAATGAAAATAACCAGAAATTGGACTTAAAAACTCTGGAATTATAACTATTAATATTTGAAAATATATGCAGATCTACAATTCTTCATGTGGAAGTACAAAGTTCAACAGTTATGAATACCTAAAACTTTTTACTAAGTTTGGTAAAATCTGATCTATGCTGATGTAGGGGTATTTATAGTCTTTTGTTTGTTTGTTTGTTTTGGGATGGGGTTTTTGCTCTGTTGCCCAGGCTGGAGTGCAATGGCGTGATCTCGGCTCACTACAACATCCACCTCCCGGGTTCAAGCAATTCTCCTGCCTCAGCCTTCTGAGTAGCTGGGATTATAGGTGCCCGCCACCACGCCCAGCTAATTTTTGTATTTTTAGTAGAGACACAGTTTCACCATGTTGGCCAGGCTGGTCTCGAGCTCCTGACCTCAGGTGGTTCACCCGCCTCGGCCTCCCAAAGTGCTAGGATTACAGGCATGAGCCACCGTGCCTGGCCAGGGGTATTTATAGTCTGTTGATTCCAGTTCATGTGATTATTCATATGATTTGCCACTAGGGATATTTCATAATATGCAGTATATTTACCACATTACTTTTCTAAAATCTAAACATTTTTGAATTGTGATTTCAAAGAAATCTGACTTTGAAATCTTATTTCGAAATCTGATTCTAAGGATTTCAGATAAGCTATTGGAAAATATCACAAATGACAAAAATTTTGCATTAAGATAAAATTGTTGATAAATTTAAGTCACTTTGTTTATCATAAGGGTCTAATTTTAATAAAACTTTTTTTGTAAAATATCATATACGTGTATTATTATTATCACTTCATCAATGTGAGGCATAAATGACATTTGTTGTTAAAACTTTCAGTATACTTTCATTTATTTACTTATTTGTTTTTTTTTTTTTTCTTTGAGACAGAGTCTCGCTTTGTTGCCCGGGCTGGAGTGCTGGAGTGCAGGGGCACAATCTAAGTTCACTGCAAGCTCTACCTCCTGGGTTCACGCCATTCTCCTGCCTCAGTCTCCTGAGTAGCTGGGACTACAGGCACCCACCACCACGCCCGGCTAATTTTTTGTATTTTTAGTAGAGATGAGGTTTCACCATGTTAGCCAGGATGGTCTTGATCTCCTGACCTCGTGATCCACCCGCCCTGGACTCCCAAAGTGTTGGGATTACAGGCGTGAACCACCGCGCCCAGCCTATTCATTCATTTATTTATTTTGAGAGAGAGTCTTGCTCTGTCACCCAGGCTGGAGTACAGAGTACAGTGGCATGATCTAGGCTCACTACAACCTCTGCCTCCCAGGCTCAAGCGATTCTTGTCCCTCAGCCTTCCGAGTAGCTGGGACTAGAGGCATGAGCCACCACACCCAGCTAATTTTAAAAAGTCCTATAAGAACATTAGAGTTCTGGGATTATTTTTGTTTGTTTAAGAGACAGGGTCTCACTGTATTACCCAGGCTGGAGTGCAGTGATGTGATCATAGCTTACTGTAGCCTTGAACTCCTGGGAAAAGCAATTCTCCCACCTCAGCCTCCCCAGTAGCTGGGACTACAGGTGCTTGCCACAATGCCCAGCTAGTTTTTAAATTGTAGAGATAGGTCTCACTATGTTGCCCAAGCTGGTTTCAAACTCCTGGGCTCATGGGATCCTCTCCATTTGGCTTCCCAAAGTGCTAGGATTACAGATGTGAGCCACCATGCCTGGATAAGAACATTAGACTTCTCTTACCATTTTTTATATCTAAGTGGAATAGTATAGTATTATGTGTCAGTGTTGAATTATTTTAAAATATTATGCACTGAAACATGCTAATAATCTGGGTCAGTTTCTATCTTGACCTAGGCTTAAACATATTAGCTAACGTGAGGGGCCTAAAATTAATATTGATTCCATACCATCTCCTTATTTATTTATTTAGTTTTTGAGATAGAGTTTTGCTCTGTCGCCCTGGTCGGAGTGCAGTAGCGCGATCTCGGCTCACTGCAACCTCCGCCTCCCGTGTTCAAGTGATTCTCCTGCCTCAGCCTCCCGAGTACCTGAGATTACAGGCGCCCACCACCAAGACCAGCTACTTTTTGTATTTTTAGTAGAGACAGTGTTTCACCATGTTGGCCAGGCTGGTCTCGAACTCCTGACCTCAAGTGATCCATCTGCCTCAGCCTCCCAAGGTGCTGGCATTATAGGTGTGAGCCACCGTGCCCAGCCACTGTCTCCTTTTTTAACATTTGGTTTACAAAAAATTGTTTTGTTGTCATATACATAACATTCATTTTTAGTCAATGGGAGGTAAAGGTTTTAAATACATTTATATACTTTTCTTTGCATACATAGATATTAATATGATGGATATCCTTACAACACCATCAATGGCAAAACCTAGACAAGATTATTCAAGAACCCCAGGACAAGTGTTATCGCTTATCAGCTCGTTGGGATTTGTAAGTACTTGAGAAGAAAATTAACATGACATACCCCTTCATGATCACCACTTAAAATTTAAAATCACCTTTAAAAAAAAAGATCAAAATAGATTTAAATATCAAGCATTTGGATTTACTTTAACAGTTTGTCTACTTAGGTGGTATAACAGTCTATGTACTTAGGTGGTGTTTTGGGGAAGGTAAACCTGTTGTTTTTATTTTTCTCTTTTTAATAGAACACACCAATTGCAGAAAAAAATCAAGACCCTGCAAACATCCTTTCAGCCTGTCTGTCTGAAACATCACAGCTTTCTCAAGGACTCGTATGCCCTATGTCTGTAGATCAAAAGGACACTACGCCTTATTCTAGCAAATTACTAAAATCATGTGAGTATAAAAGAAAAGGTAGGCCAGGCGCAGAGGCTTACACCTGTAATACTACCACATTGGGAGGCTGAGGCAGGATTTCTTTCTTTTTGAGACGGAGTCTTACTCTGTCATCCAGGCTGGAGTGCAATGGCGCGATCTCGGCGGCTCACTGCAACCCAGGAGTTCAAGACCAGCCTGGGCAACAAAGTGAGACTTCATCTCTACAAAAATTAGCTGGGCATGTTGGTGCACACTTGTGGTCCCAGCTACATTGGAGGCTGAGGCAGGAGGATCGCTTGAGCCCAGGAGGTTGAGGCTGCAGTGAGCCTTAATAGCGCCATTGCACTCCAGCCTTGGTGACAGAGTGAGACCCTTCCTCAAAAAAACAAAAAATGCCCCAAAATTCAAAACATTTTGAGTACCAACATGACACCCAGCAGTTTGGGCAGCCGAGGCGGGCGGATCCCTTAAGGTCAGGAGTTCGAGACCAGCCTGGCCAACATGGTAAAACCCTGTCTTTACTAAAAATACAAAAATTAGCTGGTCGTGGTGGTGGGCACCTGTAATCCCAGCTACTCAGGAGGTTGAGGCAGGAGAATCGCTTGAACACAGGAGGCGGAGACTGCAGTGAGCTGAGATCATACCACTGTACTCCAGCCTGGGTGACAGTGAGACTGTCTCAAAACAAGCAAGCAATTTACCATTATTTATTTGCTTTATCCAGTAGTATTTTTTAAAAATCCCTTGTAAGTGTGTATAATTGACATTTGTAAGCGCATAAACCTCAGTGTTAATAAATACAAGTTGAATTAAATACAAGTGTTAAATTAAATACAAGTTGAATTGAGTAAATGTAGTCATATTCTAACCTTATAGCACGTCTGGATATACCACATCAATAATGTTCCTTTGTCAGGAATGGGTTCAAATTGGATGATAGCTATTCCAAATTGATTTGCTCCTAGTTATACATTAATTTGGTGGTTCATACCTGTAAGTACAGCACTTTGGGAGGCTGAGGCGAGAGGATCACTTGAACCCAGGAGTTTGAGACCAGCCTGGGCAATATAGTGAGACCCCCATCTCTAGAAAAAATTAAAAGCATTAGCCAGATTTGGTGGTCCTCACGACTCAGGAGGCTGAGATGAGAGTATCGCTTGAGCCCAGGAGGTCAAGGCTGCAGTGAGAGTAATCATACCACTGCACTCTAGCCTGGATGACAGAGGGAGATCCTGCCATGAATTAGTCAATCAATCGACCATTCCCTTGTTCTTATTCTTTACTGAATGAACGTTAAGGGGATTTTGTTCGGTTCTAACTTTCATAGCAGTACTTGTGTCTAAACATAGTGGGATATGTTTAGATATATTAATAGTATATGTATCTAAACATAATGGGAAGCATGCCAGCTGTTCTTGTGGACTAGATAGTGTTTACAAAGAAATAGTTCTGATATGTAATTCTTAATACATATTAATATGTAATTCTTGATACTTTGCTTAATTATATGTAAAGATTCAGGTTCAGTAAGGAACTAAGAAAGCTGTAACATGGAATTCAATATTGTCTCTTCTCTATAGGTCTTGAAACAGTTGCCTCCAACCCAGGAATGCCTGTGAAGTGTCTAACTTCTAATTTACTCCAGTCTAGGAAAAGGCTGGCCACATCCAGTGCCAGTAGTCAATCCCACACCTTCATATCCAGTGTGGAATCAGAATGCCACAGCAGTCCCAAATGGGAAAAAGATTGCCAGGTTTGAGGGACATTTATCTTAATGAAAATCAATTATGTATGTCAAATGAATGTGAGAAATATTATACCTTTTCATATAAATTCCATAAAGAAATGAAATTGTTACATGAATGGCAGTCATAGTATTAATCAGAAATTCATTTTCCTGCACATTCTGTCAAATTCTTTTGAAATATTTCATTTCTCATTCAATTGTGACATTGTTCTTACTTGATTATATAATGAGATTCTTGCAGTAAATTGATAATAAATGCTTGGCTTCTGTGTATCTAGGTGGACCTCACTTGTTTTTAGAAGTCCTTCCCATGATACAGACATTGGCTTGTTGGTTTTGTTTTATTTTGTTTTTAACCTATGTCATTTAAAAACTCATATTACCTCCTTCTATACTGTTTCCTGTCAGTTTCTTGTTTAATGGAATGGTAACTCTTCTGGATCAGAAATAACTTTTAGACCGGAAAGGTAACGTGGGTGTGCCCTTAAAGTGTCTGTTCTGAGGATATTGCTTGCCAAATGAATGGACTTACTTAAAGTCACTTTACTTAACTTACATATTGTTTTTGCCTTTTTAAACAGTTATTAGAGCTAAGCCCTTAAAGTGTCTGTTCTGAGGATATTGCTTGCCAAATGAATGGATTTACTTAAAGTCACTTTACTTAACTTACATATTGTTTTTGCCTTTTTAAACAGTTATTAGAGCTAAGAGATACTAAAGGTGGTAGGAACTAAAATTTAAAATCATAATAAGGTTTCCTTCATAGAAGGCTGATAAAATAATGATAGATTAGGATAACACTAATATCCAAAGAATAAACCTTTTATTTGCTAAAATAATTTTGATTCTATTTGCTGCTTATTCTCAGCAATAGAATTTTATTATTATTGGATATTTGTATTCTATAAGCAAGATCAAATTAACGTTTAACTAAGGCAGAGTTTCTTAATCTTTTTTCCTTCTGTCTTTATAAAGTAAAGGTACTATATGCTGCAAGATAAACAGATTTCCATTCCCAGTACTATTACTGCACTCCTTTCCTATTGAAGAAAACATATTGTTTACTATTTCAAATTATACACAGCTTTACTATCCTCCCACTTCTGCATCCCTGAGGGATGCACCGATGGGATTATAGTGGTGCTTCTCAAGTTATGATCAGAGGAATGATAAGGCACCCTCTGAAAAACCTTACACTGATCCCCACATGCATCATTTTCTGTGCTTACAGATCAGTGAGATATAATTCAAGAATATCCTTTTTTAGGCCAGGCGCGGTGGCTCACGCCTGTAATCCCAGCACTTTGAGAGGCTAAAGTGGGTAGATCACCTGAGGTCAGGAGTTTGAGACCAGCCTGGCCAACATGGCAAAACCCCGTCTCTACTAAAAATACAAAAATTAACTGGGCGTGGTGGTGGGCGCCTGTAATCCCAGCTACTCAGGAGGCTGAGGCAGGAGAATTGCTTGAACCCGGGAGGCAGAGGTTGCAGTGAGCGGACATCATGCCTCCAGACTGGGCAACGAGCAAAACTCCATCTTCAAAAAAAAATATCCTTTTTGCTTGAGACTAAATGCTCATTATTATTACTAAGTTAATGATAGTTAATAAAGTTTACTATTCATTTACACATCAAAAATAAGCACTATTAGAGTTTACTGAAGACTCACTCTACTTGACTAATCTTGTAAAAATCTTGATCACCAAGCACCAATTTGCAATATTATATACAAAGCTGAGTACCCACAAATACCCACAGATAGTTGGAATTCAGAAAAAAAAATCATTATTAATGCATTATCAGTTCATCTTGTTGACAATGGACTTTAATTTCTGCTCTTTGGGGTTTGTAATTATTAATTACCATTAATGTCATTTCATCCTTATCAGCTTGGTTTTTTAATACTTATATGAAGTGATATATATTTACACTGACAATATTTTAGGTCTATAATTTTTCATTGACTAAATTTCAAGCCCTGTGCATTTTGCAGTTCAAAACAGAATCATCCAGGCCAGGTGTGGTAGCTTACACCTGTAATCCCAGCACTTTGGGAGGCCTAGGCAGGTGGATCACCTGAGGTCAGGAATTTGAGACTAGCCTGGCCAACATAGTGAAACCCCATCTCCACTTAAAAAAAATTATGCAAAAATTAGCCAGGTGTGGTGGTGTGCCCCTGTAATCCCAGCTACTTGGGAGGCTGAGGTGGGAGAATTGCTTGAACCCAGGAGGCAGAGGCTGCAGTGAGCTGAGATCGCACCACTGCACTTCAGCCTGGACGACAGCAAGACCCCATTTCAAAAAAAAAAAAAACAGAATCATCCATATACCTATTGCAAAATAGATATGTACGTAATGCAGCCTTACCCCAAAATGTGCCTGAATATGTTGCCTGTTAATTTGTCCTGTTTAAGTAGCCTGTGATATACAATCAAAATAAGTATTATAGAATAATTTATTTAAAGTTTAGACCGTTTCATTCAGAATAATGTATATAAGCTTATAATTGCTTACATTGCTTTTTAATTCTCTGTTGTTTATTTTTTCCATTTGAAAGTGGCAACAGGTAGCATAATAGTTTATGGGGTCATTTATCCTACCTTAACGGACCATAGTTAAAAGGTCAATGAATCTCAGCTTTATATAACTAAAACAAATATTTTTTTCCCTCTTAGGAAAGTGATGAAGCATTGGGCCCAACAATGATGAGTTGGAATGCAGTTGAAAAGTTATGCGCAAAATCTGCAAATGCCATTGAGACGAAAGGTTTCAATAAAAAGGATCTGGAGTTAGCTCTTTCTCCCATTCATAACAGCAGTGCCCTTCCCACCACTGGACGCTCTTGTGTAAACCTTGCTAAAAAATGCTTCTCTGGGGAAGTTTCTTGGGAAGCAGTAGAACTGGATGTAAATAATATAAATATGGACACTGACACAAGTCAGTTAGGTTTCCATCAGTCAAATCAGTGGGCTGTGGATTCTGGTGGGATATCTGAAGAGCACCTTGGGAAAAGAAGTTTAAAAAGAAATTTTGAGTTGGTTGACTCCAGTCCTTGTAAAAAAATTATACAGAATAAAAAAACTTGTGTAGAGTATAAGCATAACGAAATGACAAATTGTTATACAAATCAAAATACAGGCTTAACAGTTGAAGTGCAGGACCTTAAGCTATCAGTGCACAAAAGTCAACAAAATGACTGTGCTAATAAGGAGAACATTGTCAATTCTTTTACTGATAAACAACAAACACCAGAAAAATTACCTATACCAATGATAGCAAAAAACCTTATGTGTGAACTCGATGAAGACTGTGAAAAGAATAGTAAGAGGGACTACTTAAGTTCTAGTTTTCTATGTTCTGATGATGATAGAGCTTCTAAAAATATTTCTATGAACTCTGATTCATCTTTTCCTGGAATTTCTATAATGGAAAGTCCATTAGAAAGTCAGCCCTTAGATTCAGATAGAAGCATCAAAGAATCCTCTTTTGAAGAATCAAATATTGAAGATCCACTTATTGTAACACCAGATTGCCAAGAAAAGACCTCACCAAAAGGTGTCGAGAACCCTGCTGTACAAGAGAGTAACCAAAAAATGTTAGGTCCTCCTTTGGAGGTGCTGAAAACGTTAGCCTCTAAAAGAAATGCTGTTGCTTTTCGAAGTTTTAACAGTCATATTAATGCATCCAATAACTCAGAACCATCCAGAATGAACATGACTTCTTTAGATGCAATGGATATTTCGTGTGCCTACAGTGGTTCATATCCCATGGCTATAACCCCTACTCAAAAAAGAAGATCCTGTATGCCACATCAGGTATATTTATAACTTTCTAATACTGTTTTTTGGATTTTAGAAAAACTATGAAGACAGACATTTGCCTCTAAGCTAGACTATGCGGTATTAATCATATAGTTCTGTTCTTCTTGTTGAGAATCTGTGGGCTGTTGGAAGTTTTCACCCAGAAAAGTAAAGCTGGTAGAAATCATGTTTATTATTTTTAGCTGTAATGCCTCCTTCCATTTGTGTCGTTTTATGTACTTTCCTAAGAAAATACAATCACATATTTTCACTTGATCCCCACAGTACTATGAGTTACAAAATTAATTTTCACTTGATCCCCACAGTACTATGAGTTACAAAATTATTATTATTATTATTATTATTATTATTATTATTATTATTGAGACAGTCTCGTTCTTTTGCCCAGGCTGGAGTGCAGTAGTGTGATCTTGGCTCATTGCACACTTCACCCCCAGGTTCAAGCGATTCTCCTGCCTCAGCCTCCCAAGTAGCTGGGATTATAAGGGGCCCACCACCACACCTGGCTAATTTTTGTATTTTTAGTAGAGTCGGAATTTCACCATGTTGCCCAGGCTGATCTCAAACTCGTGACCTCAAGCAATCCGCCCACCTCGGCCTCTCAAAGTGCTAGGATTACAGGTGTGAGCCACCTCACCTGGCCAGAGATAATTTAAGTCCGCTCTACCTTACTGCCTTCCAAGGACATATTTAGATGATCTCTTCTTAAGAGAATAAAAGTTGAAAAATATGTTTCTTTTTTTTTTTTTTTTTTTTTTGAGACAAAGTCTCGCTCTGTCACCAGGCTGGAGTGCAGTGGCGCGATCTTGGCTCACTGCAACCTCCGCCTCCCGGGTTCAAGCGATTCTCCTGCTTCAGCCTCCTGAGTAGCTAGGACTACAGGCATGTGCCACCATGCCCAGCTAATTTTTGTATTTTTAGTAGAGATGGGGTTTCACCACGTTGGCCAGGATGGTCTCGATCTCTTGACCTTGTGATCTGCCTGCCTTGGCCTCCCAAAGTGCTGGGATTACGGGCATGAGCCACCATGCCCAGCGAAAAATATATATTTCAAAGCTTACTCTCTATATTCTAAACCTTTACCAACCCAAAGTTTTACTTTTTTTCTTCCTTTGGGAAAACATCATAACATAAAATGTGTAACCCCTGAATTTATGTTTCGAAACTTGAGTTTTCTACCCAAGACTTACTATTAAATGACTTAGAAGTCCCTTAACCTCAGACCTGCAATTTTTCTAAATGTCTGTAAGGGATAATGGCACCTGTCTTGCTGGTCTTACAAAGTTGTTGTGAATGCCAGGCGTGGTGGCTCACACCATCTTTGGGAGGCCAAGGTGGGAGGATCACCTGAGGTCGGGAGATCGAGACCAGCCTGACCAACATGGAGAAACCCCGTCTCTACTAAAAATACAAAATTAGCCAGGCATGGTGGTGTATGCCTGTAATCCCAGCTACTTGGGAGGCTGAGGCAGGAAAATTCCTTGAACCTGGGAGGCGGAGGTTGTGGTGAGCCGAGATCGCACCACTGCACTCCAGCCTGGGCAACAAGAGCGAAACTCCATCTCAAAAAAAAAAACTTGTTGTGAAATAACAAATTATCCTAAAAATTTTTAAATGCTATTTAGTACAATAGGTTATATGTAGTTCTGTCTTACGTGTTGTCTTAATCATTTGTTAGCCATAGCCTTCCTCAGTGGCTCTTCTTAAGCTTGTATTAGTCCATGCTATCAGTCTTCTTGCAGATTTTTTCACTGAACATTTTTCTTGCAGATTTTTTTTATTGTTTCTTATCTAGATCTTATTGGAATAATCAGTGTTGTCTAAGCTTTTGAACTTCACCAGATAAAAGGACTTTTTCATAATTATAACTAATTATGCATTCATTTTCAAAACTTATCAAAAATTTGACTACATCCTTTACGCCTAGTAGCCTATGAGCTAGTTATTTGGCTTGTGTGTTTCACCATTTTCTATTCGGTGTAAAAGGAATTAAGATATTTGTTATCTCTTAAACCCTTTTTGAATTAGCAGACCCCAAATCAGATCAAGTCGGGAACTCCATACCGAACTCCGAAGAGTGTGAGAAGAGGGGTGGCCCCCGTTGATGATGGGCGAATTCTAGGAACCCCAGACTACCTTGCACCTGAGCTGTTACTAGGCAGGGCCCATGGTAAGGCATGCATGTCTTGAGTTTTTGAAGTGTTATCTATCACTACATTATCTTTCAAGGTTAAATTTTAAAAAATTTCTTCAGTACTTACGTTACCTAAAGTAAAAGAAAATGAACTCATCTAGTATATATATGGCATTTGTCATAGGAAAATAAACTAGCAGTAGCCATGGCTGTCCCACTCTCTGAATGTAAAAGACCAGATGCTGGAGTACATGTAGTCATTTGTCCTTTGCCTTCTGGTTCAGTCTCAATGTTCCAGAGAAGCCCCACCTGCCACCCTTGATATTATCTTATCTCTTTTTTTATTTTTTTATTTATTTTTATTTTTATTTTTTGAGACAGAGTTTCTCTTTTGTCACCCAGGCTGGAGTGCAATGGTGCAATCTCGGCTCACTGCAATCTCTGCCTCCCAGGTTCAAGTGATTCTCTGGCCTCAGCCTCCTGAGTAGCTGGGATTACAGGCATCCACCATCATGCCCGCCTAATTTTTGTATTTTTAGTAGAGACAGTTTCACCATGTTAGCCAGACTGGTCTTTAACTCCTGACCTCAGGTGATCCTCCCACCTTGGCCTCCCAAAGTGCTGGGATTACAGGCGTGAGCCACCGTACCCGGCCTATCTTACCTCTTAATGTTTCTTCAGGTTGGATGGAGTTTGGGCTCAGGACCACAATGTTGGGTCTAAATTTCTGTTCAGTCTTCAGAAGCCTATTCCTGTTTAGAACTTATTCTCAGTTATATCCTTACCAGAAGAGTCAAGCCAGAAATGAACCATCATCCTTCAAAACAGAACATAAGTATAGAAAGATAGGGCTGGTTACGGTGGCTCACGCCTGTAATCCTAGCACTTCGGGAGGCCAAGGCAGGTGGATCACTTGAGGCCAGGAGTTCGAGACCAAGCTGGCCAACATGGTGAAACCTCACCTCTACTAAAAACACAAAAATTAGCTGGGCATGGTGGTGCATGCCTGTAATTCCAGCTATTCGGGAGGCTGGGGCATGAGAATTGCTTGAACCTGGGAGGCCGAGGTTGCAGTGAGCCAAGATCGTGCCACTACACTCGAGCCTGGGCAACAGAGCAAGACTCTGTCTAAAAAAAAATAAAAATAAAAATAAAAAGATGACATTTTCACCTATCTTCTTTTCTTCCCTTTCTCTCTGAAAACTGTTCCCTTCCTGCATTCTGAAATGAACTGTATTCATCTTCCTAGGGATGCTGTAGCACAAACTGGGTGTCTCAAACCAATAAAAATTCATTGTTTCACAGTTCTGGAAGCTAGAGTTCCAAAATCAGGTGTCCACAGGGCTATACTACCCCTGAAACCTGTAGGGAAATCCTTCTTTGCCTCTTCCTGGCTTCTGGTGGCTTGCTGGCAATCCTCAGTGTTCCTTGACTTGAAGATGCCTCATTCCAGTTCTCCCTCTTTCTGTGATGGTGTTCTCCCTGTGTCTCTATCATCATAGAGCTGGCTTCTGAGAAGGACACCAGTCATTAGGAGCCCATCTTACTCCAGTATGACCTCATCTTAACCTAATCTTAACCTAATTAATCATAGTTGCAAAAACCCATTTCCAAATAAGGTCACATTTTTAGGTACGGGTTAGGACTTAAACATAGCTTTTTTGGGAGGGACACAGTTCAACCCATAACATCAACCTCTTCTACATGTTGATGTTAGTTACTTCCCTTTTCTTTGAGCTCTTTTCATGATCATCTGTTTCATCCTCCCCACCCCACCTCTCACACCCTTTCTTCTGTTTGTATTTCCTTGCCGGCTTTTATCCTCAGCCTGAAAATAAGTTTCCACCCTTGTCTCCCCAACATTGCCTAACTTCTCAAAGGTTTCCTCTTTGTTTGATTATTTTGCTCTGGCAACTTATCATCTCACTATTTAACTGAAAATTCTTTTATTTATTATTTATTTATTTATTTATTTAGAGATGGAGTTTTGCTCTTGTTGCCCAGGCTGGAGTGCAGTGGCACGATCTCAGCTCACTGCAACCTCCGTCTCCCGGGTTCAAGATATTCTCCTGCCTCAGCCTCCCGAGTAGCTGGGATTACAGGCATGCGCCACCATGCCCGGCTAATTTTGTATTTTTAGTAGAGATAGGGTTTCTCCATGTTGGTCAGGCTGGTCTCGAACTCCCGACCTCAGGTGATCTGCCTGCCTTGGCCTTCTGAAGTGCTGGGATTACAGGTGTGAGCCATGGCGCCCGGCCTAACTGAAACTTCTTAATGGGCACCAGTGATTTCCTTATTGTCAAATCCAATTGTCTCTTCTCATTCCCCTGACCTCTGTTGCTGCTCTTCAGTTCCTTCCTTACCTCTTCTAAATATAGTTCTTGGAGATTCTGCCTTTACCCTTTTTGCCCTACACGTGCTCCATGTTCATCTCATCACTCCCATGATGTCAGTTTGTCACCTCCATGTTGATGATTCCCAAATCTCTGTCTCTAATCCTGACTTTCTCTAGGCAGCAGACAGACAGCCAATCTGGCTATTCAGTATTCTACTGATCTTTCAAATGTTGGGTCTCAAAACTGGACTTGTGGGGCCTGGTGCTGTGGCACATGGCTGTAATCCCAGCACTTTGGGAGGCCAAGTTGGGTAGATCACTTGAGGTCAGGAGTTCAAGACCAGCCTGGCCAACATGGTAAAACCCCATCTCTACTAAAAATACAAAAATTAGCCAGGCGTGGTGGTGTGCATCTGTAATCCCAGCTACTCAGGAGGCTGAGACAGGAGAATCGCTTGAACCCGGGAGGCGGAGGTTGCAGTGAGCCAAGATCGTGCCACTGCACTCCAGCCTGGGTGATAGAGCAAGACTCCATCTCAAAAAAAAAAAAAAAAGAAAACACTGGGCTTGTTACCCAGCTAGCTCTTCCTCTGTTCCCTACCTCAGTTTCATCACCTTCATGGTGACACAATCTTTGTTCCTACATTCAAGCATTTAAATCCAGCCAATTAGATCTCTGCAGCATTTCACCTCTCATTTTCTTCTCTGCCACTGTTCTCTTTAAGAACTCATCTTTCTCTTTTATTATTTTAGTGCCCTTCTATCTGATCTCTTCAACTTCATCTTATTATCAATAATCATTGCCACCGGATTTTTCTTCCAAAACCATCACATGGCTTATTCTATTTCCCTTCTCAGAAAACTACAGTGGCTCCCTCTTAGCTGCTAAGTAAAATCCAAATTGATCACGACATTTGAGGTTATAGCTCTCATACCAGCCTTGTCTCTCAAAGAGTCTCTTTATATGCCTTATGTTCCCATTCCATTTCTTAAATACATTTAATTTTCAGGTCTTCCCTATTTTGCTTGTGTATTAAACCTTATTTGAGCAAAGCCAGTTTCCTAGTATCTTCCAGTCAAATTCCTTCTCATTTCATCATTTCAAATGTTACCTCTTCCATAAAGCATCCCTTGATCAACTACTGGGAATTATTCACTTCTATGTTACCTTATTAGAAACTGTTTAAAATTTATGCCATTCTTCCTGTGTTGTAACTAATTGTTTATTTATCTCCACTACAAAAGCTTAAGAAAACTTTTTGAGGAGACTGTGAGTTTTCTTTCTTTTTTCTTTTTTTTTTTTTTTTGAGACAGTCTCAGTCTGTTGCCCAGACTGGAGTGCAGTGGCGCAGTCTTGGCTCACTGCAACTCCCGCCTCCTGGGTTCAAGCAGTTGTTTGCCTCAGCCTCCCAATTAGCTGGGTTTACAGGCACCTGCCCCCATGCTCGGCTAATTTTTGTATTTTTAGTAGAGACGGGGTTTCACCATCATGGCCAGGCTGGTCTTGAACTCCTGACCTTGTGATCCACCCAAAGTGTTCAGCCTCCCAAAGTGCTGGGATTACAGGTATGAGCCACCACACCCAGCCAAGAGTGTGAGTTTTCTGCCTTCTGCATAGCACTCCTGAATTCCTTGGAAGCACTCAGTAACTGATATTAATAATCTCTACAATATTGGCAATAGACATATTTAGTGTTCCTCTTTCTCGCTTAGCCAAAGCAAGTAAATTCCTATGAGCACTGATTTTTATATAGTGCCTCTTTTGCTCTGTCACAGATTTGCTAGCCCATTTTCTGTATTATAATTTGCATTATCTCTAACTTAGGACACAGTGTGAAAGTAAGCTTCAAACATAAAGATGTATTTTATAGCATCTTGCCACTATTTTAGTGAGACATCTAGCTCCCTCAGCTAAACAACATGCTGACAACATGCTGAGGCCCAGCCATGACCTTCTTGATGCCCCTCCATCTTGCCTCTCAGCCGAGATGAGCCAGGGAGTCTGTCCTGAGTTTTCCGTAACTTTATGTGCACCTTTTTGTTTCAGCTTAGTGTGTTAAAATTGTCTGTATTGTCTCTTCCAGAGTAGGCTGGTTTCTCTTTGGGAAAAGAGATTTTTCTTAATCGTCTTTGTATCCTTTATATCTGGCACAATACCTGGTGCCCAGTTCAGTGAATGATGAGGGAAGGGACTCTAATAATTTTAATACAGTGTACCTAACTACTGTTTTCTTACATGCAGGATTTCTGACTTCCGGTGAGTGAGCTTCTCTATAAAGTAATGCGGCAAAGCACATTAAACTGAACAGTCAAAGTATAACTAGATCACATTGCATAAAAAACTATTTTTCCTTTTAGCTCACTTGTGAAATACAAAAATGAACCGTCTTCTGTTTTCTGAGCAGCAAGACATCCAGAGAGGTGGTTCTTCTCTGTGAAAAGAAATATAGGCCTGAGGCGTTTTTCATCAACTTTTAAAGGTAGCACAGAGTGAAGACGCAGTCTTTTTTATTATAACAGAAAAAATAGTATTGATACAAATATTAAAAATGGCTGGGCACTGTGGCTCACGCCTGTAATCCCAGCACTTTGGGAGGCCGAGTCAGGCAGGTCACCTGAGGTCAGGAGTTCGAGACCAGCCTGCCCAACATGGCGAAACCCCGTCTCCACTTAAAAAAAGGATAAAAATTAGCTGGGTGTGGTGGCTTATACCTGTAATCCTAGCTACTCAGGAGGCTGAGGTAGGAGAATCACTTGTACCCAGGTGGCAGAGGTTGCAGTGAGCTGAGATTACACCACTGCACTCCAGCCTGGGTGACAGAGCGAGACTCCATCTCAAAAAAAAAAAAAAAATTGACAACTACAGAAGGGCTCTAATTTTCCAAATCTTTTCATTTTATTATCATTAGAAAATAAAAAAGTGTAACAATATCAACATATCCCTATAAACTAAAGAAATGAGTTTTGAATTAGAAAGCCAGCAATGTAAAACAAATCTGTTCTTTTTCTGTGGCTAATAACATATAATTGCAAAGTTTTATTCCATTATGTGATCTTATTAGACTTTGACTTAAGTATATGGGTATGTGTGGCATATCCATAGAGAAATCATGTATTTTTTTTTTTTTTAACACAAGTATATTTTGGCTGAGCTGGTAAAAGGGGCCTAATTTCTAACCTAAGTAAAATAAGGAAATTTTTTTTTTCTAATTCCCCCCTACTTTTCTGTTATTTGGTTACATTATCTAATCCATTGGGATAATTCTTTCTCAGTGCTGCTTGAAAGGCCTACTAACTGAGGTGGTTTGTATGTTTTTATAGTATTATAGAAATAGAAGCCTATAGAATATTTGCATTTTGTATTCCTTTAAGGGAAGATGGGATTATATGGCTCGCAGGTAAAATGGCACTCTAAATGCATGCAGCTATTTTTCCTAAAATCAGATTCCACAATGCTTTCCTAGTTGTCTTAAAATGCAGTGGTGGCAGTTGTTTAACCACAGTAAAGAATTTTGTGAAGTTGTCTTTAAAGAGTAACTTTCAGGCAAATTTAGCACTAGACTAGGATGCCTATTCTTAATTTATATTGAAGTTATCCATTTTTGAACTAAAATTAACCTTTTCTTAGGAAACACTTTGTTCATAGAACTAAAGTATAAACCAGTTTATAGTTTATAAGATCATATTTAAAATAATCGTTAAAAACATCTTTGTGGCCAGGTGCAGTGGCTCACGCCTGTAATCCAAGCACTTTGGGAGACTGAGGCAGGTGGATCGCAAGGTCAGGAGATCGAGACCATCCTGGCTAACACAGTGAAACCCTGTCTCTACTAAAAATACAGAAAAAAATTATCTGGGCATGGTGGCAGGCGCCTGTAGTCCCAGCTACTTGGGAGGCTGAGGCAGGAGAATGGCGTGAACCCAGGAGGCAGAGCTTGCAGTGAGCAGAGATTGCACCACTGCACTCCAGTCTGGGTGACAGAGTGAGAGTCCGTCTCAAAAAACAAACAAACAAAGAAAAAAAACTTTGTATATAAATTTTGCATCCAATGAATATTTTATTTAGAAATCAGTTTTACCTATATCTTAAGACATCTCCTACTTACCTCTTGAAACCATAGTTTAAGTGAATATTCTTTGTTAAACTAATTTGTCCCTCTCTGTTCCTAAAAGGAATAAAGCCACATTAAAATACTCTGTAATTAAGGCCTTCCCTAGTTACCAGGCTTTCCTCCAATTACTATAAATGTTGCTGCCTTATCTCATACCTTGTGTGGGATACAGAATAATCATGTAAATGTTTACATTTCCTGATATGAAATTGAGTAGTAGTCTGCCTATTTTAGAGAATAATTTTAGGATTTAAGATACATAACATATCCAGAATATCAGAAATTATTAATAAATGAAAAAAATGGCTTTATCTTCTCTTTAACCAGCTGTGGTAATTGGTAATCTAAACTTCTTGGAAAATAAAGAGGAAAGCAGTTGTCACATTGCCCAAGTGAAAACAATGTGGGTTTTTGCACTTTTGATTATACCAAAATGTTCACATACTAATGTTGCAGATAGTGACTATCTGGGGCTGATGGCGTGGGCAATAAAGGAATTGATGAAGACAGTTGTAGGTAAAGAAAGGCAAATTTATTAGACGAAGTAGGAAAATACATTGTAAGGTTGTAACGAGCAAGTCACCAAGAGGGGAGCTGATCACAAGGCGACAAGGGCTTGCTAGAGATGTTACAGGGCGGTGCTTGTCCCGGAGAAGGCCGCATGCTGCGCTGATAATGCCAAGGTTGCAGTGAGCTAACTCGCATTTTTCTTTTCTTTTCTTTTCTTTTCTTTTTTTTTGAGACAGAGTCTTGCTCTGTCGCCCAGGCTGGAGTGCAGTGGCGTGATCTCGGCTCACTGCAACCTCTGCCTCCCAGGTTCAAGCGATTCTCCTGCCTTAGTCTCCCCAGTAGCTGGGATTATAGGCATGTGCCACCACGCCTGGCCAATTTTTGTATTTTTAGTACAGACAGGGTTTCACCATGTTGGCTGGGCTGGTCTTGAACTCCTGACCTCAGGTAATCCACCCTCCCCAGCCACCCAAAGTGCCAGGATTACAGGCATAAGCCACCGCGCCCAGCTCTACCTTGCATTTTTGTATCAATCAAGGGTCTGGTGATACGTGGGCACAGGACAATTGTGAGTTATTTGTACAGGAGGGCTGTGCGTCCTGGACCATGAGGAAAGGCAGACTTGCAGCTTATCTGCTTTTTCTTTTTGCTTCCCCCTGGTCCTACCAGCCTAACTCGTTTTCCCTAATTAGGACTCCACAATTAATATTTCTGTTCATCAAATATTTGTAGAGAATGCTTGCAACTTTAGCTGTTTCCTCTTCGATTACAGGTCCTGCGGTAGACTGGTGGGCACTTGGAGTTTGCTTGTTTGAATTTCTAACAGGAATTCCCCCTTTCAATGATGAAACACCACAACAAGTATTCCAGAATATTCTGAAAAGAGGTGATTCTTTTTCTCCTATTAAGATAGTCATTTACTGGCTGGGCATAGTGGCCCATGCCTGTAATCCCAGCACTTTGGGAGGCCAAGGCGGGTGGATCGCCTGAGGTCAGGAGTTCGAGACCAGCCTGGCCAACATGGTAAAACCCCATCTCTACTAAAAAAAAAATACAAAAAATTAGCCAGGCATGTTGACGGGCGCCTGTAATCCCAGCTACTCGGGAGGCTGAAGCAGGAGAATCGCTTGAACCTGGGAGGTGGAGGTTGCAGTGAGCTGAGATCACGCTTTTGCACTCCAGCCTGGGTGACAAGAGTGAAACTCCATCTCAAAAAACAAAAAAAAGTAGTCATTTATCTCTGGATACTATTATTTTGAGCAGTAATAAACAAGTTTATTTGTATATGTATAATTTTAGATATCCCTTGGCCAGAAGGTGAAGAAAAGTTATCTGATAATGCTCAAAGTGCAGTAGAAATACTTTTAACCATTGATGATACAAAGAGAGCTGGAATGAAAGGTATGGTTTTGTGTTAATACATTGTTTTACCATTGATTTTTTGCAGATGGTGAATATTTATAAAAATAGCAAGTTCTGGCTGGGCGTGGTGGCTCACGCCTGTAATCCCAGCACTTTGGGAGGCTGAGGCGGGCTGATCACAAGGTCAGGAGTTCAAGACCAGCCTGTCCGATATGGCGAAAGCCCATCTCTACTAAAAAATACAAAAATTGGCCGGGTGTGGTGGCTCAGGCCTGTAATCCAAGCACTCTGGTAGGCCGAGGCAGGCGGATCACGAGATCAGGAGATCGAGACCATCCTGGCTTAACATGGTGAAACTCTGTCCCTACTAAAAATACAAAAAAGTAGGCAGGCATAGTGGCGGGTGCCTGTAGTCCCAGCGACTTGGGAGGCTGAGGCAGGAGAATGGCATGAACCTGGGAGGCAGAGCTTGCAGTGAGCCAAGATTGTGCCACTGCAATCTAGCCTGGGCAACAGAGCGAGACTCCCTCTCAAAAAAAAAAAAAAAAAATACAAAAATTAGGCCCAGCGTGGTGGCGTGCACCTGTAGTCCCAGCTACTCTGGAGGCTGAGGCAGGAGAATCGCTTCAACCCGGGAGGCGGACATTGCAGTGACCAGAGATCACACCACTGCACTCCAGCCTGGGCGACAGAGACTCTGTCTCAAAAAAAAAAAAAAATCAAGTTCCAATATAATACTACAGATAATCTGACTGCTAAATTGGTACAAAGATAATTCGATTTATTTCTCCCCTCTAGGTATGCATTGATATATTGGTCCTTATTCTACATGAAAATTCAATGTGTCACATGGTAGAAGAGGCAAAAAAAATTTAGTGTGGTCAAATGGCAATACTGTATTCATGCATTAGATTTTATTAATCGGTGGGTGTGGTAGCTCATGCCTATACTCCAAGCACTTTGGGAGGCTGCAGCTGGCAATCGTTTGAGCTCAGGGGTTTGTGTCCAGCCTGGGCAACATGGTGAAACTGTCTCTACAAAAAATACAAAAAATAGCCAAGCAAGGCAGTGCGCACCTGTAGTTCCAGCTACTTGGGGGCTTAGGCAGGAAGATTACTTGAGCCCAGGAGGTCGAGGCTACAGCGAGCCATGTTCACGCCACTGCATTTCAGCCTGGGAAACAAAGTGAGACTCTGGCTCAAAAAAAATTATTTATCTCAAGTATCTAAAACAATCTTACCTCTTTTTTTTTTTTTTAACATACGTTATTATTGCTATTTATTTATTTAAAGACAGTGTCTCACTATGTTGCTTAGGCTGGTCTTGAACTCCTGGGCTCAAAGGATCCTCCCACCTCAGCCTCCCCAAAATGCTGAATTACAGGTGTGAGCCACCTTGCCTGTCCTAAAACAATCTTGTTAGTGTCTTGGGTTTTTCAAAGCCTGATAAAGTTAAGGAAATACAGGAAATCTTTTTTTATGAAACCCTCTGTTCTGTCATTTTTAAAAACAAATTTATTTTCCCTAATCTTGCGAGAGAGATGTTCTGTAATTTCTTATTGCTTCATTTTTGATACTATTATTTATTGATAAATGTACTGGATCCCAGGTTGGCTCAAGACAAACTTGGTATATTATATACCACTCAGTAGTTTTCTCAATGCAGGAGTATATTAAGCCCTAATTTGGAAACTAGTAAATCTCATTAGCAGCTGCCTTAAAATTCTTTTGTTGTTGTTGTTGTTGTTGTTGTTGTTGAGACAGAGACTTGCTCTGTCACCAGGCTGCAGTGCATGCAGTGGTGTGATCTCGGCTCACTGCAACCTCCGCCTCCCAGGTTCAAGTGATTCTCCTGCCTCAGCCCCCCAAGTAGCTGGGACTACAGGCATGTGCCACCACGCCCAGCTAATTTTTGTATTTTTTAGTAGAGATGGGGTTTCACCATGTTGGCCAGGATGGTCTCGATCTCTTGACCTTGTGATCCTCCTGCCTCGGCCTCCCAAAGTGCTGGGATTTTAAAATTCCTTTTGTAACGAGGTATGGTAATATAGAGAAAAGCATTACGTCCCAAAATGCATTTCTTTATCAAGTAGAATGTATTCAGGAAAATGAGCTTCAGAAATGTGTCATTTGCATCAGCTTCTAGGTGTTCCCTGTAATAATTTCTTTCTTTTTTTGGTTTTGGGATTTTTTTGAGACAGGATCTGGGTCTGTCGCCCAGGCTGGAATGTAGTAGCACAATCTCGGCTCACTGCAACTTTCTGGGCTCAAGCAATTCTTCCACCTCAGCCTCCCAAGTAGCTGGTACTACTGGTGCACACTACCACACCCAGCTAATTTTTGTATTTTTAGTAGAGATGGGGTTTTGCTGTGTTGCCCAGGCTGGTCTCGAACTCCTGGGCTCAAGCCATCCGCCCACCTTGGCCTCCCTAAGTACTGGGATTACAGGCATGAGCCACCACGCCTGGCCCAGTTTGTTTACTCACTGATTTAACCAATCCTATAGAGTGCCTTCTAGGAGCTAGGTGATATTGCTTCAGGCCCTGGGAATACCCTAGGGATGATCTAGACTCAGATCCCTGTCCTCGTGGAACTTACATTCTAGTGGAAAGAGAGACAGTGAACAGTTACAGACACAACATAATGTCATGTAGTGGTAAATACTAGGAAGAAAAATAAAGCAGGGTGAGAGGATATGAAGTGATGGCACGAGACTTCTTTTTAGACAGTGTGGTCAGGAGGACCTCTGTGAAGAGGGGCATTTGAGCAGAAACCTGTGTAAAGTGAGGGAGCAGACATTTGGAAAGTCAGCTCTAGCTTTTTCAAGGCACTTCAGACTTAGATTATACTACTTAAAACATATAAACACACACACGTTTCAACTTCTGATGCTGTACATTGGATTTGGACATACTGAGTCCTTGTAGTATTATTTCAGAATAGATGTGAGTGTCTGAATGCAACATATTGGTCAGATTGCCATTATAAAAAACACTATCACATATAAGAAGGATTTTTTTTTTTTTTTTTTTTTTTTGAGACGGAATCTCGTTCTGTTGCCCAGGCTGGAGTGCAGTGGCATGATCTCGGCTCACTGCAGCCTCAGCCTCCCAGGTTCAAGTGACTCTCCTGCCTCAGCCTCCCAAATAGCTGGGACTGCAGCTGCATCCCACCACACCTGGCTAATTTTTGTATTTTTAGTAGAGACGGGGTTTCACCATGTTGGCCAGGCTGGTCTCGAACTCCTGACCTCAAGTAATCCGCCCACCTCAGCCTCCCAAAGTGCTGGGATTACAGGCATGAGCCATTACTCTGCCCAAAAGAGCATACTTTTATTTTACTAGGTAGAAGGAAATAGGAACAATGACAGGTAATGAAATGGCAGTAAAGAGGTGAGGAAGGCTTTGAAATCTTGTAAGCAGAGCAGCTCAGTGATATAGAGCTTCCAATGTAGCCATAAGCTAGAAGTCAATATGTTGTAGAGATGCAAGTCAGTGAAATCAAGGAAGTCAAAGAACCATGAAGAGAACGTGTCAGAACTGTCATCAGTATCTATTCTTGAAGTCACCATGAAGGATAAGGATGGAGCACAGGGAAGAAAGGGAGAAGGGGGTGAGCTTCATGCTAAAGCTGTCTAGGGCAATAGATACTGCTAAGGAGCGTGGTGATAGAAACAGGTGGCAAGGCCTTAGAGTCAAAACTGGAGCATTCATCATGGAAGATCAATGGCATGGAAGGTTTATCAAGGAGCAGAAAGTAGGCCACACTCTCTTCCCCTGAGTCAGGGATTCTTTAACAAGATGCAGGCAGGGTGGGCGCGGTGGCTCACACCTATAATCCCAGCACTTTGGGAGGCTGAGGCGGGTGGATCCCCTGGGGTCGGGAGTTCGAGACCAGCCTGGCCAACATGGTGAAACCCCATCTCTACTAAAAATACAAAAATTAGCCAGGCTTGGTGGTACACATCTGTAATCCCAGCTACTCAGGAGGATGAGGTGGGAGAATCGCTTGAACCCGGGAGGCAGAGTTTGCAGTGAGCCGAGATTGTGCCATTGCACTCCAGCCTAGGTGACAGACAAAAAAAAAAAAAAAAAAAATTAGCCAGGCATGGTAGCACTCACCTGTAGTCCCAGCTACTTGGGAGGCTGAGGCACGAGAACCACTCAACCTGGGAGATGGAGGTTGCAGTGAGCCAAGATTGCACCACTACACTCCAGATTGGGCACTGGAGAGAGACTCCATTTCAAAAAAAAAAAAAGATGTGAGTGCCGGGCATGGTGACTCACACCTGTAATCCCAGCACTTTGGAAGGCCAAGGTGGGCAGATCACCTGAGGTCAGGAGTTCGAGACCAACCTGCCCAACATGGCGAAACCCCGTCTCTACTAAAAATACAAAATTAGCCTGGTGTGGTGGCACACACCTGTAATCCCAGCTACTCGGGAGGCTGAGGTAGGAGAATCGCTTGAACCCGGGAGGCGGCGGTTGCAGTGAGCAGAGATCGCGCCACTGCACTTCAGCCTGGGCAACGGAGCGAGACCTCGTCTCAAAAAAAAAGCTGTGAGAAAGATAGGCTTCTAAGTTAAGGCAAATCATTCATTCTGTCATTAAACAAATACAAACCAGGCACCTGTCATATGCCAAGTGATATTCAAAATGGCCCATGTAGACCTTTGTGAAGTATGTGGCCTAACAGACATTAAACAAATGTCTGTGAAACTGACATAATAAAGTAAGGTAAGTTATATGTGAGACATTCTCTTTTTATAATAATTCCTGTAAAGCAGTACTTACTTAGGTAATGATATCATACTGTTTTGTTTTATATTTTTCCTAAGAGCTAAAACGTCATCCTCTCTTCAGTGATGTGGACTGGGAAAATCTGCAGCATCAGACTATGCCTTTCATCCCCCAGCCAGATGATGAAACAGATACCTCCTATTTTGAAGCCAGGAATACTGCTCAGCACCTGACTGTATCTGGATTTAGTCTGTAGCACAAAAATTTTCCTTTTAGTCTAGCCTTGTGTTATAGAATGAACTTGCATAATTATATACTCCTTAATACTAGATTGATCTAAGGGGGAAAGATCATTATTTAACCTAGTTCAATGTGCTTTTAATGTACGTTACAGCTTTCACAGAGTTAAAAGGCTGAAAGGAATATAGTCAGTAATTTATCTTAACCTCAAAACTGTATATAAATCTTCAAAGCTTTTTTCATTTATTTATTTTGTTTATTGCACTTTATGAAAACTGAAGCATCAATAAAATTAGAGGACACTATTGAGAGTGAGCCACTAGCTTGATTTTCTTTCTCCTCTGATTTCAGTTCACTGTTCAGTTTAGCATTAAAATAATAAAATAATCATACAGTTCCATTTGATTGTAATTTACTTGCATATGATTACCTTCAAAAGCTGTGTTCTTGAGGGCAATCATTTAAGGCCATACTTGTGACCTCAGAAATGCAGCTGGAAGGCCGGGCGCAGTGGCTCACGCATGTAATCCCAGCACTGTGGGAGGCCGAGGCAGGCTGATCTTGAGGTCAGGAGTTCAAGACCATCCTGGCCAACATAATGAAACCCCATCTCTACTGTAAATACACAAATTAGCCGGGCATGTTGGTGGGCGCCTGTAGTCCCAGCTACTCTGGAGGCTGAGGCAGGAGAATCGCTGGAACCCAGGAGGAGGAGGTTGTGGTGAGCCAAGATCGTGCCACTGCACTCCAGCCTGGGCAACAGAACAAGACTCCGTCTCAAAAAAATAAAGGCAGCTGGAAAATTCCTTCACTTAGTAACTCCTTTGGGGAATAAGGAATAAACAAAAAGACTAAGGCTTTCACTTACTTTACTAATGATACGGTTTTGCCACCTTAATTTCTATTGGTGCGTAGTCCACAATATGTATTTGTTTAAAATGGTACTGGAGGACGGGTGCGATGGCTCATGCCTGTAATCCCGGCACTTTGGGAGGCTGAGGCAGGCAAGTCGCTTGAGGCCTGGAGTTTGAGACCAGCCTGGCCAACATGGCAAAACCTGGTCTCTACTAAAAATAGAAAAATTAGCCAGGTATGGTGACGCACACCTGTAGTCCCAGCTACTTGGGAGGCTGAGGCATGAGAATCGCTTGAACCCAGGAGGTGGAGATTGCAGTGAGCTGAGATCACATCACTGCATTTCAGCCTGGGCAACAGAATGAGACTCAGTCTCAAAAAAAAAAAAAATACTACTGGAACAATTAGGTGTGATATAATGTAGCAATTTGAATAGCTTGTTCAATTTTAATAGAAAATGTGATGCTTTACATCTTATTGTCATTTATTTAAAACATGCAACATTATCAGAAACAGATTGGTCCTTAAAAAACAAAACATAATTTTCTTTTGCTTAATAAATATAACTATCACAAGTACATTATCTGTCAACATCATTCTTTTCAACAAAGCGAGACCCCATTTCCGGGGGAAAAAAAACTTGTTCCTTTTGCACATCGGGTTTAGTGTTTTTACTTTCCATTACCATCCCAATCAACAGCCCTGTTGCAATGTAGTTGACAAAATGTACAAATTTAAAATGGTTACAGTGAAAGATACACCATTATAATTAGTGCTATATAACTGAATCCATGGGTTAATGGTTTTACTGAGCTTGTTTTAGTAATAACTACTTAGATTTAATGGTCACTTCTAGTAAAATGTTCAAAATACAGTTGTTCAAAACTTTGAATTACATCTTTCCCTTAAATTAGGCAAAAGCATAGAATTATCTATTATCCTTTTATGGTATTTGCCAGTAGTAGAAAGAAAAAAAGTTTGGGAATCAAACACAAATTGTTGAAATCACTGCTCTGCCACAATAAAAGGCCTCTGGCAGGTTAAACTGAGCTATTGATGACTCACTGTATAGTGGGGATTAATAGTGATTAATTTGGAGAGTTGGAATGAACAGAGTAGATTGAGGAACAAGCCAATTTAGTTGCTACCCAGGATATTAACCTTAACAGGGACTTGAAACATTACTGAATAATCGGGGAAATGTTCTCTGAGCATATTCCCAATGCACAAGACAATGGCCTTGAGTGGAAAGTTACACTGTTTACTAACAGACCTAGCATGTGAAGCTATAGTCACTTGAAATTCAGCCACAGGTAAGGCATGCTGTAATGGTATTTATTGGGAACAGGTGACTTATTATCTAAATTTATACCTGTCAAGATGTAGATTCAGACACTTGCTAGGGAAAAACCTAAGAGGAAAGAACAATGGGAAAAAGGGGATGGTTTTGACAGCTGATGTATATGTGTGCATGCACGTCTTTAAAAAACACCAACGGCCACCAATAGAAATCCACTCATCTTTTGCTATGAAGGAAATCAGAACATATCATCCTAAAATGCCTCTTTGACATAAAAATATTTTTGAGCTAAAGGCAGTTAAGAAGCAGCAAACTGAGGAAAGCTCTCGCCATCCCCCTGCCTTTCTGCCCAAAGGCAGGATATAACTTCTCCTTTGCTGGAGACAATTCTAGAGTCTTATCTACCAGGGACAGCACCAGAGGAATTGGCAAAGAAACCTTATTCAATTAGTTTCCTCCCACATACAGTGTTTGCCTTCCCAAAGGTTCCAGTCCTTGGAAGCCTAAAACCACTTTCCTTTGTCCTGTCATTTCTCTACAAATGTATTGTTCTTTGTTGGCCAGGCTGGTCTCAAACTCCGGACTTCGTGATCCACCCGCCTCAGCCTCCCAAAATGCTGGGATTACAGGCGTGAGCCACCCGGCCAGCTATATACAGTTTGTATTAATAAAAAATAATTTGTGGCTGGGCATAGTGGCTCACGCCTTTATTTCCAGCACTTTGGACAGCCAAGGTGGGATGATTGCTTGAGGCCAGGAGTTAGAGACTACCCTGGCCAACATAGCAAGACCCTGTCTCTATCTAAATTTTTTAAAAACCGTCATTCTCAGCAAACTATCGCAAGGATAAAAAACCAAACACCGCATGTTCTCACTCATAGGTGGGAATTGAACAATGAGAACACATGGACATAGGAAGGGGAACATCACACACTGGGGCCTGTTGTGGGGTGGGGGGGAGGGATAGCATTAGGAGATATACCTAATGTAAATGACGAGTTAATGGGTGCAGCACACCAACATGGCACATGTATACATATGTAACAAACCTGCACGTTGTGCACATGTACCCTAGAACTTAAAGTATAATAAAAATATATATATATATATATAAATAAACTTTTGTTTTCACAACGGCATAATGTTTATTGGATGAATTTAGAAAAAGAGTAAAAAGAAAAAATAAGTTGGTATCTGTTAAAGGAAAATGTTTTATTCTTACATGAAAAATGCAAAATAATAGATGTGACTTGTTTTCCTTTGGAGCTCCAAAATAAAAATATCAGTAAACACTTATCTAAAAAAATAAAATAATAATTGTTTTTTAGGCTGGGCATGGTGGCTTACGCCTGTAATCTCAGCACTTTGGGAGGCTGAGACGAGTGGATCACAGGAGGTCAGGAGTTCGAGACCAACCTGGCCAACATGGTAAAACCCCGTCTCTACTAAAAATATAAAAATTAGCCAGGCATGATGGTGCGCGCCAGTAATCCCAGCTGCTCGGGAGGCTGAAGCTGGAGAATTGCTTGAACCTGGGAGGTGGAGGTTACAGTGAGCCAAAATGGCGCCATTGCACTCCAGCCTGGGTGACAGAATGAGACTCTGCCTCAAAAAAAATTATTTAAAAATGTTTTGTCCCACCCCCATTAAATGTTAAACAAATCCAGAAATTATGTTTGAAGAATGTCCTGTTTATCTTGGCCCACCTATGTTAGAATTAAGTAAGATGAAGTACATAGCAAACATAAAAGGTGTTTAATAAAATGATAATTATTTGAACCCTAAGTACCCTACTGCCTCCTGGAATATGTACTTTAATTTTGGGTTCGGGAAGTGGTAACTATATAAAGCCTTACTATTATGCTCCAAAACATCTTGAAGGACATTCGGGTCTAATTCCTCTATTTGCTACAAAGAACTGTCTTATTTTTAGCCATTTATAAAAATGCTGAGAGTCCAGAATATAGTACAAATATATTTACTGTTTACACCAGGTCTTTCAATTAATACCAAGCCAACCATGGATGAGTCATTCTTTTAACTGTGTGGAAAGTGTATTGTACGGGACAACATTTGAAGGAAGGAGACTGAATAAAAGGCTTCTGCACCAGCCCACCTGGATTCAAGACATATTTTAGAGGTAGGAGCAACAGGACTTTACTGATATATGGGATGAGACAGGTGAGAGAATGGAAGAGCCACATTTGACACCTAACTTCTGGCTTGAGCAGTTGGGTGGATTGTGGTGCTGCACCCTGAACTGGAATGAGGGACAGGATGGGTAGACATACTAAGTTTGAGATGTCTGTGAGACACCCAAATAAAGAATTCAAGAAATCAGTTGGACACCTCCAAATAAAAATGGTATGTCTGCAAATTCTTTTACACTCTTCCTTCAACAGGTGAATGAATAAACAGAGGCACATCTATATAATGGGCTATTATTCAGCGCTAAGAAGAAATGAACTACAATGAAAAGACACAGATGAATCTTAAGTGCATATTACTAACTGGAAGAAGCCAGTCTGACAAGGCGACACACCGTATGATTCCAAATATACGACACTGTAGAAAAGGCACAACTATAGAGACAGTAAAAGGATCTGTGGTTGCCAGAAGTTAGGAGGGAAGGATGACAAGGTGGAGCACAGAGGATTTTTTAGGGCAGTGAAACTACTCTGTATGATATAATGGTGGATACATATTTTAAATTTGTCAAAACTCATAGGATGTACACTAAGAGTGAGCCCCATGGTAATGATATGTCCATGTTGGTTCATCAGATGAAACAAATGTACCACTCCACCAGATGTTGACGGTGGAAGAGGTTGTGCAGGTGGGGCGGGGGGAGAGGAGGGTAGAATATGGGAGCTCTACTTTCCACTTGATATTGTTGTAAACCTAAAACAGTTCTAAAAAAGTCTATGGCCAGATGCGGTGGCTCACGCCTGTAAGCCTAACACTTTGGGAGATCGAGGCAGGCAGGTCACCTGAGGTCAGAAGTTTAAGACCAGCCTGGCCAACATGGTGAAACCCCATCTCTACCAAAAATACAAAAAATTAGCTGGGTGTGTGGTGGTGGGTGCTAATGATCCCAGCTACTCAGGAGGCTGAGGCAAGGGGAATCACTTGAACCCGGGAGGCAGAGGTTGCAGTGAGCAGAGATTGCACCTCTGCACTCCAGCCTGGGTGACGAGAGGGAAACTCTGAATCAAAAAAAAATAATAACAATAAAGTCTATAAATAACCTAACAACGCATCTTAACTAGGAAAGCAAAAACAAACCCAAAATTAGTAGAAGAAATAATAAGATACAGCAGAAACAAATGAAACTGAAACTCCCCAAAATACAAAAGATTTTTAAAAATGAACTTGGTTTACTTTGAAAACAAAATCAACAAACCTTTAGCCAGACTAAGAAAAAGGAATACCCAAGTAAATAAAATCAAAGATGGAAAAGGAGACAGGACAACTGATACCGCAGAAATATGAAGAATCATCAGAGACTACTGGGAATAAATATATGCCAAAAAACTGGAAAACCTACAAGAAATGGATACATTCCTTGACACTTTTTTTTTAAGTCTACATCCAAAGTAGGGATTGTGAAAAAAAAAATTTATAATAATGAAAAAAAAAGTCTACTGGGGGCTGGAGATGGGGTGGCTTAAACACTCTCTCTCTCCTAGTTCCATGAAATAAATCCCAGAGAGTAACTGACTGCTGGTTCTATGCCCATCACTGTGATGTCACTGTGGTCAGGAGAATGGGATATAAGCTGACCAGGCTGAGTCACATGTCCATTACTGTGAGTCACGATGGGGCAGCAATGGGCATAGCTGGGTGTTCCATTTAGCAGCCTCACCAGAATCACTGGATTCTCGTGGAGGAGGAAGAGCGCTCCAAGGGAAGAGGGGAGGGGACAGAAGAGAGGGGAAAGGGTGACCAGTAAAATTTAAAAAATAACTGATACTCCCTTGCCTGATTTTATGTAGGTATAAAAAGTTCTCTTCAGGCTTGGCACAGTGGCTCACAGCAGTAATCCCAGCACTTTGGGAGGCCGAGGCGGGTGGATCACGAGGTCAGGAGTTCAAGACCAGCCTGGCCAATATGGTGACACCCTGTCTGTACTAAAAATACAAAAATTAGCCGGGCGTGGTGGCGGGCGCCTGTAATCCCAGCTACTCAGGAAGCTGAGGCAGAGAATTGCTTGAACCCAGGAGATGGAGGTTGCAGTGAGACGAGATCACACCACTGCACTCCAGCCTGCTGGGTGACAGAGTGAGACTCCGTTTCAAAAAAAAAAAAAGTTCTCTTCAACACATGTTAAAGAATTGAAACAAGTGAGGAAATTTCTCTATTTCTCTTTTTTTATGTTTTTCTTTCTTTTCTTCCTTCCTCCCTCCCTCCCTCCCTTCCTCTCTCTCTTTCCTTCCTTCGTGTGTGTGTGTGTGTGTGTGTGTGTGTGTGTGTGTGTGTGTGTGTGTGTGTGTGTGTCTTGCTCTGTTTCCCAAGCTGGAGTGCAGCGGCAAGTTAATCACCTGAGTTTGAGACCAGCCTGGCCAACATGGAGAAACCCTGTCTCTATTAAAAATACAAAAAAATTACCCAGGCAACGTGTCTGGCACCTGTAATCCCAGCTTGAGAGGCTGAGGCAAGAGAATTGCTTGAACCTGGGAGGCGGAGGTTGCAGTGAGCCGAGATTGCGCCACTGCACTCCAGCCTGGGCAACAGAGCGAGACTCTGTCTCAAAAGAGAGAAAAAAAAAAAGAACTGATAAGAACTGATACTACCCTTGATCTTAGCCAAAAGGCTAAGAAGTGATTAAATAATTTTGTATACAAAAATATAACTATGAGAGCCAGTTCTTGCCAATGAGATGTGAGGAGTCTCCTGTGTGGGACTTTCAAGAAAGTTACTGTTTCCTGATCAGATGGAAAAATACAACTGTTAATTGCTTTCTGCGCTTCACTCTGTGCCTGCCTATAATGTAGACATTAGATCTAAATGTACTTCACTATCTTGCAAGCATGAAGATAAAAGCTACACACTAAAGATGGGAGAAAGAAAGACAGGAGGAGCCTGTCTACCTAATGGCATTGTGGAAGCACCTTCCCGGCCCTGGACTTCTATCTCCAGACTTATATCGAAGGAAAAGACCCAGTTACTTGGTCAAGCCACCACAGCTGGGTTTCTATTACATGAAGCAGAATAATGATACCTTAAATGATACATCACTTTTATTACTCTGTAGAAGTTACAAGTCATAGATGGGTATTAAAAACAAAACCCAGGCCAGGCGCGGTGGCTCACACCTGTAATCCCAGCATTTTGGGAGGCTGAGGCAGGTGAATCACCTGAGGTTGGGAGTTCAAGACCAGACTGACCAACATGGAGAAACCCTGTCTCTACTAAAAATACAAAATATTAGCCAGGAGTGTGGCATATGCCTGTAATCCCAGCTACTCAGGAGGCTGAGGCAGGAGAATCACTTGAACCTGGGAGGTGGAGGTTGCAGTGAGCCGAGACGGCACCATTGCACTCCAGCCTGGGCAACCAGAGCGAAACTCCGTCTCAATTAAAAAAAAAAAAAAAAACCCTCTCATCATTTTCCACATAAGACCAGAGATGTGTATTTAAGATGGTTGATTAGGGCTGGGTGCGGTGACTCACGCCTGTAATCCCAGCACTTTGGGAGGCAGAGGCAGGAAGATCACCTGAGGTCAGGAGTTCAAGACCAGCCTAGCCAACATGGCAAAACCCCGTCTCTACTAAACGTACAAAAAATTAGCCAGGTGTGGTGGTGGGTGCCTGTAATCCCAGCTATGTGGGAGGCTGAGGCAGGAGAATCACTGGAACCTGGGAAGCAGAGGTTGCAGTAAGCTGAGATCACACCACTGCAATCCAGCCTGGGCGGCAGAGCAAGACTCCATCTCAAATAATAATAATAATAATAATAATAATAATAATAATAAGATGGTTGATTAGGGTTCATTGTGTGGCTGTGGGAAGCTATTTATTTGGTGTAAGAACTGAAACCGGCTGGGTGCAGTGGCTCACGCCTGTCATCCCAGCACTTTGGGAGGCCGAGGCGGGTAGATCACGAGGTCAAGAGATGGAAACCATCCTGGCCAACGTGGTGAAACCCCGTCTCTACTAAAAATACAAAAATTAGCCGGGAGTGGTGGCACGTGCCTGTACTCCCAGCTACTCGGGAGGCTGAGGCAGGAGAATCGCTTGAACCTGAGAGGCGGAGGTTGCAGTGAGCCGAGATCACGCCACTGCACTCTAGCCTGGCAACAGAGCGAGACTCTGTCTCAAAAAAAAGTAAAACCAAGAATCTGACTGGATTGCTAATATTCTCAACCAGATGACTAAATAAGTTAAATTTCATCCCAGTTTCTGATTTTTATCAAATTGTGTGGAATAGCATGGCTTTATTTTGAGAGTCATAATTACTTTATGTGCGACTACTACTTACTCTCATTGAATTCTTACCTAATCAATGGGCTAATAGTAACAAGTAATAAAAGCCATATCATTTCTCATTAACCTTTTATTTTTAACTTAGTTTTACAATAAACAGAAAAGAAGTTATCATTAAAAAAATACCATAGCTGTCAAGTTTAAATGAGGTTCTTATTAAACAAAGCAGGAACACTATATCCTATAATTACATCTTTACTTTTATATACAAGAACTGTGTGCAAAGTGCTTTTCAAACTATAAAATAAGACTTTGGAACAGGATAGAAATGGTTATCCCTAGGAGTTAGTTATCCCAGACTGCTTGTAATGATTCACAACTGCTTACACTCTTAATTTGCATTTTATTTATTTATATACTAAGAGAAAAGACACTTTTTACTGATACCAAATTGATATCTCATTTTTGAAAATAATCTTTGATCCACAGGTCTAAATGTTATTTTTACATATAAATTCAGTTGCTTGCTTCACTTTTTCCTAAATAAATAGGGAACACTTTTTTAAAAGCAAATAGTAGTAGATCCCTTTAGACAGACATATTTTAATCAGTATGGGATTAAATAATTAAAGTTATTTGAAAGAAAAAAATAAGGAAAAAGAGTTTGGGAAAAGTAAATTGTATTCTTATACTTTTCAGGCAAACAAAGAACCATTCTGTATACTAAAGACAGATTATTTCTTATTTAAAACACTGTGAACATATGATGTTAAACCCAACATCATACATCTTGAGAATGCTTAAAAATTATTTGCTACAGGCCAGGTGCAGTGGCTCACGCCTCTAATCCCAGCACTTTGGGAGGCCGAGGCAGGCAGATCACCTGAGGTTGGGAGTTTGAGATCAGCCTTACCAACATGGAGAAACCCCGTCTCTACTAAAAATACAAAATTAGCCAGGCATGGTGGTGCATGCCTGTAATCCCAGCTACTTGGGAGTGAGGCAGGAGAATCACTTGAACCCAGGAGGTGGAAGTTGCAGTGAGCCAAGATCACGCCATTGCCCTCCAGCCTGGGCAACAAGAGAGAAACTCCATTTAAAAAAAAAAATTATTTGTTACAAAGACTGCATCAAAGAAATCTTCAAAGCACAAGGTACATCTAAGTGAGCAGGAAGTTTTGGAAGGCATACAGGAAAAGTCTCCAAGGATCTAAATTGTAGTCTTCTTTTTGGTCTAGATGAGAGAGGTGGGGAAGAGGGACTTAAATTTCTGTTAGCTGGGCATGCCTTATTCCTATGGAAGCATTTGGCCCGTTAGCTTGCAAATCCCTCCAGTACTCCTGTGAAGTAGGTGTATCTAAAATAGTATACCCCGAAGGAAAAACTGAGGCACTAAGAGGTTAAGAGTCCAGTCTATATAGTTCATCAGTTGCAGAAAAGTGATTTTCGTGTGTTTCCTTTTTGACTGTTGTAAAAACAGTATAAATAAGTTTTCATTTTATATTTCAAAGCACCCTATGAAGCAGACACTAGATATCCTCAGTTAAACAAAAATGATTACAAAGGAATACATTTATATGATTGAATAAAAACCTGATTAATCATCTACAGGCTCAGAATACACTTTTAAACCTACATGAAGCTCATTCTTCACCATTTCCATCAGTGGGTTATGTCTAGCCTGCAAATCATTTGTAAAAACTCAGTCTGGTACATAGGACTCCACTTTTTAATAATGATGCCTGAACACCAAACTCAAGAGTTGTGAATGCCCAAGAAAGATTATGGGCAGCCCACAAAGTGAATATGACCATTCTTCCTGTGGTTTTCTACTACATGCCATGGCAACTCCGTGACTAAGATATAAAGTCGATTACATCTCATTTGAAATTCACTCCTGGTTTGCATTCTTTCTTTTATTTAATTTAGAAAATTAAAAATAATAACTTATAAATTTGATCTCATTATCACAATGGTACCTTTGAAAAGCAGCTTATGTTACTCTATGGAAGATAATCAGGTAAACATGTTACCAAATGATCATTAATAATTTAATGTCCTTCAAGTTCAAGGGCAGGGTAAATCTGTGTATACTACTTATAACCTAGTAGAGATTGATTATTCAAGTATCAGCAATATTAGTCCTTAAAATGTTATCGTTTGTGTAGTGCAAAATATATATGTGTATATATGTACACAAACTAAACTACTGGACAACAAAAAGCAATGTAATCATCACAAACTAAGATTTTCTTGTGAACACCACAATCCAGTTCATTCTGAGGTCATCCAGTTCCAGTAGTCTTCTTGAGGAAAACACCATTTTCCTCAGTTCAGTTTTCTTTAAAAAGAAAATAAAAACCAATTTCCTGTGAGTATGAATGCAAATAATTCTCTGGATGGTAACATAATAATAATAACATACAAATTCAAAATAAAACCATAATATTACCAACAGTCTTTATAGAACTACATCATATGACTTGCAGCCTGATAGGAAAGATCCAATTACAAGTGCTGAAATTACCAAACAGTTTTAAATTATTTATTTATTTATTTACTGGGGCAAAGTCTTGCTCTGTCGTCCAGGCTGGACTGCAATGGTGCCATCTTGGCTCACTGCAACCCTCCGCCTCCCGGGTACAAGCGATTCTCCTGCCTCAGCCTTGCAAGTAGCTGGCATTACAGGTGTGTGCCACCACACCTGGGTAATTTCTGTATTTTTAATAGAGACGAGGTTTCGCCATTTGAACTCCTGACCTCAGGTGATCTACCCACCTCAGCCTCCCAAAGTGTTGGGATTACAGGCGTTAGCTATGGCGCCCAGCCATCCTGGCCAGTTTTTAATAAATAATTTAAATGTACATTCATCCTCTCTTACTTTCTAGATTCTTACCCTTTTCTAATTGGCTATTACACAATTAAGATTTGTGGAAATGATTTCATAATTTTATCAAAATGGAAAAGTTATGAAACAAATGCGTAACAAAACTGTAAGAGGATAATAGATGTACGACCTGGAGTATTCACTTAATCAACATGGATTATGTTTCTATTACTTTCCAGGCTCTGTGCCAGGCCCTGGGCATTCAGAGATAAATGAGGCAGGCTCTCAGGCCTCAAGACAGCTCTCAGTTTAGGTGGTGGGGGAGGAAGAGGCATATAAATCCCAAACTTGGATATATATAATATGATGGTTTCAAAGACAGAAGAGTGAATGAGCTATCAGAAAAGGCTGAGCTTGTTAGCACCTTACACCATCACATATGATCTGAGTTCTGCTCTAAAATCTACAAACCCTCCCCAGCACTCAAGATGCCAAAATGCCTGAAACTCTCATAACAGATTGATTCCTCTCTGTAGAAATACCCTTATGCAACTCCTTTGGCAGGAGTGATATTTTAAACAATCAGATCATTCCTTATCCTCTGCAGAAATCCTCTTATGTACACCTCCTTGGCAGGAGTGACATTTTAAATAGTCAGATCAACTTTCACAAAACAGAAGGAGATCCCAGCAGCATAAAGAAAACAGGCCCCTGGAGGAAGAGAATTGAAATGGTTGACAAAGACAAGAGAGATGTGGGTTGTAAAGACAACCTGCCTGAGTGAGGTTTTAGCAAAAATGTTAGCTTCAGGGTGCCTGAACAATTAGCAACACTTATTAAGAATCTGCGGGATGCAGATTACTACACACAATCCTTTGCAGATTTATAGAAGGGCAGACAAAGCCGGAACTGTAGCTCACGCCTGTAATCCCAGCACTTTGGGAGGCCGAGGCGGGCGGATCACGAGGTTGGGAGATCAAGACCATCCTGCTAACACGGTGAAACCCCGTCTCTACTAAAAATTCAAAAAATTAGCAGGGCATGGTGGCACGCACCTATAGTCCCAGCTACTTGGGAGGCTGAGGCAGGAGAATCGCTTGAACCTGGGAGGCGGAGGTTGCAGTGAGCTGAGATCGGGCCACTGCACTCCAGCCTAGGTGACACAGCAAGACTCTGTCTCAAAATAAATAAATATACAAATAAATAAAAATTAAAAAAATTAAAAAGGGCAGAAAATTTGGTCTCGATGAACCCCCAATCTTTTTTTCTTTTTTTTTTGAGATGGAGTCTCGCTCTGTCGCCCAGGCTGGAGTGCAGTGGCGCGCGACCTCGGCTCACTGCAACCTCCACCTCCTAGGTTCAAGCTATTCTGCTGCCTCAGCCTCCTGAAGTGCTGGGATTACACATGTGAGCCACCGTGCCCAGCCTGAACTCCCAGTCTTCTAAGGTAATAGAGTGAACATAAATCACTGTCTTCAGAACTTTAGAATTGTTTTCAGGCTCTTTGTGAGGTCTTTCTGTTTTGTTTTGTTTTAAATCAACTTGCAAAATGGAGGGTATAGTGTGATAGAAGAAAAGTCACAGGAAACAACAGATAAGGGAACAGGAATAAATTCTGCCTTTCCCTTCGCCGCGGTGAATGCTGCTCTAGCTGCACTGCTGCAATTCCTTCCCCTCCTCAGAAGCCAGGGCCTGACTTTTTGTGTCAGTGCCTTCTGCCCTAGGCTCCATTTGGAGAATAATCCTCCTGAGACCCTCCCCACTCCCAACAAGTTTGTATTTATTACCTCTCTACTGAAGGCTGAATGTCCCCAAGAAGATTACATGATAGCAATTTAGGAATCTGGGCAGGCTGCTTAAGAAAACTGGTTAGACGAGACTATCCTGGCCGTCTCTACTAAAAATATAAACAAATTAGCCGGGCGTGGTGGCGGGCGCCTGTAGTCCCAGCTACTGGGGAGACTGAGAGACAATAGCGTGAACCTGGGAGGCGGAGCTTGCAGTAAGCCAAGATTACGCCACTGCAATCCAGCCTGGGCGACAGAGCAAGACTGTCGCAAAGAAAAAAAAAAAAGGAAAACTGGTTAGAAACATCCTTTCCTTCAAAGTAATGTCAGAGGCATGTGAACCAGAGCAACTCCATTTTGAATAGGAGCTGGGTAAAATGAGGCAGAGACCTACTGGGCTGCATTCTCAGGTTAAGCCATTCTAAGTCACAGGATGAGATAGGAGGTCGGCACAAGATACAGGTCATAAAGACCTTGCTGATAAAACATGTTGCAGTAAAGAAGCTGGCTAAAACCCACCAAAACCAAGATGGTGATGAGAGTGACCTCTGGTCGTCCTCACTGCTACACTCCCACCAGCGCCATGACAGTTTACAAATGCCACGGCAACGTCAGGAAGTTACCCTATATGGTCTAAAAAGGGGAGGCATGAATAATCCACCCCTTGTTTAGAAATAACCACAAAAATGGGCAATGAGCAGCCATTATTCTATCCCTCTACTTTCTTTTTTCTCTCTTTTTTTTTTTGAGATGGAGTCTCACTGTGTCACCCAGGCTGGAGTGCAGTGGCACGATCTCAGCTCACTGCAACCTCTGCCTCCTGGGTTCAAGCAATTCCCCTGCCTCAACCTCCCGAGTAGCTGGGATTACAGGTGCCTCCCGAGTAGCTGGGATTACCACACCCAGCTAATTTCTGTATTTTTAGTAGAGATAGAGTTTCACCATGTTGGTCAGGCTGGTCTCGAGCTCCTGACCTCAGGTGACCGGCTCACCTCGGCCTCCCAAAGTGCTGGGATTACAGGCGTGAGCCACCGCGTCCGGCCTATTCCTCTACTTTCTTAAACTTGCTTTCACTTTACTTTATGGACTTGCCCTAAAGTTTTTCTTGTGTGAGATCCAAGAACTCCCTCTTGGGGTCTGGATTGGGGCCCCTTTCTTGTAACAATAATAATTTAGGCCAGGCATGGTGGCTCAGTCCTGTAATCCCAGTACAAGAAAGGCTGAGGTGGGAGGATCTCTTGAGGGCAGGAGTTCAAGACTAGCCTGGGCATTATAGTGAGACCCCCATCTCAACAAAAATAAGACAGTTAGTTGACACCTGCCTATAGTCCCAGCTTCTCAGGAGGCTGAGGCAGCAGGATTGCTTGAGCCCAGGAGTTTGAGGCTGCAATGACCTCTGATTGTACCACTACACTGCAGCCCAGGCAAGAGAGTGAGACCTTGTCTCAAATAGATAAATAAATAAACAAAGTAATAGTTTAAGAGTAGTTTCTTAGACTTAACAGGTCTGCTTTCGGTATTTTAACTCAAGGATAATTTTAATAGCAGAGTTGTCAGGCTAGACAACCAGGGACAGGTGTTACCACAGGAGACTGTTCAGGGCCTATTTCTGAACAAGAAGTCTGCAGGTATTGTTCTTCCTATCACATACAGAATTTTCTTCTGATCCACTGCAGAGTGATAGCATAAGAAATCTCTTTTACTTTTAAATTTATATTATTCTACGCTAGAAAAAAAACCAGCAGACTTTATGTATTAATTTTAATGTTGAAGGAAAAGATATTTATTTTCAAAAGCTTATCACAGCTTGAGTGTGCTGGCTCATGCCTGTAATCCCAGCACTTTGGGAAGCCGAGGCGGCTGGATCACCTGAGATCAGGAGTTCAAGACCAGTCTGGTCAACATGGCGAAACCCTGTCTCTACTAAAAATACAAAAATTAGCTGGGCGTGGTGGCACATGCCTGTAGTTCCAGCTACTCAGGAGGCTGAGGCAGGAAAATCACTTGAACCCAGGACTCAGAGGTTGCAGTGAGCCGAGATCACGCAAGTGCACTCCAGCCTCCAGTCCTATATGTTTTATACATATATAGGACTACCCTATATCTATCTATCAGACATATCCTAGTATGTCTGTGTCCACATGCATATTTATTCAATAAAATGAAAGCTTTTCCATGTCTTATGGTACTTCCGTTTGCCATCTTGCCCAAAAAGGGATTCAGTCATAGACTCAACACACATTTATTGAGCACCTACTACATGCCAGACACTGTTTTGGGGATGAGCTATAGGATGATCCCTATTATGAGTAGGGCACACCCTCTACTTGCCCACACTTTCCCCATCCTAATCAGATTTCTAGACCTTTCTTCTCATCTCTAACACAGAACCTATCTCTTCCAAACCATACAACTGCTCTCTGGTCTTCATTCCTTTAACTATCAGATTAAAAATTGCTAAACAATGTTAGATTAAAAGATGCCTAAATCCCCTCAAGGCTAAAACTTATTTCCACCATATCAAATATGGCCCTACTTCCAACCACAGTTAATCTATTACATATATAAGCAAACAATATGTAAAAACACTATACCTCGTCAAAATGAAGTTGCACAGTGCTACAGAATTTGCAGTTTGGAAGGATCAAACAGTTAACATACAGTAAAAAACTTATAAAGGTTCAATAATAACCAAGTAGAAAATTAAAAATAGGAAAGCGTTTCTCCATTCAGAGACATCTGTGAACAGCTAAAAGGGATATTTAGGAGAAATAGTGAACAACCTTTTACAAAACTTCTATTAGTAAAGAACATTTTAAACATTTTTAGAAAAACTCCAATTTTATGTGACTGTTGATGTAGAGTGTAGTTTGTTTTTTCAATCTTTAATGAAGTAATAAGCTGCTTCCATCTTAAGCATAAAATAAATTATTAACCAAAGTAAGCTTTAGAGTTTTTTTTTTAAGCAAATTCCTCTACTCTCCAACTCCCAACTTTCTACAACGGAAACATGAAAAGGAACTTTGAGATGCATTAAAAATATGTAAACATCTCCCCATAAGCAGCAGTGGCACTGAGCCCTGCTGCTTATATCCAGCATTACTACATATCTAACAAACGGTTGGTTCTTCTTTCCTATTACCAGGGATATTTAAATGTAAAACACTGTAGAGCACTAAACCCAACCATCATAGGAGGAATTGAAAATGTATAGAAGAAGAAAAGAAAGGATTTAAATTCAGGTCTATATCCTCTTTTTTTTTTTTTTTTTTTTTTTTGAGACAGTCTCACTCTGTCACCCGGGCTGGAGTGTAGTGGCATGATCATGACTCAGGGCAGCCTCAACCTCCTGGGCTCAAGTTGATCCTCCCGCCTCAGCCTCCCGAGTATCTGGGACTAGAGGTGTGCACCACCAACCTGGCTAATTTTTTTATTTAATTTTTTAAATTTTTTGTGGAGACAGTCTCACTTTCTTGCCCAGGCTGTTCTTGAATTCCTGGGCTCAAGCAATCCACCCATCTCAGCTTCCTAAAGTCCCGGGATTATAGACATGAGCCACTGCACCTGGCAACTTTTTAGATTTAAGGATTTTCTTGAATCCAAGGGTTTGGCCTCAGGTTATTCCTAACATGGACAGACTCAGAATTACTTTCAGGGATTCCAATCTATTATTTTCTGACCTATTTGAGGTACCTTGTCATCCCAAACTGGAAATCTGGCCCTTAAATTAAAGTAACCTCCGGATGGGCACAGTGGCTCGTGCCTGTAATCCCAGCTCTTTGGGAGGCCAAGGCGGGCAAATCACCTGAGGTCAGGAGTTTGAGACCAGTCTGGCCAACATGATGAAACTCCATCTCTACTAAAAATACAAAAATTAGCTGGGCATGATGGCACATGCCTGTAATCCCAGCTACTTGGGAGGCTGAGGCAGGAGAATCGCTTGAACCTGGGAGGCAGAGGTTGCAGTGAGCTGAGATCGTGCCACTGCACCCCAGCCTGGGCAACAAAAGCAAAACTCTGTCTCAAAAAAATAAATTAATAAAATAAAATAAATTAAAAAAATAAAAGTACCTCCAAATTCCTTTTTAATTAATTGTTTAAAATAGAGACAGCATCTCCCTATGTTGCCCAGGCTAGTCTCGAACTCCTTTGCTCAAGTAATCCTCCTGCTTCGCCCTCCCCAAAGTGCTGGGATTATAGGTGTGAGCCACCGTGCCTTTCAGAACACTGTTTCCTCACAAACCATAAAATTTAAAATGCATATAAACCGCACCCAGTGACATATGCCTGTAGTCCCAGCCACTCAGGAGGCTGAGGCAGAAAGGATCACTTGAGCCAAGGAATCTGAGGCTTCAGTGCACATGATCATGCCTGTGAACAGCCACTGCCCTCCAGCCTGGGCAACAAAACGGGACCCAGTCTCAAAAAAAAAAAAAAAAAAAAAAAAAAAGATGCATGTAGTCATTTTTGTGTGGTTGCCTAAATCAAAGGTGTATAAATCCATCAGATGCTCTCAAGTGAAAATGTTTTTAAGTCTAACAAGTACCTAGGAATCCACAAGATATCATTTCCAAGGCAGTTTCAGTCTCAGGATAAATATAGAATGTTCACTATGACGATGTATCTATAAAATGGACCTAGCATCCCTTAATTGCTGCTGAAAACTCTGTCTACTATAGGTTATGAGAGTTATACACCATTTCAAATGATGAAACTGGTCTTACCTTCTCCTTCTTTGATAGTATAAATACACCAACCACTGTGCAATAAAAGGCCATATGATGGCAAACGTTAGCACACCAGGAGACATCTCGAAGGGCCACCAAGATGGTCTCTGAGAAAATACAATAAGCTTGTCACCAATCTATTCAATACTGCATGTATAAACTTAAAAACATACCTAATTCATAATTTTGAAAGTAGAAAAGAAAATTAGTAACAAATCTCACTCCTGCTGAAAGAAGAAAGATATTCTGCATTTCAGAGTATAATTCAGGAAACAGGCTTTCAGGAGTAGTTCAGACTTAAATAAACACAAAACAAGTATTTTTTAACTGCAAAGGTAGATTTCATTTGGAATGATTTAAAGATTTTGTATATTCTAAATGTATTGTAACATATGAAACCATGGGCCGGGCGCGGTGGCTCACACCTGTAATCCCAGCACTTTGGGAGGCCGAGGTGGGCAGATCACGAGGTCAGGAGATCGAGACCATCTTGGCTAACATGGTGAAACCCTGTCTCTACTAAAAATACAAAAAATTAGCCGGGTGTGGTGGCGGGCACCTGTAGTCCCAGCTACTCGGGAGGCTGAGGCAGGAGAATGGCGTGAACCCAGGAGGCAGAGCTTGCAGTGAGCTGAGATCGCACCACTGCACTCCAGCCTGGGCAACAGAGCGAGACTCCGTATCAAACAAAAACAAAAACAACAACAAAAAACATATGAAACCCTGGCATTTAAATTTTTTAAAAAATGTCTTACCTGTGAGGTGGGCTGAGGAGCAGTCTGCAATGTTGATGTTGATGATTTTGCCTGTAAATGCAAATGAAGGTGACTTAGCCTTGAAAAAATGAAAAACACAGTAATTATTCTATTTCCTATCTTTTTTTAAAAGGCAGAAATATTGAGGTTTTTTTTGGTTGCTTTTGTTTTCTTTATGTATAGAACAGTTGGAACGTAGAAATATTAGTTTATTCAGTATTTTTCTGCTAACTATACTTTGATTATCCTGAAACTAATACTTACCAAAGGACAAGTTCCCTAAAACAGCAAGCCAAACAATACTTTAATGCTTTATATTTTTAGTTCAAATTATATAAGACTATGAAAATAAAACCTCAAATCAATCTAAACTCTTATGTTTACAGTCTTATTACATTACCTATTCAACTTTTCTTTTTGAGACACGATCTTGGCTCACTGCAACCGCTGCCTCACAATTAGCTGGGAGGCAAGCACCACCACACCCAGCTAACTGGTGTTGGCTGGGTGTGGTGGCACCATAGTTGTCACTATGTTGGCCAGGCTGGTCTCGAACTCCCGACCTCAGGTGATCCACCCACCTCAGCCTCCCAAAGTGTTGGTATTATAGGCATGAACCACCATGCCTGGCCCAATTTATTTCTTCTATGAGTCATCCAAGTGAATTATGCAAATTTTAAGGAAAAAAGTCCTTAAAATCTTTTGAACTTTATTTTATTATTGTATTGTATTTTTGTAGAGATGAGGTCTTGCTCTGTTGCCCAGGCTGGTGAGATCGTGGCTCACTGCAGCCTTGAACTCCTGGGTTCAAGCTATCACCCTGCCTCAGCCTTCTGAGTAGCTGGGCCGACCACCAAGCCTAGCTATTTTAATTTTATTTTATTGGTAGACACAGGGTCTTGCCATGCTGCCTAGGCTGGTCTTGAACTCCTAGCCTCAGGTTATCCTCCTGCCTTGACCTCCCAAAGTGCTGAGATTATAGGTGTGAGCCATGGGCCTAGCCTAAAGTTTTCTATCACAGTGAAAAAAGTAAATGTCTAAGAAAATACATCAAAAGAATTTTAGCAGAATTTCAATATCACTAAAGATATTGAATATATGTAAAATATTCTTTAAAAAAAAAAAAACATAGAGCATGCCAGGCTCAGTGGCTCACGCCTATAATCCCAAGCACTCTGGGAGGCTGAGGTGGGCTGATTACTTGAGCTCAGGAGTTTGAGACCAGCCTGGGCAACATGGCAAAACTCTGTTTCTACAAAAAGTACAAAAATTAGCCAGATGTGGTGGTGTGCACCTGTAGTTCCAGCTACTTGGGAGGCTGAGGTGGGAGGATGACTTGAGCCCAGGAGGTGGAGTTACAGTGAGCCAAGGGCAGTGACGTGATCTAGGCTCACTGCAACCTCCGCCAACAGGGTTCAGGTGATTCTCATGCCTCAGCCTCCTGAGTAGCTGGGATTACAGGCATGCACCACCACGCCCAGCTAATTTTTGTGTTTTTAGTAGAGATGGGGTTTCACCATGCTGGCCAGGCTGGTATCGAACTCCTGGCCTCAAGTGATCCACTCGCCTCGGCCTCCCAAAGTGCTGAAATTACAGGTGTGAGTCACCGCGCCCGGTCATAAGGCACTATTTTAAACTCTTTCCTTATACACCTTCTTGAGGATCTGATGAAGACAACAAGTCCTCTCCCATCAAAAATGCAAGATCAAAGACAAATGTGCATAGTATTTTAGGGTGTTCATGGACTCCTGGAAGTCTAGGAATTTGCAGTCTGATTAATAATAATATGTAACTGAGAGGCCGGGCACGGTGGCTCACGCCTGTAATCCCAGCACTTTGGGAGGCTGAGGCGGGTGGATCACGAGGTCAGGAGATCAAGACCACCCTGGCCAACATGGTGAAGCCCCGTCTCTACTAAAAATACAAAAATTAGCTGGGCATGGTGGCGTGCGCCTGTAGTCTCAGCTACTCAGGAGGCTGAGGCAGGAGAATCGTTTGAACCCAGGAGGTGGAGGTTGCAGTGAGCCGAGATCCCGCCACTGCACTCCAGCCTGGTGACAGAGTGAGACTCCATCTCAAAAAAAAACCCATAATAATAATAATAATAATAATAATAACATGTAACTGAGAATTGTGGAGATACATATAATTTTTAAAAACATGATAGCTTGAGTAACTTACTGATTAGGTAAAGAGAAAGATATTCACAGTGGTTGTTTAGGAAAGCCTGCTATCAGTTTCTTTACATGAGTCACAATTAATGTATTTATCTTGCAATGGAAGCATGTCTTCTTTGATTAATCCCTACAAATACTTCTTAACATCTGTTACAGCATGATGCTTCAATGCTGTATAATGTTTGCAGCTAGGTCAGACAGTCAATGCTAATTACCTCTTTACTCTCTCTAACAAATGTTACTCAAGAAGCGGCAGCTGAGTCCCGGGATTATCATAGGCCACAGTTGAAACTATAAATCAAGCTGTAGTATCTCTTCCTATGAACCCTTTTCATTTTATTTATTTATTTATTTACTTACTTACTTATTTATTTATTTGAGACAGAGTCTCACTCTGTCACCCAGGCTGGCGTGTAGTAGTGTGATCTCGGCTCACTGAAACCTCTGCTTTCTGGGTTCAAGGGACTCTCCTGCCTCAGCCTCCTAAGTAGCTGGGATTACAGGTATGCAACACCACACCTGCCTAACTTTTGTATTTTTAGTAGAGACAGAATTTCACCATAGTGGCCAGTCTGGTCTCAAACTCCTGAACTCAGGTGATCCACCCACCTCGGCCTCCCAAAGTGTTGGGATTACAGGCGTGAGCCACGGCGCCCAGCCATTTTTCTATTATTTTACCATTTTTCTATTATTTTAAGCAGTAATTAGTTTCTGGGTCAGTCTTTTCTTAAACAATATTTTCAAAACCAAGTTCTATTTTCTAAAAAAATCAGTAAAATACATTAATTTATGTCAATATGATCAACGCAGACTCCACATTGCTTTCCAGAATCAATAAGCACAAGAAGGTATGATACATTTGGAAGTTTACCTGCAAAGCAGTCAGCGTTTCCAGTTTCTGCAGTCTCTGAAGGACATTCTGCATGTCCTCCTGCAGTCTCATCAGCACGAGGGCGATCTGCTCATTGAGGCTGCCTCGGGACCCTCTGTCGGAGCCCCAGCGCTCCCCATCACCTCCACTTCCCACCTGCCGGCCCTTGGTTCCTTCGCTCAAGTGTTGCATCCTATGTCCTATTTTAAGAGGCAAAAATAAGCTTGTTTTAAATAATTCTTATACAAGTAAAACTGTGTTTTATTCATTTTCCTCTGTTATTTCTTTGAGATCTAAATCTCCAAAGTGTGGCCAGGAGCTGTGGCTCACACCTGTAATCCCAGCACTTTGGGAGGCTGAGACGGGCGGATCACCTGAGGTCAGGAGTTCAAGACCAGCCTGGCCAACATGGCAAAACCCTGTCTCTACTAAAAATACAAAAATTAGCCAGGTGTGGTGGCATGCAATTGTAATCCCAGCTACTCAGGAGCCTGAGGCAGGAGAATTGTTTGAACCCTGGAGGCGGTGGTTGCAGTGAGCCGAGATCATGCCACTGCACTCCAGCCTGGGCGACAGAGCGATACTCCATCTCAAAAAAATAAAAAAAAACTTCCAACGTGGAGTAGAAGCAGTCAGGAAGTACATAAAATAAACTGCTGAGCTCAAAGAAATTGATTTGTAAACTTCTATTCATATTGATATATTCTAAAATTTTTTGCTAAGGTTCTATAATATACATAATATACTAATACATTATGCAAATAATTCACAAATAATACACATATTTGGAGTGCCTGCTCAAAAATTCTTTACTAATAAGGTAACCAGACTGAAAAATTCAAAGACTTTTTTTTTTTTAAATAGAGATGAGGTCTCCCCATGTTACCCAGACTGGTCTCGAATGCTTGGGATCAAGCAATCCACCTGCCCTGGACTCCCAAACTGCTGTGGGATTACAGGTATGAGCCACCACTCCTGGCCCTGGAGACTACTTCTTTAGGTATTAAAAGTTACAGTAAAGAGCTACGTTTGCCTTTTTGGTCATTTTTGTTTGTTTGTTTAATTACATTATAAATCTCCAAAGGTATTTGTCTGTTTGTTTGTTTCTGAGACAGTCTCACTCTGTTGCCCAGGCTGGAGTGCAATGGCTCACTGCAACCTCCGCCTCCCAGGTTCGGCCGATTCTCCTACCTCAGCCTCCCAAGCAACTGGGATTACAGGCGCATGCCACTACGCCCGGCTAATTTTTGTATTTTTAGTAGAGACGAAGTTTCACATTGTTGGCTAGGCTGGTCTTGAACTCCTGACCTCAAGTGATCTGCCTGCCTTGGCCTCCCAAAGTGCTGGGATTACAGAAGTGAGCCACCACGCCCAGCCATCCAAAAGATTTTAAATGTGTTCTTCTTATTCTAAATTGTGTGTTCCTTATAGAAATCTCACTACTATTAAGATTTTGTTATATATTCATCCATTCTTTTCTCTGGGCATATATTTACAAAATTGGCATTACCCCTTATACATGATTTTATGTCCTAGTTTTAAAATCATATTATGAACACTTATCTGCCTCATTAAATTTTATTCCAAAAACACTTAAATGGTTACATAAATTCCCTAGTTAGGTTATGAAATAATTCACTCAACCATTCTCCACTTTTGGATAGGTAGGATGAGTTCAAATTTTTTCTGTTACAAACAAAATTGCAGTGAATGGTTTTGTATGTAAATACTCGTCCAAATTTCCCCTGATCTCTTTAAGACAGATTCCAAAAAGAATCATTACTGGATTAAAGGATAACAACTGGGTCAAGGTTCCCAAGCTATTTATCAGAAGGCTGAAACAGTGTTATATTGCAGAGTATAAAAGATACTATTGTGTTACCCTAGCCTTGTAGGAATGGAATATTACAAAATTTTACATTTGCTAATATAATGGGCAAGTTTTGTTTTGAATAATAAATAGGAAATTGTCTAGCTCATTGCCCTTTAGCATCCTGGACCTCCACTGCAGCAGAATTCCCATAGCTGAACCTGCATCAAGCATTGTTGGGGATTAAAAGGGAAACCGAATTAGAGCTATTTGCCAAGTTAAACCCCAAAGAGGGCACTGAGGTGCCTGATGCTGTTTTCAAGACTTCTATTGTTGTATCTAAAGGAGGTAAATTTTGAGATCAGTCTGGGCAACATAGTGAGATGCCCATCTCTACAGAAAAACTTTTTAAATTAGTCAGGCGGCCGGGCACAGCTCACGCCTGTAATCCCAGCACTTTGGGAGGCCGAGGTGGGTGGATCACCTGAGATCAGGAGTTCGAGACCAGCCTGGCCAACATGGTAAAACCCCATCTCTACTAAAAATACAAAAATTAGCCAGGCATGGTGGTGGGTGCCTATAATCCCAGCTACTCAGGAGGCTGAGGCAGGAGAATCACTTGAACCCGGGAGGCAGAGGTTGCAGTGAGCCGAGATTGCACCACCGCACACCAGCCTGGGCGACAGAGCGCGAGACTCCATCTCAAAAATAAGTAAGTAAATCAATAAAGGTGAGGGAAGAAAAAAGGTAATCCACACCTCTTCCTCTTCTAACATTAGAGAATTCGTCAGTTTCTCCGCCTCGCTTCTCCCGGTGTGGTGCTCCGCTGTTATTCCTGCCATCTTCTCCTCCATGCTTGACTTCACCTTTTCCTTCAACTGCAACCACCTGCATATTCCCAATGTTGCCATTTCCAGGAGGTACTTGAATATCTTCACGAAATCCAGAATTTTCCATGGGTTGACTGGAATGACCACCCAAGTAATACTGAAATGGTCCATTGTTGGACGTAAAGCTGTCTAAAGACTACAAATTAGAAATGACACTTAGTTAAAAGCTAGAAATGTGAATTATACACCACAAAGTTTTTACAGCAATAGGAGAAATACTGTTTTCCTAAAATGTTCTTTCATGTTATTATTGGAAATATTCTTTTTCTAAAAAATGTCTTCAATTCATATGCTGCTTCCTACCTGCAGGGAAGAAATAGGACAAGAATGATTTGTCCATGAACAGAGTCAAGAAGCTTGGGTAGTAAATTGTTTTGTTTGTTTGTTTGTTTTTGAGATGGAGTCTCGCTCTGTCACCAGGCTGGAGTTCACTGGCACGATCTCGGCTCACTGCAACCTCCACCTCCCGGGTTCAAGCAATTCTCCTTCCTCAGCCTCCCGAGTAGCTGGGATTACAGGCACGCACCGCCATGCCTGGTTAATTTTTGTATTTTTAGGAAAGATGGGGTTTCACCATGTTGGCCAGGATGGTCTCAATCTCCTGGCCTCATGATCCGCCCACCTCGGCCTCCCAAACTGCTGGGATTACAGGAGTGAGACCCCACGCCCGCCCAGTGAGTTGTTTTTGTGAGTCAGTTATTAAAGAAACATCTACATTTCTATGCTTACCTTATTCTTAGAGATTACTACCTAAATTTTTTTTTAAGTCAAAGCAAGCTTATTTAGAAAGTAAAGGAATAAAGAATGGCTACTGTGTAGGCAGAACCTAAATGTGTTTTTAAAAGAACCCACCTAAGACATCGATGGATGACAACCTATAATTAACTGGACTTGATGAAGGTGGTGATGAGGTGAGTTGTATCTTATCTAAGGTTTCCTTCAGGAAGGGACATCTGAGTTAGGGTATAAAGGGTATATAAGAGTCCTCAGTGAAGAGGGAGGATGTACAAGTGGGGGTGGGGGTAGGAAGGGACTTGACACATTAGAGAAACAGAGAGAAGGCCAGGGTGGGTGGTGAGCAACGACCAAATAGGAGAGTGGTGTTAACAGAGGCCAGCAAGGGGCCGGCATGGTGGCTCACACCTGTAATCCCAGCAGTTTGGGAGGCCAGGGTAGGCAGATCACTTGAGGCTAGGAGTATGGGACCAGCCTGGCCAACATGACGAGACCCCGTCTTTACTAAAAATACAAAAATTAGCCAGTCAGGGCGGCACATGCCTGTAGTCCCAGCTACTTGGAAGGCTGAGGCACAAGAATCACTTGAACCCAGGAGGTGGAGGTTGCAGTGAGCCCAGATTGTGCCACTGCACTCCAGAAGCCAGGTCAGACAGCCCCTTGAGCTTTAGTCCATCAACTGATTGAGAGAGAAAACAGGAACAAAACTAGAATGTAGCAGCTGGATATTTACTGAGATTAATCTCTATCTGGTCCCTTTCATCAACCTTCCCCAAATATCTCTTTTTTAAAAAGAAAAAAATAAAAGGGAATCTGAGTTTTTCATCCTTTTCATTTTTCACTAATTTCACTCATTCTCAGTTTGGCCTCCTTATCATTATTCTTCCAATTTATGCTGCTTTTTTTTTTTTTTTTTGAGACAAGTTCTGGCTTTATAGCCCAGGCTGGAGTGCAGTGGTGCGATCTTGGCTCATTGCAACCACTGCCTCCCAGGCTCAAGCCATCCTCCCTGAGTAGCTACCATGCCTGGCTAAGTTTTTTATTTTTTTGTAGAGACGGGGTTTTGCCATGTTGCTCACGCGGCTCTGAAACTTGTGAGCTCAAGTGATCCACCTGCCTCGGCCTCCCACAGTGTTGGGATTATAGGTGTCAGCCACCATGACCAGCCTACGCCACTCCATTTGTGTTTGACCTTAAGTAAAAGATATTTTATTCATGTGTTTTTAAAATTTGAGAAAAGGGGTAGATTTAATTGCATTATGAAATGAGAAAAGGAGAAAAACACAAAAAGTTAAAATCATTTCAGGGAGGCAAAAGATAAATGATTTTCTATAAGACACACTGAACTGTATTAGAACAGGGTAGGTAGGTAGGAAACAGAATGGGGAGAGGATATAAAGAGGCCAAACAGAAATATAGCTGTCAAAACCACCTTTGTCAGATTAATAAGTAGAATACATAAGGAGCGTAAACAACTCAATAGGAAAAAAATCTAATAACCTGATTAAAACTGGGCAAAAGATCTGAATAGACATTTCTCAAAAGACCTACAAATGGCCAACAGGTATATGAAAAGGTGCTCAACATCACTGATCATCAGCGAAATGCAAATCAAAACTACAATGAGATATTACCTCGCCCCAGTTAAAATGGCTTTTATCCCAAAGACAAGCAATAACAAATGCTGGCAAGGATGTGAAGAAAAGGAAGCCCCTGTACATTGTCGGTGAGAATGTAAAATTAGTACAGCCACTGGGGAGAACAGTATGGAAGTTTCTTAAAAAACAAACAAACAAGCCGGGCGTGGTGGCTCACGCCTGAAATCCCAGCACTTTGGGAGGCCAAGGCAGGCAGATTACCTGAGGTCAGGAGTTCGAGACCAGCCTGACCAACATGGAGAAACCCCGTCTCTACTGAAAGTACAAAATTAGCGGGGCATGGTGGCGCATGTCTGTAATCCCAGCTACTCGGGAGGCTGAAGCAGGAGAATCACTTGAACCCAGGAGGCGGAGGTTGCAGTGAGCCAAGATCATCCCATTGCACTCTAGCCTGGGCAACAAGAGGGAAACTCCGCCTCAGAAAAAAAAAAAAGTACCAAAAATAGAGTTACCATATGACCAGCAATTCCACTGCTGGCTGTATACCCAAAAGAAAGGAAATCAATATATTGAAGAGATATCAGCACTCCCATGTTTATTGCAGCACTATTCACAATAGCCAAGATTTGGAAGCAACCTAAGTGTCCATGAACAGACGAATGGATAAAGAAAATGTGGTACATATACACGACAGAGTACTATTCTACCATAAAAAAGAATGAGATCCTGTCATTTGCAATATGGATGGAATTGGAAGATATTATGTTTAGTGAAATAAGCCAGGCATAGAAAGAAAAACTTCAAATGGTCTCACTTATTTGTGAGAGCTAAAAATTAAAACAATTAAACTCATGGAGATAGAGATACAATGAATAAGATCTAGTACCTGATAGCACAGCAGAGTGGCTATAGTCGGCAATACTTTGTTGTACATTTTAGAATAACTGAGGGAGTACAATTGGAATGTTTGGAACACAAAGAAATGATGACTGTCTGAAATAATGGATACTCCATTTACCCTGATGTGATTATTACACATCATATGCCTGCACCAAAATATCTCATATACCCCATAAATATATATTTATTATATTTTTTATATTTTACAAAAATAAAGTGGAGATGGGGGTCTCGCCTTCTTGCCCAGGCTGGTCTCAAACTCCTGGTTTCAAGCGAAGTTCCTGCCTCAGCCTCCTGGGATTACAGGTGTGAGCCACTGAGCCCAGTCTAACCCATGAATATATATACCTATGTGCCCATTAAAATTAAAAATTAAAAAATTAAAAATTAAAATACTGCTATCATCATTATCAGAAAAAGTTGAGAAAAAGGATTCATGGATGTCCTATAATTTGTTTTTCAAGTTTTCTCTCCCAATACTGGATCTTAATTAACTGAAATTTAAAAATTATTTCCACTAAAAATTTCAATCCAGTGAATTACAGTCAATGTGGAGAACAGACTTATTTGTTTGAAAATTATTCAGGCCAGCCTTGGTGGCTCACACCTGTAATCCCGGCATTTTGGGAGGCTGAGGTGGGAGCACTGATTGAGGCCAAGAGTTTGAGACCAGCCTAGGCAACATATCAAGAACCCATTTTTAGGTTGGGCACAATGCCTCACGTCCATAATCCCAGCACTTTGAGAGGCTGAGGTGGGCAGATCACTTGAGGTCAGGAGTTTGAAACCAACCTGGCCAACATGGTGAAACTCTGTCTCTACTGAAAATACAAAAATTAGCCAGGTGTGGTGGCACATGCCTGTAATCCCAGCTACTTGGGAGGCTGAGGCAGGAGAATTGCTTGAACCTAGGAGGCGGAGGTTGCAGTGACCCGAGATTGCGCCACTGCACTCCAGCCTGGGTGACAGACAGAGACCCCATCTCTAAAAAACAAAAAAAACAACAAAGAAGATCATTCAATTTTCCTGAACATTAATAAATGTTTCAAACATTGGGACTAGCATAAAAAGTGTTTTCTCTGCATCCCCATCCCACGTCTCCTAGAATATTTATAAATATATGTATATTATTAGTTATAATGGAGTAGTTAATATTATTAATTTTTCTTTGACTTTTCCAGAATTTTACCTATTTTTGAATTCATAAAAAATAGTTTAAAATACAAATGTTTAAACATTTTAGGAGTATCTTTTCAAAATGAAAAATAGCATGTATATTTGCTACTAACAGAAGTTACGCATTGAATTCTAATACACCACTTTGAAAATACACCAATCAGAAAATGTCATTTTTACCTCTTCTTGTCCAAATTGTTCCATAGAATCACAGTAAACTTCACTGTCTGAATCGCTTGTCAAATGCTGAATTCCTGTAACATCTTCAACATGATCATCATTTATATCTAAATATGAACAAAAGTGCAGATAGGGTAATTATACTATAGTAGAAGAAAAACAAATTTATTCCTTTGTTTTTTTGAGATGGAGTCTTGCTCTGTTGCCCAGGCTGGAGTGCAGTGGTGTGATCTCGGCTCACTGCAACTTCTACCTCTCGGGTTCAAGTGATTCTCCTGCCTCAGCCTCCCAAGTAGCTGGGATTACAGGTGCCCACCACCATGCCCAGCTAATTTTTGTTTCATTTGGTTTTGTTTTGAGACGGAGTTTTGCTCTTGTGGCCCAGGCTGGAGTGCAGTGGTGCGATCTCGGCTCACAGCAACCTCCGCCTCCCGGATTCAAGTGATTCTCCCGCCTCAGCCTCCCGAGTAGCTGGGATTACAGGTATGGGCCAACACACCTGGCTAATTTTGCATTTTTAGTAGAGACAGGGTTTCTCCATATTGGTGCGGCTGGTCTCAAACTCCTGAGCTCAGATGATCCACCCACCTTGGCCTCCCAAAATACTGTTTATTTTTGGTTTTTGAGATGGAGTCTCGTTCTGTGGCCCAGGCTGGAGTGCAGTGGTGTGATCTCGGCTCACTGCAACCTCTGCCTCCTGGGTTCAAGTGATTCTCCTGCCTCAGTCTCCAAGTAGCTGGGATTACAGGTGCACACCACCAAGCCCAGCTAATTTTTTGTATATTTACTTGAGATGGGGTTTCACCATGTTGGCCAGGCTGGTCTCGAACTTCTGACCTCAGGTGATCCGCCTGCCTTAGCCTCCCAAAGTGCTGGGATTACAGGCATGAATCACCGCACTCAGCCAACTTTTGTATTTTTAGTAGAGACGGAGTTTCACATTGTTGGTCAGGCTGGTCTCGAACTCCTGACCTCAGGTGATCCACCCGCCTCGGCCTCCCAAAGTGCGGGGATTACGGGCGTGAGCCACTGTGCCTGACCTTTGTTCCATTTTCAAAATTCATCAGCCTTATATTATTTTTATACTGAGAGACGAATTTGATTTATCAAGCCACACTTTTTAAAATTTACCAAAACTTTAAATTTAGTTGATAATTTTTATTTGAAAAGATTACAAAATATTTTATCATTGAATTCCATAAAGACAGCCTAGATGAAATCTTATAAAACCTAATAACCCTGTAAGAGAAAACTACCTACCAAGCAGGATGCCTAAATGTAAGATCCAACTAGGCAAGTTTGGTTCTTACATTACGAAATGATGTTTCTTGGCCGGGCACTGTGGCTCACGCCTGTAATCTCAGCACTTTGGGAGGCAGAGGAGGGCAGATCACAAGGTCAGGAGATCGAGACCATCCTGGCTAACACGGTGAAACCCCGTCTCACTAAAAAATACAAAAAATTAGCTGGGCATGGTGGCGGGCACCTGTAGTCCCAGCTACTCGGGAGGCTGAGGCAGGAGAATGGCGTGAAACCAGGAGGCGGAGCTTGCAGTGAGCTGAGATCGCATCACTGCACTCCACCCTGGGCGACAGAGCGAGACTCTGTCTCAAAAAAAAAAAAAAAAAAGATGTTTCTCGGCCGGGCGCGTTGCCTCACACCTGTAATTCCAGCACTTTGGGAGGCCAAGGCGGGTGGATCACTTAAGGTCAGGAGTTTGAGACCACCCTGGCCAACATGGTGAAACCCCGTCTCTACTAAAAATACAAAAATTAGCTGGGCATGGTGGCACGTGCCTGTTATCCCAGCTACTGGGGAGGCTGAGGCAGGAGAATTGTTTGAACCCAGGGGGCAGAGGTTGCAGTGAGCCGAGATTGCGCCACTGCACTCCAGCCTGGGTGACAGAGCGAGACACCATCTCAAAAAAAAAAAAAAGAGAAAAGAAAAAGAAATGATGTTTCTCACATGTACTATTATGTATCCCTAAAAATTAAAAAATAAGCCAGTGCATGGCTCAAACCTGTAATCCTAGCACTTTGGGAGGCCAAGGCAGGCAGATCACTTGAACCCAGGAATTCCAGACCAGCCTGGGCTACCTGGCAAAACCCTGTCTCTACAAAAAATTTAAACATTAACTGGGCATGATGGTACATGCCTGTAATCCCAGCTACTTAGGAGGCTGAGGCAGAATTGCCCAGGAGTTCAAGGCTGCAGTGAGCCATGACTATGCCACTGCACTCCAGCCTGGGCAACAGAAAGAGATACATATATAACCTTGGCCCTAATTCACTCTTTTTCAAAACTATAAATGCTTATAATATTAATAAGCCCTAAGATATTATTAAATAAGAGATTTTTAAATTAAACTGATCCTAAAGATCCTATAATTACTAAAAGACTATTCATAGGAAAGAGGCTGGACACAGAATTATTTGGGGACAATACCTTGGTGAATGCAAACAGCAGATTTTCCAGTTTGCCCCAAGTTTTCATCAATGGGCTTTACTTCTTCAGTGCTTCTGCCATTCAGGGAAGAACTGGCATGAATGTCATTCTGTATATCCTGAACAAAGCCATCTTTATCATAGCCATTAGTGACAATGACTTCCAAATTCTTATGGTCTGCTGACTTCTTCATCATTTTCTTATCTTTTACGAGAAAATGGGAAAGATTCATAAAAGTTCACAGTAGGTCACCTTCTGCATACCATGTTTTAATATCCAGCTGTTATTTCCCTAACCTACCACAATCCCTTTGAAGGGTTTCCTACTTGGATCAAAGAGAAGGCGTGCTCCTTGAAATGGGGTTTACTATACGCTGAGAGCTCACCCAAACTATGTTGGCTTCAAAACTGTTTCAGTTCCCTGTCAATCTTCTAGAATTTCTTTTAAAAAGTAATCTCTCAAAGTCTTTTTACTCCCTTAGGCATAAGCAAATTGCTCTATGAGACCTAGCAGTGCGAAGGGGTCCACATAGCTGATAAAAAGGATCCTTAAAGAAGGCGCTATTTGTCATACCTTACTGGAAAGGGAAGGCAAAACTAAGTTACACAGTTTTTTTTTTTTTTTGAGACAAAGTCTCGCTCTGTCACCCAGGCTAGAGTGCAATGGCATGAGCTTGGCTCACTGCAAATTCTGCCTCCCGGGTTCAAGTGATTCTCCTGCCTCAGCCTCCCAAGTAGCTGGGATTACAGGCGCCCGCCACTATGCCTGGCTAATTTTTGTATTTTTAGTAGAGACGGGGTTTCACCATGTTGGTCAGGCTGGTCTCGAACTCCCAACCTCAGGTGATCTGCCCGCCTCGGCCTCCCAAACTGCTGGGATTACGAGTGTGAGCAACCGTGCCCGGCCGCAGTTTGTTTTAGTGTCTTTCTGTCTCCCCTTTTGAAAACAGTCTTCCCGTGTGTTATTGGTATTCCAACAGGGCCCTCAATGCTCTAAGCCATAATTCCAATGTTCCTTCTTCATGAAAATTTATGCCTGTAGGCCGGGTGCGATGGCTCATGCCTATAAGCCCAGAACTTTGGGAGGCCGAGGTGAGCAGATCACTTGAGGTCAGGAGTCCAAGACCAGCCTGGTCAACATGGTGACATCCTGTCTCTACTAAAAATACAAAAATTAGCGGGGTGTGGTGGTGCATGCCTGTAATCCCAGCTAATTGCGAGGCTGAGGCAGGAAGACGGCTTGAGGCTGCAGAGGGCGGCAGAGGCTGCAGTGAGCAGCGATCATACCACTGCACTCCAGCCTGGGCAACAGAGCGAGACTCTATCTCATAAAAAAACAAAAAAAAAACACTATGCCTTTATCCTATTCTCTGGATTCCATTCTATTTTTGGTAAGATATTGAGAGTCTAACTTGTCTCCTATCCTTAGTAACTTATGCAGATTCATGTTGGGAACAACACTTTAAAATAGCACATGTCTAATGCAGCATTTCAGGCCATCCATTTGGAGGAGTGGCCTATTCTTGTCAACCTTCAATTAACACCTATTCCATTTACGCATAAGGTTGGCTGTTCCTATACTATGTAGTAGAGCCTTTTGGTCCACAGCAAACTTGTTTATAAGGTCAACAGCTTACATCCCACCACCTGCTTTAATCTTCTACAATACCAAATCAGCCCAAATGTCTTCATACCCTCTTAGTTTATTTATTGCAAAATTACTAACTGATTTTCCAAACATTACCATTATCACTTTGTTCTGCTCCTTTCACTTCTTCTTGGGCCTCTTCTTCCTCAGACTCGGCTCCACTGTCACTGCTTTCAGCTTTACCATTAACGGTTTTGGCGTTTGGAGTAGAAGTGAGAACATTACCAAGATCTAAAACATGAAATGACCACTTACTCACAATGTGATAATATACAATAATGTCATAATTTCCAAGTAATACTAATAAAATTTACAAATAACTAATAAAATAATTTTGAATTAAAATGTTATATATATAATAGTATTATTTTCTTTGACTATAAACATACATATATTACAAGACAAATTCCTTCAATTATCACCTTATGATCAAGCTATCTTAAATCCTTTCTGAATCAGGCAGAGGGTAAATTATTTTTAAGTTAATATCAATCAAAATAAAGTTAGAGATCAATGGATCTTCATACATGGCAAGTGAAGAGATACTTCCTATATGCTAGGATGCTGAAAACAAAAATATGTTTTTGGTTCTACCAACAATCTCATCAATATTACAGTTGGGGTCCATTTTACAAACTTTATTCCTGTATTACCTTTAGGACTTCAGGTGCACAACTCACATTATCTGTCTTTATGATATTTAAGTTTTTTTCTTAAAGTATCCATTAATGTGATCAATCACTTACAAAAGCAAATTGTCCAAGTGGCCAAAGCTATATCCCGAGGGTAAATACATCAGAGCTTCTCAACTTTAATGTGCATACAAATCTTCTGAGAGCTATTTAAGATGCAGATTCTGAATTAGTATGTCTAGGGTGATCTAAGATTCCAAATTTCTATAAAGATCACATTTGTTACCAATGCTGTTGGTTACTGGACACTGTTTTGAGAACATGGATTGAAAGACAATATTTTTGAGGTAACAATACTCCCCAAAATGATCTGCAAATTCACTGCAATCTGTATCAAAATCCAAGCTGGCATTTCTGCAAAAATTGACATGCAGATTCTAAAATTCATATGAAAATGTGAGGGATCAAGATTAGCCAAAACAATCTTGAAAAATAACAAAATTGGAGGACTCATCATTCCTGATTTCAAAACTTACTGTATATGTATATTCTGAAAATGGCAATGTAAAACTGATACATCTGTTCTATTGGACCTAAATGGCTACTTTTAAGGAAATGCTTTGTTTAGAAAAAAAAAGGCAAGACTGCAAACTGTTTTGCAATTTGGTAATATCTTACAAAATTACAAACATCAAACATTTCTAACTCCATTTCTAATATTTCTTACAGATATGCTTTCACATATGTGAAATGACAAATGTACGTGGTTATTCTCAGCAGTATTTTCTGAAGATCAAAGGAGTAAATAACCTAAATGTCCACCAGAATGGCTCAGGTTAAAAAAATTATGGTGCAGGTCCACAATCCCTTACTTACAACCCTTGGATCCAGATACATTTTGAAATCTCAAGTTTTCTAATTTTGCAAAGGTTATATGGTACATATGCCATTTGGTATATTATGTAACACATCCAATAGAGTCTAAGGCAGCTCTCACTAAAAAGAGAATGTGATTTTTGCAGCAAAACATATAAATAGTTACATTAAAGAGGAAAGAGACTCAAAATACCCTCGTTTTACTTCAGGTCAGGTTTTACTCCCCAGATTTTTAGTTCATATCAGACAGGTTTTGCTGCCAAATGAGTTTACCAAAAAACTTCTGGTCTTCAAAGATTTTTAAAATTGTAAGTTATAGCTAGGTAGCTGTGAGCCTGCACCTTTATTACTATTATTTACTCTTCTTTGTTTTATAATTAGCTGTTTAAATATCTGCCTCTGGCCAGTGGCTGGACACCACAGCAGCAGATCCAGATTTATTTCCCTCTGCATCCCAACATGCCTGACATACATAAAACATTTAATTTTTTTTTTCTGGCAGGGTACAATTGCTCATGCCTTTAATTCCAGTGCTTTGGGAAGCTGAGTTGGGAGGATTACCTGAGGTCAGGAGTTCGAGATCAGCCTGGCCCACATGGCAAAACCCTGGCTCTACTAAAAATACAAAAATTAGCCATACAAGAATACAAGTGTACACTTGTAATCCCAGCTACCTGGGAGGCTAAGTCAGGAGAATTGCTTGAACCCAGGAGTTGGAGGTTGCAGTGAGTCAAGATGGGACCACTGCACTCCAGTCAGTGTGACAGAGGAAGACTCCATCTCAAAAAAAAAAAAAAAAAAAAAAGAAAAGAAGAAAACATTTAGTTTTTTCTCTGAATTGAATAAGCATGCCTTATAAGAAGGACTACTTGTTAATATTTGACTTCTGTAAGCAAATCAGATGTAGAATGATGTGGTAGAGTTATGCCCAGTAAGCAGTCAGTACTACTTGCACGTGGTTTATGACCGTGACAAGGACCGATTTCAGCACAGGAAGATTACTATTCTGAAATGCTGCCATTATTGTCAATTATTAAAAGATGTCTTATAAATAGGGATGTCAAGGGAAAAAAAGGGGATGCCAGGCGATTTTTATTTAAAGGGTATATAATTTTCTCTTAAATTGACTCTTGTGGTCTCATTTCACTCTGCTTTCTAAAAAAAATTCAAGATCAAATGTTTAGTTAATACCAACAAATCTCCCATTTTATTCAACTCCTACAAGTATGCAAAACACAACCCTTTCAATCCTTTGTGTACATGAAGACAAAATTCTAAAAAAAAAAAAAAAATAGAAGTTGTAATCCATGCAGAGATGCTTGAACCAAAATAAAGAAAAAAGAAAACAAGCTAAATGAATTAACTGTCTTGCATTAGCTTATATGCTATAGTTAAACCACACCCTAAACACATCTATTTTTAATTTCTTTTTTTGTTTGTTTTTTTCTTTTTTTGAGACAGCATCTCACTCTGTTGCTCAGGCCGGAGTGCAGCAGAGTGATCTCGTCTCACTGCAAACTTTGCCTCCTGGGTTCAAGTGATTCTTGTGCCTCAGCCTCCCAAGTAGCTGGGATCACAGGCGTGTGCCACCATGCCTGGCTAATTTTTGTGTTTTTTGTAGAGACGGGGTTTCACCAAGTTGGCAAGTCTGGTCTTGAACTCCTGACCTCAAGGTGATCTGCCCGCTTTCGCTTCCCAAAGTGCTGGGATTACAGGCATGAGCCACCACACCTGGCCAACATATCCATTTTAAAATTAGCTAGTAAATCATTGAATTCAAAGTACTATTAACGTAATTCTCAAAGCAAAATAGAAAACATGACCTATCAAAATAAAACCATGAATTCTGCTATAATTTCGAATATACTAAGTAAACTACCTGGTGTATTTTAATAGCTTACCACTTAAGGGTTAAAATTTTAAGGGTTTATAATGTTTTGGAACTTCATATAATGTGTTTGCCTGGAATGAAAACTCCTGGGTGACAAGATTGTAAGTTCTGTAAGTTTGTGCAGAATTCTTTTGACATGTAAATTTTAAACAAAACTTTTACATGATTTCATGATTCCTACCTTCTAAACATTTAGAGATTTTCTCCAGTCGGACTGGCGCGTGAAAGTAAGAAAAAAAATCAGAGATACAAATATTAATATGTGCATAATATATCAGTTGATGAATTTAAAAATAGGTAAAATAGTCCAACCTGAGGTTATATCAGAACTCCTGCCACTCTTTTTGTCCTCGACAATTTCATAAAATGGACCTATGACACGCAGCAATTCTTCAACTTTCTCAGTCATTGGCATAGTTTCAATAATCTGTAATCAAAAGAAACAAATATTGTGAAATCACAAACTCTTAATTTGATCTCCACTAATATCAAATAATCTCCTATTTCCAATTTGTCAATAATTTTAATATTTGACATTCATAATAGACTCTCTGAAGGATCTACATTAATTACATACTTAATGTATACACACTGTGGCCGGGCTAAGTGGTGGCTCATGCCTGTAATCCCAGCACTTTGGGAGGCCAAGGCAGGAGGATGGCTTGAGCCCAGAAGTTTGAGACCAGCCTTGGCAACACAGTGAGACCCTGTCTCTTAAAAATTTTTTAAAAAACATTAACCAGGCACGGTGGTGTGTGTCTGTGGTCCCAGCTACTCCAGAGGCTGAGGTGGGAGGATTACATGAGCCTGGGAGGTCGAGGCTACAGTGAGCCATTATGGCACCACTGCACTCCAGGCTTGGTGACAGAGTGAGATGCCATCTCCAAAAATTAAAAAATAAAATAAAAGGAATCCTTTAAAAAAAGTATATACACTCCTAGAAAAGCTTCAAGTATATTAAAGATCTAAAAGTGTTCTCATTTTGAAGATTATTTTACATGAGCTTCATGTAAAATTTTATACAATAACTTATAAATTGTGTATTACAGCTAGGGGGCGCAGTGCAATGGCTCACACCTGTAATCCCAGCACTTTGGCAGGCCAAAGCAGGAGGAGGATGGCTTGAGCCCAGGAGTTCGAGACTTGCCTGGGCAACATAGTAAGGGCCCATTTCTACAAAAAAAAAAAAAAAAATTGTCTAATTATCCAGACATGGCGGTGCACGCCTGTAGTCCCAGCTACTCGGGAGGCTGAGGTGGAAGGATCTCTTGAGCCCAGGAAATTGAGGCTGCAGTGAGCCATGATCACACCACACTGCACTCCAGCCTAGGCAACAGAGCGAGATCTTGTCTCCAAAAAAATAAAGGAAACAAACAAAAAAACTAGGGGCTTTCATTAAACGAAATAGAAAACTGAAGTTAGAGTAAAATTATGATGTCTGTTCTTTAACAATAAGGTAGCGTAGTATTTCTAACAGGGCACAAAAGTAAAGTAGGAAATTGTAATCACTTTCAGACACCTTCATAAATATGGGCCAATTTAGAATCACCAAATTTAAAGAACAAGGTAAATTAACTGAAAAGGTATTTAACTAAACAGCCATCAATTGGTGACTGATCAAAGAAATTAAAGTATTTCTAGATTTGAAATATTTTGCATATATTAAAAAGAATAAAGTCAGCTCTGTGTGTGCCAATCACAGGATGTTTAATATGATAACAGGGGCCGGGCGTGGTGGCTCACGCCTGTAATCCCAGCACTTTGGGAGGCTGAGGCAGGAGGATCACCTGAGGTCAGGAGTTTGAGACCAGCCTGTCCAACATGGTGAAACCCCATCTCTACTAAAAATACAAATATTAGCCGGGCTTGGTGGCATGCACCTGTGATCCCAGCTACTTGGGAGGCTGAGGCGAGAGAATTGCTTGAACCCAGGAGGCGGAGGTTGCAGTGAGCCAACATCACACCACTGCATTCCAGCCTGGGCAACAAAGTGATACTCTGTTTCCAAAAAAAAAGATACCAGAACTGGCTCCCTCTCTCTCGCTCTCTTTCTTTTTTTTTTTTTTTGGAGACAGCGTCTCGCTCCATCATCACCCAGGCTGTAGTGCAGCGGCACGATCTCGGCTCACTGCAACTTCCACCTTCCTGGTTTGAGCAGTTCTCACCTTCAAGCAATTTCAGACACCTTCATAAGTGATTTGCCCACCTCGGCCTCCCAAAGTGCTGGGGTTATAGGTGTTAGCCACTGCGCCTGGCCAAAACCCTAAAATTCTTGTTCAAACAACATGCTTTTATTCCTAAACCAAATACAAGATGGATCATTGGTGGTCTATGGTAGTCAGCAACTCTGATAGGATTACATGCTCATCAACACCATTCCCCACTGTGTTATATGTGTAGGAGGAGGTTGTTGAGAGAGATTACACAGAATGAACTATGTTAACAATAACTGGTTCTAGTGATTATAATTTAATTTTACAGCTTGTAGTAAATTATCTGATTGCTGCTCCTCTGAATGTACTGTGAAAGGAATGCTTTAATCACAAAATTTCTTTTTGCTAAAGGAAACATTTGTTATGAGGCTAGGGCCATGTGGAGGAATGTTTTATTATTTATTATAAATATCTGAGTTGTAATATATTTGAATTATAATAATAATTCTGAGATAAATCAGATTCAAACCAAGAGAAATGTTTAATGTGACCAAGTCACAACTAATAAATGGCAGAGAAATAATTCAAACATAAATCAGCACCCTTTACACTATCCCACACTGCCGTAATATAAAGACTTCAGTTAGCAGAATCTAGTAAGCCAATTGCATACCACATCCTGACCACCAAGCAACACCTCTACTTCTCAAGGCTTATTAAAAGATCTCTTTCTTAACTTTGTCCTTATTTTTAAGGCTACTAAATTCGGCATTTGGGTTTCTCATGCCCCATAGGGTAAAAGAGTAAACTGTGGACTGAAGTCTCAGAACGAAATAAAAGGAGTATCCATTGGCAGTAAGCAAATATTAACTGAGTATTCATTCTCTCAACAAACCAGAATTTCAGTAGTTAATATAGTGAAGACACAGTAGCCAAAACAAGACACATCCAAAATTGATGAAGTTACTCTCTTTGTTTTTTCTTTTTCTTTTAGATTCAGAGGGTACATGTGCAGGTTTGTTACAAGGGTATACTGTGTGATGCTGAAGTTTGGGCTTCTATTGATCCAGTCACCCATACAGTAAACACAGTACCCAATAGGAAGTTTTTCAGCCCTTTCCTCCACCCTTTTGAAGAGGTTATTCTCTGAGGAAGCAACTTTAAACATACACAAACCAAGAATGATCCCCAGCCATTTGCAAAATTATCTCCCTGACACCAATATTGAAATACAAGAAATGGTGCACATGTACACACATGAGATACAGACTACACACACACACACACACACACACACACACACACACACAAGCAGACACAGGCAAATCTCAGTCTAGGTAACTACTACCTACCCTCAGAGAAGATGTTATCTAAACCAAGCTTGTCCAATCTGCAGTCCTCGGGCAGCATGTGGCCCAAGACGGCTTTAAATACCCAACACAAATTCGTAAACTTTCTTTTTTTTTTTTAATTTTTTTTGTTAATTTTTTTGCGACAGCGTCTCACTCTGTCGCACAGGCTGGAGTGCAGTGGCATGATCTTGGCTCACTGCAGCCTCTGCCTCTGGGGTTCAAGCAATTCTCCTACATCAGCTGCCCGAGTAGCTGAGACTATAGGCATGCACCACCATGATCAGCTAACTTTTTTGTATTTTTAGTAGAGACGGGGTTTCACCATGTTACCCAGGCTGGTGTGGAACTCCTGACCTCAAGAGATCCACCCACCTCGGCCTCCCAAAGTGCTGGGATTACTAGCTGGGATTACTAGTGTGAGCCACTGCGCCTGGCCCAAATTCGTAAACTTTCTTAAAACATTCTGATTTTTTTTGCGATTTTTTTTTTTTTTTTTTTTTTTAGTTCACCAACTATTGTTAGTATCAGTGTATTTTATGTGTGGCCTAAAATAATTCTTCTTCCAGTGTGGCTCAGGGAAGCCAAAAGATTGGCCACCCCTGGTCTAAAGTTATAAGTTAACTAAGCTAATTTAATATATTATAACCCAACCAAATGAAGAATGTTTTGACAGAAATATCTGGTAAGCTGCATGGACACCAGAAAAGAGGCATCCAAAGCCCCATAATTTTTCTAGGTCTGTCCAGCACTTTTCCTCAGTGAGAGACATCATTTCTACATGATGAAAATATACTGGAAAGGTGTAGATATACTCTTAAGAAAGCGAAGACTAAATTCCTCAGGCTTTTTTGGTCCAAAATTACCACATCTCTTAAAGCCATCCAAATCCTAATGCTCTACTCTCTGTTCAATGGAATCACTAACTCAGTCTCCCAAGCACTTCTAACCTTTTGAAGAGTGACCTAGATATCACTTCTGAGTATGCTGATCACTAGAAGCCTATCACTCACTTTAAGAAACTGGCATTTGTTTTTTCCCTCAATCTGCAAAAGATGTTTACTATGAGTGAAACCTTAAAACAAAAGCCAACCCTCAGTACTCAGAGACAGTTGGTGTTCTAGAGTTGTTGAGCTATGGACTAGACCCTCTGCCATGGCAACTTTCAGGTTCCATCTTTATTTATTTATTTATTTATTTTCTGAGACAGAGTCTCGCTCTGTTGCTCAGGCTGGAGTGCAATGGTGTGATCTCGACTCCCTGCAACCTCCGCCTCCTTAATTCAAGTGATTCTTCTGTCTCAGCCCCTCTAGTAGCTGAGATTACAAGCGCCCGCCACCACGCCCAGCTAAATTTTTGTATTTTAGTAGAGATGGAGTTTCACCATGTTGTCCAGGCTGGTCTCCAACTCCTTACCTCAGGTGATCCGCCTGTCTCAGCCTCCCAAAGTGCTGGGATTACAGGCATGAGCCACCGCGCCCGGCCGAGATTCCATCTTTAATGAGACCATCCTCTAATCCTCCCTCTATTACAGTGATTATCCCAATCTCTTAGAAATCCTGAAATAATTAGTCTGGGGTCATCCTGGGGCATTTCTATTTTTTCACAAGATCCCCTAGTGATTTTAATGTGTAGCCAGGGTTTAGTACACCCATCTCTTTTTAAATTCAACAGACATAAGGCACATTATTCAAATGTTAGCTGAATATTCTGGAAATCCCCAGAAGAGAGCCTAAATTTGTACAAAAAAAAAAAAATAGAATTTTGGCCGGGCGTGGTGGCTCATGCCTATAATCCCAGCACTTTGGGAGGCCGAAGTGGGAAGATCACGAGGTCAGGAGTTTGAGATCAGTCTGGCCAACATAGTTTGAAACCCCGTCTCTACTAAAAATACAAAAAATTAGCCAGATGTGGTGGTTTGCGCCTGTAATCCCAGCTACTCGGGAGGCTGAGGCAGGAGAATGGTGTGAACCGAGGAGGCGGACGTTGCAGTGAGCCAAGATGGCGCCGTTACACTCTAGCCCAGGCGACAGTGCGAGACTCCGTCTCAAAAAAAAAAGAATTTTATACTTCTATAAATAAACCTTATTGAATGAAACATGCATTTCTCCCACTCCTCAAACCACATTACTTTCCCTCAAAGCTAAAATCCTATTACATTATATTAAAATAATGTTTTATTCCATTAAGTTTTTCAGTGACATTTTATGGGACACTATCAATTATGAAAAGCAATTTTCTATAAAACATAATCCTATTATGTTTATATATATATATATATATATATATTTTTTTTTTTTTTTTTTTTTTTGAGACAGATTATTGCCGTTACCCAGGCTGGAGTGCAGCGGCGCAATCTCGGCTCACTGCAACCTCTGCCTCCCGGGTTCAAGCGATTTTCCTGCCTCAGCCTCCCGAGTAGCTGGGATTACAGGCGTATGCCACTACGCCAGGCTAATTTTTTTTGTATTCTTAGTAGAGACGGGGTTTCGCCATGTTGGCCAGGCTGGTCTCAAACTCCTGACCTCAGGTGATCCGCCCGCCTCGGCTTCGGAAAGTGCTGGGATTACAGGCCTGAGCCACCACAGCCGGCGTTAAAAGAATTTTTTATTCAATCAACTTTCTCAGTGATATTTCATGGGACAACTTATAAATTATGAAAAGTCACTTTCTACAAAACATCATTATAAAATATAGTTAAATTAATAAGATTGCTGAAACCTCTGACTGCAAAGACACAAAATGAGATTTATACTGTAAAGAATAATGACAGTGACAGGCCAGGCACACGGTGGCTCATGCCTGTAATCCCAGCACTTTGCAAGACCGAGGTGAGTGTATCACCTGAGGTCAGGAGTTCGAGACCAGCCTGGCCAACATGGTGAAACCCCCATCTCTACTAAAAATACTAAAAATTAGCTGGGCGTGACGGCATGCCTCTGTAATCCCAGCTACTCGGGAGGCTGAGGCACGCACCACTGCACTCCAACCTGGACAACAGAACCAGATCCTGTCTCAAAAAAAAAAGAATAATGACAAAAACTATATTTAAGGAGGTAATTTAACAAGTGCTTCAATTAGTAAATTATTGAAATTAGAATAAGTCCCAAATTCAATAATCAAATCTTTGGGATAATGTACTATCCCACAACATTATTTAGAAACACGCAATTTTATTAACTGATAGTCATAAAGCTAAACTCTAAAAATAATTCAAAAGAGTAATCAAATTTTCAATTTATGGATATCTTGATATTTTTAGGTTTACCTCTAAAATTGCACTGTAAACTTTGTCATATTCACAATACGCAATGAAATTTTTAAAGTGTGAATGAAAAGAGTAAATTATTTTAATTAAAGGAGTTACAGGTATTTCAGCAGCAATATAGTTTTAATCTTTCTTAGGGAAAAAGGCAGAATACACATTGCCTCATCGTCCTCCAACTTTAAAATGTGGCTATACCATTAATTAACACAATTGAATAGGACAAATGAGTAAATTTTACTTAATGTGTCAATTCAACATTATGTTATAGAAGTATGTCCTAAAAATTATAAAGAAATTTAAGGTAAAAAAAAAAAAAAGAGAAATAGTTATGAAACCAAAAGGCTTTAGATTACCTTTCATTCTCTGCTTTTGAAAGGCCTATTTGTTATTGTGTTATTGACATAGTTAATAGCCAAAAGAACGAAACTCTGCCCTTGGTTACAAAGTCTACCAAATAAAAACTGCAAGAATGTAATAAAGGGCATGACTATGAGCAATGTAGAAGAAATTTAAAAAGAAAAAAAAAACAAGTCTAAATCTAGTAATAACAAATAAAAATTACTACAGAGATTAATACCATCAAATCATGTGGCAAAAAACTATTCCTTTTTACAGATTTTCTTTATGTTCAAAGATAATTTATTTAAAATTATCAAACTTAGATTTCACAACCTCTGATCCATGTCTAACATAAAAATGGTTCTTTATAAAAAAGTCTCTGCCGGGCATGGTGGCTAACGCCCGTAATCCCAGAACTTTGGGAGGCCAAGGCAGGTGGATCACCTGAGGTCCGGAATTTGAGACCAGCCTGGCCAACATCGTGAAATCCCGTCTGCACTAAAAATACAAAAATTAGCCAGGTGTAGTGGTGCGCGCCTGTAATCCTAGCTACTTGGGAGGCTGAGGCAGGAGAATCTCTTGAACCCAGGAGGTGAAGGTTACAGTCAGCCAAGATCATGCCACTGCACTCCAGCCCGGGTAACAGAGTGAGACTCCATCTCAAAAAAAAAAAAAAAAAGACTCTATGATCATCTTTAAAATTCATGATTTCTTCATATACTTGCTCCTCAAAAGAATGCCTTTGACACACTTAAAAGAGCTAGTTAATAATGAATGCCCCTTCCTTACTAGTTAGCAGAGAACCTGAAAACTTCCTTATCTTATTCTGCTTCTGAAGGATCTATGTACTCACAGAAAAATGTGACTTCTTACAACAGTCCAGGGAAAAGAATACCTACCTCAATTTACGAGTGAAAACTTGCATGAGAACATTGTTGAACTAAGTAAAAAGTTCCAAAGCAGAAATACTTTCAAGAGAGTCCAGCTACTTCCTAGACTCCTGAGTAAGGGATTTCAATATTTTCAAAGATTACTATTTCTACACTTTCTCCAGAAGTTGACTATAGAGAAAGATAGGGGAGATTAAAAACCAAAAAACAGGCTAGGCGCAGTGGCTCATGCCTGTAATCCCAGCACTTTGGGAGGCTGAGGCAGGTGGATCACTTGAGGTCAGAAGTTCAAGACCAGCCTGGCCAACATGGAAAAACAACATCTCTGCTAAAAATACAAAAATTAGCTGGGTGTAGTGGTGTGCACCTGTAGTCCCAGCTACTCGGGAGGCTGTGGCAGGAGAATTGCTTGAATTTGGAAGGCGGAGATTGCAGTGAGCCAATGTCATGCCACTGCACTCCAGCCTGGGCTACAGAGAAAGACTCCATCTCAAAACAAAAACAAAATAAAACATCACATCATCACAGTGTGATATATCTTAGGGAAAAAACACTTAAGATGAACTTTAATGAAGCAGAAAAGTCCTAACAAATCCAATAATCTAGATTCTATTGTATAACATACTACAATCTCCTTAAAGCAAAGCAGCTAATTTGTCTGATAACCAAATTAAATTAGAGCTGCTCTGAATTTTCATTTTAACTGTGAATTATTTTCCCTACCTTTTTCATTTCTTCAACATATGCAATCATGGCTTCCTCTTTGGTCATATCACCCAGTGAACTCCAAGCATCCCTAGAAATGAAAGTATCCACAAAATGACAAAGAGACATCTGATTTTAATTGCTCAGAATACAATTTATAGTTGATGCTATAGGGTTACTAATTAAAACAGGTTCTACTTAAAGCCATAACAGGATTGTCTTAAATGTGCTACCATGAAGAAAATTATCACAGCAAATAAACTAGCAAATTAAATAGTATTTAAAACAAATAAGTATATAACCCGTCTATGTAGTAATGTACCAGAGACTACAGACCATTCATAAATATTTGATAAGAATCCTTCAAAGTTTTTATATTATTACAAAGAACAGTAACAGAAATACACATTTTAGAAGACTACATTATTGCTTCTCAGGTTTTGGCTAAGATCAAGTGTAGAAGACTACATTAATTGTCACAGGCATGTTTTATTTTTTCTTTTTCTTTTTAATATAAATTTCTCAATAGGCTTTCCGGTAAAGACCGGAAAGCCTGCTAGAAAAATTCTAAAAGAGCTGTAACACTCAGGCATGGGTTTTTTTTTTTTTTTTTTTCTGAGACAGAGTCTCGCTCTGTTGCCCAGGCTGGAGTGCAGTGGTGTGGTCTTGGCTCACTGCAACCTCCACTTCCTGGGTTCAAGAGATTCTTCTGCCTCAGCCTCCTGAGTAGCTGGGATTACAGGCATGCACCCCCACACCCAGATAATTTTTGTATTTTAGTAGAGATGGAGTTTCACCATGTTGGCCAGGTTGGTCTCGAACTCCTAACCTCATGTGATCCACTGTTTTGACCTCCCAAAGTGCTGGGATTACAGGGATGAGCCACTGCGCCCAGCCAGCCATGTTTTAAATGAACAGACATTTTGGTTAACAGGTTCTATTAATTTAAATAAGAGCCTAACTTGTACATTTGAACTAAAAATGGAAATGGTTTCTCACTTCTAGGATACTGAAAATGTGAGAGACAGGAAATTTTTAAACCCCTAAATAATAATAGTTCTTTCAAATTTTTGCCCGACATGTAAACCTCCATTTTTATATGTTTTTCCCCGAAGGAGTTTAACTCCACCAAAGGTCAATTCTAGGGGAAAAACATGAAGCAAATAATTAAATCTTCTTAAAATGGGCAAATCAAATTATATTAAATAATATTTAATACTACTAAAATTAAGTTATATGAAATAATAACATATTACTATTTCATTTAACCTGTTATTTTGTGACAATTCATAAAGATCTTAAAGGAAAGTAGAGAACTAAGAAATCTTAAAACAAGCTTATGGCACTTCCAGTTCAGGGTGAAGAAACTGAGCATCACAGTGTGTGGGGAAAAAACAAACAAACAAACAAAAATGGGCAGGGCACAGTGGCTTATGCCTGTAATCTCAGCACTTTGAGAGGCCATGGCGGGCGGATCACTTTAGGTCAGGAGTTCGAGACTAGCCTGGCCAACATGGTGAAATTCTGTCTTTACTAAAGACATAAAAATTAGCCAGGCGTGGTGGCACGCGCCTGTAATCCCAGCTACTCGTGAGGCTGAGGCAGGAGAATTGCTTGAACTTGGGAGGCGGAGATTCAGTGAGCCAAGATCGCGCCACTGCACTCCAGCCTGGGCGACAGAGTGAGACTCCGTCTGAAGAAAAAAAAAAAAAAAAACTGGTGTGGCATGGTGGTTCACACCTGTAATCCCAGCCAAGGCAGGTGGATCACTTGAGACCAGGAATTTGAGACCAGCCTGGGCAACACATGCAAACCCCGTCTAGGAAAAAATTTAAAAAATTAGCCGGGTGTGGTGGCACAAGCATGTGGTCCCAGCTACTAGGGCGGCTGAGGTGGGAGAATTGTTTGAGCCCAGGAGGCAGAGGTTGCAGTGAGCCATGATGGTGCCACTACACTCCAGCCTGAGTGATGGGAGTGAGACCCTGTGTCCAAAAAAAAGGTGTGGGTTTTAAAACATGCTTCACCACTGGGGCGGGAGCGGGGGGTGGCTCACGCCTATAATCCCACCACTTTGGGAGGCCGAGGCGGGCAGATCACCTGATGTCGGGAGTTCAAGACCAGCCTGACCAACATGGAGAAACCCTGTCTCTACTAAAAATACAAAATTAGCTAGGCGTGGTGGCGCATGCCTGTAATCCTAGCTACTCAGGAGGCTGAGGCAGGAGAATCGCTTGAACCTGGGAGGCAGAGGTTGCGGTGAGCTGAGGTCACGCCATTGCACTCCAGCCTGGGCAACAAGAGTGAAACTCCATCTCAAAAATAAATAAATAAATAAAACATGCTTCACCAATTAGCATATTCTGTTCATAACGTACAGTCTAAAATTGACTTTTCTCAGACATTTGTGAAGGCTTCAATTGTATTAGAGTATCAACTGTTAGTCAACTGGGAAAACAGCACGGATGAGTACAGGTACCTGTATCTATAATTCTTTTAGTTTATAGTTTATAATTCATTTAAGTATACTTTTTAGTTTAGAATTCTTTTAAGTATATAAAAGATCAAATTTCTATTCAATTACAGTAGGTCAGAAGTGACAGCTTAGATAAAAAGTTAGCATGGCAGTACCTGAGTCATATTCCTAGTTATTTATTATCTTCAAGGCTCAGTACAAACAAGGAAAAGCCATTATTTTTCTTGCAGGCAAAAGAGGCAGTTAAAAGTTTGTTTATTTAACTTAGGTTGGGAGTTGCTCTTGCCTTAAAAAAAAAAAAAAAAAAAGGGAAAACTCCATGAAAGTAAAGATTAACTGATAATGCTTCTTTATCTTTGATGCACCTATCCCTTTTGGTTTTACTGTTTTCCTCTCCTCCCCAAGATTTTCCTATTTGTGTAAAATTGTACTAAGAGCACCTGGGAAGGCTGGGCATGGTGGCTCACGCCTGTAATCCCAGCACTTCGGGAGGCCGAGGTGGGCGGACCACCTGAACCCAGCAGTTCGAGACCAGCGTGGCCAACATAGTGAAACCCTGTCTCTACTAAAAATACAAAAATTAGCTGGGTGTGGTGGCGCGCACCTGTAATCCCACCTACTCAGGAAGATGAGGCAGGAGAATCACTTGAACCCAGGAGGCAGAGGCTGCAGTGAGCCGAGATCCTGCCACTGCACTCCAGCCTGGGCAACAGAGTGAGACTCCATCTCAAAAACAAACAAACAAAAAAGAAAACCTGGAGGATAAAAATTGTACCCAATACCTAGGACACTTTCTGCACAGAATAATATATAACCACTTAAGTAATAGCCATATGATAATTATGTCATTAAAATTTAAATTCTTGCATAGCTCTACACAAAAAATTACCATTTATATCTTCCAATAGGATCCCAAAATCCAGGCCTTGAAAGTTTACAGGGTCCTTCAGTTGCCTGCTTATAGAAGCTATAAAATTTAAGCATCATTTCATTTGTTGGCTGGAATGAACCTGTTGGAAACACACATTAAATACAAATCACCTGGGGAATACAACTGATAATCAGGTTATAAATTAGCTTAGCTATACTAATAGTGATTTTATATTGCATTAATACTTTAGATAATGATTTATTTCTAGCTTATAGAAACAAAAGTTATGGTTCTGTTAGTTGCTTGCTTCTTTGATTTCAAAACACTCTGAGATTTTAAACTTTAATAGCAATGCCTAAGATGGTTCAATAAATAAAAGAATACATGAATAGACATGCTGTAGATATAACCAAAATAACCTGCAAATGTCTCTTTAAAAACATACTAAAATATAGAATAACTATTATTAAGCAATCGTAATAAGGTACTTTTATTCAAAGCTTATGACAAATCAAAACTGACTAGTGTAAGTGAAAAAGTTATATGTATACTCTGCCAAATTTCAAATTCTCAGTAGATAAGGAATTTGGGGCTAAAGCCAAAGAGTATACACTATGGTAGAAAAAGAATTAATCTAAGATAAAATAGATTTCTCACTTCCTACCTCTGTAATTTTGGAGACATCAATTTGAGGATAATTCTTCATATATGTTTCTAGCATATCTATAGTTTTTCTCATGTTTAAAATTTTTAAATTGGCCAGTTGTGGTGGCTCATGTCTGTAATCCCAGCACTTTGTGAGGCTGAGGTGGGTGGATCACCTGACCCCAGGAGTTCAAGGCCAGCCTGGGCAACATAGCAAAACCCTGTCTCTACAAATAAAAACAAAAATTAGCTGGGTGTGATGGCACACCCTGTAGTCCCAGCTACTCAGGAGCCTAAGCAGAGAGGATCTCCTGAGCCTGGGGAGGTCAAGGATGCAGTGAGCTGTGATCACACCACTGCACTACAGCCTCGGTGACAGAGAAAGACCCTGTCTCAAAAAAAAAAAAAAAAAAATCAAATTGTATAAGCAAGTGCTATAAGTTGCAGTATTCTCAATAACTGAAAAATTGGAATGTTAATGTTTTATAATAGCTGTTTAAATAATTATGATATATAAATATAACAGGACAATTTATAACTGTAGCCCTAAAAAGTTATATTGTAGAAAAATATAAATAATGGTATAAGTTCCATGATCTACTATAAATTTAGAAAAATAAGTTTAAAAACAACATATGTAATATGATACCTTTTGGCAAAATATTTATATACATAAAAAGTACAGTAGAAAGATAAACATAAAATGTTTAAAGACTATCTCTGAATAGTAAGTATACAAATTATTTTCCTTTTCACTTATGTGTTTTTAAAAAAGTTTTAAACATCAGTGTATATTACCTTTATAACAAAATTTTAAAAATAACAATTGTAACAAGATATTTTTTAAAATTTGTAAATTGCATAAGCTAGCAGTTTATAAGAGCTGTGGGCCGGGCACAGTGGCTCACACCTGTAATCCTAGCACTTTGGGAGGCCGAGGCAGGCGGATCACCGGAGGTCAGGAGTTTAAGACCAGCCTGGCCAACATGATGAAACCCCGTCTCTACTAAAATACAAAAATTAGCCGGGCATGACGGTGGGTGCATGTAATCCCAGCTACTCAGGAGGCTGAGACAGAATTGCTTGAACCTGGAAGACGGTGGTTGCAGTGAGCCAAGATCACACCACTGCACTACAGCCTGGGCAGCTGAGCAAGACTTGGTCTCAAAAAAAAAAAAAAAAAAAAAGCTGTGCTGTGGAAATTACCACAGAGATAAACTGAGAACTAGTGTTTCAGGTTTGGCCGAGAGTGCATAATTAATTCTCAAATCACTATAATAATTATCTGTATAATATATGCACATTTAGGAGTACCTAATAGATAGTGTTCTAATGATACAATCCTTTATAAAGCAGAGGGAAAAAAATGGAGAAACCACAGTTTAAAATGGTCACTTATTTAAATAACACAAATCTAAATTTAAAACATCAAAAGTCTAATCTCAAAATATCTTCAGTAAGTCAACCAAATATGTTTATTGGCTTAGGTGAATGATATTAAAAATACAAAAACCGAGAACATTTATTGAGTGTAGTCTGTGTGTAAGACACTCAAGTAAGATTTCTGTCCTCAAGGTGCTCACACATGATGTACTTCATATGTATTTGAAATATTAGCTAAGAATTTTAATTTTAAAAGGTTAAGGTCATACCAAACATAGATGTCATAGGATTCATTACTATTTCAGGCCTTAAATAAGGATTGAGAAACAAGGAACAAAAAACTCCAAGATCTTGCTCTTTGCATAATGATTCAGAGCAAATCAAATGGTTTAAAAGTAGTATTACAAAAATATTTATAATCCATTATAACAAACTTCTGCTTCAATTAATATCAACTTAGTTTCAGGGGATAACAGTATACTGGATGTTGTCCAACACAAGTACCATTTGATAGGATATCTTTTTTTTTTTTTTTTGAGTTGGAGTCTGGCTCTTGTCACCCAGGCTGGAGTACAATGGCGCAATCTCAGCTGACTGCAACCTCCGCCTCCCGAGTTCAAGCGATTTTCCTGCCTCAACCTCCCGAGTAGCTGGGATTACAGGAACTCGCCACTACACTCAGCTAATTTTTGTATTTTTAGTAGAAGTGGGGTTTCACCATGTTGGCCAGGCTGGTCTGGAATTCCTGATCTCAGGGCCTGCCTCGATCTCCCAAAGTGCTGGGATTACAGGTGTGAGCCACCACGCCTGGCCTGATAGGGTATCTTTTTTTTTAAATTTAATTTAATTTAATTTTATTTTATTTTTTCGGAGACGGAGTCTGGCTCTGTCACCCAGGCTGGGGTGTGATCTAGGCTCACTGCAAGCTCCGCCTCCCGGGTTCACGCCATTCTCCTGCCTCAGCCTCCCGAGTAGGTGGGACTACAGGCGCCCACGACCACGCCTGGCTAATTTTTTGTATTTTTAGTAGAGACGGGGTTTCACCGTATTAGCCAGGATGGTCTCAATCTCCTGACCTTGTGATCCGCCAGCCCCGTGATCAGCCCGCCTCAGCATCAGCCTGCCTCGGCCTCCCACAGTGCTGGGATTACAGGCGTGAGCCACCGCACCCGGCCGATAGGGTATGTTAACTTTGCAATACTTTCTTAAATGTTATGTACATACAAACTGTACTTTATACAGGTTTCCTAATAAGTGGTACATAATGTCAACAGGCATAGTGGCCTAGAGACATCAGTCTAGCTTTACCAATTTTCAAAAAACTATAAAAACGTGTGCTTTAGAAGAAAGTATAAACATACTACTTACATAAAACTCTTAGAATCATACCTTTCTATAAACACTAATAATTAGGGACTTAAAAAATCAATACCTAAATAAGTTCATGCTTTTTTTTATATTTTATTTGTTCTTTCTTATCTTTCAGTCCCCCATATGCCCTCCTCCAATAGAATGTTTGAAATTACAAAAGGTTCAGACAACACCATAGAAGGAAAGAAATTACAAATGGAACACTATTTTGTGTATATTTGTTTTTAAAAATTTCTGAATCTGCATTTAATGAATTTTTATTGAATGATGTGTTGAATATTTGTTACCTATAATTATTGAAATTATTGATAATTAATGATAATTAATGAAAACAGAAATCATGATATTAAATACTATAGTAACATATTATTGTTGTATTCAGTTAGTTTTACAACTGTGGCACAGTAGTAGCACCTATAATTACTTTCTAAATATGTTTATTGGGCCGGGCGCGGTGGCTCATGCCTGTAATCCCAGCACTTTGGGTGGCCCAGGAGGGCAGATCACCTGAGGTCGGGAGTTCAATACCAGCCTGACCAACATGGAGAAACCCCGTCTCTACTAAAAATACAAAATTAGCCGGGCATGGTGACGCACGGGTGTAATCCCAGCTGCTGGGTAAGCTGAGGCAGAAGAATCGCTTGAACCTGGGAGGTGGGGGTTGAGGTGAGCTGAGATTGTACCATTGCACTTCAGCCTGGGCAACAAGAGCGGAACTCCATCTCTAAAGAAATAAATATGTTTATTGTGAAATATAATTCATATAATGTAGAAAGATATGAATTGAAAAGTACGTCTTGCTTCTAAGACTCTGCATTTAGAACAGAGAAAAATATTTAATGGCCAAAAACTTCACATTGGTCTATGACATAAAATTACAAATTCAAAAAGCTCTGCAAATCGTGAACAGGGTTAATATGAAGAAAAACCACATCTACTAGTCAAATTGCTGAAAACCGAAGATAGAAAAGAAATCTAAAAAGCAGCCAGAGAAATAGCACATTAAATACAAGAAGGAGATCAGCCACTGGAATGACTTTTTTCTCACCAGCTGCAAAGAAGGTCCAATATGAGTATAAAAAAGAACATTATACAATGGAATAGCAAATAAAAAGGTAGAAAATATATATTTATTAAAATAGAAATTACTTCACAATTGACTATAGTTATTCTTTCTTTTCTGTCCCTTCATATCAAAAGTTTTCAAAACGCTTAAGCTGGTAGACCCTATGAGTGTGTGGCATTAGGCATCCCCAGCCTAGATTTTTGTTTGTTTGTTTGTTTGTTTGTTTGAGATGGAGTCTGGCTCTGTCGCCCAGGCTGGAGTGCAGTGGCACGATATCGGGTCACTGCAACCTCTGCCTCCCGGGTTCAAGCAATTTCCCTGTCTCAGCCTCCCGAGTAGCTGGGACTACAGGCGCACGCCACGAAGCCTGGCTAATTTTCGTATTTTTTAGTAGAGACGGGGTTTCACCATATTGGTCAGGCTGGTCTTGAACTCCTGACCTCAGGTGATCCATCCACCTCGGCCTCCCAAAGTGTTGGGATTACAGGCTTGAGCCACCGCGCCCGGCCCGGATTTATTTTTTAACACACCCAAATCCGCAGTCATTAAGTGACAAGACTTTTGTTTTCAACAATATGAAGTACTTAAAATCTGGATATTAGATTTTTCTCCGGTTTGGAAGATCAAAAGGTAATTAATTCATATTCAATAGCTCCCCTTCCACTACATGGCTCCTACACAGAAAAAAAGGCTAAATAAACAACACTAGAACCAGAAAGTGAAAGGGGGCTTTGGGGCTCTCTGCAGGAGGCGTCTACAGCCGGGGCCCAGCGCACGTACCATTCTTCGGCAAACTCTGGATCACCTTCACGGCCGCCTCAAACCTAGTCTCGTGCACGGATCTCGTGTCCGCCATCTCCAGCTGCCAGTGTTGGCCCCGGTCCCAAGGTCTGTCGGCGGGAATCAGGCAGCAGCAGCACCAGCTTTCCCAAGAGCCTGCATGAAACTGGAACATGGAGCGCAGCCGCGGATCAACATGCCCCAAAAGGAGGAGGCCCGGGAGCGAAGCGGGTCAGTTCCCCTTTGCCCTGCCCTATCCAGGCCACACAGATCGAAGCGGCCCGGCTCCTTCCTCCTCCCCCGGGGCGTGACTAAGGCCACGAATCCGGCCCGCGACGACAGCAAAACAACTCACCGAGAGGAAGAGCATGTCTAGCAGAAGACAGAGGGGGTCCGGGCATCGGTGGCCGCGGAGCCGCTCTCCCACCCTGGGGACCCTGGCGGAGCAGCCACACCCCCCATTCCGCCGGAGTCCGTCTGTCAGTCCGTGCCCTCCCCACAGCCCCGCCCCAGAGTCACCGGAGGACCCACTGGCGCCGCCGCCGCCGCAGCAGCAGTGCAGCAAACCCCACCCACCCGACCCGCCGCCGCGGCAAGGACGCGCGCGGTCCGTCTGTCCCCAGAGGAGGGTCCGGGAAGCGGGGAAAGGGGGCCACAGTCCCGGCTTGGTGCGGGGAGCACACTGTGCGCGCTTTTGTTCAGAAGGGGGAAACCGAGGCCGGACCGATGTGTCCGCTCTGGCAGCCGGGTGGACGAAGTGCGCGCTGGGGATGCGCGGTTGGGTTCTGCACCTGGGCCCAAAGCTGCACGCGACGGCACCGCTGGGCAACAAAAATGACTCTGCGGTCCCCAGCGCCTGCACTCTCCTAAGTTAAGGTTTGAGGAAGTTAAATGGGGCCTAAGCAAAGGGCTTTAAGTCGGGACAGGTTCTGTGAGAAACTCCAGTTCTGCCATTTAAATTATGTGACCTAGGGCAAGTCACTTAGCCTTTCCAGTGGCAATCGTGACACCCACTCTAAAGGGTAGATGGAGAAAAGCATTGGGGACCTTGGATGGAGGTGCTCAGCAGTCCCTGGCCCGCAGGTCTTCGACAGTTTTCGCTGCCCTGAGCCAAGAACGTCCGAGGAGCAGCCGAAGGAGAGAGGAGGTCGCCGGCTCCTAAACTGGGCTGGGACGGAGGGCAACTTCCCCTACACTACCCTTTCCACCCAGCCCCAGGGAGCCAGGCACCTCCAGCGGGATTTAATAGGAGACTGGGCATGGGGACGGCCGGGCACAGTGGCTCACGCCTGTAATCTCGATACTTTGAGAGGTCGAGTGGGGAGGATTGCTTGAGGCCAGGAGTTCAAGACGAGCCTGGCAACATGGCGATACCCTGGCTCTATTTAAGAAACCAATAATTAAAAAAAAAAATAAAAATAGGATACTGGGCGTAGAGGGCGGGGCCAATGAGGAGTCTTTACGGGTCGTCAACCCTAGAAAGGGGGTGCCCTGGGCCTTCAACTTACTAGCGCAACCCCCTGCGTCCTTAGGCATTTGGGAAGTGCCCCAGGCCGAACGTTGGTGGTGGGACTGACTAGGTTGTGGGGGGTGGAGTCCTGTAGCCCGGAAATCCCAAAGTCTCCCGGATGGAAGAGTCGTTTTTGTCAGTTAGGGGGATGGGTTAGGAGGGTTACTAGGAAAAATCTAGGCGCAGATCGTAAGTTACTCTTCCCTCTGAGCCGCGGCGCCGGCATTTACCTTGGTATTGCCGGACAAGGCCTGTCCGGTAATGTCCCCGACGCCCGCCCCTCGCCCTGCCCCGCGGGCTTATGGGAAATGTAGTCCGCCGTTCCGCCGCGCTTCCGGACACGTCCCAGCGGCGTCCGGCGTTCCTGCTAGCTCTTCCGGTTAGGCGTCTCTGTCCCGCGGACGCCGCAGCCGTGCGGCGGAATCCCTCCTTCCTAGCCGGTTGCATTTCGTGCCTCTTTGAAATGCCACATTCGCTTCCAGCTTAAGTGTCTTGAGATTGTCGCGGTGTCTGCAGCTGCGGCTTCTCCAGCGCCCTCCGGAGGCTTTGCTTCGGGTTTGTCTAATACAACACAGGGGGAAATCATTTGATCGTGGACGTTTCACGTTTCTTTGTCTTCAAAAATGAAGAGGACATTTTGTAAAATTATCACACAAAGATGAGAAATAGATTAGAGAACCAACTTTGGGTTGTAAATACTAAAGAATTCCAAATGGTAATGTATGAATGGCTAAAAAGCAGTGACACTTATCTAACGCGTTATTACTTTATTCCATAAAAGGAACAAACCTAAATTGAAGGAATATTCATTTCCCCCTTATTGGATTTAATAGAACCCTTTTCATTTTTAATGGGAAATAATCAATGTGACCTATAGATGTTTCAATTTTTTTTTTAAATAAATAAACCTCTTTAGGGTGATTTCTGGTGGGATTGAGGAAAATGAACGGGTTTAGGGTTATCTTGGCCCAAAGTCTATCTTGGATTTGCCGCTAGTTCACTGTGTGACTGCGTCAGGAAACAAGCTCTGAAAAATTTCGTTTTCTCCAATAAAGTATGTGAAATTACCTAGCATGTAGTAGCCTTCAAGATTTTTGTATTTCCTCTTTTTTGATACTTAGCTGAGCAATAAATATTGGACAGCAGCACCAGGGAAGAATCTGAATCAGGCAGGGAGGATGAGCACTGCCCAGGAGGAAAAAGCGAAAAGGAAAGTGTGCTGAGCAGGTGCCTTGGCGGGGGAGAGAGGAAAAGGAAATGACTTCACACACACACACACACACACGCGCACACACACACAGAGAGAATGAAGTTTCTTTCTGTCTCTTAAGTGATGTGTGAGTGGATGGACAGATTGCCCTCAGCTTTAAGGGCAGTTCAGGATGATCTGTCTTAAGATCGATGCTCTGTGGAATGAGAAAAATGCGCTCTGCAGGGCATGCCCACTGCATGTGCTGGGAGGCTCTCCTACATCCAATGGGCAGATGCGCAGTCTCCACGGAGGCCTCAGGCCTCGGTGTGAGCCAGGGCTGCTTCAAACATGTCGGCTATCTAAAGTAAGTCCCAGCAGGGGTCATTTATTTAAGGACCGTGGTGCTTTCCATGGCTGATTTGCTGGTAAATGACAGGTGTGAGTGTAGTGAACATGTCTTGCCTCCACCTACTTCACCCACCATCCTGTGCATCATGGAAACCTGTCTCGATGATCAGCAGCCATGTGTGGTGGGGTGGAAAGGACAGTCTCCAGAGACAGAATCCTGGGACCATCCCTGACTTTGCAACTTACTAGCTTTCTTGCCACACTATTTAGTTTTTTCAAGCTGTAATTTCCTTAAAATGGGGAATATGATCAATCTCTATCCCACAGAAAATTTGGAGCACATGAGTTCATTCAAGTAAAGTATACCATTAGCAGGCCATAACACAGGCACGAAGAAGGAAATACAATAATTTGTGCGTGTGTGTGGTGGGTTAAGTGTCACATCTTCATAAAATTCAACCCTACCCCCATTTCAGTCACTTGTCAGAGAGGAAAGCCAAGAAGCCAATTCCAAGAGTTTAGTGTGACATCAGTGTCTAGGTCATCTAAATCTGGCCATCTTTCTGCCATACCTATCTAAGTCCTGTGGCAATTAACACAGTAGAGCTATATTTGCATAAGTAACTTTATAGTCTCTGTGTATATGCTGAGCAGAGCTGATTCATTTTACAATCATTTGCACTTGTCATAGAGCTCCTTCAATACTACTACCCAAACATGTTGGACAAAGAAAAGAAGATAGACACTTTTGTTTTGTTGCTTGTTTTCTACTGATTTTGTAATACTGTATTTTCAACTTCTTAGCGACATTGGCCCCATGTTAAAGGCCTATGTCACACAGCCTGTTGTGAATAAGAAGTTTTTTTTAACAGTTGCCCTTGCAATAATAAACTTCTATTTGCATTGAAAGCAATGTTATTGCCCTTTCCATATAAAATTGTACTCATAGATCATTTTAAAGTAACACATTTTTTTTTCTTAAAGAGATGAAATTGGAAAATAAAGTGGTAATAGTGTGTTTAATTTGTAAGTAAACCCTAGGAACACAATTCATTTTACTTTGTTATTATCACAAAACAGTAAAAATTTATCTTGTTTTTAACAGATTCCGATTATTAACAAATCCGATTTGTATCCTATTTATGTATTTGTCACATACGTGAAAGTCGTCTTTTTCTTCTTGCTAGAGACCTAAACTGTGATGATCAAATTGAACAGTATAAACAAGCAATTAGATGATTAATTTGCTACAACCTACTCCGAAATATGAGACATTTTATCCACTTATGTATATTCAAGGCCAAGGTTATCAATAAAATACAGGCAGAAGTTATGCCGAATGAAAAATAAGACATACACCTGTGTAATCGTCAAGTCTGTTTTTTTCTTATTTTCTCACATCATTCAAGTCATCAAAATTTTATTGCTTATTACATGACAAGAAATACAATGTTAGACATGAAATGAATAAAGAAAATTCTCTATCAAGAAATTTACAATGTGGAGAAAAAGATGCAGTAATATAACATTATAATACAATATAATCCAATGCATATCATATACTGCAATGAATTCTATGAAAGATTTGTTAACAAAGTGCTTGGGGAAAACAGAGGAGGTATAGTGACTCCTGATCCTGGCTTCTGGAGAAGACCAGAAAATATTAGAGAGGATGAAGCATATTTACTGACCTTGAGGAACAAGGAGGATACATTCTGTGGGAAAGAGGTGGGCTGGGCACAGTGACTCACATGTGTAATCTGAGCACTTTGGGAGGCCAAGGCAGGAGGATCGCTTGCACCCAGGAGTTTGAGGCTACAGTGAGTTATGATCACACCACTGCACTCCAGCCTGGCCAGTAGAGCAAGGCCCTGTCATTACCAAAAAAAAAAAAGTTGGGCATTCCACATAGACCACATGCAAAGGCAGAGGAGGAACAGAGTTTTGGGAGATAAAGAGGATTTGGAAGGAACATAGAATGTATGACAAAAATTAGTGAGATGAGAATTTGGAACAAAACTTGGAGGCACCTTGTCAGAAATTCAGACGTTATCATGGAGGCTTTAGAGAGCCATTACCTAAATTTGAACAGGGCTGTGGTGATACTTTTTTCTAAAAAAAACAACACAACAAAATTGAGAGCACTTGGGAGGAAGAATTTGGAAATGGCAGAATCACCATAAAGGTGGAAAATATTTACTTTTGACTAAATTGCTAAATTGAGGCATGTTAAATAGAGAATTCATGAGTGTGTTTTTAAAAGAGCCTAAGCTTCTTGAATTATTATTCACTTTAGTTAGAATCACTGCAGTTCTATGCATAAAATTAAGACAAAAAGACAAAACAGATACATTGAAAGTTAAGAAAACTGAACAAGTAGATTAGTCTATTCTTCCAGTGTCTTGTGGACTTCTCAGGATGATAAAGAAATTCTACTATGTCACTGTTAGTGCACAATATATAATATACTAATGATTTTTTTTCACCAAGAACAATGGTATTTAATTGTAAAATCTCCACCCCCTGAGGATATGTTTTCAGGTCTGGGTGATTAATTAGACTGGGAAACAAAGGAGGGAACGACGGCCCTGTGCTTCCTCCGCCGGCTGCCTCTGTGGATGCGTGGGCCGCTGGCTTCAGTCCTGCTTTTCTTTCTGATGGCCCTTGTTGTTTACGCTAAGTATTTTTGCAGGACGCCTGAGGTGGGCTGGGGTCACTCTGTGTTCTCCTCCCGTGGCAGGGCTTCACTCTCCTCCCCGTTCTCTGTTGGGGTTTCGCTGTCCTCATCAGATGGGGATCTCATCCTCATTAGATGACTTCTTGTGCAGCTTCCATGCCTGGTTATTTACTCTTGTGGCACTGAGAGGTTTGTACATATCTTTAAGCCAGAGTGGCTGTCTGAATGAGAAAGATTCATCCTGAGTCTCACTTCGTGAAGAGCATCTCCTCTGTGGCAGAAATCTGAAAATGCCCCTTGAGAATCCTTCTCCATCTTCTTGTGATGACCATCGGTGAGAATAAATCTCAATGAGGCAAAAAATTATAATCAAAGTCGTTAGTATTTCGGTCACAAATATTGCCAAGATGAGTTTGTTGTTATAGCCATATCCTGGAACTTCTTTTGTGAGCTCACTCGACTTCTGCTCTTTCTGTTCATTCTGGGCTTCTGTGCTGTCATTGATATAGTTCTCAGTTTTCCACTGGTCCGTATCCCATTCTGCCTTGGACACCTTTACTTCTTGCTGCTCACTGAGAAGCTTCATCAGGAGGCCTGTCCTGGAGATGAGCTTGGCACAGGTCAATTGCACATGGGTCTCAGAGCAGTCCATCTTCAAGGTCCGGATAACATGAGAAATGAGCCTTCTCACATTGTTGTTGGGGATGAGGGAACGTGGCTGTTGGGTTAGCTGAATTTCAAACTGATCACCTGGGGACGAGAACAATGGGTAATTGAAGCTTTTGGGCTCGGGGGACAGGTCAGTGCCCACGTTGTTGTATTCCCATTTTGTCTCAGTTTGCTTAATAGTTGGCCCTAAGTTGAATGCAGTCCCAGCGGAATCTGCCTCAGGAGGATGATTGTGGGTTGTGTTTTCAGAGATGGTGCCTTATGGCCTAGTAGTGTTTTCCATAAAAATGTTTTCTTCAAAGGCATTTCTTGCAGTTGTGTTTTTTACATTAGTGTTTTCTATAAAACGTTCTGAAGGAGCAAATACTTCTGGAAAAGGATTTTCCTGAGGACTCGGGTCTCCTAAAGATGAAAAAGCCCTTTGGGAAAGGGAATTTATGAGGCTCTTCACTGCAGAGAATGGAGGCCTCTTTGCGAGCATCAGTCTAATGAGGTAATTTTTCTTTCTGAACTTTGGACTCTTTTTGGCCTTGAGTGTTCTGTGGGCCATGCGGGAGCAAGTTTTATGAAAGCAGTATTTTTTTCTGGAATGTACGATTGGTTTAGCAGCCTTCATATTTTTAACTCTAGCCTTTGCATTTTCTAAAATGAAAATGGTGTAGGTTAAGTCTTTTGCTCTGTCTCTGACCTGAGGTAGGGCTTTTGCAGGGGTGGAGGCAGAAGGCACACCCATGGAGAAGGGTTTCAGCACAGAGGAGACTGCGGCCTTATGCTCTTGGATGAATGAAGGCTTGGTGTAGATGGTGTTTCCCACTAACTTGTCAGGCCCCTGCTCTATGTGAGGCTGTCTCAGCTCCCTTGGGGCTGGACTCCCGAGCCTTTTTTCTTTGGCAGCGTTCTCTGCAAATGCCTGGGCACCCTGTTCCCTCCTGATCCTCTGCTTTCCACCTCTTTGAAGTGCCTTTTCAAGATGCTCCTTGGGCCCATGAGGACTCTGTTCACTCTCTGCAGGTTTTTGCCTACACTTTGAATCTTTGCCAGGCTGCTTTCCTGTGGTTAGATAGTTTCTAATTTCTTTTCAAATATTTGGCATTTAAATTTGTTACCTAGAAGGCTGGACTGCATAAGCATGGCAGTTTTTTCTTCCCTTTTAACTTCATCAATTTTTTCTTGTATTTCTGCATCTAACATACTTTCCAGCAAATACAGCTTTCTCAATTTATTTTCATAAGTTGAGTTGTTGGATGCAGGTTGAAGAGAGGGGCTCTTTGTATTGTTATTCAAAATACCCAGGAGCCTATCTCCATCTTGCACATTTGAAGAAAGCAGATTAATGAAGGGTAACAACATTGATTTCACATCTAGATTTACCGCTGAGAAATAAAGCAAGATGTAACTTAGTGCACTGATAACATCCCTCTCATCATTGGTGTCTAGCTGCCCACTCCCAAAGCCTGACAAATTGATGCCATTGCTGTCTGAGGCTGCCTCCGGCTCAATAGTCAGCTCAGTGCTCGTGTGCTTCTTCTGGGCTTGTAACACCTTCATGAACACTCCTGGATTCTCTACAGATGCTTCTTCAGACAATGTATGGTGTTTGTCAGAAATGCACTGCTGCAATGCAGCTTGACTGTCTTGCAGACAGCCTCAGTGCTATTTTTAAATTGGCAGAGGCAGCAGGTCATATGGCTAGGTAAGATCAGTTTCTCCAGTTCAACAGTCATCACGAGAATGTTCTCAATTGTTGTAAGTGGGACTTGCATTGTTCCCGTGTCTAGATATTTAAATGCTGACAATTTAAAGAGATATGGATCTTCAACAGTTGTCAGAGGATTGCGATTGAGAATTAACTTGTGTAAAAACTGCATTCCATGCCAGGCCTGAAATGTTCCAAAGCTCAGTTCTGTGAGTAAATTGCAACCAAGATTTATAAACTGCAAAAATGGTAGTGGTTCAAATGTATGTCTTTCGATAGACTGTATTTTATTGCAGGATAAATCTAAATACTGGAGGGATAGCAGGCCTTTAAATGAATCGTTATGTAATTCAGTCAAATAATTTTCATTGAGAATTAGTTTCCCGGTCCAACTGTATGCTTTCCATACATTTCCATCAATGTAAGAAATATAGTTTCCTTGGAAATTTAAGATGGTGAAGGTGCCATGGTAGGTGTTGGGCTCTGGCACAGGCACTTGGCAGAGCCTCTGTTTTGGGCTGAGATCAATACACGACAGCGTCTCACCTCCGCAGGTACAGAGCTCACATATGTTGGTGCTTGTGGAGGCCTACTGTTCCTCTGGTGCGGTTAAAGCCTTATTTTGGGCGTAACTTTCAGACTGCACCAGTGAATCCTGAGTAGGTTCTAGTTCAGTAGGTGGACCTGTGACTTCAGTCAGTTTTCGATGCAGAGTCTGAACCTGGTCTGGATGAGGAGCTGTAGTCTTCTCCAGGGCTGTAGAATGTCCAGTCTCTGTAGTGGGCTCTGGAGTTATGGCAAGCCCCAGGTCTGGAGGCTGAGTTGAGGTCTCCTCCGTGGTTGGAGACGGTTTAACCTCTGTAGTAGGTTCTGTAGTTATGGTAAGCTCCAGGTCCAGAGGTGGAAGTGTGACTTGAGTCAGGTTTGAATGCTGAGCCCGACCCTTGTCTGAAGGTGGAAGTGTCACCTCAGGGTGTTCTGGAGGAGGAGCTGTAGTCGTCAGGGCTGCAGAAGGTTCAATCTCTGTTGTGGATTCTGGAGTGGTGGTAAGCCCCAAATCCAAAGGTTGAACTGTGGCTTGAGTCAGGTTTGAATGCTGAGTCTGAACCTGGTCTGGATGTGGAAGTGTCACCTTAGGGTGCTTTGGAGGAACTACATTCTTCTTCAGGGGTGTAGAATGTCCAACCTCCGTAGTGGGTTCTGGAGTGATGGTAAGTCCCAGGTCCAAAGGTTGAACTGTAATGCTGGGTGACATTGGATGCTGAGCCTGATCCTGACCTGGTGTTGGAATTGTAACCTCTTGATATACTGGAAGTTGGGGTACAACTTTCTTAGGAGGATGAGTTGGGGTCTCCTGCATGGTTGGAGAAAGTTCAACTTCTGTTGTGGATTCTGGAGTGATGGTAAGCCCCAGGTCCAAAGGTTGAACTGTGGCTTGAGTCAGGTTTGAATGTTCCGGAGATTGAGCTACAACTACATTAGGGAGCTCTGGAGTCTCAGCTGGGGCCTCCTGCTGGGTTAGAGAAGACTTACCCTTCTCAGCAGTCTGTGGATGCTCAGCTGCAGCTTCCTGCTGGGTTGGAGAGGGGTTCTCATTATTAATAGGTTCCGGAGATTGAACTGAAGTCTCCTGTTGAATTGCTAAAGGTCCAGCATCTTCCGGTGACTCTGGAGGAAGAGGTGGGCCCCCGTGCTGGATAGTGGGAGGTTCTACATCATTACCTGGTCCTGAGAGCTGAGCTGTAGCCTCCTGGTGGACTGGAGAAGTTCCCACCTCTGCACTAGGCTCTGTTGCTATGGTGAGCTGCATGTCTGGAGGCTTAACAGAGACATTGGGCAAATCTGAATGCTGAGTTTGATGGTGACCTGGAGGTGAAACGGTGACTTCATGATGTTCTGGAGGCTGAGCTGGGGTCTCCTGCTGGGCTGGAGAAGATTCAACCTCCCCAGAAGGCTGAGCTGGCTGCTCCTGCTCACTGGGGGAAAGTTCAGGCTCTACAGGAGGACCTGGAGGCTCAGTTGGGGCCTCCTCTTGGTTTGCAGGAGGTTCCATCTCTTCTGGAGGCTGAGCTGGGGTCTCCTGCCGAGTCTGAGAAGATTCAACCTCCCCAGAAGACTCAGAAGGCTGAGCTGGCTGCTCCTGCTCACTAATGGAAAGTTCACGCTCCGTAGGATGACATGGAGGCTCGGTTGGGGCCTACTGTTGGGTTGCAGAAGGTTCCACCTCCTCTGGAAACTGAACTGGAGCCTCCTGCTGGGCTTGGGAAGATTCTTTCTCATTGGTAGGCTCCGAAGTTATGGTAACCTCCACATCTGCAGGTTTAACTGTAATGTTGGGCAAGTTATAATGAGCTTGATCCTCACCTGGAGGTTGAACTGTCACCTCATGATTTGGTAGAGTTTGAGCTAGACTCTCCATAGAGGACTCTGGAGGCAGAGCTGGGGCCTCCTGCTGGGTTGAAGAAGGAGGTGTGGAAGCTGCTCTGGGGCTTCTTCCTGGAGTGAAGAGGACTGGATATCTTCAAGGGTCTCTGGATTTTGAGTTTCAGGCTCTAGATGGAATTGAGAAAGTCCAACTTACTCAGGGGACCCTGGAGGCTCATCTGAGTTCACCCGGAGTTCTGGAGGCAGGCTGCCAGGATACTGTGTATCCATACTCGAATATTCATCCTGCAAAGTCTGTTTCTAACGCTGTGGTTTGGATAATTGCTGTGGAATTCCAACAATATCAGCAATGCTCCAATGCTGAGCTAGATCTTTCTTCAGGTTCCTGGGTGAAACAAACAATAAATAAATTTGGTTGGTTTTGAAACCTTACTGTCTAGTGGAACAAGTATTTCATCTGCCTGATGACCTGCAGCCCCATCTAGATCTGCAGTTTGAACCTTACTTTTGAGGCGAGGAGGCTGAACTAGGGTCTGGTTCTGATCCCTGTCCAGCATTGGAACCACCTCTGGGAGCCTTTCTTGCAGAGTCAGCTTGTCATTGAAATCCTGGTGTGCAACTGAGAACTGCCCTGGCCCTAGGGGCAGCTCTCCAGCTGAATCCGTGTCCAGGAATGGAACCAAATTTTCAGTTGATTCCTGGGGTGGGGCTGACATCTGCGAGGAAGCAGAGGGCCCCAGGTAATCAAAGTCCCCCGGATCTGCTGGGGCAATAGGGGCATGGGGAGATTCCCATGGGAGATGGGAGGAGCGGAAGACCAGGGCTCAGGCGGCCCCCGGGGGTTAGAGGTCAGCTGGAGCAGATCCTTGACCCACTCCAGAGGCTGAGCCTCCTTGACTAGTAGCCACAATAGTTGCCACGTGAGCAGGGGCCATAGGCCCCAGAAACACAGCCGGGACATGACACATGCTGGCACCGCGCAGTGAGCGAGAGCCATTCTGGCAGCCCCGAAACGCTCGTGTCCCTTATAAGCGTGCGCCCTGCCCTGTCTTTATGACACCTTTATTTAATGCCACCTTTATTAGGCTCGGGTCTAAATCTGCTCCATGTCACCATGGCAATCTTATGTCACAATCCTGTCCAAGCACCCCTTCCCATCCCGCCCCCCCGGAACCCCCTCCCCTCCCCTTAGCGAGGAAGGATTTGGGTCGCAGACCTGGGTGGTCCCAGGACTCCAGGGCCTGCAGTGGTGGGGTAGGGTGGGGTGGGGGCACTGCAGAGCTTCCCAAGGAAGTCAGGCGACCTCGCCTCCGGATATTCAGAAGTGCTAGTCCACTTCTGGCAGCCTGAACTCTTCCTCCTTTTTTTGAAATCCGAGAATACTCTTCCTTCCAGGGAGAGAAACTGACCTGTAATCCCAGCTACTCAGGAGGCTGAAGCAGGAGAATCGCTTGAACCTGGGAGTCAGAGGCTGCAGTGAAGCGAGATCGCAACATTGCATTCCAGCCTGAAGTGCTGCTGTAGGTACTATGGCTCCTGAAGTTGCTTTCCCTGCAGTAACTGGAGTCCTCCTCGTCGTCTTCCAGCTCCTCCGGGTAAGGGTAATCGAAGTCATCGTCGTCCTCCTCCATCTCATCCTCCTAGTTGTCCTCAGACTCCTGGGTCTCCTCAGCGTCGCCGTACTCCTCCTCCTCGCTCTTGAGGTCATCGTATACCACTTTGTTAACGGCCGAGGGCCTCGGTGGTGCACGCCAGGTGGCTGCCCCAGCCCCGCCGCCCCCGCCGCCGCCGCCAGGGGCGCTGGTGTGTGTGGTGTGGTGTGCGTGTGTGGGGGCGGAAGGCAGCGGCAGCTTCCGCCAACTACTGCTGCCCACCCTGGCCGAGCTCAGCCGCGTCTTGGGCGCCACCTCATCCTGGCGGCGGCCCACCTGCCCCGGCTGCTACTGCGTTGCCGCTAGCTGAGCCCCCGATGGGTTCGGACGTGTGCGGCGGCGGCGGCTGAGACCGGGGGAGAAGGGAAAGCGGACGAGGAGCGGCGGGCGCAGTGGAGGCAGTGGGGAGCGCCGGGGCCTGACGAGGAGGCCCGAGGGGCCGGGCGCCTGGGCGGTAGAGACCCGGCCTGCCGAAGCGGGTGGAGGGAGAAGGCTCAATCCGAATCGCTGGGGCCCCACTCTGGATCACCTTCAGCCGCCATCTTGTTTCTTCCCGTTCAATATACTAATGATTCTTAAATCCATGTAGATTTCAAGAAAAAAAAATCAATATATATATAGTCTTAATTCCAGCCGCGCATGGTGGCTCACGCCTGTAATCCCAGTACTTTGGGAGGCCGAGGCGGGTGGATCACGAGGTCAAGAGATCAAGACCATCCTTGCCAACATGGTGAAACCCCGTCTCTATTAAAAATACAAAAATTAGTCGGGTATGGTGGTGGGCGCCTGCAGTCCCAGCTACTCGGGAGGCTGAGGCAGAAGGATCACTTGAACCCGGGAGGCGGAGGTTGCAGTTGAGCCACTGTACTCCAGCCTGGCGACAGAGCTATACTCTGTCTCAAAAAAAAAAAAAAAAAAGCCGCAGTTGGACTCATGGAGCCCTGGGGAAATCTTCTCAAGATGCAAAGGAGGTACTATGCCAAAAGAGACATTCTGAAAGCAGGAGGCATCATCTTTTATACATATTCAATCACAGATCTTTATATAGTAGTTCTTCATAGGAAGAATCTACAGGAAACTGAGAGGTAGAAACAGGAGTGTCCCCAGTTACAAATGCTCCCAATAATCTTCTAAGGTTTTCCTGTGCTTCTCATCACTGCAGCTCTGGGATCTGGAAGGCAGGCAAGTCCTGTTCTCTAAAGGTTATGGGTTGGGTGCTTTAGATTCTTTGGGTCCAGTAACCAAAAGACAAGAAATACATCACCACTGGGGCAGGATTCATATACTCTGATCAGCAGGAGGAGGCGGGGCTGCTTTTCCACAAAAGAAGCAGAGATAATCTCTCTCTCTCTCACACACACACACACTCCCCACCCCCATAGTCTCTCTTTCACACATGCACACACACACATACACACACACACTCTCTCCACACCCTCTCTGTCTCTTTTTTGTTATTAATTTCCTGTTGGAGTGCAGTGGCAGGATTTCGGCTCACTGCAACCTCCGCCTCCCGGGTTCAAGCGATTCTACTGCCTCAGCTTCCCGAGTAGCTGGGACTACAGGCACAGGCCACCACACCCGGCTAATTTTTGTATTTTCAGTAGAGACGGGGTTTCACCATGTTGGCCAGGATGGTCTCAATCTCTTGAGCTCGTGATCTGCCAGCCTCGGCCTCCCAAAGTGCTGCGATTACAGGCATAAGCCGCTGCGCCCAGCCTATCTTCCTTAATTCTATTGTGTGTTGAGAAGTTTATTAACTTTCCCAAATAGTCGATTATTTATTTATAGGTTAGATTTATCTTCTTATAGTAATTTCACTTGGAGGATAAATTTTATTTCTTTTTATTACACTTTTAAGTTCTGGGATACGTGTACAGAACGTGCAGGTTGGTTGCACAGGTATACGTGTGGCATGGTGGTTTGCTGCATCCATCAACCCGTCATCTACATTAGGTATTTCTCCTAATGTTATCCCTCCTGTACTTCCCCACTCCCCGACAGGCCCCAGTATGTGGTGTTCCACTCCTTGTGTCCATGTGTTCTCATTGTTCAACTCCCACTTATGAGTGATGTATCTCAAAATAATAAGAGCTATTTATGACAAACCCATAGCCAATATTATACTGAATGGGCAAAAGCTGGAAGCATTCCATTTGAAAACCGACACAAGACAAGGATGCCCTCTCTCACCACTCCTATTCTACATAGTATTGGGCGTTCTGGCCAAGGCAATCAGGCAAGAGAAAGAAATAAAGGGTATTCAAATAGGAAGAGAGGAAGTCAAATTGTCTCTGTTTGCAGATGACATGATTGTATATTTGGAAAACCCATCGTCTCAGCCCAAAATCTCCTTAAGCTGATAAGCAACTTCAGCAAAGTCTCAGGATACAAAAGCAATGTGCAGAAATCTCAAGCATTCTATACACCAAAAATAGAGATCCAAATCATGAGTGAACTCCCATTCACAATTGCTACAAAGAGAATAAAATACCTAGGAATCCAACTTACAAGGGATGTGAAGGACCTCTTCAAGGAGAACTACAAACCACTGCTCAAGGAAATAAAAGAGGACATAAACAAATGGAAACATTCCATGCTCATGAATAGGAAGAATCAATATCATGAAAATGGCCATACTGCCCAAAGTAATTTACAGATTCAATGCTATCCCCATCAAGCTACCATTGATTTGCTTCACAGAATTAGAAAAAACTACTTTAAATTTCTTATGGAACCAAAAAAGAGCCCGTATAGCCAAGACAATCCTGAGCAAAAAGAACAAAGCTGGAGGCATCACGCTACCTGACTTCAAACTATACTACAAGAAGGGTAAGTTTTAAAAATGTGAAGCACAATAATTTTTTGTTGACCTTTAAAAAGTATATTTTTAATTTGTAAGGTACAGTGTTAGATATTTTTACTAAAATAACACAATCATTTGCACACTCTCTCATCTAATTACTCTGTTTTAGTTCCTATGAACCTGATTATAAACCAACAATATTTCTTTTGGTCTATTTATAAGCTTTTGTTTTTATATTTGAATAAACATTTAATAAAAAAACCATTGTATAATTTTAAATTATAGACTCTACATTTACTCAAATAAAAATTTCTTCTCTCTTCTGATAAACCTATTTCTGACTAGCATTTCTCTAGTTTATATATCTATAATCACAGCTGTTTCCTATACTAATATAATCTTTTCTGCACATATATTGAGGGTGTCTTATTTAAAATATATCAAAAAATATTTTAACAACCTAAGAGTTATTGTTTTCTAATTGTGGAGTATAGTTTTTATTTTTTTCATTCTTTATTGTTGAAGATGCTTATTCTTTTTCATAATTTACTATACTTTTTTTTTTTTTTGAGACAGAGTTTTTGTGCTGTTGCCCAGGCTATATACCTATTAGCATAAGCCCCTTTCTCACTGGTTGCAAGCCTAAGCTTCTCTGCAGGTAGAAGCTCCTTTAGGCGAAACTATTCAATTCCCAACAACTTTTGCACTTTCAAAAAGAGAAGAAAAGAACCCAAAACAGGCCAGGTGCAGTGGCTCACACCTGTAATCCTAGCATTTTGGGAGGCCTAGGTGGGCGGATCACTTGAGGTCAGGAGTTTGAGACCAGCCTGGCCCACATGGTGAAACCCTGTCTCTACTAAAAGTACAAAAATTAGCTGGGCATGGTGGCACATGTTTGTAATCCCAGCTACTCAGGAAGCTGAGGCCGGAGGATCACTTGAACCCAGGAGGCAAAGGTTGCAGTGAGCTGGGAGGCACAGGTTGCAGTAAGCAGAGATAGCACTCCAGCCTAGGTGACAGAGCCAGACTCCATCCCCCTGAGAGACGACAACACGCTAGCAGCCCTTGCTCGCTCTCCGTGCCTCCTTGGCCTCAGCCTCCACTCTGGCCACGCTTGAGGAGCCCTTCAGCCCGCCGTTGCACTGTGGGAGCCCCTGTCTGGGCTGGCCGAGGCCTGAGCCAGCTCCCTCTGCTTGCCGGAAGGTATGGAGGGAGAGGCCTGGAGGGAGAGGCGCGGGTGGGAACTGGGGCTGCGCAGAGCACTCGCGGGCCAGCGTGAGTTCCGGGTGGGCGTGGGCTCGGCGGGACCTGCACTTGGAGTGCCCAGGGCAGTGAGGGGCTTAGCACCAAGCCAGCAGCTGCGGAGGATGCCCCGGGACCCCTAGCACTGCCGGCCTGCGCGCACCACTCTCGAATTCTCACTGGGCCTCAGCCGCCTACCCGCGGGTCAGGGCTCAGGACCTGCAGCCTGCGGCATATGCCCAAATCCGCCCCGCGCCCCCCACCCCCGCTCCCGCCCCGCCCCCCACCCCCGCTCCCGCCCCGCCCCCCTCCCCCGCTCCCGCCCCGCCCCCCCCGCTCCCGCCCCGCTTCCCCCACCCCCTCTTCCCCCGCTCCTCCCCTGGCTCCTCCCCGCCATGGGCGCACTGCCCACTGCTCTGCAGCGCCAGATCCCATTGACCCCTCAAGGGCTAAGGAGTGCCCGCGCACCGCCTGGGACTGAAGGTCAGCTCCGCCCGCGGCCCATGGCGCAGGATCCACCAGGCCTATGTAAAGCCAGCTGGGCTCCTGAGTCGCTTGGCGACTTGGAGAACTTTTATGTCTAGCTGGAGGATTGTATATGCACCAATCAGCACTCTACGTCTAGCTCCAGGGGTTTGTGGATGCACCAATCAGCACTCTGTATCTAGCTAATCTGGTGGGGACTTGGAGAACTTTTATGTCAAGCTAGAGAATTGTAAACGCACCAATCAGCACTGTGTCTAGCTAAAGGTTTGTAAATGCACCAATCAGTGCTCTGTGTCTAGCTAATCTAGTGGGGACTTGGAGAACTTTTATGTCTAGCTAGAGGATTGTAAATGCACCAATCAGCACTCTGTGTCTAGCTCAGGGATTGTAAACACTAATCAGCACCCTGTCAAAACGGACCAATCAGCTCTCTGTAAAACGGACCAATCAGCTTTCTTTAAAATGGACCAATCTGCAGGATGTGGGTGGGGCCAGATAAGGGAATAAAAGCAGGTTGCCTGCGCTAGCCACCGCAGCTTACTGTGGTCGTCTTCCTGACGGTGTGTTTTGTTCTTTCCGCTTTTTGCAATAACAGTTGTTGCTGCTGAGTCTTTGGGGCTGTGCTGTCTTTGTGAGCTGTAACACTCACTGTGAAGGTTTGCGGCTTCACTCCTGAAGGCAGTGAGACCACTAACCCACCAGGAGGAACAAACAACTCCAGACGCGCACCGTTTTTATGAACTGTAACACTCATCATGAAGGTCTGCAGCTTCGTTCCTGAGGCCAGCAAGACCACAAACCCACCGGAAGGAAGAAACTCCAGACACGTCTGAACATCTAAAGGAACAAACTCCAGACGCACCATCTTTAAGAACTGTTAACACTCACCGCCAGGGTCTGCGGCTTCATTCTTCAAGTCAGCGAGGCCAAGAACCCAGCAATTCTGGACACACCCGACCCTCCAAAAAACTGAAAATAAAGGACAAATATTTAGGTCTCATATCCCTACATGTTTGCAGGAAGGTTCTGCTTTGAGCTGTATCCGTATAATGACAGGTGATATCCTGAGGACATTCCACATTTGCCTCTTTGGCATCTGGAAAAGAATCCAGTTTCAATTCCGAAACATCCCATCATCGTAAATGCTCTGGCACTGGCCTCTAAGCACAGTCTCCCTCCACCCCAAGATAGTGCATTCTTCCCCACCCACCCCCGCCTCAATATTCCTACTCCCTTGTCCCTCACTGGTTTTCCAGTTGGGACTCTTGCTGGTAGGGTGTCTAGAGGTGGGGTCAAAACCATCTTAATGGACAAAGGTAAAAGCCATTTAAAAAAAGAGATGGGGGACGTGTTTTCATTTCACTCCGATCCTCTGCCCTATTGAAGAGCGCTTTCTGCTTTCCAGGTGAGTATCAGAGTATTCTAACATATTCGTTTTTTGGAGAGAAACATGTAAGCCTCAAATATCCTAGGAGAAGCCCTATGCTATTTGGGGGTACTCAGTGAAGATTTCAGGTACATACAACGCACTTGTCTGGAAGCCTGTGGAGAAATGTAAAAAGGGTTTCTAAGGAATATTTTCTCTTTCCTTTCTGCTCTATTTTAAGTTTCTGCTAACTTGTCCCCGACCCCACAACTGCTCACGACCTTCGTGAAGGTCAACCTTTCCTACCGCGTGGAGTGAGTTGGGATGCATACTGGGGAGTTGTATAAGAGTGTCTGAGAAAGGGAAATGCAGAGTTGAATGAAAGTGTTTCCCGGGAGGGGCCGAGTGGAAAGCAGCAGGTGGCCGGCGCGGGTGGAACCCAGCGCGGGCGCAGAGCGTCTCTGGCGTGGGCATTCGGTGCAGCGAGTCCGCGGGAATCTTGGATGCGCGGAGGTCCCCGGACCGCGGTGACGGACGGGGCTGCGATCGTGGCCGGTGAGACTGGGAGCGGAGGGCTGGGGCGGCGCCCGAGGGAGGGCACAAACCCGGGAGGCCTCAGCCGACGGCGCAGCTTTACGCGGCCGTAGGGCGCCCGGGGTTGAGTGGTGTCCTAGCAACAGGTGGGCGCCGACTGCGGCGGGGCAGGGCGCTGCAGGTGACTTCGGCCGGGGGTCCCCAGGCCCACCCCATGGGGGCTCTGCAGCCGGCCGCGTAGATCGGGAAACCGGGGCCGCTCTCCGGCCCCGCCGCTGCTGCTCTCGCCTGCTTCCCTTTCCCTCCCGGGGGCCGAGACCTGCCCCCTCCCCTTTTCTCTCCCAGGCCCATCTCGCTCCTTCCTCCCCGCGAGACCCTGCCTCGGCCCTCGGTTGGGGACCGTCTGCTCCTCAGTCCCTGCGCCCCTCTCTGCACTACCCTGGACCCATCACCTCCCGGATCGGTTCTCCACTTACCCCGCTGTTTCCCTGTCTCTCCTTCCGCGAGCCCATCTTTCTCCTTCGCCCTTGCAGCTCGGCCTCCCGCTCCCAACGTGGTGTTCGCCGTCACTTCCCACCTCGTCCCTTTACCGAATCCATTCTTGGAAACTTAGGGTCTCAGCTCTGACGCCCCCTTCTTGTAACGAGTCTGGTGGGGGCCGTCATCCCACACTAGGCTTAGCTTTGATTTTACTTAGGGCCCTGTTCATGCCAGTTCTAAAAGTTCGATTTTCTGTAGGTCTTACTGAGTAACTTCTGCATTCTCAGAAAGCCGTGTATGCGCGGACTCCCGGTGGATGTTACCAATCACATTCATAGATCTCAGAGCTGATGGCTGCCTTTCCATAGCCCCCTAAAGAATTCGGTCGTGCTTCTGCATAAGTGTTAACGACATGATTCCCGAATGGGTTTTATTTCACTAATGATGCTGGAAGCTTAAAATTGACCATTAGAAAGAAAAACAATCTATGGTATCTATTGGATAGAGAGAAAAATGAGTGTTAACTGATTCCCAGTTTATGTAAACACGTAATCAAAGCTTTTTCCTTTTTAATCTTTAAACTTATTTTCTTTACTTCAAAGGTATGTGCTATTTACATGGATTCATTTTAACTATGGTTCTTAAGCCAAAAGAGCTAATGGATTGGCAATGGGTAGGAACTGGGGAGCAACTGCTTTTGATTTTAAAATCTTAGTTTTGAGTTATACCGACCATTTTGGAACACCATTTATTTATTTTCTAATAACATTGAACTTGCCTTCTGGATTGTCATAGGCCACCCTGAGGGTTTTTTTTTTTTTTTTTTCTTTTTGAGATGGAGTCCACTCTGTCGCATAGGCTGGCGTGCAGTGGCGCGATCTCGGCTAACTGCAACCTCCACCTCCCTGGGTTCAAATGACTCTCCTGTCTCAGCCTCCTCAGTAGCTGGGATTACAGGCGCGCGCCACCAAGCTGGCTAATTTTTGTATTTTTAGTAGAGACGGGCTTTTCACCATGTTGGTCAGGCTGGTCTTGAACTACTGACCTCGTGATCCACCCGCCTTGGCCTCCCAAAGTGCTGGGATTACAGGCGTGAGCCACCGCGCCCGGCCTCACCCTGAGGTTTTCTTAAGCTGACCAACCTTCTTTAATAAAACTGTGCATTGCTACCGTTCACTGGACTTGGAAATACAATTTGAGTAGATTCAAATGCTACATTTCTGTCAAAATTTATCTTGACGGAAATAAGAACGATTTTGCATTTCTTAGTTCTGTGCTAAGGGTCCTTCAAGAAGTTACTATATGGTATATTGACTAGTATAGCGTTAATAATCTGTTTAATTTCACATTTTTTCTTTAAAAATGTGCAAGAAGCAATCTTTATAAGATTACCAAAACAAATGTTATGCTTAAGATTAAAGACGAGCTGTTCACCTGTCTTTCTGTGTAAGATAAAGCTATTTGCAGTTATTTTACACTATTTTACACTTATTTGTGCTTATTTTATGCAACGTTGGGAAACGCAAGTCTCACACATACACATCAGAACATGTTTATGTGTTTAAAGCATTTCTCATCAGTTAGCAATAGAAACAAAATGCTGGAATACTAAAACAAACGCCCAGAACAAATTCGTGCACTAACTTCTACGCTTTATTTCATGAACACTTTGGTATATATGTCTGGATCAGTTGTTCTCGACCCTATCTGATCCAGTACTCGGTTTTTATAACAAAATTTTGTAATGCTGCTTTACGATCCTGAAATCAAGATCATAGATTATAATCGTACATATTTAATAAAGTTTTCAATATCAATAGCGTGCTAACTATAAAGAAAATAATTGTAATAAAATATCAGCATGTAAACGCTTGAGTTACCACTACGCTAGAGTATATAAGGAAGTAGTCAGATGTCCAGCCTTACACAGAATTACTGTAAACACAGCAGCCCCAAATGCAGACTGGTAACAGACGTGCCATTGCAACTTAAATTTCTCAAATAACCTTGCTATCAATGATGTCTTGGTAAAATTCCATGTAAAACAAAGTATGTACTACCTTCCTTTCATTTATGAAAGCTACAATTCTGGAAAATTCAGGGTATAATAAAACTGTGACAAAATACTTTGCGATTTTTGCAAAGTGTAGAAAAACTCTAGGCTCAGGTAGTGCTTATCTGAAGCTTTTCACTTATCAGATACCTGGAGGTTACAGCAGAATTCTTCCTTCTGAGGTACTGTCCTGCACAGAAGGGTATTTTACATCCTTGGTCCTCATCACTAAAGGCTGATAATGCCCCCTTTCCTATCGTGTTGGTAACTAGACATCTCTATAATATTTCTATACTCTATCAGCAGAAAGTACTGCCCTGTTGTGATCCAATGATCTCCTGTGATTGAATTTAATAGATAGTTCTAAGATTTAATACAGTGCAGAATGTAAAATCTCCAAGTCTAATCTTTGTACTTTGAGCCTTTGTAAAAATATAATGATCGGAAAAAACCTAATTTTATTCTATTTTTAATTGTATAACCATTCATCTAACATTATGGAAGAAATATTTTATCAACAAGTGTTATTACAATGACAAAGGAAACAAATATAGCTTATCTGCAAAAAAAGCCTTAAATGTTCATTATAAATTAAAGTCAGAAGTTGCGTTCTAACTTGGCTCTTATTTAATGTTACAGATACTGTTATTTTTTAAAAGATCTTCTTTTACAGACTAATTTCTATTTAGCCAATGTGAAGTTTGTTTCACTTGAATTTGTTTTAAATTTTACTGCTAGACTCTTCCGGTAACTAATTTAGATAAAAAGGCAGAAAGACTCTCACTTATTCCTACCTCTCTCACATTAACTCTTAAGAAGGTTGCAAATTACAGTAAAATGTCATTCTGGGCAGGATATATGGGCAGAGAATATAGTATTTGGATTGTCCAGATAGTCTGGTAATAGGATCAATGTTTCCTACATCAATTTTCAGAAAAAAATTATATTTCACAATACTGTTCTTATTCTATTTCTTTTTTTTTTTTTTATAACTCAGAAGGCACTTGGGGAAACCAGAGCTATCAGAATCATGTTCTTCAGTCATCATTGTGATGATGCAGGTATTATCACTATAAGAAAGTCAGGATAACAATATTCAGTTTAATAGTATAATTCTAAACAATGTGAGTCCTGGCTCAAAGGAGCATTTGTCCTTGAAACTGCTGGCTCCCAACAGAGCTGTGAACAAAAGCCCTTAATGCCAACCTCTTCCACTTCTTTTTTTCCACTCTTGGAGTTTTCTGTTTGGGTTTTATGCCTATCTGTTTGAATCCTCTCTCTAAGGCCCCAGGAAAATTAGAAAGAAGTTATTAATTTCAGAGCAGACAAATACAAGAAAGTTCTTAAATACTAGTCAGTTTTACCTAGTGCTGGTTTACTACTTTATTGAACTGAAGAGCAATTAGATAATGTTAAAAGAATCTTCCAAGATTAATAAGCAGAATGTGGGATGGGGAGTACTAGTTTAAAGTCTTGAAAATGAAAAATGTTCCAAGGAAAAGGTGGACGCTATTGTCTCTTTCTCTTTCTGCTCTGATGTAGTGCGTGTGCTAAGCTCAGGTCTGAGCACTGGCGGATCCCATGGGTGTGGCTCTGAGGAAATTGACGCAGTGGACTGCTGCCGGACATGGAACTGGAATCCTCGAAATCACCCCTCTAAATGAAGTGATATTGAAAGAAATTATTGTTTGTGGAGAATTTTATCTATAAACATCCCCAAGAGGCAAAATTTGTTTTTGTGGAACCACTTGAGTGGAACACAAGTTTGGCGCCCTCCGCATTTGAATCAGGTTATGTTAGGTAAGCCAGTTACTTGCTTCTAGGATTTGATATCTTCATTGTACATATTTTTATCGATTGGTTCTAGGTTTGGGGGCAAGTCACCTAACCTCTCTGAATCTCCGAAATCCTCTAAACCAGGGATTGCGAACCAGAAACACACCGGTGAAGTCTGAGGATATTCAACTTGGCCAACACAGTATCTTTCTAAGTTTTAAATTTAAAGTTTTTAAACACAATTTTAATTTTTAATTTTTGTGGGTAAATTTCTTTTGACAGGGTATACATTATCCAGGTCACTACACTGCCAACATCCATTGCTGCTTTATGCCTAGTCTTTCCACCCATATGTGTATATATATGTGTGTGTGTGTGTATATGTGTATATATATGTACTTTTTAGAGATAGGGTCTTGCTATGTCTCAAATTCCTGGCCTCAAGTGATCCTCCTGCCTCAGCCTTCTAAAATGCTAGGATTACAGGCATGAGCCACCACACCGGGTCATCCATATTCTTCTGAATTTTATTTCTATAAATGTGTGGGGTACTTCCGTATTACCTGCCAGATGCCAGGAGCCATTGGTTCTGTGACCTCTGATGTAGGCGAAATCTCTTCTGGTATTTAAATTGATCAATTTCTGGGATAGCAGCAGGAGGTGTGGGGGGGTGATGAATGATGAATTTTGATTTTGCTCAATATAAGGGAGACACTTCTTAATAATTAGTGCTATCCTCAGATTAGAGCCTTTCAAATCTGAGATGAGAAAAAATTGCTCCATCTCAAACAGTGAACTATCAATCTATCTCATTCAAACATGGCTAATATATATATACCACACACATATGCATAAATTATATGAACATAATTATAGTCGTATAAGAGTATTATTTCATTACACATAATTATACAATAAATAAGCTAACATTATGTGTGTGTACATATATATATATATGTATTTTTTTTTCTTTTTGCCAGCCTCAAGTTTATTTTGCACCTTAGGCATTCTATTTTCTACCACCTTGTTCTTCTTTGTTCTGGATATGAACTTTTAAAGTCCGATCATACCAAAAACAGTTCCCTAGCTAGCCAAGGCTTCCTGTAGATGCCTTTTCCGTTTTATCCCTTTGGGATTATTTGTGAGAATAAAGTCAGAATTTCAATTTTAGAACTGCAGCAAAACCATTCTTAAACTGCATTTCAAGAGCTCTTTAATTTTTATATTGGTCAGCCTTCTCTCTGAGTTGTTTGAAATCTTTATTATTATTATTATAATTTTTTTTTTTCTGGAGACAGAATCTTGCTCTTTTGCCCTGGCTGGAGTGCGGTAACGCTATCTCGGCTCACTGCAACTTCCACCTCCCGGGTTCAAGCGATTCTCCTGCCTCAGCCTCCCGAGCAGCTGAGACTACAGGCGCCCGCCACCACGCCTGGCTAATTTTTTGTATTTTAGTAGAGACAGGGTTTCACCGTGTTGCCAAGGCTGTTCTCAAACTCCAAGGCTCAGGCAGTCCACCCGCCTCAGCCTCCCAAAGTGCTAGGATTACAAGCGTGAGCCACTGAGCCCGGCTGAGATCTTATTTTTTTTAATGGTGCATTTTATTTATAACTATGCAAATGGTAACTTTCTCCAGAAGTGCTTGTCATTTCTGTATTGTTCAGCTTTTTTTTCCTAACCTTTGAAATATGATCTCCTACATAAAACCAATTAAACATATAATAACTATTCAGCTGATCGCAGTGGCTCGTGCCTGTAATTCCAGCACTTTTGAGAGGCGGAGGTGGGCAGATCACTAGAGATCAGGAGTTCAAGACCAGCCTGGCAAACATGGTGAAACCCCGTCTCTACTGAACATACAAAAATTAGCAGGACATCGTGGCGGGCACCTGTAATCCCAGCTCTTCAGGAGGCTGAGGCAGGAGAATCGCTTGAACTTGGGAGGCGGAGGTTGCAGTGAGCTGAGATTTCACCACTGCACTCCAGCCTGGGCGACAGAGTGAAACTCCATCTCTCTCTCTCTCTATCTCTCTCTCTCTTTCTCTCTCTCTCTCTATATATATGTGTGTGTGTGTATATATGTGTGTATATAAAAATTACTGTTTTTACAAAAATGCATATAAAGCAGATGACAGAAAAGAATATCATGATTGTAATTGTTTTGCCTCTGTATGAATTTTGTGCTCCAACCACAAAAATGACCACATCTGGCCCCTAGTTAGGTGTTCTGCGACACACACCGCTCAAATCAATCACTGTTTCTTTCCTATTCTTGTCCAGATTCTTTTTGCTTTATTTCCATTCTTGTATCTCAGCACTTATTTATTTGTTTGTTTATTTCTTTATTTATATGAGACAGGGTCTGGCTCTGTTGCCCAGGCTGGAGTGCAATGGCATGATCATAGCTCACTGCAGCCTCAAACTCCTGGGCTCAATGGATCCTCCCTCCTCAGCCCCCCAGGCAGCCAGGACTATATAAACATACTACCATGCCCCATCAATTTTTCCATTTTTTTTTGTAGAGACAGGATCTCACCATGTTGCTCTGACTGGTCTTGTACTCTTGGCCTCGAGATCCTTCCACCTTGGCCTCCTGAATTGCTGGTATTTCAGACCTGAGCTGCTGTGCCCAGCTCTGCATGCAGTGTTTATGCACTATGTTCCCTCCTGAGAAGGACATTTTGAAACAATTACCCCTTGATCTTTATACTTTTGTCACGTTTACTATGCAACTTTTCCTTGGGCTAATTTCTCAATCCATTCTTTTTGTGTCTGCCATTATTGATATCTTCGATGTTGGAAGGGTAGAGAGAGGTATTACTGTTGTATTTGAAGGAAACTGTGCTTGCCTGGCTCTGATGAAAACCAAGATTGCCTTGAAGAAGGCAAAGGGTACAGCTGAGATTTTGGTCATAATGGAAAGTACCAGATGCTTTAACATCCAGGTCTTGACTGTGCCCTTGACTGTGTCCCCAAACCAAAGAAAGTTCAGTAACCCGTAGCCACTCAGTGTTTGCTACGACAACAAGTAATGTCAACAAGAGATATTCTCAATTGCCCAAAGAATTTATTATCAAAACAGTCCCCGTGACCTCATTCATTGCCCTTTGGACCAAGCACACTCTTCTGGCTTCTCTGCTGTTAGTACACTATTATACATTTATTGAAAGTGGGGAAGCTACTTTCCTTCCAGACAGGACTCAGGTCTGGGCATCCATGTGTAAGGCCAAGATTATCCTGGAGGATTTGAGCTTGGAGTCTCTGGATGTGTTTCTACCAAATAGGAATGTCCTTGGATACTTTAAAGTAAAGGCGGATGCCTCTCCTTGTGGGTAGACCTCTCAGACCTCTTGTTCCAAAACAAGTTAAGTTTTATCTGCACTGAAATTCTGCCGAAGTAGATAAACTACCCCTTTTTTGTTGGTCTCTGTGGACATTGATGGCAATATATTTATATTTGTGGCCTTAGTTCTCATTTGATGTTGCACATTCAAAATGCACTGTGGGCAACAGTCAATAAAAGTTTGATCATCCTTTTTCTGATTAGGCTAATGAGCATCTGATACTGAAACTGATACTTTAGTCACACACTGGAAAGGTTTTATGTTTCATCAACCGCCTTCTGTCCTTTTGTGCAGATCGTTATTAATTGAATAGATGGGCATAGCCCTGTTCATGTTACGTGATTTGTCTTTTCCTTAGAATGATTCCCAGTGTTTTCATCATGTTATAACATTTGTCATCATCTTTCCACGTTTAATTTTGGGGTGGGGGCTGGGGGTCAAATAGCTCTACTTTCATTTCATGGAAATCATAGGTCTCTTTGTATTACCATTTGCAATTGCTTTTGTTCTTATCAGACAGGATGAAATTAATAGTCTTCCTAAAACACCTCAGAATGAAGCTTAAATTTGCTGTAAACTAAGAACAAATGACACCACTCAATGGCAATACCATCTGTGGTACATAGAACCCAAGCACTTTGATTCTTTCTAATGTAGCTTGGGAAATTTATAAATTGGATAAACATTCAGCATCATGTTGTGAAAATATTATTACCTGATTTTTTTTCCTTCTGTGGTAGAACTACAGTATGTTTTTTGAATCAAATGTGCTATAATATTGCCATATTTTAGTTTTAAATCTCACTCCACTGAATCTTAGTGATATATATGTGTTGAGATAAAAATATATTCTGGTAGGAGTTGGGACAGGAAATCAGGTCGCCTGAGCGATGGCTGTCTTCCCTGCAAGAATGCGCAATTCACACACAATTCACACCTCTCTGGACCTTAGTTTTGTGATCAATATCATGAAAGGCTGAATTTACATGATCTCTAAGGTTACACTCAAACTGTAAAATAATATTGTTTTATGAGACAATAATTATTGCATTTTGGTAAAATTTCTAAGTCACAGTAGTAGGGTCAGTGGCCATAAGTTTTGTTACTGAGCTGTTTATTTTTTGTCCTTGAAAACTGCTAAATAGTTTCTTAGCTATAGCCTTATTTTCTATATTACTATTTAGACATGCATTTATTAAGTAATAAGACACTAAATGAGGCCAGGTGCAGTGGCCCACGCCGGTAATCTCAGCACTTTGGGAGGTGGACATGAGAGGATCACTCAAACCCAGGAGTTCGAGGCTAGCCTGGGCAACATAGCAAGACCCTGCCTCTAAAAAATAAATAAATAAATAAACAGACCAATAAATAAACAGCCAGGTGTGGTGGCGTGCGGCTGTAGTCCCATCTGCTTGGGAGGCTGAGAGAGAAGGATCCCTTGAGCCCAGGAGTTTGAGGCTGCAGAGAGCTATGATTGTGCCACTGCACTCCAGCCTGGGTGACAGAGCAAGATCCCGTCTCTTAAAAAAAGACACTAAACTCGATACTGGGGATTAGAGAAAAAAGACATTTTTCTGCTTTTTTGTTTTAGAGTATAAACAGAATTTTTAGCTCCCTTCCATGATTCTGGTTTAAAAGTGTCTCCATCAGGTCACTGGAGTTTTTGATAGCTCATTCTTCCTGATCTTCCCAAGGTGAGTGCAGCATTTTTCTTTCCAAGAGCTCATTCTTCAGGTGTTAGAAACTGTGAGCCTGAAAACTGAAACTTCCTCTTCAAAATCTTGTCCATAGCTGGCGTTTTTTATTTTTTAAATCTATTTTTACTTTATTTTTTGAGATGGGGTCTCACTCTGTCACTCAGGTTGGAGTGCAGTGGTGTGATGTTGGCTCACTGCATCCTCCCGCCTCCCAGGCTCAAGTGATCCTCCCACCTCAGCCTCCCAAGTAGCTGGGACCACAAGCACGTGCCACCATGCCTGGTTAAGGTAGCTGGCATTTTATTTCTGACTTCTCTGTTAAGTTACAGGCTTCAACTGGTGGGAGCAATGAAAAATGTCACCTGTGCCCTTTGGTTTCTCACCAGGAGTTTCACTCTCTCTAGTTAAGTAGCTTGGTATCTTTGGTATTTGGTCAGCCTGTTACTTAGTCCTCTCACCATCCACTTAGTGTGATGGCCAGCCCTTGATGTGAGTAACCTTTAGGTAACAGGCCTTTAAGAAATCTCTTCAGTTCTAAGGACATTATTCTAGAAGCTTAATTTTAGAGAAAATATACATTTTGTACACAATGCATGTCATTGGCAAGTCTAGAAATATTTTATTCATTAATTTATTCCACAGATATTTACTAAATGTCTTCTATGTGCAGTTCCTATCTGAAGTGCTGGAGATAGGGGCAGTCCCTATCTGCACCCAGCAGAATCGGACTCATAAAGTCCCTCTGTGAGCCCTCTTTTGCTACTGTAACACATTGCCACAAACCTAATGGCTTAACACACACAAATGTATTATCTTACAGTTCTAGAGGTCAGAAGTCTAAAATGAATCTGCAGGGCTAAAATCAAGGTATCAGCAGGGTTGCATTCCTTCCGGAGGATCAAGGAGAATTTATTCTTCGCTTTTCCAGCTTCTAGAGGCCCCTATGTTCCTTGGCTCATGACTCTTGGCTCATGGCTCCACATCACTCTGACCGCTGCTTCCATCAGCATATCCCCGTCGCTGCCTGTGTCCCTCCTGTCTTTCTCTTATAAGAACCCTGGTGATTATGTTTGGCTTCCTCCAAATACCCAGAATAGTCTCCCCATCTCAGGATCCTTGACTTAATTTCTATGCAAAGTCCCTTTTGCATAGAACATACAACATTCACAATGTTGTACAAATATCACTATTGTCTATCTCCAAGTCTTTTTCATCTCCCCAACTTAAATTCTGCACCCATTAAGCAATAATTCCCCATTCCTTCTCCACCGACTTCCTGGTTAACTCTAATCTGCTATTTCTATCAGTTTGCTTATTTTAGATATTTCATGTCACTGGAATGATATAATATTTCCCCTTTTGTATCTGGCTTCTTTCACTTAACCTAGTGTTTTCAAGGCTCATCCATGCTATAGCATGTATCAGAATTTCATTCTTTTATGGTAGAATATTATTTTGTGTATGTATAGACCACATTTGGTTTATGCATTCATCCCTGGATGGACACTTGGGTTGTTGCCACCTTTTGGGTATTGTGAATAATGCTGCTATGAATATTGGTGTACAAGTATCTGTTGAGTTCCTATTTTCAATTCTTTTGGGTCTTTTCCTAAAAGTGGAATTTCTGGGTCATATGGTAATTCTGTATTTAACTTTTGGAGTAAGTGCCAACCTGTTTTCCATGGGGCCACACCATTTTCATTCTCAACAGCATTATCCAAAGATTCCACTTTCTTCACATCCTTGTTAACACTTCTTATCTTCTAGGTTGTTGTTTAATTACAAACATCTTGGTCAGTGTGAAGTGGTATCCCATTGCGGCTTTGATTTGCATTTCCATAATGATTAGTGATGTACACCATATTTTTATGTATTTGTTGGTTATTTGTATATCTTCTTTGAAGAAATGTCTGCTTGAGTCCTTAGCCTATATTTTAAATTGATTCTTTTTGTTGTTGAGTTGTAGTTTTTGTGTATACTCAATATTAACCCCTTATCAGATAGAAGATTTGCAAATTTTTTCTCTTATTCTGTGGGTTGCCTTTTAACTTTTTTGATAGTATCCTTTGATGCACATTTTTAATTTTGATGAAGTCTAATTTACCTATTTTTTCTAATGTTGCCTGTGTTTTTGATATCATATCATTGTCAAATCCAAGGTCATGAAAATTTGCCCCTATGTTTTTCCTCTAAGGATTGTATAGTTTTTAGCTCTTAAATTTAGGCCCTTGATCTCTTTTGAGTTGATTTTTGTCCATTTGGAGCCTAATGAAATTTAGGCTCCAATTTCATTCTTTTGCATGTGGATTTTCAGTTTTCCCAGCACAATTTGTTGAAGAGATTGTTATTTCTCCTTTGGATGGTCTTGGCATTCTTGTTGAAAATGAACTGATAATAGATGGAAGAGTTTACTTGGGGACTTTTAATTCTCTTCCGTTGGTCTATATGTCTTTCTTTATATCAGTATCACACTGTTTTGATTACTATAGTTATAATAGTTTTGACATCAGGAAGTGTGAGTCCTCCAACTTTGTTCTTGTTTTTTAATACTGTTTTGGCTATTTGGTATTCCTTGACATTCTGTATGAATTTTAGGGTTGGTTTTACATTTCTGCAAAAAATGCCATTGGGATTTTGATAGAAATTTCATTGAATTTATGAATTGCTTTACATAGTATTGCCATCTTAACCATATTAAGTCTTCCAGTTTATGAACAGGAGATAGCTTTCCATTTATTTGTATATTTAATGGCTTTCAGCAATGTTTAGTGTTTTCAGTGTACAAGTTTTTCTCCTTCCATATGTTTACTTGTTAACATTTTATTATTTTTGATGCTACTGTAAATGAAATTGTTTTCTAAATTTTATTTTTGATTATTCACTGCTAGTGTACAGAAATACGACTTTTGAGTGTTGAAATCAGATCTAATTTTTGAGAGTTAAAGTCAAGACTGAATTTCGCAACTTCATTGACTTCATTTAACTTTCTGTGTGTGTATATGGGTGTGTGTGTGTATTCTTAGGTTTTTCTGCATACTAGGTAATGCCATCTGCATACAGAGATAGTTTTACTTCTTCCTTTCCAATTTAGATGCTTTTACAACTTCTTTTTCTTGACCAATTACTGTGGCTTGGGCTTCCTGGACTATGTTGAATAAGAGTGTCGAAAGCAGGCATCCTTGTCTGATTCCTGATCTTTTTTTTTTTTTTTTTTTTTTTGAGATGGAGTCTCACTCTGTCACCCAGGCTGGCTGGAGTGCAGTGATGTGATCTTGGCTCACTGCAACCTTCACCTCCCCTCCCAGGTTCAAGTGATTCTCGTGTCTCAGGCTCCCAAGTAGCTGGGATCACAGGCACCTGCTACCATGCTCTGCGAATTTTTAGATTTTTAGTAGAGATGGGGGTTTCACCTTGTTGGCCAGGCTGGTCTCGAACTCCTGGCCTCAAGTAATCTGCCTGCCTCAGCCTCCCAAAGTGCTGGGATTACAGCTGTGAGCCACCATGCTTAGCCTGACTCCTGATCTTAATTGAAAATCTTTTAGGCTTTCACCATTGAGCCCGATGTTAGCTGTGGGATTTTCCTATATGGCCTTTAGCATGTTGAGGAAGTTGCCTTCTATTCAGTTTTCCTTTTCTTTTCTTTTTTTGAGACAGAGTCTTGCTCTGTCACCCAGGCTGGAGTGCAGTGGTGTGGTCTTGGCTCACTGCAACCTCCGCCTCCCGAGTTCATGCGATTCTTCTGCCTCAGTCTCCCTAGTAGCTGGGATTCCAGGTGCACACCACCACACCAGGCTAATTTTTGTGTTTTTAGTAGATATGGGGTTTTGCCGTGTTGGCCAAGCTGGTCTGGAACTCCTGACCTCAGGTGATCCACCTGTCTTGGCCTCCCAAAGTTCTGAGGTTACATGTGTGAGCTACCATGCCCGGCCCCAGTTTTCCTTTTCTTGGTGCACCCATCATTTGTTAGACCCTCCTGAGTAAAAGACGCACATGGGAGGGAAAAAATTGAGGATTCGCATGTTAGAGAATACCTTTATTATTTTCTCTCAGTTGTTTCTAGAGTAATGGTTTGAAATTAATTTTTAGTTAGCATTTCAAAGGCTTATGTTTCCATGTGAACTGTTTGTTTTGGCTTTTTCCCCTCTTTGGAAGCTTTTAGGGACTTCCTTGGTGTTCTGTAATTTTTGTGGTATGGTTTATGCAGATTTTTGTTTGTTTTTGAGATTCATCTATGCTTTTGCATCTATCATTAATTTATTGCTTTTATGGATGTGTATTATTCCATTGTATGGGTATGCCACAATTTGTTTATCCACTCTCCTGTTAACGGGTGTGTGGTTATTTCAGGTTTTGGGCTATTACAAATAAAACTACCAAGAACATTTTTGTGCAAGGATTTGTATGATCATATAGTTTCATTATGCCTAGATAAAAACCTAAGAGTGAAATGGTAAGGTCATATGGTAGTTGTATGTTTAACTTTTTAAGCAACTGGTAAACTGCTTTCCATAGTGGTTGCAATATTTTACATTGATGTTGGCAATGTATGAGAGTCCCAGTTCTTCCACATACTCATCATTAACTGATATGGTCAGTCCTTTAACTACAGACATTCTAATAGGTGTGTACTGGTATCTCATTTGGTTTTAATTTGCAGTTGTTGAATGCATCTTTTCATGTGTTTATTGTCCATTCACATATCTTATGTGGTAAAGTGTCTATTCAGACTCTTTATCCATTTTTTTATTGGGCTATTCAGTTTTTTATTGAGTTGCGACAGATCTTTATATATGTTCTTGGCTTATATATTCTGTCAGATATATGATTTATAAATATTTTGTCCCAATCTGGGTCTCATATTTTTATTCTCCAAACAGTGTCTTTCAAAAAACAAGTGTCTTCAATTTTGATAAAGTACAACTTATTTTTTCCTTATAGTGTTTTATCTTATAATGCTTTTCCAAACCCAGTATAATGAAGAATTTCTCCAATATTTTCTTCTAGAGGTTTTTCAGTTTTACCTTTCCAATCTATGTCTGTGATCCACTTTAATTTGGTTTGTGTATATGAGGTATGGATCAAAGTTCATTTTTTTCTTTTGCTTACCTAGTTGTTCCAGCATCATTTGTCAAAAATAAACCTATTGTTTCTCCACTGAATTACCTTTATAACTTTGTCAAAAATTAGTTGTCTATTTGTCTGTGAATGTATTTCTGAACACTTCCTACTGTAACTTTGATTTCTCTATTTTTACACCAATACCACACTGTTTTGATTACTCTAGCTTTATGATAAGTCTTGAAGTTGGGTAGTTTAAATCCTCCAATGGTGTTCTTTTTAAAAAGTTTTTTGGCTATTCTAGGTCTTTTGCAAGTCTATAAGAATATTAGAGCCAGCATGTCAATTTCTTAAAAAAATACCTGATGGAATTATGACTGATGATATTGCCTTGAATTTATAGACGAATTTAGGAAAAATGGACATCTTAACAATATTGAATTTTCTAATCCATGAACATAGTATGTCTCTCAATTTATTTAGGTCTTATTTAATTTCTCTCACTAATGTTTTGTAGCTTTCAATATACAGGTCTTATACATCTCTTTTGAAACTTATCTGTATTTCATATTTTGGGGCTATTGTTAATGAGTTTTAAATTTTCCATTTCTAATCATTTGTTGCTATTGTATAAAAATACACTTGATTTTTGCATACTGATTTTATATCCTGAAATTTTGCTAAATTCACTTATTAGTTCTGGTATCTTGTTTGTACATTCCAGAGGGTTGTCTATGTAGATGATCTTATTGTCAGTGAATAAAGTTCATTTTCTTACTTCTTCCTTTCTAATCTCAACTCTTCCTTCCCAATCTCAACTTATTTGTATTTCTTTTTTTTTTCCTTAATGCACTAGCTGGAACCACCAGTAAAAAATTGAATAGAAATGATCTCTTGTTCCTGATATTAAAGGGAAATGTTTCAGTTAAGTTTGATGCTAACCATTTACAAGGTTAAGGCTTCTATTCTGAGTCACTGAGAACTTTTATTAGGAATGAATGTTGGATTTTATCAAATGTTTCTTTGTGTACTATGGAGAGAATCTTGTTTTTTTCCTTTTAGTTTGTTAATGTGATTAATTACATTGATTAATTTTTCAAGTGACAAACCAACCTTACATTTCTGAGACAAACCCCACTTGTATCTTTTATATACATTATCAGATTTAATTTGCCAAGATTTTGTTAAGAAGTTTTGCACTTATATTCATAAGGTTATTAGTGTGTAGTTTTCTTTAGTATCTTTGTCTGGTTTTGGTATTGAAGTAATACTGACATTATAGAATGATTTGGAAAGTTTAATCTCCTCTTCAATTTTTTGGAAGAGTTTGTATAGAATTAATATTGTTTGTTTATTAAATGTTTGGTAGGTTTATTAAATGTTTGGTAGTAATGTTTGGTGAAAGCCATCTGGGACTGGAATATTCTTTATGGGAAAAATTTTAAGTACAAATTCAATTTCTTTGATAGTTATGGCACTATACAGGTTATGTATTTCTTCCTGAGGGAGCTTTGGTAGATTAGATTGTCCTTAAAGGAATTTGTTCATTTTGTGTAAGTTATCAGATTTATTGGCATAAACTCGTTCATAGTATTCTCTTACTGACCTTTTAATATCTGCAGAATTCGTAGTCATTGTTACCTCTCTCATTCCTAATATTGGCCATTTGTGGTTTTTTTATTTTGATCCACCTATAGCTATAGGACTACAGATTTACTACATTTTCTCAAGGAACTAACTTCAATTTTTATCTTTTCCACTTTACTTTGATATTTATGTATCTTAATTTTGGGTTTTATTGATTTATTTCTCTAGTTTTTTAAAAATGTCAGGATACATTTAATTTAATGTAGTCATATTTGCATTTGAAGAAATTTTGATGAATTCAGTTGTGAATAATGTTTTACTTGGAGCATATAAAACAAGGCGTCCTCAGCCTAAAAGCTCCTTTAGCTGATAAACAACTTCAGCAACGTTTCTGGATACAAAATCAATGTACAAAAATCACCAGAATTCCTGTACATCAACAACAGCCAAGCCAAGAGCCAAATCAGGAATGCAATCCCATTCACAATTATCACAAAAAGAATAAAATACCTAGGAATACAGCTAACCAGAAAGGTGAAAGATCTCTACAATGAGAATTATAAAACACTACAAAGAAATCAGAGATGACACCCAAATAGAAAAACATCCTATGCTCATGGATTCAGAGAATAAATATCATTCAAATGGCCATACTGCCTGAAGCAATTTATAGATTCAATGCTATTCCTGTCAGATTACCAACAACATTCTCATAGAACTAGAAAAAACTATTTTAAAATTCACATGGAACCAGAAAAGAACCTGAATAGCCAAGGCAATCCTAAGCAAAAAAAAAAAAAAAAAAAGAAACAAAAACAAAACAAAAACCACAAAGCTGGAGGTATCACGCTACCCAACTTCAGACTATACCACAGGGCTACAGTAACCAAAACAACACGGTATTGGCATAAAAAGCAGACACATAGACCAATGGAACAGAATAGAGAGCCCAGAAACAAGGTTACATACCTACAACCATCTGATCTACAACAAAGCTGACAAAAACAAACAATGGGGAAAGGTTCCCTGTTCAATAAATGGTGCTGGGATAACTGATGAGCCATATGCAGAAGATTGAAACTGGACCCTTCTTATGCTATATACAAAAATCAACTCAAGAGGGATAAAAGGCTTAAATGTAAAACTAAAAACTATAAAAACCCTGGAAGATGACCTAGGCAATACCATTTTTGACATAGAAACTGGCAAAGATTTCATGACAAAAGATGCCAAAAGCAATCGCAACAAAAGCAAAAATTGACAAGTGGGATCTAATTAAACATAAGAGCTTCTGCACAACAAACTATCAACAGAATAAGCAGACAAACCACAGAATGGGAGAAAATATTTGCAAACTATGCATCTGACAAAGGTTTAATATGCAGTGTACATAAGGAATGGATTTACAAGAAAAAAACAACCCCATTAAAAAGTGGTCAAAGGACATGAACAGATATTTTTCAAAAGAAGACATATATGTGGCCAATAAACAAGTGGGAAAAGCTCAATGTCACTGATTATTAGAGCAATGAAAATCAAAACCACAATGAAATATCATCTCACACTAGTCAGAATGGCTATTATGAAAAAGTCAAAAAACAGCAAATGCTGGTGAAGTTGCAGAAAAAAGAGAATGCTTATACACTGTTGTGGGAGTGTAAATTAGTTCAATCGTGGAAAGCAGTGTGGCAATTCCTCAAGGAGCTAAAAATAGAAAAACCATTTAACTCAGCAATTTCATTACTGGGCATATACCCAAAGAAATATAAATCATCACATAAAGACACATGCACACATAAGTTCATTGCAGCACTATTCACAGTAGCAAAGACATTAAATCAACCTAAATCCCCATCAGTGGTAGACTGGATAAAGAAAATGTGGTACATATATGTCATGGAATACTATACAGCCATAAAAAAGAATGTGATCATGTCCTCTTTAGGAAGAAAACCAATTACCACATGTTCTCACTTACAAATGGGAGCTAAATGATGAGAACACATGGACACAAAGGGGAACAATAGACCCTTGGGCCTCCTTAAGGATGGAGGGTGGGAGGAGGGAGAAGATCAGAAAAAATAACTATTGGGTACTAGGCTTAGTACCTGAATGATGAAATCATCCGTACAACAAACCCCTGTGACATGAGTTTATCTGTATAATAAACCTGCATATGTACCCCTGAACTCAAAATAAATTATTTTATTTTTGGTAGAGATGAGATTTCACTATGTTGGCCAGGCTGGTCTCGAACTTCTGGCTTCAAGTGATCTGCCTGTCTCAGTCTCTTTATTTAGTTATTTTGGACATAAGATTTCATGCTGCAAATTTCTTTATGAGCATTGTATAAACTGTGTTCCACAGATTTTGATATATGATGTTTTTATTCAATATATATGAGGAGTTTCTGTAGATCTTTCTTTTACTAATTCCTAGTTCAATTCCAATGTATGAAGATATTTTATATGACTTTAGTTACTTTAAACTTGTTAATGTTCATTTTATGGCCCAGAATATGGGCTATTTTGGTGATTTTTTCCTTGCACATTTGAAGAGACTGTGTATTCTGGTGTTACTGAGTTGTGTGTCTTTTAAATGTCAATTAAGTCAAGTTGTCTGATTGTGTTGCTCAGGTCTTCTATATCATTATTGATCTTTTGTTTGCTAATTTTATTGATTGCTGAGAGAGTTTTGAAGTCTACCAATTACGGATTTATCTACTTTTCCTTTTAGCTCTGTGTTTCATTCATATATTATGAAATTCTGTTGTTTGGTGAATATACATTTACAATTGTGTGCTAATTGATCCTTTATTGGTATGTGTGCTCCTCTTTGTCCCTGTTAATATTATTTGCTTTGGAGTCGATATTGTCTGATTTTAATATGGCCATTCCTGCTTTCTTTTGATTATTATTTGCATGAACTATTCTTCTCTGGCCATTTACTTCTGATGTATTTGTATCTTTATATATAAAATAGTTTCTTTAGGCCACAAATAGGTCTCCTTTTTCATCCAATTTGATGATTTCTCATTTAATTGATGTGTGTAAACCATTTTCATTTGATGTAACTACTAATACAGTTAAATTTCAATTTACTATCTTGCTACTTGTTTTCTATTTGTTTCATCTGTTCTTTGTGGTTTTTTTCCTTTCTCTGCCCGTTTTGAATTGAGCTTTTAAAAATGATTCCATTTTATTTATGCTATTAATTTACTGCTTATATTTCTTACTAAAAGTTTCTTAGCTGCCCTCTGGCTTATGATATATATCTCAAACTTATCACGTCTCCTTTAAGTAAAATTCTGAAATTCACAAATAGTTTAAGAAACTTACAACAATATTCCTTGAATACCCCTCCCTATACTTTGTGTTATTGTTTTCACACATTTTATTTCTACGTCATAAACCCTTCAAAACGTTGTTACTATTTTTGCTTTAGACAGTCAATTATATTTTAGAATGATTAAAAAAATACACAAAGTCCTGTATATTTATTTTTTACCATTTCTGCAGCTTTTAATTTTTTGCATAGATCCATGTTTCTGGCTGGCATGGTATTACTCCCGACAGAATAATTTTATTTAACATTTCTAGCACAGGTCTTCTGGCAGTGAATTCTCTGTTTTTGTTCATCTGTGAAGGTTTTTATTTTGCTTTCATTTTTGAAAGATTTTTGTTTTAGTATAGAATTTTGGGTTGACATGGTTTTTTTTTTTTTCATTTTTAACGCTTTAAAGATGTTACTCTCTTTTCTTCTGGTTTGCGGTGTTTCTGATGAGAGGTCTCTTAAAATTCTTATGTTCATTCCTCTGTATTTAATATGTCATACCTGTCTACCTTCAAGATGTTCCCTTTATCTTTGGTTCAAGCCATTTAAATATGATGTGTTTTAGTCAATAGAGGCTTTTGGTTGAATTTTTTGGTGGTGGTGAGGAATGAGCAGGTCCAGCCCTGCTGTTGTATCTGTTGTGCTGCAGCAGAGGTGTGAGTTTAGGAACATCATGTTCCTGTCCACCTAACTCCAACAGAAGCCTTAGTCTTGACATTTCCCTTATTTAGCTGTTACTAAGGACCACAAGTTAGATGCATCCGAGACTTCCTTTCCTGAATTTACCACTGGCGTTAATCTACAGAGAACACTAGATAATTCAGATATCATTAAAAATTATCCTCATTTTTTCAATAAAGGGGATTAGCTTCAATGAAGACCAGCAAAAGGAAAAGGATCAGCTTGGCAAAGCCCCCAAGAAGGAAAAAGCAGCTGCCCTCCACAAAGACATTTCTGGTTCAGGCAAGAGGTCACTGGAGAAGAACCAAATTAATTTTTGGAGGAATCAAATGACCAAGAGATGGGAACCAAGCTTAAACTGGAAGACCACTGTTAATTACAAAGACTATGTAGACATTTGCATTTGCTTTCAGATGCATCTTTAGTAACAATATTCACCTAATGTTTCACATAACTTTATTTATTTATTTTTGAGATGGAGTCTTGCTCTGTTGGCCAGGCTGGAGTGCACTGGTGCAATCTTAGCTCACTGCAACCTCCGCCTCCCAGGTTCAAGTGATTCTCCTGCCTCAGCCTCCTGAGTAGCTGGGATTACAGGCATGTGCCACTACGCCTGGCTAACCTTTTTTTTTTTTTTTTTGTAATTTTAGTAGAGACAGGGTTACAACTTGTTGGCCAGACTGCTCTCAAACTCCTGCCCTCAAGTGATCTGCCCACCTTGGCCTCCCAAAGTGCTGGGATTACAGGTGTGAGACACTGCATCCGGCCAGAACTTTATTTTATAATAGAAAAATACCGAGTAGATAGTTACATGTCCCTCCAAGGAACAGGTTTATTCCTTTCTGCTCCTTTTTGTATTCCAAGCAGAAAGATTTGATAGAGTTTGTGTGTGGAGCACCATGAAGGGAAGGGAAGAACACAATTCACTTTTATATAGTTGGTGAGTCGGGACAAATAATATGCAGAAAAGATGATAAAACACATGGAGAAGTCACAGGAGAAATGTAAAAATCATGGTAGGGACCTGATTAAGTAAGCACTGGGAGAATGTGGAATGATGAAAATGATATGGAGTTAGTCAGGGAAACTGTCATAGAGAGAATGTCTAACAGAACTTTAATACTATGAAAAGGCTAGAGTCTCAAAAATATGAATGGGCCTATATAAAGTGGACACTGGCTTAATGAATGTATGAAATATACAAAACAAGTGCCATTTAGGACCCTCTATAAACAGGCATCAAAGCAAAAATTGAGGGCCAATGCTACTTAAATGCTGGGGCAGTCTGAAATACCTTGAGCATTATTTATTTATTTATTTATTGAGACAAAGTCTTGCTGTCACCCAGGCTGGAGTGCAGCGGCATGAATTGGCTCACTGCAACCTCTGACTCCCAGGTGCAAGCGATTCTCTTGCTTCAGCCTCCCGAGTAGCTGGGATTACAGGTGTGTGACACCACGGCTGGCTAATTTTTGTATTTTTAGTAGAGATGGCGTTTTGCCATGTTGGCCAGGCTAGTTTCGAACTCCTGAGCTCAAGTAATCCGCCCACTTCAGCCTCCCAAAGTGCTGGGATTACAGGTGTGAGCCACTGCACCCAACCCACTTTTTAAAATTTAACAAATAGTTTACAAGTCGCGGCCTGTAGGTGATATTCTATGTTGTCCCATTTTTGGGTTAAGAACTGACTCCTGGTTGATCACACGGGGACCTTCTCCTGCAGGGATTCTGAGAACCACAGAGTGATTGTGTTTTGGAAGCAAACCCAGAGAGCTGTTTGAAGAACGGAGTCATGTGGAGAGGGGAGACACTGGCTCCTCTGATTGATTCTCATCAATTTTGGGGTGTTTGACTTTTGTGGCTCTGTTTGAAAGAGTCAATGTGAAAATGAAAAATGCATGGGCAACTCTGTTGACTGGCAAGTGAGTTGCTTTTTCCATATTCTTACTCTTTCAAGCATGAGATTCCTTAGCAGGTATTCAAGGGAGAACACAGAATGCCAAGGACTATGCAAAGCCTGCGAATACCTGGAAAACCAGGTGCAGGCCCTGTTGCAACGTTGGGTGGGGAAGATAAGAAAATAGAAAACTATAATTGGGGGCAATCCGTACCTAGAGTAGAAGGCATTGGATGCAGGATTCACACCAACAGTGGCAGCCTGTGAAGACCTGTTCCTAGGTGCTGGACAGAAAGTTTCTTCAATATGTAAAACATAGGGCTGTGCTGAAAGAGTGAAAAAGACAGCTCCGAGTGTCAGAATGAGGCTGGAACTCTTGTCAGGAACACACATCATTTGAGCACATGGAAATAACGGAGTATATATCTACATTGCCATCTTTTATTTTTTATTAATTAGCATAAAGCAATAAAGCTAATATATTTGTATATTTTTTTAAAGCAAAGGCTCAGCAAAAGAAATCCAAGAGGACAAACACACAGGAAAACTTGAAAAACCAAGACCATCTGTTTCACACGGAAGAGCACAATTACTTCGGTATGTTTCTGGTCAGCAAGACGAGTTCCCTAAAGCCACCCTCACGCAGTGGGCTACTGAGCATGCAAATTAATGGCATCCTTCCTATTAGGGTCCCCAGATGTTTACACTGACGGTTACTAGGAATGTTAGTAAAAGTGGTCACACTGGATTTCTTTAAATACTTTTTCAAGATATTCTTCTAATGCAGTTACCCAAAATACAGTGATTTACTAGTATTAGTTGACTGTGGGAAAAGAAATGTATTTAATGCAAAGAGCAGTGAACTAAGTTTAGGAACACTGGGCTCTTAACTGATGTCTTGCCTCTGAACAATCATGTCCTGGCAAAGTTATGTATCTGTCTGAGCCTCCCTTTGCTGATCACAAAAGACTGCCGATTTTGAAGTGGTCTATGTTATTGCTAACGAAAACAATTAAAAATTGAATATGAGGCCAACTAGTAAATTTTTACTTGATTTTCAGTTTGACAAAAAAAGTGACATGTCTGGAAGATAAGGGTCAGCCACTTTTATTAGCTTCAGAGTGGTGGATATTAGCGCTTTTGTTACAATCTCACAGTTCCTTGAGGCTGCGTTCACTGATTTTTTCAGTTATTTTTTTCTCTACGTTGTTCAGATTGAGCCAATTCTGTTGTTCTATCTTCAAGTTCATTTATTTTTTCTTCTGTCCTATTCTTCTGCTAATTTCATTCAGTGAGTTTTTAATTTCACTTATAATTTTTAGTTCCAAAATTTCCATTTGGTTTTTCTTTTCTATCTTCTCTTTCTTTGCTGAGACTTTCTATTTTCTTCATTTGTTTCAAGCATGTTCATATAGCTTGTTGAAATATTGTTATGATGGTGCCTTTCATATCTTTGTCAGATAATTCATACTTCTTCGTCACCTTGATATTGGCATTTTAAAATTGTCTTTTCTCATTTAAGATGAGATCTTCCCCATTCTTGGTATGACAAATAATTTTCAGTTGAAATGTAGACATTTTGGTTATTATGAGACACTGGATCTTATTTAAATTATTTATTTATTTATTTGAGACAGAGTCTTGTCTGTCACCCAGGCTGGAGTGCAGTGGTACAATCTTGGCTCAGTGCAACCTCCGCCTCCCGAGTTCAGGCAGTTCTTCTGCCTCAGCCTCCTGAGTAGATGCAATTACAGGCGTGCGCTACCACACTCAGCTAATTTTTTTATTTTTAGTAGATACGGGGTTTTGCCATGTTGGCCAGGCTGGTCTTGCACTCCTGACCTCAAGTGATCTGCCTGCCTCGGCCTCCCAAAGTGCTGGGATTACAGATGTGAGCCACTGCACCTGGCCTAAATCTTTTATTTTAGAAGGCCTTCTCTGCCACCATATTGGCAGGATGAGGTATGTGTTGCTTCTCCAGGCTGGTGAGGAATTGAAATAGCAGGTTTTCCCATTGGCCTTCACTGATGCCTGGGGGGTCAGGCAAGGGAGTCCTCATTATTTCTGGAGGGTAGTGGGAGTTCATGCTCCACCTATGCCTCTGGTGATACCAGCCGGACAGTGTGACGGGGGAGTCCTTCGTTACTTTGTCAGTGGGCTCTACTGATATCACAGTTCGGATAAGTGACTTCATTTTTGCCACGATGTAGTGAGCATCTGACTCCCTGTCAGGCCTTCTCTGAGGCCACCCCAGCAGGTGGGTTGCAGCGCTTTCTTACAGTCTGATAAAGGTAGAGCCCTAGGCTCTTCACTTGGCCTTTGCTATAAGAGGTAGACTTGGGCCACGCTGTTATGTGTGGTCTTGATTGACATAGATCATTTGTTGTCTAAACATTTTCTGTCTTATTAGGCTTTCCTTTTCTGGCCCTTTGAATTAGACAGAGCAGGACTTTCTTAGGTCCTTTTTTTGCCTGCACCTCCTGGAGTTTCTGCTTTGCCGGCTTTTCCAGTACCCAGTCTAGGAAGAATGAGACAAAAAGAAAACCCAGGGAATGCACCGCTGTGTTGAGCCACAGGTCTTCAGATCCCTAGGTAGTGCTCTTCTTTTTCTCTACCTTTCAGAGTCACCTTATGTTTGTTTTATATACAATATCCAGATTTTTAGTTGTGCTTGGTGGGAGAAATAGGGAAAAGTATATCTACTTCATCTTTCCTGAAACAGATATTGGGCCAAAAGTATTTCAATTTTTAGTGAGTTAGAGAGCTTCAGGGTAGTAGATAAGGTAAAGTTGTAACATATCTAAGCAACAGCTATTACTCAATGATAAAAATGAAACTTCTCTGTGTCTAATCTTGCCTAAGTGGATAGAATTCTGTGGTAGAGAAGTATTTCTTAAGGTGGAGTTTGTAGATCAATTCAATGTTGACATTTGCTTCTTTTTAACTCCTGAATATGTAGTTGCCATGGAACAGGATTGGAAAGAATCATATCAAATAGGAAAAGCATTTTAAAGTTAGCTATCAAAGGATTCATCAATTGGAAAAAAAAAGCTTTTCTTTGGGGCGCTGCTTTTTAAAATGGGATTGTGGAGTGATTGGGTAGACCTAATTCACTCTGCCCTCAACTCCAGGAGCTTGTTAGACTAAGGGAAGGTAAATTTAGGCTTTCCCCAAAGAATTTAGGCTTATTCTACTATATGCTTCAATCTGGAATCTTTGAGTTAAGTTTAAGTCACTTCTTGAATAAGGCCTGATATACTGGAAACTTCACTCAGGTGGCTCATTAAATGGGAACAGATGCTTGAATTCAGGCTTTCCCTCTTCCAGGGTCCAGAGAGCATAATCATAGTGTTTTACACACAAATTGGCTTTTGGAAGCGCAGAAATTGGGGGTTCTCTGTGCCAAAAAAACTGTAAGAAATTAAGAAAATCATGGAACCTTACAAATTAATAAAATTTAAAAATTGCCCATCCTCTTTCTATGCTCCGAAATGGAATAGACTAGAAAAGACTTTTATGGATGAGAACCCACTGGGAGTTGGAGAGAGGAGAGGAGGGAGAGAAACAAAGAAAATGAGAATGAATTGATATGAGCATGAAGGCTTAAATGGACTAGTCCTTGCCCATGAGCTTAATGTTGAGTTAGAAACTTCTAGAGCGATGAGGAATAAAGTGTACTTTCTCATAAGTCTTTTTATAATTAGACCACAATGATCGTGATTCCACTAATTCTATTTTTGTAAATCCAAGTTAAACATCTGCAGATGGCCCGTTTTCAGCCCTGGTTGATTTCACTCCAGGTTTGCACTGTGTCAATAACCTTTTTATGGATTACTGGGGACCCAGATATGTTTTCTAAAGATTAATGGGAGCCCAGAATGAATACACTACTCCAGGGGGTGGCTGGCAGGGTCCTTGGGTTCCTCTTTCCCACAGACACCACTCTAAATGCAAACTCGAATGAGTCCTGTCTCCTCCTGGACTCTCCTCTGTATCTTGCTCTGCAATAGCCCAAATGAATCATTCTTCCACTTTGCTCTCTCTTCTACATTTTTTTCCTTGCCCCCACCTCATACTACAAGGAAATGAATTTTCTTATATCCTAACCCTATGCACCAAAGCCTCCACTCTCTCCTTTCTTGCATTTATTGAAACTTTTCCATGACAGCAGCGATTCTCCTTCAGATCTTCTTTTCCCTAGGCTCTGTGTAACCACAGGGCATGGGGACCGTAGGCGGAAATCTCCTCTTTATTGCTTCAAACTACCTTACTCTTCAGATTAGATCTCCTTTTCTATGAGGCTGATGTAACCCTCTGTCTTTCCTGGTTGCTGTTTTCTATGGACCCATTGTCACTGACGATTTTGACATTGACTCACTATCACTTTCATCCTATGTCCCATCATCATCTTGAAAAACCTGAAACCCCAGGAGGAAAACCAATACCAAATCTTGGCCTGCGCACTCCCTGGTTTCAGTCTCACTGACTGTTGCCTCCTCTCCATCAAGCTGCTGCTACTGCCACCTCCTGGAATTATCACCAGAAGTACCCTTCTTCCAAAATCTAAACCTAGACTGAATTTTGTTCATTCACTTATTCATACCTGCTTTAATTTATTAATTCTTGTAGCAATTATTTACTGACTTCCTTGTGCTAGGGGAGACAGTATAAAAAGTATAAAAGACAGAAACGGTCCTTGCCTTCATGGAACTTACGAAGACACTACAAGAAAACACAGAAATAAAAATTTTCTGATGGTGACCAAAGTGGACAAGGTACTGAGCTACAAAATAATGGGAACTTAGGTAATTACTCATAGACCACAGATTTGATTCTGTTCTTGCTGAACATCGAGGTAAACACAAAAACCTAACCAGTTACTTAATTTATGTGGTCCTTAAGATGAAAACAGATCAGATCTTCAAAGACAAAACCACACCTTTTCCTTGGAGTTTAACAAAGATACTGAAATACAGTATTCTTCAATAGCATTCCCTTGATACCTGGCAGCCAGCAGGCCCTCCATGCATGTGTGGTGAATGAATATGCATGATAATACAGAACTATCTAACACGTATTTCATGCTTTTTGTATGCCAGGCACTGTTATAAGCTTTTTACATACTAACTGCTGTTATCATCCTCAATTTGCAGGTGAGGAAACCGAGGCACGCACAAGTTAAATGACTACCCCAGCTCCTCTAGGAACCAAGATGAACAGCTCTCATTACGAATATTTGTTTTAACACAGCCACTTTACTAACCATGGAGCTTTGTTCAAATTGTTATTATTACAGAATCTTGCTCTGTCATCCAGGCTGGAGTGCGGTAGCGCAATTTTGCCTCACGGCAACCTCTGCCTCCCAGGTTCAAGTGATTTTCCTACCTCAGCCTCCTGAGTAACTGGGACAAGAGGCACATGCCACTACACCCAGCTAATTTTTGTATTTTTAGTAGAGACAGGGTTTCACCATGTTGGCTAGGCTGGTCTCAAACTCCCAACCTCAAGCAATCCACTCACCTCGGCCTCCCAAAGTGCTGGGATTACAGGTGTGAGCCCACCACACCCGGCCCAAATTATTTTTAACTCATTGTCTCTATAATGAGAGTAATAACAACCTCATAGATTGTTGAGTGAATTAAAATGAGACATTTAACCCACAGTCTGTTGTCCTGAACTCTCGTGGCCAAATGCATGCGGTTCTGAAAAACTCACTTTAAAAAAGGGTAATGAAATTCATATAATATATATTATATGATAACCTCTATTGGAGTGTGAGCCAATACCCTATAATCAAAAACATGAGCATTTCTGTAGTGAAACATGAATATTCACACTGAATGAGAGGAATAAAGACCATAAATAGTCTAGTATCAATTCATATAAGTCTTTAGCAACAAGTTAAGTCCAGTGGGGAAAAAAATCAGTTTTCAGAGATTTTTCAATTTCAGAATTAGAGGAAAAGTATTGTGGACTTGTGTGATCTATAATGGTCATTGACTTTATGACTTTGATATTTAAGGACACCTTAATATGTGATTGGCAAGGGCCACATTTTAAGTAATTTTGGATCCTTCAATGTGAATGGTTTTTTTTCTCCTCTTAATTTCTCTGAGGTTTCCTTGCTTGTAGAATGTGGATGATAGAGCCTGCTTTGCAAAGTGGTTGTGAGGTTTAGAAATAATAAATATAAAGTGCCTGGGACAGGCCGGGCGCAGTGGCTCATACCTGTAATACCAGCACTTTGGGAGGCCGAGACGGGAGGATCACGAGGTCAAGAGTTTGAGACCAGCCTGACCAACATGGTGAAACCCCGTCACTACTAAAAATAAAAAAATTAGCCAGACGTGGTGGCGCATGCCTATAAGCCCAGCTACTCAGGAGGCTGAGGCAGGAGAATCACTTGAACCCGGGTGGCGGAGGTTGCAGTGAGCCAAGATTGTGCCAGTGCACTCCAGCCAGGGCGACAGAGTGAGACTCCATCTCACAAAAAAAAAAAAAGTACCTAGGACAAAATAGACCAACCTACACAAAAATGGTGGCTGCTGTTGGTATTATTTAATATTAAAAATAGCTAGAAGATTTAAAAGTTTGCTTCTGTCCTGTGAGATGAGGAATATGTGGGAAACAATATCAGGATAAATATCCTGGGTTCAGCACCTCTCCACATGTGAGTGATGGATGAGTAGTTCCTGAGACATCACTGTGGATTTGGTGACCCAATGGCAGTAACCTGGCATCCGGCAGTGGGAGGTGGAGACAAGTTGGTGTGATGAGTGTGCATGTGCATGAGGGACCTCTGCAGGGACATAGGGCATATATTGGATTCCAGAAGGCTCTTGTAATACTGTTGTCCATGCATCAAACCATAGAATGTGGTGTACTTCTGTGGAACTCAACACTTTGCATGGTAATGTCTCTCAGAGTTGGTGGCTAACTCTTTGGTCCTGAACCTGATTATGTTCATGTTATTGCTGTTCTTTGGCACCTTGTGCCCTTGCAAGTACTTCAGTGTAGGCATTATGGAGGGATGTGCTGAATATTGACTCTCTTTGGTAAAAGAGACTCTTTCACTTTAGGGCCTTGTGGCACTGCCCAGTTGAACTTACTGGAATAATAGAAATAGTCAATATCTGAGCTGTCCAGTATGGTAACCACGAGACACGTGGGCCATTGAGCACTTGAATGTGGCTAGTGTGATTGGAGAACTGGATTTTTAATTTTCTTTAATTTTAGTTAAATAAATAAGTTCAAATATCTGTAACTATAGACGACCACATGCAATGAGTGGCAGTCTTATTGAAAAGTGCAGCCTTAAGACATTCACTGAATACCCTTGTTTATTTCTCACTGTTTTCTTTATTATGATTATTGCACCCAGAGCAATTGCACCTGCAATAGAGACAGGTTTATTCACCTCACGCAGTTCCTTTTTATTTTATTTTATTTTATTTTTGAGAGAGAGTCTTACTCTGTCTTCCAGGCTGGAGTGCAGTGGTATGATAATGTAATAATGGTTTACTGCAGCTCAAACTTCTGGGCTCAAGCGATCCTCCTGCGTCAAGCCTCCTGAGTAGCTGGGATTACAGGCATGCACCACCATGTCTGGCTAATTAAAATTTGTTTTTGTAGAGACAGAGTCTTGCTATGTTGTCCAGGCTAGCATTGAACTCTTGGCCTCAAGTGATCCTCCCACCTCAGCCTCCCAAAGCACTGAGATTATAGGCATGAACCACTGCACCTGGCCTCATGTAGATCTTAACAGAGATCTACTAGAACTCAGAAGGTGTTGGTATCTGATCCATTGCTTGTGCCCATGTTGCCAAAATATGATTATAACCATCTCCACACTGTAGCTTACATGTGTATGTGTGTTGTTATTGTTCTTAGGAAGAGTGCTGAAAAGATTGAGGAAACTGTTAGCGATAGCTCCTCAGAAAGTGAGGAAGATGAAGAACCACCTGACCATCGTCAGGAAGCAAGTGCAGATTTGCCATCAGAATATTGGCAAATTCAGAAGCTGGTGAAATATTTAAAGGTAAGAAAGGCCTGTGGTAGTATGTTTGCAATGTTCATTTAAAATACTTTCCCAAGGATGTATATGCTGATTCCAAGTTTATGTTTCTTTCAAATAAGAGTAGTAAGCATTCCTGTTGTTTTATCTAAGTGTGTGCAGGGAAAGGTCTTATTACCCTGAGGATGCAAGATTCATCCTCATGGAGCAACCAGGCTGCCTGGTACCAACCCTCTCTCCTGGCTGGGGAGTGCCCATGGTAAACAGCTGACACTGAGACTTGCTGCCATTTTATGATTTGTAGTATGGTATGGAAGAAATAACATGGATTTTTAAAGCGGACTTTGGTTAAACTCCAGGCTGTTTCCCTTACTAGCAACGTAGCTGTTGAAACGTTACAGTTTTGAGCCCTAATTTTCTCAACACTTGGAATAAAATTAATATACCTGTACTACAGGACTATTATAAAGTTTAAGAAAACACACTTGAAACATACAGCGTGGTTTCTGAGACATTGTGGGTGTTTATAATGTGGATTGGTTCATTTTCATTTCTCTCAAGTCAGATAGCATATATGAGAATATTTTACATAATAATTGGCCACGTAATGTATTTAAGTACTTGAATTTGCAGGAGGGCAAGGGGAATGACTCACCAAAACCCAGATTAATATTCATTTCTGATGTCAGATAGCAAGTATTGATGATATCTAGGCCTTGTGTAAAGTCGACGTCCAGAGTATTTGAAAAAGCATTTGACTCAACTCATGTTTTCTTTCTGCTTTTCCATGTCTTTGGTCAAATCAACCAAGGGCATTTGCCAGTGGCTTTGCTTGATTCAATCATTGCAGTGTAAACATTTATCAAAATATCACATTGTACTCCACAAAAATACACAATTATTCTTTGTCAATTAAAAATAATTTGTATTTTGGCTGGGCGTGGTGGCTCACGCCTGTAATCCCAGCACTTAGGGAGGCCGAGGTGGGTGGATCATCTGAGGTCAGGAGATCAAGACTAGCCTGGCCAACATGGTGAAACCCTGTCTCTACTAAAAATACAAAAAAATTAGCCGAGTGTGGTGGTGGACGCCTGTAATCCCAGCTACTTGGGAGGCTGAGGCAGGAGAATCGCTTGAACCCAGGAGGCGGAGGTTGCAGTGAGCCAAGATCGCACCATTGCACTCCAGCCTGGGTGACAAGAGCAAAACTCCATCTCAAAAAGTAAAATAAATAAAATTTTGTATTTCAGAAAGGACATGAGCTTATACAAAACAAGCCCTAATGCTCAACTTGGAGATCCTTTTGGCAGGCTCTTAATGATTTTACCAACATCAATGCAAAATGAAAAATATTGTTTTTTGGTCTGGACTGTTTGTCATGAAACAAACCTCTAGACTACTGGAGAGAACAGTTAATATTTTGTGAGTTTTAAAATTTCATGTTAAGCGTGATACTTCATAAATATTAAATATTTTTATGGCATCTGTCAATTTTTAAAATGTTTTTTATTTGGCATTTATTTTGTGTTAATGTTTCCCTCATTTAGTGTTTCATATTATGAAATTCCTATATCAGGTGCACATTGTTGTTACATGTTGTTGCAGTATATAATTATGTCACATATTTTGGCTCATAATAATAATAAATCATGCATTTATTACATAAGTTTTTTTTTTTTACAGAAAACCTCTGAAATTTTTAGCATAACTCTACCACAAAAAATGATTCACTGTTTATTATGATAGAAATGATTCACTATTATTACAGGCATTCATTATTATTTAAAGACATGTAAATTAAATGTTAGGAAAAATACAGAATAATATAATTTTGGGAACTCATGAAAATTCCTAGGAATTTTGATTGTATATTCCTGAATCTTGAAGATGAACCTGTCGGGAATTTGGAAACACTAGCATGGAGCACAGGCTAGATTCAGGCCACACGTTTCTGCACTCCCCTTTGGCAGGAGTATTTGTGCACAAACCACATAGTTCAACACAGAGGTCCCGCCTGGCACACATGGCGACCATGTCCAGCCTTGGGACATTTAGGACAACCTTGCAACAGTGCCTCTGCATCTTTACTGAACCCCAGGGCCTCCTGTAATTACCTCTCCTGGACTTCTAAAAAGCATGCCATCTGGGGAAAAAAAAACAAAACTGGCAGTGGAGAACTTTGCCAACACCACTCTCTCTCTGAGGCGGGCAGCTCTAGACAGGGTGACTGAGGCTTAGACATGGTCCGCCCTTCTTCCTCTCCTTTCCTCTCCTTTCCTCTCCTCCCCTCTCCTCCCCTCTCCTCCCCTCTCCTCCCCTCCCCTCTTTCCTTTTCTCTTTCCTAGGCTGATCCTGAACTCCTGGCCTCAAGCAGTCTTCCCACCTTGGCTCCCAAAGTGCTGGGATTGCAGGCATGAGCCTCTACACCCGTCCAAGACATAGCCTTTCAGAAGATGAATTAAGAGAGGCCTGAGTTTTTCCCAGGAGTCCTGGTCCATTATCTTTATTTCATTAGCAAAAGGAAACAGAGTCAAAATGGCAGAAGCAAAAGATGGGCTAGGAAGCAGAATACCAGAGTAATTAGAAGCACGATCTTTGACGTTGGAAAGACCAGTTGAGTTGAAATTCTGCCACTTACTCAATAGCCTTGGATGAGTTGACTAACCCCTCTAAGCTTCAGTTTCCTCATTGGTGAAGGTGGAAAAATAAAAGTTCTCTTATATTAGGATTATTAAGAATGTTAAATGAAATACAACACATGTAAAGTGCTTAGCACAAAGTAGTAACTGTTGGCAATAATAATCATTGCTATTGCTTATTATTATTGTAGCAAATGTGTGGCATGGAGACTTAACTGACTCGTGCAGGTGGCCTTCAACTTTTACTTTCAGTTCTCTAGCAACCAATAAAAGGGGGGAAATAGAGTGAGTTAATACAGGGAGGGAAAGTCTCTCAACGTCTTAAAATAAAAACAAACCAGTTGCCAGTGAGTATAACTGATCCTGGTGCTAAGAGCAGGAAGAATTTTCTCCCTTAGGATTTAATGGGGCAGGCACAGAGTGAGAGAGTGAACAGCCGCAATAATACCCTCCCAGTGAACATGGCAAAGAGAGTTTCTCATAATAGCCTAATTACTGGATAACTGTCTTGAGTTTTTCAACTATTTAGGATAAGTCCAGGTAGCATTAGGCCAAAAAGAGATGCACTATTTCTGTCCCAGTACAGCTAAAAAAAACATTTATTGATGAAGTGCTACTTAAATTTGCACGAGTTATTCATCAATAAATCATGTGCAAATGTGATACTCTTGGCCAGACAGTAAATTGCTTGGAATTCTTATAGTTCCCACAGGTAAATATTCTTCATGTAGCCAATAAAAGGAAAAGTATATCTTTAAATGATTTCAAGGTTTTCGACACAGATAAATATTCTATCTGGAGACATAAAATGATACTAGAAGTCTATGAAATGCAAAGTTGAATGTCTCTAGGCAATCTCAAAATAAATACACTTAACATTTTAATTTATGAAATTATGATTTAAATGTAGATTTAAGCTAGCAGAGAAATGTTCATGTTGACCTGACTTTCTATTTACCATTTTCTAAGTAATGTCTGTGATTGTTGGGGAAAAAAAAGAGATTTAATGAGCTCATTAATACCCAGACAGGTCAATGAACTATAGCTTATTAATTGTCCAGAGCTATGAGCTCATATCTTGGCACATCAAAATAGTTTGTATTTAATTATTTGGTTTGACATATGTTAATTTCAACCTGCAAGTTTTATATATGTATATATTCTTTTCATCTGGATTTTTTGAACACAATTTAATTTTTAAATTAATGAATGTATCACATTTTTACTCACCAACCTTCCAGCTTCTTCTCTCTCCCATAGCTGATGATGCTGTACCCTAATTCTAAAGGAAGCAAGGAACCCCCTTTTCAGCTACCTTACTGATAAGCACTTATGTTCTGCCTTCTGCCATCCTGATGGTTCAGGTTGTCTGTCTTACTACCTACTTCTTGAGTAGAGAGATCACATTAAATTTATTGCTGTATCTCGCAGGGCATCTTGCTAATGTGCACAGGCTCGCCTCCCTACCTCTGCCCTAATGGTGCGAAGGGGAGAGAGCGAGGTTCCTTAGTGGCAGGGCTTTGCTGTTCTTCACTCTCAGCCCCCTGAAAGCAGTTCTTCCTGCCTCTGAGCCTGTCTTTCCTTCTGCTGTTGACTTCTTTCCTACTTTTTTTGCATCCCTCTCTCTTCCTTTTCCTGCCGTCTTTCTTGTAGACATACTAGTTGATTGCTGTATTTGCTGACTTTATATGGATATTATTTTCTCCCTTGGCCAAGATTGTTTTAAAATCTTGCAAGGAAAATGTCTTGCTTTTGATCACTTCTAGCGATTAAAGGAGATGGTTTGTTAATGTCTCTATGCTCCATACTAAATCTATGAGTCTCTCTAAAACTTCAGTGAAATCATGCTCATTTCTAAATAAGGTATGTGGAGAGCCCCTTTGTGAAATACGAGAAGGGATGTAGGATATTTTCTTTGTTTGGAAATGTGGAAATAAATATTAGTTACAAGTACTCTATGTTATAAATTCATACAAATGGGTATTCTGCAGTAGAGTGGGGTAAAATGTTGAAAGGTCATAATTATAAGTAGGTTTGCATTTTATACACATTATAATGAAAAAGAATTTCTGGACCCAAAGTCAAAAACATGTTGAAATCCATTTCATGTAATCCCAGCACTTTGGGAGGCCAAGGCGGGCAGATCACGAGGTCAGGAGATTGAGACCATCCAGACCATGGTGAAACCCCGTCTCTACTAAAATACAAAAAATTAACTGGGAATGGTGGCATGCACCTGTAGTCCCAGCTACTTGGGAGGCTGAGGAAGGGGAATCTCTTGAACCAGGAGGCAGAGGTTGCAGTGAGCTGAGATGGTGCCACGTCCCTCCAGCCTGGGCGACAGAGCAAGACTCCGTCTCAAAAACAAACAAACAAACAAAAAAACAAAAAAGAAATCCATTTCAATGTGGATTGAAGGTAGAGTGGATATAGTATTTAACACTTATAGGATCAGTAAATCCAAGAAGAAACTGAGAAGACTAGAATAATGCCAAGAACATGGTTGGTTGTCAGCTTTTTGGTAGTTTAGAGGCATTTCAGAGGCTGGGCCTAGAATTATGCTTTCTTTCCCTTGAAGATATTTCCTAGAGCTGTCACTAGAGGGTAAGATGCCCGTATTATCCAGGCACCAGCTCTAGGCTCACGAAGGGTTACATTGGCAAGCACAGTTGGATATCTGCCCATACTCTGAAATGCTTCATCCAGCCTGTCTTATTCCTGAGTACTTGCTGCAATGATGGAGGCCTCTAGGGCTCATTCCCAGGGCCATTTCTCCACGTGTACCTCCTCCCTGTGGGATGCCAGCTTCTGTACCTGGGATTTTGATCAGAGTCCAGGTGGGAGAGTGGGGAAAGGGATGATGAAAGCACTGATTTGGAAAGATGAATCCAGCAGCAGGTGGTGTGCCAAGTGAATCTAATGGGAAGGGATGAGAAGACAGTGACAACGGGTTTACACTGGTAGAAAGGATGGCCATTACCACACATTCATCCTCACCCCTGACCCACGATGGGTTGGTGAGGGGTAGCATAAGCCTAATTTGTTTGTCCTATATCATCAAATTCATCAAACACTGGAGTTGATTTCACCTTTCACATGAGCCACATTGCTTGCCATGCTTCTGCTCTGTAACCATAAATTGAGAATTTTCAGGCCACCAGATGCCTGGTGGATCCCAGCTTAGCAGTGGTCAATACTCTATTCCTGAGTGGCATCTAAAAGACATTCACATCAGAAATGCCACCGGGCTGCCAACTTCAGAAGGGACTCCCAGAGCTCTCTCCCTGGTAGGTTTTGGGTTTCTTCTCTGGAGGTGGATTCTTGGCAAGGACATTTTTCAGACTTGAAACCCTTTGTTAAAGACTGCATTTGTGGGGCTCAGTTCCTTAATGATCTTACGTAAACTGATTAAACACACACACACACATAAATACATACACATACACACACACACACACACACACACACACCCCTGGGCTTAAAGCGTGCTTTCGAGTGGTAATTGGAAGTTGTGTGAGTTTTTGTTGTAGGAATTTGATGTACTTTGCAATCAATTACAGTTAATTCAATTCCTTTCCCATTACTTGAGTTTTGGGTATGGAGTGGCAGGTAGTTTGATCCTTGTTTCATTGGTGGAAAAGCTGAGAAATTCTTTGCTCCAGGACACACAGAAGGCAGCTGCAGGACTGAGTCCAGGCTTCTATCTTTATTGCCCATTGCCTGGTTGTTTGGTTCCACTGTCAAGAAATTCAGGACCCAGGAGGCCTGCAGAACCTACTGTTGTATCTTCCTGTCTTTCTCTTGTTTGGATTTCTTCATTTGAGTGAGAGTCAACAGGGAGCCCTTCCCATAAAGGAACTCAGTATTCATGTTTGGAAGGCCATATTAGACGGTGCTCTTCTGCTGTCTTTACTTAAAAAAAAAATAGAAAAGAACGTGATGGCACAGAGTTATTCTTGTTAAAAAGAGTATTTCAAAAATGGAAAACGATGGTCCCTGTTCATCCACTCAAATCAACTCCAGTAGTTAGAAAGGCAAATGAGTACCATGTTCCTGAGAAACATTCTTTAAGTTAGTACATGTGTTGCTACATTGATGTGGGTTGAGCTTTCTTTTTTTTTTTTTTTTTAATTTTTTTTTTATTGATAATTCTTGGGTGTTTCTCACAGAGGGGGATTTGGCAGGGTCATGGGACAATAGTGGAGGGAAGGTCAGCAGATAAACAAGTGAACAAAGGTATCTGGTTTTCCTAGGCAGAGGACCCTGCGGCCTTCCGCAGTGTTTGTGTCCCTGATTACTTGAGATTAGGGAGTGGTGATGACTCTTAACGAGCATGCTGCCTTCAAGCATCTGTTTAACAAAGCACATCTTGCACCGCCCTTAATCCATTTAACCCTGAGTGGACACAGCACTTGTTTCAGAGAGCACAGGGTTGGGGGTAAGGTCACAGATCAACAGGATCCCAAGGCAGAAGAATTTTTCTTAGTGCAGAACAAAATGAAAAGTCTCCCATGTCTACTTCTTTCTACACAGACACGGCAACCATCCGATTTCTCAATCTTTTCCCCACCTTTCCTGCCTTTCTATTCCACAAAGCCGCCATTGTCATCCTGGCCCGTTCTCAATGAGCTGTTGGGCACACCTCCCAGACGGGGTGGTGGCTGGGCAGAGGGGCTCCTCACTTCCCAGTAGGGGCGGCCGGGCAGAGGCGCCCCTCACCTCCCGGACGGGGCGGCTGGCCGGGCGGGGGGCTGACCCCCCACCTCCCTCCCGGACAGGGCGGCTGGCCGGGCAGAGGGGCTCCTCACTTCCCAGTAGGGGCGGCCGGGCAGAGGCACCCCTCACCTCCCGGATGGGGCGGCTGGCCGGGCGGGGGGCTGACCCCCCCACCTCCCTCCTGGACAGGGCGGCTGGCCGGGTGGGGGGCTGACCCCCCCACCTCCCTCCCGGATGGGGCAGCTGGCCGGGCAGGGGGCTGACCCCCCCACCTCCCTCCCGGACGGGGCGTCTTGCTGGGCAGAGGGGCTCTTCACTTCCCAGTAGGGGTGGCCGGGCAGAGGTGCCCCTCACCTCCCAGACGGGGCGGCTGGCCGGGCGGGGGGCTGACCCCCCCACCTCCCTCCCGGATGGGGCGGGTGGCCGGGCGGGGGGCTGACCCCCCCACCTCCCTCCCGGACAGGGCGGCTGGCCAGGCGGAGACGCTCCTCACTTCCCAGATGGGGTGGCTGCCGGGCGGAGAGGCTCCTCACTTCTCAGACGGGGCAGCTGCCGGGCGGAGGGGCTCCTCACTTCTCAGACGGGGTGGTTGCCAGGCAGAGGGTCTCCTCACTTCTCAGATGGGGCGGCCGGGCAGAGACGCTCCTCACCTCCCAGACGGGGTCGTGGCCGGGCAGAGGCGCTCCTCACATCCCAGACGGGGCAGTGGGGCAGAGGCGCTCCCCACATCTCAGACGATGGGCGGCCGGGCAGAGACGCTCCTCACTTCCTAGATGTGATGACGGCCGGGAAGAGGTGCTCCTCACTTCCTAGATGGGATGGCGGCCGGGCAGAGACGCTCCTCACTTTCCAGACTGGGCAGCCAGGCAGAGGGGCTCCTCACATCCCAGACGATGGTTGGCCAGGCAGAGACACTCCTCACTTCCCAGACGGGGTGGCGGCCGGGCAGAGGCTGCAATCTCGGCACTTTGGGAGGCCAAGGCAGGCGGCTGGGAGGTGTAGGTTGTAGCGAGCTGAGATCAGGCCACTGCACTCCAGCCTGGGCACCATTGAGCACTGAGTGAATGAGACTCCGTCTGCAATCCCGGCACCTCGGGAGGCCGAGGCTGGCAGATCACTCGCGGTTAGGGGCTGGAGACTGGCCCGGCCAACACAGCAAAACCCCGTCTCCACCAAAACCAGTCAGGCGTGGCGGCGCGTGCCTGCAATCGCAGGCACTCGGCAGGCTGAGGCAGGAGAATCAGGCAGGGAGGTTGCAGTGAGCCGAGATGGCAGCAGTACAGTCCAGCTTTGGCTCCGCATGAGAGGGAGACCGTGGAAAGAGAGGGAGACTGTGGGGAGAGGGAGAGGGAGAGGGAGAGGGAGAGCGGGTTGAGCTTTCTTAAAAAAGTCAGTGACAAACGAATAGGACAACTTTTGTGACTATTTTTTTAAAATTGCCATGTTTGAAATCATAAGATATTTAAATTCCATCAGCTAAAAAAAGTCTACTCAGAATCTGCATTTATGTTTTCATAAATATTGTAGTGTAAGAAATGAATGCATTTTAAGTATTTGGATTATTGGTAATGTGTGTTACTTGTATGGTTATATTGCCCACAAAAGAATTTGTCATCTTTTATTTTTGTTATAAAGGAGATTGTGGAAGAAATGGAGAAGCTCATCTCCGTCATTCCCAAAGGGGAATCTGTATTTAAATTCTTGAGCTTTAAGCTTTCCTTGCCTCTTGGCATTCATAAGTAAATACGTGTGGAGAAAAAGCAGAGTAAAGACAATTAGATCAGTATGATAACACAATGCTACTGACTCATAACAGTTTATATGACCACTAGCTAGCACTATGCTACCACGTCAACTTAACGACTGAAAAATGACAATATTGAAAATCTCAGGGGAGTTCCCTTAAGCTTTAACTCATTCATTCATTCACTCACTCATGTGTTTATTCATGAACGTGTGCTATGAGCCAGCACAGCTAGAGCATACTGATGATACACATACCCATCTAGTTATTTGTAAGATTTTTGATTGGCATGAACTGTGATATCTAAGGCAGTTTTATGTAGTAGATCTTTTCGGGGAATTTCTTGCCCCATGTTTTTGCAACAACACTTATTTTTGTTCCTTAAAATATGCTTTTCCCCTAAAATTCATTTGAGAAAGCTAAGTAGATTGGAGAAGAGTAGTGGTACTGGCTGGTTCCCAGTTTCTATAATGTGCTAGGCTGCTTTGCTTTCTGTTTTAAAAACGCACACTCATGGCCTGTTACAGAGCCTGCATGCTGAAGAATTTTTAGTATATGAGTTAAGGAGTGAATAAGAGGCATAAGATTTGGTATAAATGATTTTTCATTTTATATCTCTCTATAGATCTATTGTCATTATTTAAAATTGCATTTTGCAGGAAAAATATTAAACTGCATGTCCCTTTTTGGTCCATTGGCCTGTGAGATTTCTCTCGCAGGGCTGTGGTTCTTCCCAGCTCTTGCTCCCGGGGTGGGTGTGGCTGTCTGGTTGTGGCTGCTGATGTTTCTGTGACACAGGACATAGCAGAAGCACGTGGTATTCTTCCCGTTTCCCTTACTCCCTTCTGTGTTTAAAATCTTTAAATATTATACAAATAGCACACTCATATATGCTTAATATAAAACTTCAAGCCATGCAAAGTGAAAGCCCCTTCCAGATATTTCTCTGTTTATATACATATACATATACATATATCATTTATATACATAAATGAAATCCTACTATTATTCTACATTTTGCTTTTTATATTTAATATTCTGTCTTGGTGATCTTTCATATCTGCCTCACTCCTTTTAATTACTACATAGTATTTCATTAAAGGTATATATCATTAATTTATTGAGCAATTGCCTTATTGATAACATTTAAGTTGTCCCTCAAATCACTTTTTGTTACTACAAACAATACTGCAGCTAATATTTTTACATATTCTTTGGATATGTGCATTATTTCTATAGGATGGATTCTTTGAAATGGAATTGCTTGAGTCAAAGAGAATGCACATTTACATTTTTGATAGCACTAATAGGGAGTTCTATACACATGCCAAGACATATATAAGATTTTTGAGATGGAGCCAAGATGGCCGAATAAGAACAGCTCCAGTCTATGGCTCCCAGCATGAGCGATGCAGAAGACGGGTGATTTCTGCATTTCCAAGTGAGATACCGGGTTCATCTCACTGGGGAGTGCCGGACAGTGGGTGTGGGACAGTGGGTGCAGCGCACCCTGTGTGAGCTGAAGCAGGGCGAGGCATCGCCTCACCCAGGAAGTGCAAGGGGTCAGGGAATTCCCTTTCCTAGTCAAAGAAAGGGGTGACAGACGGCACCTGGAAAATTGGGTCACTCCCACCCTAATACTGCGCTTTTCCAACAGGCTTAACAAATGGCACACCAGGAGATTATATCCCGCACATGGCTCGGGGGGTCCTACGCCCACGGAGCCTCACTCATTGCTAGCACAGCAGTCCGAAATCAAACTGCAAGGTGGCAGCGAGGCTGGGGGAGGGGTGCCCGCCATTGCCGAGGCTTGAGTAGGTAAACAAAGCTGCTGGGAAGCTCAAACTAGGTGGAGCCCACCGCAGCTCAAGGAGGCCTGCCTGCCTCTGTAGGCTCCACCTCCAGGGGCAGGGCACAGACAAAAGGCAGCAGTAACCTCTGCAGATTTAAATGTCCCTGTCTGACGGCTTTGAAGAGAGTAGTGGTTCTCCCAGCACACAGCTTCAGATCTGAGAACAGGCAGACTGCCTCCTCAAGTGGGTCCCTGGCCCCCAAGTAGCCTAACTGGGAGGCACCCCCCAGTAGGGGCGGACTGACACCTCACACGGCCAGGTACTCCTCTGAGACAAAACTTCCAGAGGAATGATCAGGCAGCAGCATTTGCGGTTCACCAATATCCACTGTTCTGCAGCCACCGCTGCTGATACCCAGGAAAACAGGATCTGGAGTGGACCTCCAGCAAACTCCAACAGACCTGCCGCTGAGGGTCCTGACTGTTAGAAGGAAAACTAACAAACAGAAAGGACATCCACACCAAAAACCCATCTGTACATCACCATCATCAAAGACCAAAGGTAGATAAAACCACAAAGATGGGGAAGAAACAGAGCAGAAAAACTGGAAACTCTAAAAATCAGAGCACCTCTCCTCCTCCAAAGGAACACAGCTCCTCACCAGCAATGGAACAAAGCTGGACGGAGAATGACTTTGACGAGTTGAGAGAAGAAGGCTTCAGAAGATCAAACTACTCCGAGCTAAAGGAGGAAGTTTGAACCAATGGTAAAGAAGTTAAAAACCTTGAAAAAAAATTAGACAAATGGCTAACTAGAATAACCAATGCAGAGAAGTCCTTAAAGGACCTGATGGAGCTGAAAACCATGGCATGAGAACTACGTGACGAATGTACAAGCCTCAGTAGCTGATGCGAACAACTGGAAGACAGGGTATCAGTGATGGAAGACGAAATGAATGAAATGAAGTGAGAAGAGAAGTTTAGAGAAAAAAGAATAAAAAGGAACGAACAAAGCCTCCAAGAAATATGGGACTATGTGAAAAGACCAAATCTACGTCTGATTGGTGTACCTGAAAGTGACAGTGAAAATGGAACCAGGTTGGAAAACACTCTTTAGGATATTATCCAGGAGAACTTCCCCAATCTAGCAAGGCAGGCCAACATTCAAATTCAGGGAATACAGAGAATGTCACAAAGATACTCCTTGAGAAGAGCAACTCCAAGACACATAATTGTCAGATTCACCAAAGTTGAAATGAAGGAAAATATGTTAAGGGCAGCCAGAGAGAAAGGTCGGGTTACCCACAAAGGGAAGCCCATCAGACTAACAGCTGATCTCTCGGCAGAAATTCTACAAGCCAGAAGAAAGTGGGGGCCAATAATCAACATTCTTAAAGAAAAGAATTTTCAACCCAGAATTTCATATCCAGAGAAACTAAGCTTCATAAGTGGAGGAGAAATAAAATCCTTTACAGACAAGCAAATGCTGAGAGATTTTGTCACCACCAGGCCTGCCCTAAAAGAGCTCCTGAAGGAAGCACTAAACATGGAAAGGAACAGCTGGTACCAGCCACTGCAAAAACATGCCAAATTGTAAAGACCATCGAAGCTAGGACAAAACTGCATCAACTAACAAGCAAAATAACCAGCTAACATCATAATGACAGGATCAAATTCACACATAACAATAGTAACCTTAAGTGTAAATGGGCTAAATGCTCCAATTAAAAGACACAGACTGGCAAATCGGATAAAGAGTCAAGACCCATCAGTGTGCTGTATTCAGGAAACCCATCTCATGTGCAGAGACACACATAGGCTCAAAATAAAGGGATGGAGGAAGATCTACCAAGCAAATGGAAAACAAAAAAAGGCAGGGGTTGCAATCCTAGTCTCTGAAAAAACAGACTTTAAACCAAGAAAGATCAAAAGAGACAAAGAAGGCCATTACATAATGGTAAAGGGATCAATTCAACAAGAAGAGCTAACTATCCTAAATATATATGCACCCAATACAGGAGCACCCAGATTCATAAAGCAAGTCCTTAGTGACCTACAAAGAGACTTAGACTCCCACACAATAATAATGGGAGACTTTAAGACCCCACTGTCAACATTAGACAGATCAACGAGACAGAAAGTTAACAAGGATATCCAGGAATTGAACTCAGCTCTGCACTAAGCAGACCTAATAGACATCTACAGAACTCTCCACCCCAAATCAACAGAATATACATTCTTTTCAGCATCACACCACACCTATTCCAAAACTGACCACATAGTAGGAAGTAAAGCACTCCTCAGCAAATGTAAAAGAACAGAAATAATAACAAACTGTCTCTCAGACCACAGTGCAATCAAACTAAAACTCAGGATTAAGAAATCACTCAAAACCGCTCAACTACATGGAAACTGAACAACCTGCTCCTGAATGACTACTGGGTACATAACGAAATGAAGGCAGAGATAAAGATGTTCTTTGAAAACAACGAGAACAAAGACACAACATACCAGAATCTCTGGGACACATTCAAAGCAGTGTGTAGAGGGAAATTTATAGCACTAAATGCCCACAAGAAAAAGCAGGAAAGATCTAAAATTGACACCCTAACATCACAATTAAAAGAACTAGAGAAGCAAGAGCAAACACATTCAAAAGCTAGCAGAAGGCAAGAAATAACTAAGATCAGAGCAGAACTGAAGGAAATAGAGACACAAAAAACCCTTCAAAAAATCAATCCAGGAGCTGGTTTTTTGAGGAGATCAACAAAATTGATAGACCGCTAGCAAGACTAATGAAGAAAAGAGAGAAGAATCAAATAGACGCAAAAAAAAATGACAAAGGGGATATCACCACCGATCCCACAGAAATACAGACTACCATCAGAGAATGCTATAAACGCCTCTACACAAATAAACTAGAAAATCTAGAAGAAATGGATAAATTCCTCGACACCTATACCCTCCCAAGACTAAACCAGGAAGAAGTTGAGTCTCTGAATAGAGCAATAACAGGCTCTGAAATTGAGGCAATAATTAATAGCTTACCAACCAATAAAAGTCCAGGACCAGATGGATTCACAGCCAAATTCTACCAGAGGTATGAGGGAGGAGCTGGTACCATTCCTTCTGAAACTATTCCAATCAATAGAAAAAGAGGGAATCCTCCCTAACTCATTTTATGAGGCCAGCATCATCCTGATACCAAAGCCTGTCAGAGACACAACCAAAAAAGAGAATTTTAGACCAATATTCTTGATGAACATTGATGCAACAATCCTCAATAAAATATTGGCAAACTGAATCCAGCAGCACCTCAAAAAGCTTATCCACCATGATCAAGTGGGCTTCATCCCTGGGATGCAAGGCTGGTTCAACATATGCAAATCAATAAACATAATCCAGCATATAAACAGAACCAAAGACAAAAACCACATGATTATCTCAATAGATGCAGAAAAGGCCTTTGACAAAATTCAACAACACTTCATGCTAAAAACTCTCAATAAATTAGGTATTGATGGGACATATCTCAAAATAATAAGAGTTATCTATGACAAAGCCACAGCCAATATCATACTGAATGGGCAAAAACTGGAAGCATTCCCTTTGAAAACTGGCACAAGACAGGGATGCCCTCTCTCACCACTCCTATTCAACATAGTGTTGGAAGTTCTGGCCAGGGCAGTCAGGCAGGAGAAGGAAATAAAGGGCATTCAATTAGGAAAAGAGGAAGTCAAATCGTCCCTGTTTGCAGATGACATAATTGTATATCTAGAAAACCCCATCGTCTCAACCCAAAATCTCCTTAAGCTGATAAGCAACTTCAGCAAAGTCTCAGGATACAAAATCAATGTGCAACAATCACAAGCATTCTTATACACCAATAACAGACAAACAGAGAGCCAAATCATGAGTGAACTCCCATTCACAATTGCTTCAAAGAGAATAAAATACCTAGGAATCCAACTTACAAGGGATGTGAAGCACCTCTTCAAGGAGAACTACAAACCACTGCTCAATGAAATAAAAGAGGATACAAACAAATGGAAGAACAGTCCATGCTCATGGGTAGGAGGAATCAATGTCGTGAAAATGGCCATACTGCCCAAGGTAATTTGTAGATTCAATGCCATCCCCATCAAGCTACCATGACTTTCTTCACAGAATTGGAAAAAACTACTTTAAAGTTCATATGGAACCAAAAAAGAACCCACGTTGCCAAGTCAATCCTAAGCCAAAAGAACAAAGCTGGAGGTATCACGCTACCTGACTTCAAACTATACTACAAGGCTACAGTAACCAAAACAGCATGGTACTGGTACCAAAACAGAGATATAGACCAATGGAAGAGAACAGAGCCCTCAGAAATAATGCCACATATCTACAACTATCTGATCTTTGACAAACCTGACAGAAACAAGAAATGGGGAAAGGATCCCCTATTTAATAAATGTTGCTGGGAAGACTGGCTAGCCATATGTAGAAAGCTGAAACTGGATCCCTTCCTTACACCTTATACAAAAATTAATTCAAGATGGATTAAAGACTTACATGTTAGACCTAAAACCATAAAAACCCTAGAAGAAAACCTAGGCAATACCATTCAGGACATAGGCATGGGCAAGGACTTCATGTCTGAAACACCAAAAGCAATGGCAACAAAAGCCAAAATTGACAAATGGGATCTAATTAAAGAGCTTCTGAACAGCAAAAGAAACCACCATCAGAGTGAACAGGGAACCTACAGAATGGGAGAAAATTTTTGCAACCTACTCATCTGACAAAGGGCTAATATCCGGAATCTACAATAATCTCAAACAAATTTACAAGAAAAAAAAACAACCCCATCAAAAAGTGGGCAAAGTATATGAACAGACACTTCTCAAAATAAGACATTTATGCGGCCAACAGACACATGAAAAAATGCTCATCATCACTGACCATCAGATAAATGCAAATCAAAACCACAATGAGATACCATCTCACACCAGTTAGAATGGCGATCATTAAAAAGTCAGGAAACAACAGGTGCTGGAGAGGATGTGGAGAAATAGGAACACTTTTACACTGTTGGTGGGACTGTAAACTAGTTCAACCATTGTGGAAGTCGGTGTGGCGATTCCTCAGGGATCTAGAACTAGAAATACCATTTGACCCAGCCATCCCATTACTGGGTATATACCCAAAGGATTATAAATCATGCTGCTATAAAGACACATGCTCACATATGTATATTGTGGCACTATTCACAATAGCAAAGACTTGGAACCAACCCAAATGTCCAACAATGATAGACTGGATTAAGAAAATGTGGCACATATACACCATGGAATACTATGCAGCCATAAAAAATGATGAGTTCATGTCCTTTGTAGGGACATGGATGAAACTGGAAACCATCATTCTCAGCAAACTATCGCAAGGACAAAAAACCAAACACCGCATGTTCTCACTCATAGGTGGGAACTGAACAATGAGAACACATGGACACAGGAAGGGGAACATCACACACCGGGGACTGTTGTGGGGTGGGGGGAGTGGGGAGGGATAGCATTAGGAGATATACCTAATGCTAAATGACGAGTTGATGGGTGCAGCACACTAACATGGCACATGTATACATATGTAACCTGAACATTGTACACATGTACCCTAAAACTTAAAGTATGATAATAATAATAATAGTAATAAAAAGAAGCTGTCAGGATGTCTCCAGAGCTCATCTGAGTGGATAAAATATCCAGTTTGTTTCAAATCATCCTTTTTCATTTGAATCCTCAGGTATTATTTTTGTGTGTGTGTGTTGGGGGGTGTTCCTGAGACCCTTGAAGGCCCCTGATAGGCCAGGGAAATTAAAGTTCCAGTGACTGCAGGGAGTGAGGAGCTGAGTAAGAAGAACTTACGTTGCAAGTCACTGTTCTAAGTGATAATGGCAAAAACCATTTAGTCCTCATTTTTACAACCAAAATTTATTACTATCCCATTTTACAGATGAGGATAATGAGGTGAGATTTAACTGTAAATTATTAACATGAAAATACAGTCTTTAAAATTTCTAAAAATAATTTATTTTTGAAATAGCAAACAATATTTTTACCTTTAAAACATATTTACAAATTTAATGTCAGAAAAAGCATTCTAGGAAAACTCAGTAGAATTTAATGTGCAGACCTCTTTATGGCCTAATAATCTTAAAAAGACTTAATACCTGCTCTTGAGCACATTCCAACCTGGGTATACTCAAACTTTTGTTCAAAATGGATTTTAAGAACGTAGATTTTTCCTTGTAGTAAATAAGATTAATTTTGCTAGCCCAGATCAACTCTTGGACTATGTGAAAATGCGAGTGGCTAGTATTCGCATGGATAGACTCAAATTACCCTGAGTTGGCTGGCCTGAACCATGTATGTAACTCACACTTTCTCCTTGCCTGTCCTTTTGCACTGCAGCAGTATCTGAGTTGATCATCTTTTTGGTAAAGGTTTCTGCCGGTTCCTTGGACTTCTCAAGAAGTAGTTGTTCTGACAGCATCCCCTAACATATCCCCCAAGGAGACTCATGCTGGAACCACATAGGCTCAAAGAGCACTTCAAGAAAAAGAAGGCCTGGTCTGGAATGAGAATAGTGGTGGTGTGGGTAACCCAATTTCCTCTCTTCTGAGAAAAAAAGAAATTCAACTGTATGGGTAGAATATCCTTTCCCAAAGCAATTCCAAGATGTTAGACAAATTTTCGCAGTAAAAAAGATGACTGAACACAGAAATACCATTTAGGACATAAAATGGAGGCCAAGGAGGCTGGGTGCGGTGGCTCACGCCTGTAATCCCAGCACTTCGGGAGGCCAAGGCGGGTGGATCACCAGGTCAGGAGATCGAGACCTCCTGACTAACACAGTGAAACTCCATCTCTACTAAGAATACAAAAAATTAGCCGGGTGTGGCGGTGGGCGCCTGTAGTCCCAGCTACTCGAGAGGCTGAGGCAGGAGAATGGCGTGAACCCGGAAGGCAGAGCTTGCAGTGAGCGGAGATCGCGCCACTGTACTCCAGCCTGGGTGACAGAGCAAGACTCTGTCTCAAAAAAAAAAAAAAAAAAAAAAAATGGAGGCCAAGGAAAAGAAGCCATTTAGTTTATTTTCAGAACCATTATTAATTCCTAAGGGCCCAGTTAAGCAACATTTTTATAACAATACATTTTAAAGGCTATTGCACAATACTACATTCTGGACTGACAGGGTAGTAAGTGCTTGCTTTTACTGAATGCTTCATACAATTTTCTTAAACTTCAGTGCTATGCTATGTATTAGTTTATTTTCAGTGTCAAAATCCTTCATTTACGAAGAGTTTTTAACAGAGGTATAATGGTGATAAATCAATATTAATATAAAAAAACAGACATTATGAAAAGGTAATATTCACTGTGTAAATTTGCTATGTGGTTATTAAAAAATTCACTTACATGAAGTCAATTCAATTTGGAAAACGTATCCATTGACTGCTCTCTACTAGGAATAAGCTAAATATTGTAAAAATAAAATAAAATAAAATAAAAACAATTCCTGCCCTCAAGGATACCACTACTGTCTCTGCCCTCAAGGATACCACGACTGTCTCTGAAATCACAGAACTGGGGATGGAGGGGTAGTCACTGGGAACAACGTTCTATGCTTACAGCGTTAAGTAAATGCGGGACGTGAAGCAGATGATACGGGCTTTGATTTTCTCATCTGTGAAACAAGAAAATTAAATTTAATTTAGAAACAGTGAAGGCATTTTCTCAAAAGTTTGTATACTTGTGCTTCTCTTTCTATAATTCACATTCTATTCTACCCTAAATCTTATTAATAAGCAAGAATTCTAATCAGACATTAGTAATCCCCTGATATAAATGTATGTGCACAGCTGGTACCACACTATTACAACATGATGACTTTAGACGGTGCCAAAAATGCCATTTACATGGAGGCCATGTATGCTCAAAAGGTTTTCAAAAGTTACATTTATTGACGTGTTCACATTACTGTGTTGTTTTGGAAAATAGCCAAGAACCCATCTGCTGAATTTTTTTAGACCTTTGGTGTGGAGGTATCTTACTTGTATTCCAACTTAACCACATACCAAGACCTAACAAATCGTTTATTAGAACAACACTAAGACATCCAAACCAATAAATTAACAGGTGGTGCCTAAAAATTGAGTTTTTTTGTTTCATTTAATCAGTTAGTTTAAGCAATTTTAGTTTTCCAGATGTGCTAGGTATTGAATCACCTCAGAGAAGAGTTTGAACAAAACAGATATTGTAAAACTTGGTTTTTATTGCTAAAAATGGAAAGTCTGAAGATTGGAAATTTGACCTAATATTAGCCTCAGATGGAAACAAATTCAAAGCAGAGCCTGGAGATGGGCGGCGTCCAGGATGTCATCACCTGCACTTCCAAGGGCTGCTGTGAAATGAGGAAAATCACCTCCTGATCTCAGCACCAGGCCTGAGCATGCAAAGTCCCAGGGATGCCTAGGTTCTGTATTTACCATTTCAACAAATTTCCTCCTATCACTGATTCTGAAAACACTTTCAAAAAACACACAAATATGTGCTTTCATATATTAACAGACGATAAAAGAACAGAGGGTGGTTAAGAGCTACATGGAACCATGCTTGAAGCCCATTTCCACTTACTTGCTCTCTGACACATACTTGATCTTTCTGAGATTTCATTCCAAATTGATAAAATAGAGCTTTGTGTAGTGGCAGCTTCTGACATGAAGCAAGGCTCTCAGAAAGTGTTGCCTCCCCCTTTCCTTCCTATGCTGCCTCTTGCTTCTACATTGAAAAGCAGTCTGGTGCCCTCTTCTAATGAGACTGAAGCAAAAAGGAATAATGGATTAGCACCTCCAACTAGAGACTAATCAGAAGGTCCATACTGAAAGAAGTCCTGACCACAAAAGTGGACTACCATGAAAGCCTTCAAAGTTTTATACATGAGGAACCATGTCTTGGACAAGGGCACACATCAGTATACCTGTATTAAACATGTGGTGTAGAGGATAGACCCTTCCTATTTCAGTGAAATTAGAGATCATTTGATAGATCACAAAATTTTAGGTTTTTTTTTTTTTTGAGATGAAGTCTCGCTCGGTTGCCCAAGCTCAAGGGCAGTGGTGCGATCTCGGCTCACTGCAATCACTGCCTCCCGGTTTCAAACAATTCTCCTGCCTCAGCCTCCTGAGTAGCGGGATTACAGGCGCCCGCCACCATGCCCAGCTAATTTTTGTATTTTTAGTAGAGACGGGGTTTCACCAGGTTGGTCAGGCTGGTCTGAAACTCCTGACCTCGTGATCCGCCCGCCTCGGCCTCCCAAAGCGGCAATTTTCAGCAAATTGTTCAATTTATGAGGATCAAAATGTATGTTTTATAAAATGAAAATGAGGACTAGCAATTTTGGATTCCAAGGTTTATGAGAGACAGAGTCTCTCTGTGTCGCCCAGGCGGGACTGCAGTGGCGCTATCTTGGCTCACTGCAAGCTCCACCTCCCGGGTTCATGCCATTCTCCTGCCTCAGTCTCCCGAGTAGCTGGGACTACAGGCGCCTGCCACCGCCCAGGCTAATTTTTTTGTATTTTTAGTAGAGACAGAGTTTCACCATGTTAGCCAGGACGGTCTCGATCTCCTGACATCGTGATCTGCCCGCTTTGGCCTCCCAAAGAGCTGGGATTACAGGCGTGAGCCACTGCGCCCGGCCTGGTATATTTTCAAGGTGGTTACCAATCAAGCTAGAATAACCTGGTGCAAATAGTGAAGTGGTTAGAATTAATAGAGAAACTTGGTCCCTAGAGTAGGATTTAAAAGTGAGTGGTCTCTGTTGCAGATTTTGGTTAATTTTAGATCCCAGTGATCTTTACAGAGGAAGGGAGCACAAATATCTATTATAAATAGCATCAGAGATTCTATTTTTAGATTGTTAACTAAAGGAGTTTCTCTTTAATTTAGCAAGAGAATGCTTGTATTCCATTGTTACTGAGTATCCAAGACAAGTTGATTATGTATTAAATTCCAATGACGACTGGGGGCAATGGCTCATGCCTGTAATCCCAGCACCTCAGGAGGCCGAGGGGGGTCGATCACATGAGGCCAGGAGTTAGAAACCAGCCTGGCTAACATGGTGAAACCTCCTCTCTCCTAAAGATATAAAAATTAGCTGGGTGTGGTGGGGTGCACCTGTAGTCTTAGCTACTAGGGAGGCTGAAACATGAGAATTGCTTGAACCTGGGAGATGGAGGTTGCAGTGGGCCAAGATCCTGACACTGCACTCCAGCCTAGGAGACAGAGCTAGGTTGTGTCTCAAAAAGACAAACAAAAAAAACTAATGATGATGAAACAGTGTGATAACCATATTGGTATTGGTGACAATATTATTGAAAAAAGTTTTAAAAATAAAACCATAAGACATATGATCCCTTGAAATAATAACAATAAAATTTAATCAGCAATAGAATTTTCCAAATCATAGGAGAAAATTGTATGATGTATTGGCAGGAGAAAAGTTTAGTGCAGGGCAGCAGGTGCTGTGTGTAAGGAAGATTGAGATAAATTATTTAAGTTTTCAGAGTTTTTATACTTGTGTAATATTCAGATTTACCCATGCTTTAGAGCACAGAGCAAATCCCTTCTTTTCCTGTCCATGACTTAAGAACTTCTTCCTACTCTTCTAGTGCATTAAAAAAGTCTCAGTTATAGCATTTTGCACAATCTAGTTTGTAATCCCACCTAAAAATTTATGACAGTCTTTTCCCTCTAGAGCAATGGTATCCAATAGAAACATAATGTGAGTGACTTATGTCATTTAAAATTTTCTAGTAGCCATATTTGAAAAGGTAAAAAATGTAGGGATAACAAGTTTAGTAATATTTTAATTTTATCTAAAATAGAATGATTTCAATGTATAGCCAATGTAAAATTATTAATGAAATATTACATATTTTTCATACTAAGTCTTTGAAATCCATTGTACATTATATAGTTAAGGTACATCTTAATTTGGACTAACCACATATTAAGTGTTCAATAGATACACATAGGCAAGTGGCTACTGGTTTGAACAGAAACGCTCTAGAACTTATTTCTCTACAATGTACCTTATTATTTTTAGAATCTTCTGTAATACCATGAGTAACATTTGGCACATAAGAGATACTCGGTATAAAAAATATATTGAATTAAGCTTATCTTTAGTTATTTCAAGGCAATGAGATCAGTGAGAATCTATGAGTAGCTTTAACCATGCAAAGAAGTTCTTGTCTCAAACAGGAGCACTGACCTGGGCCAAAATCATCCTGTCCAATGACACTTCTAGAAGCACATGAAAACATAAGCATGCTAGTGAGAGTTAAATGGGCCCAGAAACAAGTGCTGGGCATTTGTTTGACGGCCCAGTGGATTCTGCTTTGACTCCAGCTCTGAGTGTGAACCATCCCTTCCAGGACGCTGACCTGAGTTTCCTGGCCATGAGGCACACCTCTTTCACTGCATCTGGTACCCGGACACTGAGTAACCTTCCCTTCCTTTTGAGGTAGCACTGACTCTTGGACTCTGGCTTTAGAATTCTTTGAAATTGGACCAGGAGAGGCAAGGACACTAAATAGCATCCTTTATCCCTTAATCTTTAAGTAATCACCAGAAAAGCTGAACAGAAAAGCACTGGTGTAGGCCAGTTCTTTGAAAGGGGAGCTCCTCAACCCTTTTCTGAAGCCAGTGTGATAATATATCCTCAAGAGCTGAGGTCTTTAAGCCACGGCATCTAAAAGCAAGGATGAGTTACTAGACTGACCATGAACTCAAAATCCACTTTCAGTCCTCCAATTTATAAACCTTCTTCTGTGACCCAATAGACTTGTCTAAATTCCCTGATAAAAACTTGATAGTTGGCCGGGCGCAGTGGCTCACGCCTGTAATCCCAGCACTTTGGGATGCCGACGCGGGTGGATCACGAGGTCAGGAGATCGAGACCATCCTGGCTAACAGGGTGAAACCCTGTCTCTACTAAAAAATACAAAAAATTAGCCGGGCGTCCTGGCGGGCGCCTGTAGTCCCAGCTACTCGGGAGGCTGAGGCAGGAGAATGGCGTGAACCCGGGAGGCGGAGCTTGCGGTGAGCCGAGATTGCGCCACTGCGCTCCAGCCTGGGGGACAGAGCGAGACTCCGTCACAAAAAAGCAAAACAAAACAACAACAAAAAAACTTGATAGTTTGCCAACAATCCACTATTTTGTAGTCTAGTTAATTTTTTTTTTTTAAGACGGAGTCTTGCTCTGTCGCCAGGCTGGAGTGCAGTGGCCCAGTCTCGGCTCACTGCAGTCTCCACCTCCCAGGTTCAAGCGATTCCTCTGCCTTAGCCTCCCGCATAGCTGGGACTACAGGCATGTGCCACCACGCCCCGCTAATTTTTTGTATTTTTAGTAGAGATGGGGTTTCAACATGTTGGCCAGGATGTTCTCGATCTCCTAACCTCGTGATCCGCCCGCTGTGGCCTCCCAAAGTGCTGAGATTACAGGCGTGAGCCACTAATGTTTATATATGTTATATATTTATATATATAAATATGTTATATATTTATATATAATATATATATCTATGTTATATATTTATATATAATATATATATCCTGGCCAATATATAATATATATAAATATATAATATTTAATATGATATATATAATAAATATATAATTATATATTGTATATTTATATAAAATATATTATTTTACATATTTATATATTATATTTTATATATTTATATATTATATTATATATATTATATATTTATATATTTATATATATATAAATATATATAAATTTTAAAAATCATTTTAAAATCATTTTGTTTAAAATCATTTTGTCTTTAGGACGACAGTTTGCTTTAAGTTGTTTTCTTTGAAGAATATTAATTTTAGGTTATCCCTACGTGACTATTAATTGCTGTCACCAGATACTGTGAATTTATCTTTTTTTAATTCATAGTGTATTTTTATTTTTAATTTGTATAGGTAGAGGGAAGAAAGACATCTTTAATTGGATTAACATTTTAGTTCATTAGATAAGCCCGCCTGCGAAGTGGCTCACGCCTGTAATCCCAGCACTTTGGGAGGCCAAGGTGGTGGGATTGGCTGAGGTCAGGAGTTAGAGACCAGCCTGGCTAACATGGTGAAGCCCCATTTCTACTAAAAATACAAAAATTTAGCAAGGTGTGGCTGCAGGCGCCTGTAATCCCAGCTACTCAGGTTGCTAAAGCTTGAACCCCAGGAGGCAGAGGTTGCAGTGAGCCAAGACTGTGCCACTGCACTCCAGCTTGTGCAATAAGAGCGAAACTCCATCTCGAAAGACAAACAAAAAAAAAGGTAAGCCATAGGTGAGCAATAAAGAGAAAACAGATAGGCTTTTGATTCACACAAGACTGGGTTTAATTTCTAGCTTCCTCACTTCGCAGGTGTGACTTTGCAAACATTACTTAACACCAAGTATGATTTTCTATACAAAAAGGAGAATAATAATATGTCCTTTAAGGACAGTTTTGTGGGAATAACATTATGAATATTAGCAGCATTTAATTCAGTGTCTCATACATTCTCATTAGCATCATTAACTGAACTTGCTATGACTACTACTAATATCATTACTCCTAATATTGTTTTAAGCCTTCAGATGGCTCTCATTTGTCTGACTTCTAGCTGATTTTGAAGAACAAAATATTTTATCAGACTAAGGAAGAAATAGAGAATTCTTCACTTAAATCTTTGCGTCTTTAAGATTCGTGAACAGAGCATATTTTCTTGCCCTTCAAAGGACTTTATGTTAGCCACTTCTAGTATGCCATATCCCAGTGGGACGTGAGTCTTTCTGCCCCTTCCTTTCAGCCTTGGTGGTGATTTACAAGGATAAACACTTGAGCACTCAACATACTTATGTTTATTAGTACACGTAAATGGTTAATTCTACACTGACAGGCACATATTAAATTGGTTCTGTTCCTAATAATGAAGTTATATCTTTGTTATTTTAGCACAGCCCTCATGCTTGCCGTATGTCATGGATCATCAGAGATAGTCGGCATTCTTCTTCAGCAAAATATTGACATCTGTGCTGAAGATATGTGTGGAATGACTGCAGGAGGTTATGCTGTTGCTAGTAGATTTAATCCATTAGTGTTTATATTTAAAGGGTAGGTGAGATTTCATAGTTTGTTTCAGGTAATTTTTGAATGTCAGTGAGTTAGTTCACTTCATCAGCCAGAAACTAGGCAAAAAGCTAAACTAGTCGGAAGGAGTAATGGGTCCAGGATTCTTTATTTTAGGACTTCCAACAACTTTATCCCTAGGGATCCTAATGTTGTCTACTTGATTTGCAGTATAACCCCCATCCATGGGATAAACATAGTGTCACAATTTTGATTTTTCTAATTAGTTATTTGGGTCTTGAAATGTCCACTTCAGCAGAAAACCTGATAGTGTCCCTGGGGGCTGTCTTCCATACCTTCATCCTTGAATTTTTAAAAAGAATCTAAGGGGTTCCCTAAGTCCAAGGAAGACATTCCTTTTGTTTAAGTCAGAAGGATTGGGGGCGGGTGGGAAATGCCCGTTCTCTTCATTTTGTTGTTTCCATTGATTCTGTTGCTGCATTGGTGCCATTGAAACTACTCTTGCAGTCTGGTAATGATTGACCTTTGCCACCAGGATGCTCTTACTAATACAGATCCCTCAGTCTTCATGGTGATCCATATGTAGACTTCAAAGTTATTTCATTTTTTTAAAGTTCACATACATATTCTCAGCCATTGTTTCCAAAGTACCAGCACCCTGCTCTGGCAGCTAGGACGTTTAGCTTTAGCCACACACATAGTAAGCAAATTGACCCTTCTCCTCCCACTCAAAACCTGATGTGAAACCCACATCTTAGCCTGGACTTGGCCTAGACCTTCATGGTAAGTTATCCTTTGAGTGGCTTTTTTCTGTTTTCTCTAGCAAATATTAGTTGTGATAGTTGGAAACTGTAAGTCAGGTTGAAATAATTACAGGAAGAAATTAGAGATCCTTTTTATTTTGTTACCACATCTATATCCCTGGACCTTTATAATCTGTATAGCACCATTTTGTAGGTAGTGGAAGGTCTCATCTTATTCTGGAAGATCCCATGTCATCTTTCTCAAGTTACAGTGGGTTCCAACTTGTGCTTGTCCCCTCAAGTGATTCTTTTTTTCCTAAAAGTAAAAATCTCCCATGCTACCTGCATCTCTACCTCAAGTTTTTAAAATATTTTCAAATTCTGCATCACCATGAAGCCATTCAATAGACTTCACAAAACCCCAGGTAAGTTGGTTAGATTTAACAGAGCTAAGCCTCATCCATCACTGATCAGTCTTCAGGTATAAAAGTAGGGATTCATGCTGGCATCAGCAGTACATATAGTAAAATTGAAACAACTTTGAGAAGATCAGCATGGCCCCTGCACGAGGATGACACACAGATCTGTGAAGTGTTGTATATTTCTTGCAGTTTCCAAAAGGGCATGTGACTACTTTCTAACTAGCTCCAAGGAAATGGTGTGAGTCAAAGCAAAATGGTTGTCACCCAGTATTGCAGTTGTGATTTTCATACAAGAAATATTGATGCAAGGTGATATATGAAATGAGATGTGGTAACACATAGGATCTTGTGTGCAATATGCTGTTAGTGCATCTCAGAAATGAGGAAATACCAACTTGCATCTTCCTTGTGGAACTTACAAAAAATAAAGGTAGCGTTTTTTCTTCCACAGCAGCTGGAAATGAGCATAGTGACTAAGCATCATTCTAACAAAGATTTGTTGATTCAGAGTTTCAGGAGGTAGATAAAGAGTAGTAATAGTCCAAGCCAGATGCTGACATCTATTAGTTTTCTGCCCTTGGTGTGATTGATGAGCTCAGTAATAGAGGCTAATCAGGTTATCCAATTTAATGAATTCATATATTTATAAATAAATTTCATTACAAATTATAAAATAGCTTAGATGCCTTGAATTACAAGCCACAAAGAATAGAACATCTAATAACCAAAAGTAGGAGTTAATAACAGAAAAGTGCAACTTTTGAACATTATAACCTACGAAGAAACTTTTTTTTGAAATTTATTTATGTTTTGTAGAGACAGGGTATCCCTATGTTGCCCAGGCTGGTCTTGAATTTCTGGGCTCAAGTTGTCATCCTGTCTCAGCATCCTAAAGTGCTTGCATCACAGGCATGAGCCACTGCACCAGGCCAAAACATTGGATTTTATTGGGAATTTTAAAATAGTTTCAGCAATAAGGTTGAACAACAAGGTATTTCATTGCTTCACTATTTATTCGAGCATTTTAAAAACATTATCATGTTGAATCTTTATAATAAGCTAGTGAAATCAGGCTCTAAAATTCTCATTTTTAGAAGACGTTGAGCCTAACAAGCAACTTGTTCAAGAAAAAATACCTGTTGGTTACCACACTAGGACTTATTCTGAATTAAGGACATTTTCCATTATGCCAAGCTAACTCTAGTTAATTTACGGAATTATGCTGACCTCAATTCATGAGTATTTCATCTTACTTTCTTTCTTCTTTTATTAGCAGCTTAATAAGTTCCTAGAGCTTACAAACTTAAAGTCTCTGGAATAAGTAATGTTCTGCTGTTAGCTCTGATATTGTCTGAAATAGTCTAAGAACTTAATAAATTTGGAAAATTTGGTAAATGTTAAAATAGTAATTTTATTTATTACATTTTTATACATAGCATTCATCAATGTCTTTTGGAATATAAACAAAAGATATCTAAAAATCCTCAAAATAGCAATCCAGGTAAGACTTCTGATAGTAAACTACTCTTGGTGGTGCTACCATAAGGTTATGGAAATGTTGATCATACAATAGCAATTAAAAAAGCAATGTGGAAATAGGATGTGTTTACATATATACATATGTGTGTGTGTACATATATATATATAGCTTTGATTCAATTTTTTAGTTTATAATTCAGAATTAGTTATAGGTAGTTTATAATCTCAGAAAATATTATCTGAAAAAATATGTTTTTAATTATGGTCCCTAAAATTTTATATAATACTTTTGTATAAATAAGTAAAACAATTTTTTTTTTTTTTTTTTTTTTTTGAGACGGAGTCTCGCTCTGTCACCCAGCCTGGAGTGCAGTGGTGCAATCTCTACTCACTGCAGTCTCCGCCTCCCAGGTTCAAGCTATTCTCCTGCCTCAGCCTCCCGAGTAGCTGGGATTACAGGCACCTGCCACCATGCCCAGCTAATTTTTTTGTACTTTTGGTAAGACGGGGTTTCACCATGTGGGCCAGGCTGGTCTCAAACCCCTGACCTCAGGTGATCTGCCTGCCTTGGCCTCCCAAAATGCTGGGATTACAGAGATAAGTTAGGTTCTTAAGAGATGTGTATTAAAAGCTCCTACTTTAATTATATTTTTATCCAAGTTTTTTTTTTAATTGTTTAAAATGTACACATTTTACTGTGTATTATTGTACATACAGATTTTTTACTTATATTTTCTTCAAAAAATAGCTTTTATCTTAACAATGATTCTATTTATTCTGATTTATACTTATAACTATTGATTTCAATTCACCTGACATTAATATTGCCATTCGTGCTTTCTTTTTGTTGAGTTTGCTTTGTTCTCACCTTTTTTTTACCTTTATCTACCTATCTTTATTTGTTTTAAAGTGTTCTTCTTATAAAAACAAACATGGTATAAACATATTCTGATTAATGTGATAGTTTCCGTCCTAATAGAAGTACGCAGACTGATCACATTTATTATAACAATTGATATATGTGATTTATTCCTTCTGTCTTACATTGTGCTTCATCTTTATTTTACTGTTGGCCTCCCCTAGACTTTCTTATCTTTTTCTGATTTGAAATCCACTCTTTTCCCCGATACCCCACACTGCTGTTGATTTGGAAACTTGACTGAAAAACAATTCTACAATTCCATTCATAGTTATCTTCTTTATTTGCCACTTTCATGGGAAAACAAGTTTTTCGATTTTTTCCTCACTAAGATTCTATTTGTCCATTGCTTTCCCCTTCATCCCAATAGATGAGACCTTTAGAATGTTTTTATGTTTTGCATCTAGTTACGTAGCTGCTAGATTTTGCTGAGATAGTTTAATATTTTGAACTTCAGATTATTAGTTTTTCCCTTGAAGTGTATCTGTTCTGTTTAAAGTGTCTTTGCCTTTGACACTCCCCCATTTCTCTGCTCACCACCACCCTTTTTTCATGGTTCCATCTTCAAGTCCCTGTCTTGATTATTTTCTTAAGTGTTTTGCCCAAACAGGATGGATAGGTGATATATTCTCTGAATCTTTGCATAACTGTTAGTACAGTTTTTATTTTGCTCCAACAGTTGATTGATATTCATTTGCATGTAACATATCATCATGCCTCTTTATCTACCGCCTGAGCCATATTCTCCAGGCTAGCTTTTATCCGTAGTAAGCTGATATTTTAATCTCTGTCTATCTACTGCGTGGTCTCTTATTCTGAATTTCGACTGAAGAGAAAAAGGAACATGGTTGCTTTTTTTTTAATGCAGCAATAAAGAATAAATAGAAAAATTTGCAATGTTTATAATTGCTTAAATTGAAATATCATATGTATATATATGAATAAGCAAGAATAATATTCTGAGTACATTAGTATTATATTGAACGTTAAATACTGATTGATCCAACTACTAGTCATTGAGCTCCTGGAAGCCAGGGACAACATTTTAAACATTTCTGTGTCTCTAATGTATTTGCTGGAAGACAAAATATATTTCTCTTCCTACCCTTCCTCTCCCCCAACTCCTCCAATCTAAAATTGACCCTGTTTTCAGTACAACAAGATTCCAGATGGAAGTCAAGGTATATAGTGATTTTATTAACCCCGGTAGCAAAAATATTGTTTCAATAAAGATAAAAATTTTACATTCCATCTATGGTTTCCTTAATTTAAAAATATATTGGTAATACAGTTATATAGTTCAAAATCAAAGTGATATAAAATGATATTCATTAAGCCATCTTGCTCCCACCCTTGTCTCTATCAGGTTTGTACCTGTTTTTCCCTGCAGAGTTCATGCATTCAACAAATATTTATTAAATATTTATTGAGTACTTAGGTGCTCATTGTGTGCCAGACACTGTTCTAAGTGCTAAGGGCACAGCAATGGAAACAACAACAACAACAAAAAAAAACCAGGAAAAATAATTGTGGCCGCAAGATGCTTACGTCTAGTAGGAGAGACAAATTAACAAAACAAATAAGTTATATCGAATATTAGGAGATAAGTGCTGCAAAGGAAAAGAAAACAGGTGTGCACCACCGTGCCTGGCTATTTTATTATTATTGTTTTTTTAGAGATGAGGTCCTGCTACGCTGCCCAGCCTGGTCTCAAACTCCTGGGATCCAGCGATCCTCCCCTCTTTGCCTCCCAAAGTACTGAGATTACAGGCATGAACCATGTGCCCAGCCAATATATATATTTTTTCTTTTGAGACAAGGTCTGGCTCTGTCGCCCAGGCTGGAGTCCAGCGGCTCACTGCAACCTCCGCCTCCTAGGCTCAAGGGATCCTCCCACTTCAGCCTCCTGAGTAGCTAGGACTACTGGTGCATGTCACCACACTTGGCTTAGTTTTGAATTTTGTTTTGTAGAAACAGGGTTTTGCCACATTACCCAGGCTGGTCTCAAACTCCTGGGCTCAAGAGATCCAGCCACCTTGGCCTCCCAAAGTGCTGGGATTACAGGCGAGAGCCACCATACTGGGCCAAGATTTTTTTTAATTGGTTAAAACAAAGGTTTGGTATTGCCTAAAATAACTAAACAAGGTGGTATTTTATACACAGTTTAGTCAAACTGAGTATTTTCTGTCTTCCTTTCAAACACTGATTCAATGTGATTTTTGAGTGTGTTTTTCTCATTATTTGTCTTGCGAAAGAATTTCCTCCTTATTTGAAGAAAAGATATAGTTTGAGGAGACAGTAGTGGCGCTTCGGCCGCGCCCAGGGCCGCGGTTCGCTCTTCCCCGCGTGCGACCAGGCTGCCAGCACTGGGGACCTCTGGCGCCCGCCCGTCCGCAGCCAGCGGGGACAGCGGCCGCTCTGGGGAGGCGGCGGGGCAGGGGCGAGGGGAGGCCCAGCCCGGGGTCCGCCGAGCGTGACCTTCCCCGGGGCGAACCTCCTATCCCCACCCCTTCCCGGAATCCGTGCAGGGGCACTGGCCACGCCTGCAATCATAGCAAAAATGTCCCAGTGGGGACCATTCAGTAGCAAGAAATAGCACGGCGCGCCACCCTTACAGTCACTAACTCTTTTGTTCTCCGTGTTTAGGTAGAAACATGACTCAGAGAATCGGGTTCCCGCTCTGCAGCCTAAGCCAGAGGCGATGGTTTCCGCTTCTGCTTCTCTTGGCAGTGACCTGCCTTGACTTGGTCTGCTGCCTTTTGCAATCTGCTCTTGAAGGAAGGGCCAGCCTCTCGCATCTTCCTAGGAACAAGTCCGACCACGATCAGGGCTATTGTGAAATTAGCTAAATTAGTCCGTTCTCTCGACTTTTGGACTCTCTCCTCTGAATGCCTTATAGGTATAGTTTGGCAATCTCGCTCACACCTGGGTGTGAACCTGCGTGTACCCAGCCCGGGAGATATCGGGGTCTGTACAGGATTGGTACCCCTTATGGGTTAGAGAGACCTTCTTTCCTTAGCTCCAAGGCCAGATCTACGGGTGCTGTTCCGGTGCTGAGAGACAGCGTGTTTCTAACAGAAAATAAGTGATATAATTAAGGACTCAGCGCATGCACTCAAACACACAGAGCCAGTGAGATAATGGGTAAGCATTAGAGATACAGAAATGCAATTTAGTCCTCAAAAAATTCACTCTAATGAGGAAACAGACCAGCAAGTACGTAACTGCAGTTCTCTGATTCATGTATTTTCTTATTCTTCTTGCATTAAAGAATGCGATAGCCTCATAGCTGGGTACATTAATTTCATATTTAATCGTGTGGGTTTTTTTATGGAATGAAGACATCATAGACCATGTAAAGACATCTGAGAAAATAAGCCAGTTTGATGGTGTTTTTTGCATCTTGAAGAATAGTATGTAAAAATATGCAAAGTGCTTTACAAGCAAAGATTGTTAATAAGTACCTGTAGCTTACCTGGTTTAGATTAGGTTTATATGTTAAGAAACATCCAACAGGTATAATTTGCCAAGTAGAGTGTAGCAATAAGCACTCAGATTGTACTTGACAATCCTATGACTAAGACATTATCATTTGTCCTTTTTTTATTTTTTAAAGATAAGGAAACACATAGAGGAAATACCATATTGTCAAATAAGTATCACACTCAAGCTCACACAGTTGGCAAGTATGGCACTACACAATTTTGTCAGGCCATTTTCATATAGAGATTGCTTGGCCACATTAAAACAGAAAATGTTGCTTTTAAAATGATGCTGTAGGCCAGGTGGGGTGGCTCACGCCTGTTATCCCAGCACTTTGGGAGGCCGAGAGGGGTGGATCACTTTAGGTCAGGAGTTCCAGACAAGCCTGGCCAACATGGTGAAACCTCTACTAAACCTCTACCAAAAATACAAAAATTAGCTGGGCATGGTGGTGCATGTCTGTATTCCCAGCTATTTGGGAAGCTGAAGCAAGAGAATTGCTTGAACCCAGGAGGCAGAGGTTGCAGTGAGCCGAGATTGCGCCACTGCACTCTAGTCTAGGTGACAAAACGAGATTCTGTCTTTAATAAATAAATAAATAAAAAGGTGCTGTAGTATTGCAAGGCTAAGTAGGGTCAGCAGATGAAGTTCCTCAAGACTTTCAACATTACTGTATAGCTAAACTCTTGAGAAAAAACAGTAACCTACCAATTGGACATATGGAATTCACAAGTAGTTCTTTTGACACAACTAGGCCAAGCATGAGTTGAGGAAGTTAAAAACATTATGTGAATTGTGCAGGTAACTGCTAAAGAACAGACTTCTCTTATGCAGTCTGAAAACAACTTTAGTCTATTTTGCTGCCCTTAGACAAATGAAAAGAGCCAGTACAGATGTATAAAAATGGCCTATGTGTAACTGAAAGTGATCAAGGTTGTCGTTTTGATGTTGGAGTGTTAGCTACCCTCGAAGACATTTTCTTGCCGTATTGATGGTAGTATTTAAAACATAATATCTACAATAGTACCAGGTTTTATAGCCAAAGAAATTGTAAATATAATACCAGGCCAGGCACAGTGGGTCATACCTGTAATCCAAGAACCTTGGGAGACCGAGGTGGGAGGATCGCTTGAGGCCAGGATGTCGAGACCAGCCTAGGCAACATAAGCAAGACCCTGTCTCTACAAAATAAAATTAGCCAGGTGTGGTGGTGTGTACCTGTAGCCCTAGCTACTCAGGAGGCTGAGGCGGGGAAGGTTGCTTGAGCCCAGAAGTTCGAGAGTTCGAGGCTGCAGTGAGTTGTGATCGTGCCACTGCAGTCCAGCCTGGATGAAAGAGTGAGGCACTGTCTGTCTCCAAATAAATAAATAAATAATCCTATGCATTACTGCGTCTTGGTTCACAGTACTGTGTAAAACGTCTCATCCTGACGTTACTAGATAAATGATCAATAAATTATCCGAATTATCTTACTCTGGTAAGAACATTTATTGAGAGAATAGGTTCAAACATTTGCAGTGAAAGGTTAGAAGTTTTTGTGGATTTCATAGTCTTATGCAAAACTGAATTCTAAAGAATTTAATGTTGCCAGTACTGATCTTCCTGAGATTTCTCTGGGGTTTTTAGTCAATGACTTCTTAGCTTGTTAAAGCATCACATAGGTGAGGGTTGAATATGCCTGAAATAGCCTTTTTTGTTCCATGGCTGGTGAACACACGTATTGCCCAAGCAGCTATCTTGCCAGAATATGCATCAAGTGGTACAAAATGATAACCACTAATGGAACGTGATATGCTGCCCCTGCCATACCAATGTTAGAACATTATAAAGGATATTGCGTTAATTATATAATCTAGTTAATTCCACACAGAGGCTCTCCTACAAAAGAAGAAAACATACTGTTGATCTTCCACTTATAATCATATTGTCTGGTTTTCTGGTATGAATGTTAAAATCTGCCATTTTTTGATTGAGTACACATTTATTCCCCCAGGATGCTACCTTATAATACATCATGGTCTTAAGGGAACATATAAAGGGCTAAATGTGGCCATATGGCCCATATTAGCCTGTTTTTATTACTCATTTGAGGAAGATAGAAAATTGCTGTTGTAACTGATATTTAGTTCACTTAAGCCTGGATGGAATAAATTGGCGTTACTCCAGACAGTGGAGCAAATTGTCATAATGCTACCTTTCTCCACTGATTTGAAATGTCATTTTCACTATATAGGAAATTCTTTATAGCTTCGGGTTGTTTCTGTGCTTTTTATTGAGCTCCATTGATCTTTGCGTCTATTGCATCTATTTTTAGGATAGCAATATTTTTAGTTACTGCAGTCTTATAATTTTTAATATAAGCAAACTTGTTTCTCTTACTTAAAAAAATGTTATCTGTTCATTTTTGCAGATTTGCACATTAAGATTGTCTATTTCTTCAAAAAAATCCTGTTAGGATGTTAATTTGATTCCTATTATGTTTATTAAATAATTTGGTGACACATTTTAACAATAAATCTCTATCCAGAAACAGGGCTTTTTTGTCCCTTAGTCTTATAGTTGTATTAATACACCTACCCTCTTCTATTTGGTTATTGTTTTAATTGCTTTGGATTGGAAAAACAGATTAAGAGTTTAGATATTGTATATAAAATAAGACTAAATATGTTCTGAGAATCTAAAACGTGGTCAAAGCTTTCTTTTCCTCTACAGCTTTTAAAATGCGGTACATGTGTTTTAGTGTATGGACATTATGAGACATAGTTTGTCTCTGCAGAGGCAATTTCTAAACTTTTAGCTTTGCGGTGGGGCATCTATCAAATGTGGGATCTACAGCAGTTTTGTGCAGCTAGTAAGCCATGTATTGCCTGGTCTTAAAGTTATTTATGTCTCTTGTATATCTGTTTCCTTTAGCTAATTGTGTTTCCAAAGGGCAGAACGCATGTGATTATGTGCCTAATGGATTTTGGTTCCATTGAATTAACTAGTACTATACTTGTAATTCTGTAATGCAGCTCACCTCCATTTAAAAATATGTATTTTTATTTATAAATATGTTGCAATTTAATTTGCCTTCCATGAGTGAAGATCTTTGAAGACAGGGTATGTGTCTTCCTGTTTTAAACTTTTTCCATTTCCTAACCTCTTGAACAGTTCCATGTACTGTCCTAAATGAATGTTGGCTAGATCGTGTTGAAATGGCAAAGTAGCCTTTAAATAACAAAGCATGAAGAAAATAGTGACTTGAGTTTCTGGAAGAACCATAGCCTTTCTAAGGGATGTTAGTGCTGTATATGCAACAAATGAGAACATTAAGAAGGCTGTTTTGTTTTATCAGCTATGTTGCCTGTTGATCCTGTGAAAGAAAATTTTATGTTCTTAAAGGGAAAACTTTTTTCAATTGCCTTCCCAACTCCTTTCAAATCAAGAGTACCTCTTGTAGCAGTTTCAAAGGTTAGCCATTATTTTTTCACAACACAAATACTAAACTCACTAAAACATTTGTTTAAAATAATTTTTAGAGTTAATATTATTAGTCTAATTATAAATGACTATCTGTGTTTAAATTTCAAATACTTGGAGATGTCATTCTTAGAAATCACACTCTGATAGTTTCATCTTAACATTGTCTTACAAGGAAAATATGCTTTTGTGAAAAAGAGGAAAATGAATTAAATTGTTATCTTAGATATCCTTTATCTAATGGTCTCTAACAAATTCTACATTGTTCTCTCATGATATAAATGAATTTGGGCTAAAAATAAGATGTTTACTTTTTTCTAGTTCCTTAAATGAATTTGTCCTAGGAAAAATATTATTTTACCATGCATCATAAGAAACTAATAAAATTTTTAGAACTATCTAATAGAACTAATTTTTCCTAAATAGCATAAATAATCATGGAATGTATGGTACATCTCTTATGAAAAAATATTAATATTTTCAGAAGAGGTTTATTTTTTGAATTTTCTTCCATTAACTGTCTATTCTTTCTTTTGTTTGTTTGTTTGAGACGGAGTCTCGCTGTGTTGCCCAGGCTGGAATGCAGTGGCACGATCTCCACTCACTGCAAGCTCCGCCTCGAGGGTTCACGCCATCCTGCAGCCTCAGCCTCCGGAGTAGCTGGGACTACAGGCACCTGCCAACACTCCCGGCTAATTTTTTTTTTTGTATTTTTAGTAGAGACTGGGTTTCACCGTGTTAGCCAGGACGGTCTCGGTCTTCTGACCTCGTGATCTGCCCGCCTAGGCCTTCCAAAGTACTAGGATTAAAAGCGTGAGCCACCGCGCCCGGCCATTAAATCTGCATTCTTAAAAATTATTAGGCTGAGCGCAGTAGCTCACTACTGTAATCATAGCATTTTGGGAGGCCGAAGCGGGAGTATCACTTGAGCCCAGGAGTTTAAGGCTGCAGTGAGCCATGATTGTTTCTCTGCACTCCAGTCTGGGTGACAGAGTGAGCCTGTGTCTCAGAAAATAAACAACTACAACAACAACAACAACAACAAAAACAACAAAAACTGAAAGATGACGTCGGTTTGTAAATTTGTTTTCCCTGCCTCAGGAAGTTCTAGAAGATATTTTGGACCTTGATTTATCTGTCTCAGAAACAGACGATTTTATCCAGCTTGTAAGTGGCGAAAAGACAGTGTTTGGATCCATTCCACTGGCTCATCCATATGGGGGCCAGCAGGTAAGAGTAGCAACAGCACCACTTCCCTTATGCAAATAGAATTATTTGATGGAAATGCTGTCCTACTAAGGAAATTATTGTGCATTAATTTTTAAAATAGTGCATTGGGAGTTCAGCAAGATGTACCTAAAGGAGTATGTCATCAGATGATGTTTATAGGTTAGCTGATGTGATTTCTTGCTGTGCTAAAGCTAGAGCCTAATTCTTTGAATGGAACTGAGAATACTGGGGCAGCATAGATAAAAAATTTCTGTGGATTATTACTAGAGAACTCATTCAGTGCACTTTTGGCAAGACATTTTGGCAAAATGAAGCAGTACAATGTGTCAGTATAAAAGGACAAATAAGCCGGGTACAGTGGCTCATGCCTATAATCCCAGCACTTTGGGAGGCCGAGGCAGGCAGATCGCTTGAGCCTAGGAGTTCAAGACCAGCCTGCGTAACATGACGAAACCCTGGCTCTACAAAAATTAGCCGAGCATGGTGATGCGTGCCTGTGGACCCAGCTATTTGGGTGGCTAAAGTGGGAGGATCGCTTGGGTCTGGGAGGCAGAGGTTGCAGTGAGCCAAAGCTGTGACACTGCACTGCAGCCTGGGTGACAGAGTGAGATCCTGTCTCAAAAAATAAACAAACAAAAGGGATAAAAAGAAGGACAAATATATAATGTATATAATATAATCTATAAATAGATTATAATTATATCAAGATAGCCATAGAACAAAGTTGTACAACTACTAGAATGGGAGTAAATCAAGATTCCTTGGGGGTGTTATTTGTGCTGCAGAAATCAGGAAGCAATTAAGGAATATTCTGGAAATAAAGCGAGACGTTGAAACAAGTTCAGGGTATGGTATCTGACTAATTGAAAAAAGAAACAGGAACATAGGACCAATTGTTGAATTTCTGTGACTTTCCTGTAAGCTAGATAAGATTAACACTCTCTGGTCGTTTGGGGGTTTTTTTGGTAATGCTGGTTTGCTCAGGAACTATTTCTAAGATAAATAGTAAAGTATCATAGGGTTGGTGTAAGATTAAATTAGGAAATATATGAAAAGTGCTTAACATGTTAACTATTACAATTATTATAACATCAGGTTCTGGCTTGCTGGGTTAGTTATTTCCTTTCTTCTTCAAGTTCCTGTAGGCTAAGAGGCAAAGTAATACAAGCCATTAGGAGGACTTTAAGGGTCACCTGTGACAAACTTGAAGCACAATTTCTTTTTCTTTTCAACTTATAAGTTCAGGGGTATGTGTGCAGTATGTGCAGGTTTGTTTAAACGTGTGCCTTGGTAGTTTACCACACAGATCACACCATCACCCAGTTATTTATTTATTTATTTATTTATTTATTTATTTATTTATTTATTTTTGAGATGGAGCCTTGCTCTGTTACCCAAGCTGGAGTGCAGTGGCACGATCTCAGCTCACTGCAACCTCCGTCTCTTGGGTTCAAGCAATTCTCCTGCCTCAGCCTCTCAAGTAGCTGGGATTACAGGCGTGTGCCACCACGCCTGCCTTTTTTTTTTTTTTTTAATTTTTAGTACAGATGGGGTTTCACCATGTTTGTCAGACTGGTATCTAACTCCTGATCTCAAGTGATCTGCCCACCTCAGCCTCCCAAAGTTCTAGGATTACAGGCGTGAGCCATCATGCCCATCACCCAGTTATTAAGCCCAGCATCCATTAGCTATTCTTGCTGATGCTCTCCTACCCCTTAACCCCCTACAGGTGCCCAGTGTGTGTTGTTCCCCCTGGCGTGTCCATGTGTTCTCAGTCAGCTCCAACTTATAAATGAGAAGATGCAGTGTTTGGTTTTCTGTTCCTGTGTTAGTTTGCTGAAGGTAATGGCTTCCAGCTCTATCCATGTCCCTGTAAAGGACATATGTTATTCCTTTCTATGGCTGCACAGTATTGCATGGTGTGTATATACCACATTTTCTTTACTCAGTCTATGATTGATAGGTATTTAGGTTGATTCCATGACTTTCTATTGTAAAGAGTGCTGCGGTGAACGCACACATCTATGTATCTTTACAATGGAATGATTTATATCACCCTGGGTATATACCCAGTAATGGGATTCCTGGATCAAATGGTATTTCTACCTCTGGATCTTTAAGGAATCACCACACTGCCTTCCACAATGGTTGAGCTATTGACACTTTCACCAGCAGTGTAAAAGTGTTCCTTTTTCTCCACAACCTTGCCAGCATCTGTTGTTTTTTGACTGTTTAGTAATAGGCATTCTGATTGGCATGAGATGGTATCTCCTTGTGGTTTTGATTTGCATTTCTCTAATGATCAGTGATGTTGAGCTCTTTTTCATGTTTGTTGGCTGCATGTGTGTCTTCTTTTGAGGAGTGTTGGTTCATATCCTTTGCCCACTTTTTAATGGGATGTTTTGTTTTTTTTCTTGTAAATTTCTTAAGTTCTTTATAGATTCTGGATATTAGACCTTTGTCAGATGGAAAGATTGCAAAAATTTTCTCTCCTTCTGTAGGTTGTCTCTTCACTCTAATGATGACTTCTTTTGCTGCACAGAAGCTCTTTTGTTTAATTAGATCCCATTTGTCAATTTTTGCTTTTGTTGAAATTGCTTTTGGCAATTTTTTCATGAAGTCTTTGCCCATGACTATGTCCTAAATGGTATTGCCTATATTTTCTTCTAGGTGAACCTCAATTTTTTTATCTGTAATGTGAGAGGGCTGATCCAGGTCATTCCAGTTGTGAGAAGTGCTATGGTGAAGACATTGGCTTAATTTTATTTAATGCACCAATTTCCAAATAGTTGACTGCAGTGTTTTGTTGTTTTGTTTAAGTCATTACTATTAACATTTTGCTGAACTGTTTCTCTGTTTAGAAACTTCTGAACTAAATGACCCTTTTGGTCTTTTCTAGTGCCCAAATGCAGGGATTCCACGGTTCAAAAAGCCATCTCCCATCTGGATTAAATGTATTTGAAAGCATCTTATGCTGGTACTCACATGCACCATTGAAGTACAAATACAAGCCTTAAGCCCTGCAGAGTTTTGTTAAGCTATTCTTTTTTTGTAGGTGTGTGTTTTTTTTTAGTACATTATATAAAAGCTCTTAATCAGTTTCACTTTTGTGCTTCTTCTTGATCTGAAATTGTGTTATAAATATTTATTTGTAAGGATGACTTTGCCATTTTAAATGAACAGTGCAGAAAATGGTTTCTCTTTTATTGGTGGAAAACTAGCTTTCTGATTCCCCTGATTCACTTCTAGCTCTGCAAGTATCATTCTTTCTACTTCCTTTTCACATTGTGGAATATACTTAAGGTATTGTGGACTTTAGAACTTTCCAGAGCAACTCTCAGTCTTGTGTTCTTGCACTTATTCCATGGATAAAATTAATTACTGGTGGTCTGTTACTGATTAAAATGAAAAGTTAAAATACTGGATAGATTTATCTTAATTTATTGTTTTTCTTCCAGAAATTAGACATCTTCTGCATCATGGATAAGCTCATTGAGATCTATGACTTTGCCTAATAATTATAATAAAATTATTCTAAGCCTGCATCTCCAACCAGATTTCTATCTCCAGCTAGAAATGCCTATAATCCAATTACCTACTGAAAATATCCCACATGATTGTTTCACTGAACTCAACATGTAAAGAAAACTGCTGGTCTGTCCCATGACTGTTTGCACTTCGCTGCTGACCTGACAATTTCCTACTCCTTCCCCATGAGCATTGTAAATGTTCATGCACAATCTGGAAACGTATGAATGACCTGAGATTTTCTCTGTCCCCTAGCTTTTTAAATTCAATAATCACTAAGCCATATTAACTGTACCTCTTTTCTGCCTTTACTTTATGTTTCCATTGCCACTGGAATACAAACTTATTTATTTTATATTTTTATTTCCTGGTTAAACACGGCCCCTTAACTGATGGCTTTTATAGGGAAAAGGAAACCCTACCAAATACTATTGTTATATTTTAAGTTAAAAAATTCAGTAAAACAAATCAAAATAAAATAATGGCAAAGAAAGACCTACATGTTTAAATGTGTAAATTGAACTTCTGAACTTGATTCATTTTACCTTGGATGGGTCAAACTTTCATAATAGATTGATACTAGGCCACAGATTGGTGACAAAAAAAAAAAAAAAAGACTATAGCATGAACTACTACAAAAGCTTCCTTTGTCTTTAAATCTTTTTTTTTTTTCTTTGAGACAGAGCCTCACTCTGTGGCCCAGGCTGGAGTGCAGTGGCACGATCTCGACTCACTGCAAACTCTGCCTCCTGGGTTCATGCCGTTCTCCTGCCTCAGCCTCCCAAGTAGCTGGGACTACAGATACCCGCCACCATGCCCAGCTAATTTTTTTGTATTTTTAGTAGAGACGGGGTTTCACTGTGTTAGCCAGGATGTTCTCGATCTCCTGACCTCATGATCCGCCCGCCTCGGCCCCCAGAGTGCTGGGATTTCAGGCGTGAGCCACCACTCCAAGACTGTCTTTAAATCTTTTTATGTGATACTCTCCATCTATCTTCTATATGACGGACCAGCAAACTGGAGGCCACAGGCCAAATTCAGCTTATGAAATTTTTCTATACAAAGTTTTATTGCAGTGCAATCATGCAGGTCTTTGCTCACACGTTATCTATGACTGCTCTCACCCTACAATGCAGGGTTGAATAGCTGTGATAGAGACCACATGGCCTACCATATTTCCTATCTGGTGCTTTACAGGAAAAGTTTGCCAATCTCTGCTTTATACCATGACCAGAATGCCCTGATACTCAAATCTAATCTTGTGACTCCCCTTCTCAAACTTCTCCAATGAATCCCTGCAGAAAACATTGTTGACTTCCTATGCATAGCCATTATTTATTCTTTCTTGCTGCAGAAACACAAGTTTATTTAGATATTTATTATTCCATTACCCCCACCCCATCTCCAATTATTCTAAGCTAATCACAGTAATTACATTTGGTTTCCTAGTGACTGGTTTTGAAAGGAGCATGTGGTATAATCCAGCCAATAAAATGTTACAGGAAGATTACTGCAAGCTTACAAGTTTTCTCCCTATTTAAAAGAAACAGGTGAACAAAAGCAGCCCTTCCAGCCTTCAAATATTGTCTTGAGAGAGCATGATGATTGGAGCTGTTGCTAATTAGTCACCAAAAGTGGAATCCTGGCCAGGCACAGTGGCTCACGCCTGTAATCCCAGCACTTTTGGAGGCCGAGGTGGGTGGATCACAAGGTCAGGAGTTCGACTCTGGCCAACATAGTGAAACCCTGTAAAAATATAAAATATTAGCCAAGGGTGGTGGTGGGCGCCTGTAATCCTAGCTCCTCGGGAGACTGAAGCAGGAGAATTGTGTGAACCCGGGAGACAGAGGTTGCAGTGAGCTGAGATTGCACCATTGCACTCCAGCCCAGGTGACAGTGAGAGACTCTGTCTCAAAAAAAAAAAAAAAAAAAAAAAAATAGCAGAATCCTATGATATCCCTGGACCACCAAAACAAATTTGGTTCCTATGTTTTTAGCCATTGTTTGTTCATCTAGTATTTACAGCCAGAATTATTGTAAGAATTTTTCCGGGGCCTACAGAATAAGATCTACTCGTTCCTATACTATTAAAAAGTGTTGCCTAAGCTTGCCTTATCTACATATTCAAGTCATTCCCAACTACTCCCATATCACACTATTTCCGCTTGGAAACCCAAAGTGCCAATAAACCCTACAAAATTCACTCACGCATCTTACCATTTGTATTTGCTTTTGTAGATGTTTCTTTTCTAGGATATGCGATAATCTCAGATGTTCCCTCTACGAAGGGTGTAGCCTCGTTGGGTGTTCTTTTCGCCAAGCGTGCAGCCTCATCAGGCGCTCCCTCCACCAAGTGTTCAGCCTACTCAGGCTTCTTTCCGCCAAGGGTTCAGACTCGTCAGGCGTTCCTTCAGATGTTCCTTCTGCCAAACACACAACGTGGTTAAATTTTCCTTCTGCTAAATATCATCCTTCTGACTCTTTATCTGGCAAACTTCTACTCATTCTGCATGCTTTCCTTAAATACTACCAAACTTTTCTCCTTCTTCTATTTATTTATTTATTTATTTATTTATTTTTTTTAGATGGAGTCTTGCTCTGTCGCCCACGCTAGAGTGCAATGGCACGATATCAGCTCACTGCAACCTCCGCCTCCCGGGTTCAAGCGATTCTCCTACCTCAGCCTCCCAAGTAGCTGGCATCACAGGCGCACGCTACACGCCTGGCTAATTTTTCGTATATAGTAGAAACGGGTTTCACCATGTTAGTCATGCTGGTCCCAAACTCCTGAGCTCAAGCAATCTGTCCACCTTGGCCTCCAAAATGCTAGGGTTACAGGAGTGAGCCACCACTTCTGGACACTACCAAACTTGTTAAGGCTTTAATTGTCACCTTGGATATAAAATGTCTGACACATACTGAATATGGTAATGACATAATAAGTGATAATTATAAGCTCCCAAAGGGGTTCTGGCACAGAGTGAACATTAATAAATTAGTAAATATTAGAAAAAAATAATAACAAGAAAAATGCTTAGTACCTTAATAAGTAGTAAATAATAAAAAATGACAATGATAATAACAAGGACAATGCTTAGTACCTTAAAGATGCTTGGCATTTATTTGTTAAGTGGACAAGTGGATAAATGAATAAAAAACATTTTTTTAGAAAATTTTGTTGGAAAAATGCAGAAATTCAGTAGAGACAGCTCTACTGTATTATGAGCACCTTAAAGACATATGGAATATGTGTATTCCATATTTGTCTCCTGCAACTTGCAAAAACCTAACTTATAGAAGTTCTTTGATAAATATATAATAAAGATATGCTCATACCGTTCATATTGAACAATGCATTGTGTCACATTTAGGTATCACAGTGACACTTTTGCTATTGTGAAAAATTTTTGTATTTTTATTATAATTTGTTGAGCCTAGAGTTAAGCTATTTGAATACTTATAATGTTAATATTTTGGCCAGCAGGAACAGAGTATCTTTTTGTAACAAAATTACTATTAACACACTAATTATCCAGCAGATAGAACAACACATCTTGTTCTAATGAAGTAAATATATCTTATTTGGTTTCAACTTAGAGGGAATGAAGTTGAAAATAGTGAGATCTTTTGGTACAAGACTGTGTAACATAACCTGCGCTTCTCAACAAAGATTTGCTTTTCTCACTTCTGCACTCAGTAGGTATCTTTGAAAAATGATATCCTATTGGTACTGATGCACCCTGGCTAAGTTTTGTAATTCTTGTTGACATTTGTTTATGGTGTCAGAAAAGTATTATTGAGTTCCAAATTCTAAAGATACTTACTTTTCTGTGACACAAGTCACTATGTCACACAGTTGATCCTTGAATAAGGGTTTTACTGTAGGAACCCACTAATAGACAGATTTATCTTTTCCTTTGCTGCTGCAAGATAGCAAGACAAATCTCTCCTCTCCCTCTCCCTTATCAGCCTACTCAACATGAAGGCAATGAGAATGAAGAACTTTATGAATAATAATTCACTTCCATTTAATAAATAGTGAATATATTTTTTCCTCCTTAAAACAGTTTCTTTTCTCCAGCTCACTTTATTGTAAGAATACAGTATATAGTACATATGACATAGAAACTATGTGTTAATTCACTGTTTATGCTTTCAGTAAGGCTCCAGGTCAACAGTAGACTATTAGTAGAGTTTTGGAGGAGTCAAAAGAAACAGATTTTCCTATAAAGCAGATTTTCAGCTGCTTGGGGGATCGGCACCCTAACTCTCATGTTACTCAAGACTCAACTGTAATTAATTCTCATTTACTAAATGTAAACCATTTATTGTAAAAATTAAATAGAGCCCAGAAGTTCAAGACCAGCCTAGGCAACATAAGGAGACCCTGTCTCTACAATTAAATAAATAAATACATACATACATACATACATACATACATACATACATAATTATTTCTTCATAGGTTATAATACTGAAATGTTGCAGTTTTTGTTATTAATTCCTACTTTTCATTATTAGATGTTCCATTCTTTGTGGCTTGTAATTCAGGGCATCTAAGCTACTTTATAATTTGTAATAAAATTTATTTATAAATATTAATTTATTAAATTGGATAACCTGATTATCCCCTATTACCAAGCTCATCAATCACACCAAGTGTTATACATTTTATCACAAACCTAAGTTGTTATGACAATTGAGGAAACATACAATATACAAACTTAAAAATTGTTTTACTTATTTATACAAAAGTATTATATAAAATTTTAGGGAACATAATTAAGAAAATTTTTTTCGGATAATTTCTGAGATTATAAACTACGTACAACTAAATTCTTAACTAATTCTGAATAATAAACTAAAAAAATTAAATCAAAGCTATATATATATGTACACACACACATATGTATATATGTAAACACATCCTATTTCCACATTGCTTTTTTAATTGCTGTTGTATGATCAACATTTCCATAACCTTATGGTAGCACCACCAAGAGTAGTTTACTATCAGAAGTCTTACCTGGATTGCTATTTTGAGGATTTTTAGATATCTTTTGTTTATATTCCAAAAGGTGTTGATGAATGCTATGTATAAAAATGTAATAAATAAAACTATTATTTTAACACTGATATAAAAACATTTACCAAATTTATTAAGTTCTTAGAGTATTTCAGACAATATCAGAGCTAACATCAGAATATTACTTATTCTATTACTTTAAGTTTGTAAGCTCTATGAATTTATTAATCTGCTAATTAAAGAAGAAAGAAAGTAGATGAAATACTCATGAATTCAGGGCAGGGTAACTCCGTACATTCACTAGAGTTAGCTTGGCATAATGGAAAATGTCCTTAACTCAGAATAAGTCCTAGCGCAGTAACCAACAGGTATTTTTTCTGGAACAAGTTGCTTCTCTTAGGCTCAACGTCTTCTAAAAATGAGAATTTTAGAGCCTTATTTCACTAGGTTATTATAAAGATTTAACAAGATAACATTTTTTAATGCTCAAATAGTGAAGCAATGAAATAATTTGTTCTTGAATCTTATTGCTGAAGCTATTTTTAAATTCTCAATAAAATCCAATGTGTTAGCCTGGTGCAGTGGCTCATGCCTGTGACATAAGCACTTTGGGATGCTGAGACAGGAGGACTGCTTGAGCCCAGAAGTTCAAGACCAGCCTGGGCAACATAGGGATACCCTGTCTCTGCAAAACATAAATAAATTACAAAAAACAAAAGAACAAAAAAAAGTGTTTCTTCATATGTTATAATGTTCAAATGTTGCACTTTTCTGTTATTAACTCCTACTTTTGGTTATTAGATGTTCTATTCTTTGTGGCTTGTAATTCAAGGCATCTAAGCTATTTTATAATTTGTAATGAAATTTACTTATAAATATATTAATTCATTAAATTGGATAACCTGATTAGCCTCTATTACTGAGCTCATCAATCACACCAAGGGCAGAAAACTAATAGATGTCAGCATCTGGCTTGGACTATTACTACTCTTTATCTACCTCCTGAAACTCTGAATCAACAAATCTTTGTTAGAATGATGCTTAGTCACTATGCTCATTTCCAGCTGCTGTGGAAGAAAAAACCCTACCTTTATTTTTTGTAAGTTCCACAAAGATGCAAGTTGGTATTTCCTCATTTCTGAGATGCACTAAGAGCATATTGCACACAAGATCCTATGTGTTACCACATCTCATTTCATATATCACCTTGCATCAATATTTCTTGTATGAAAATCACAACTGCAATACTGGGTGACACCCATTTTGCTTTGACTCACACCATTTCCTTGGAGCTAGTTAGAAAGTAGTCAAATGTCCTTTTGGAAACTGCAAGAAATATGCAACACTTCACAAATCTGTGTGTCATCCTCGTGCAGGGACCATGCTGATCTTCTCGAAGTTGTTTCAATTTTACTATATGTACAGCTGATGCCAGCACGAATCCCTACTTTTATACCTGAAGACTGATCAGTCATGGATGAGGCTTAGCTCTGTTAAATCTAACCAACTTACTTGGGGTTTTGTGAAGTCTATTGAATGGCTTCATGGTGATGCAGAATTTGAAAATATTTTAAAAACTCGAGGTAGGGATGCAGGTAGCATGGGAGATTTTTACTTTTAGCAAAAAAGAATCACTTGAGGGGAGGAGCACGAGTTGGAACCCACTATAACTTGAGAAAGATGACATGGGATCTTACAGAATAAGATGAGACCTTCCACTACCTACAAAATGGTGCTACACAGATTATAAAGGTCCAGGGATGTAGTTGTGGTAACAAAATAAAAAGGGATCTCTAATTTCTTCCTGTAACATTATTTCAACCTGACTTACAGTTTCAAACTAATATTTGCTAGAGAAAATAGAAAGAAGCCACTCAAAGGATAACTTACCATGAAGGTCTAGGCCAAGTCCAGGCTAAGATGTGGGTTTCACATCAGGTTTTGAGTGTGAGGAGAAGAGTCAATTTGTTTACTATGTGTGTGGCTAAAGCTAAATGTCCTAGCTGCCAGAGCAGGGTGCTGGTACTTCGGAAACAATGGCTGAGAATATGTATGTGAACTGTAAAAAAATGAAATAACTTTGAAGTCTACATGTGGATCACCATGAAGACTGAGGGATCTGTATTAGTAAGAGCATCCTGGTAGCAAAGGTCAATCATTATCAGACTGCAGGAGTAGTTTCAACGGCAACAATGCAGCAACAGCATCAATGGAAACAACAAAATGAAGAGAATGGCCATTTCCCACCCCTCCAGTCTTTCTGACTTAAACAAAAGGAATGTCTTCCTTGGACTTAGGGAACCCCTTAGATTCTTTTAAAATTTCAAGGATGAAGGTATGGAAGACAGCCCCAGGGACACTATCAGGTTTTCTGCTAAAGTGGACATTTCAAGACCCAAATAACTAATTAGAAAAATCAAAATTGTGACACTATGTTTATCCCATGCATAGGGGATATACTGCAAATCAAGTAGACAACATTAGGATCCCTAGGGATAAAGCTGTTGAAAGTCCTAAAATAAAGAATCCTGGCCCATTACTCCTTCCAACTAGTCTAGCTTTTTGCCTAGTTTCTGGCTGATGAAGTGAACTAACTCACTGACATTCAAAAATTACCTGAAACAAACTATGAAATCTCACCTAGCCTTTAAATGTAAACATTTACGGATTAAATCTACTAGCAACAGCATAACCTCCTGCAGTCATTCCACACATATCTTCAGCACAGATGTCAATATCTTGCTGAAGAAGAATGCTGACTCTCTCTAATGATCCATGACATACAGCAAGCATGAGGGCTGTGCTAAAATAACAAAGAGATAACTTCATTATTAGGAACAGAACCAATTTAATATGTGCGTGTCAGTGTAGAATTAACCATTTACATGTACTAACAAAGCTAAGTATATTGAGTGCTCAAGTGTTTATCCTTGTAAATCACCACCAAGGCTAAAAGGAAGGAGCAAAAAGACTCATGTCCCACTGGGATATGGCATACTAGAAGTGGCTAACATAAAGTCCTTTGAGGGGCAAGAAAATATGCTCTGTTCACGAATCTTAAAGAGGCAAAAATTTAAGTGAAGAAATCTTTATTTCTTCCTTAGTCTGATAAAATATTTTGTTCTTCAAAATCAGCTAGAAGTCAGACAAATGAGAGCACTCTGAAGGCTTAAAACAATATTAGGAGTAATGATATTAGTATTAGTCATAGTAAGTTCAGTTAATGATGCTGATAAGAACGTGTGAGACATTGAATTAAATGCTGTTGATATTCATAATGTTATTCCCACACAACTGTCCTTAAAGGACATATTATTATTCCCCTTTTCATATAGAAAATCATACTTGGTATTAAGTAATGTTTGCAAAATCAAACATATCAAGTGAGGAAGCTAGACATGAATCCATTCTTATGTGAGTCAAAAGCCTATCTGTTTTTATCACTCACCTATGGCTTGTCTTTTTTTTTTTTTTTTTTTTTTGAGACGGATTTTTGCTCTTATTGTACAAGCTGGAGTGCAATGGCACAATCTCAGCTCACTGCAACCTCCGCCTCCCGGGTTCAAGTGATTCTCCTGCCTCAGCCTCCCAAGTAGCTGGGATGACAGCCACCCGCCATCACACCTGGCTAATTTTTTGTATTTTTAATAGGAACAGGGTTTCACCGTGTTACCCAGGTTGGTCTTGAACACCTTACCTCAGGCGATCCACCTGCGTCGGCTTCCCAAAGTGCTGGGATTACTGGCGTGAGCCACCGCGCCCGGCTGGATTATCTTAATTAACTAAAATGTTAATCCAATTAAAGATGTCTTTCTTCCCTCTACCTATACAAATTAGAAATAATAATACACTACGAATAAAAAAGGAAAAAAATGAGAAATTCACAATATCTGATGATAGCAATTAATAGTCATGTAGGGAAAACGTAAAATTAATATTCTTCAAAGAAAACAACTTAAAGCAAACAGTCATCCTAAAGACAAAATGATTTTAAACTCCTATTTCAGATTAATATTGCTTTTTTTTTTTTTTTTTTTTGAGACAGAGTCTTGCTCTGTTACCCAGGCTGGAGTGCGGTGGCACAATCTTAGCTCACTTCAACCTCTGCCTCCCTGGTTCAAGTGATTTTCGTGCCTCAGCCTCCTGAGTAGCTGGAACTACAGGCATGTACAACCATGCCCGGCTAATTTTTGTATTTTTAGTAGAGATGGGGTTTCACCATGTTGGCTAGGCTGGTCTTGAACTCCTGGCCTCAAGTGTTCCAACCACCTTGGCCTCCCAAAATGCTGGGATAACAGGCGAGAGCTACCATGCCCAGCAAATATTGCATTTTTTAAAAAGTGTATAAAAAACAGAAGTTAGAAAAATACTATAAATGTGTTAATCATTCAATATTTAGCCAATAGAAAATAATGCAACCAAAAACATCAGATTAAAAATAAGAATCAGTCAGTATAATAAGAGAAGATAAATCCTACTATATACTGTTCTTTATGTTGACCAGTCCAAATAATTGCTTTTCTTCCTAACTGATAATTTGTGTTGATAGTTTTCACTATAATTTAATAATTTTAAGTAAAGGTTATTAATATTTCTGACTTGAGTGTTATTACTCTAGAACACTACTCAAGTGTTTTTTAATAAAAAAAGAACTACTATACCATTTAAACTTATCAACTGCATTTGCACTGGCATTTTTTGTCACTAAAAATTCCACAATTTCCTCGCTTCTTTTCGTTATGACCAGTAAAAGTGGTGTGAGGCAAGCCTGTAAAACAGCAAAGACAATTTATAATTCATGAAATTACATATTTCTCAGCTGAACTGAATACCTTGTATAATATCCTATGAACTTAAACTTAAAATAGAAAGTAAATCAATAGCAGCCCCTTCTTTCTCCCTTTTCTGTGCTTTCCCATGCACTGCACCTTCCCTTGGAAACATTCAGCCTCTGCATCACCACATTAACTCTGGTTATCCCCAAGAATCTTTATATTCTAATGGTTTTATTGTTTCCCATCTAAAGCAAGAGCTTCTTGAGGAGAGGGGCTGTGTCTTTTATCTCTATATCCTTAAACCCCAAGATACAGTAGTAAATACTTTGTTTTTTATTAAATTACTAATCTAAATTATTACCTGTAGAGCAGTGTTTCTTAAACTATATTCCAGAGAATAATTACCTTACCAGAAGCATTGTACCCCAACAGATTCCACATTATCTATGTTCAAGAAATATTATAAAACTGTGAATTAAATGTCCGTTATCCAAGAAATGACCTGAACTTTGCCTAATCCTTATTTGACAATATATTTTTGTGGCAGACATTAATATTTGACAAATTAGAATTTCAGGGATACGGTTTTGAAAGCTTCCCAAGAAAAATGGAGGTTTCCTCTGGTGATACAAACTCGCTGATTCTCTTCTATCAATGATCCTAAGATCCCAGATGCCAGTGTCAGGCACTCCTGCTCTAAATGGGTCACTAAAGAAGTAGGCTCTAAATTAAAAGAGATTGGCTTTAAATGAACTTTGATTGCTTATTATAAGTGGTCCATGGGGTTTCTCCTATTACAAGACAATAGAATTTTATCTCAGCTATTAGAAATTCAGTATAAAAGTTTATTCTCAATTATAATGATAATACTAGCACCCTAATGCATATCTAATTCTTAAAATGCAATAATCCATTTTGATTCTGGTTTGTATTGTAATTGCTACTTAATTTTTGGGAAAATATCAGAAATATGAATAAAATGGCTTATTAATGAAAGTTCTAACTCATCTATATAGATTAGCATAATAGAAGCCACAAAATCACTTGAATTTTAAGGGACAATTCTGAGGAGAAAGATATAATATTTTCTGCAATAGGCATAACCTATTCAAATATAACCATGATTAATCTAAAAAGGCTTAAAGGCCTTCTAATAGAAGATGATTATTTATGGTTTATATAAGGAAAAATCATTGTTTAAAAAATCTAAATTCTAGACGTTAATGCCATTATTAATGATTTAATGTAAAATATAAACTATATATTATAAACACCTATCAACTGTCTTGAACACCTTGAAATCTTTACCATAATATACTATGAGAGAGGAATTGATAACTGAAGTATTTACAGAGGCAAAAGGGGTAAGTTGAGTAAGTGATGTGCCTAGGTGGGCACAGCAGCAAACTGGAAACATATGCTTTGTGTAAAGCTAGAACCTCTTCAGAGCATACCAGTCATATGGGCTCAAGAGACACCAGATTCTATCCTTTAAGAGGAAATCCAGATTTCTGCATGTCTCCTAAATTTTACACGGTGACTTAATTTATGCAGGCAAATTTTGCTTTCTTGTAGTTTTACACTAATTGGAAAGAAAAAAAAACTTGGGTGGGAAAAAATGTTTGAATAAGTTTTACCTTTAACAAATTCAAATATTTATCATAAGTGCACAGAAAAGCCATACTCTCTAATAGTTCTTGTAAAAATATTAATATTAAAGTAAAATCTTAGACAAGTTCTTTCAAACTATTTTCATTTGAGGAATGTTTGAGCTTCCAAATATAAAAAAACTTGCATATGTTAATGTTAAAACAAACAGATTTCAAATATTTTGAAAATAACATTGGTTAAGGTCTACCTTGTTTTTCACTTGGATGTCTGCACCACGTGACAGCAGTTTTGCCACCACTGACAAATTCTCACTATAAACAGCATAATGGAGAGCCATGTTGCCATACACATCTACAATATTTGGACTGGGACCAGAATCTACCAGAATATTTGCATAAGCCTCCCTCCAGCATTGTAGAGCCTGTCAGTATTAAAGCAAGAAGTGAATTATAAATTATAGGAAATCAAAATAAATATTTCACAGGTTTCAGAAACTAGTTGTATTTCAATGAGATAAATTCATTTTTATTCCACGTATTTAAACCAAATCCATCTCCTGCTGAAAGGACTGGCTACTATTTACCTTCATCAGAGGTGTCCTGTTTTCACTGTCACGGACATCAAGCCGGCACTTTCTGTCTGCCAGAAGTGTTATTACTTCCACATGGCTGTTGACACAGGCCCCATGTAGAGCAGTCCTATGAGAGTGAGAGGACTTTTTAGGAAAGTTTAGTCCATTGTCTCAAAACATACAATGATTTATACAATTGTAAACATTAAATACCATGCTCTTTCTCTGCCTTCAAAACAAATATTTAATATTCTCCTTAAGAAAGTACAACATTCATTCACTCTTATTACTCACTACATTAATGAAAGAGTGGCCTATTTGAATAGAAAGAGCTTGGCCTTTGGACTCAGTTCAACTTGGGCTTGAATAAACTTTACGGTCTTTCACTTACTAGCTGTCTCTTAACCTCTCTGTGCCTCAATTTTCTCATCAATAAAGTGAAGATGAATACAGCAGTTATCTCACAGGACATCACTGTGATGCCTCGATGAGAATCTATGCAAAGTATTTTGAAGAGTTTTTAGCACATGTAACAGCTCAGTAATTGTTAGATATTATAATTATAACTTCTACTTAACAAAGACAACATTTTAAGTAAAATAATACAATCATGCCTACTTTGTGGTGTGTTTTAAAGGTTACAGATAACACTGTATTTTAACGGTTCTAAGATGCTCAATTTCTCATATTTTAGCATCTCTGACATTGAAATGCCACTTACAATTCATTATTTATTAGAACTATATTTGGCAAAAATTTAAACAATCTTTTATTGGTACATAAAATAAGGAGGCATCACACAATTCAGGGTGCCTTCCATGAAGTGGAATATGGTATATACAACAGGACGATGGTAGTCCTAATCACAGGATTTACACTTAAAGAAATTTTAGCTTTTAAGAGTACTACGCAAAAGGAGAGTTGAAATAAAAACAACAAATTGTTAAAACAAAGTACTCCTTTAATATTTTAAAAACTTCAAGCCAAAGAAAACTTGGGATTCAAATGAATAGGTATGGCTCATTTTATTTTGTATTTAGATTTACAGAATGTATATTAATTCATATTTAGATTTATGGAGGGAGTACATGTAAATTAGGTATTTCCAATTATTCATATTACTATTTAAAGCTGTTATAAATTTCCAAAATCGTGGTTGGTAGTTATCTTTTACTAATTTCTCACTTCAGAAGTATTTTTGTTTGAAAGATGAGAGGAAAAGCTTCAATTGAGATTCAGTCCTATTACTCCAATTTTAAGCCTCTCATGTTGCTGAGGCTGAGCAGGTAAATGTGAAATTTTTAAGGATGAAAGGGTCTTGAGAGTTAATAGAATGTGTCTTCTACATAATAGGCATTCAGCTTACATGTGATAAATGGATTCAAAGAATGGATAAATATAGTTGGGAAGTTCAATATCTTAAAAAACTGCTATAAATAAAGCACTTATATTTGCTACTTTATTTTCCTAATAACAAAACTACACTAAAATGATTAATCTGTAATTATTGACATATATATAATAAATCTAGATATAATAAAAATATGTTTCTAATAAAATGTACATGTAAATCAACAAGCACAGATAAAAAGTTTCTCTTCTGAAAATGCTAAAAGTTCACAGAATATACTAATCCACAAAAAATAAAAATTAAAATATAGAAAGTGAAAAATTATTTTAATCTGTGCAAAATTCATATTCCTGCTCTTCCCCAAAATTATTTCATTAATAATAAACTTTTACTAATAACATTGTACTTGTTCAATGCAGAAATCAAAGATAATAAAAAGGAAAAACATTTTATATTAAAACAAATGCCCTCAAATAACAAATTTTATCATATTTCGTACATAATTTCAGATAACACAAGACCATCATCTGTATGTATAAACAAACTGAACTTTACCCTTACTTGGTACACCAAAATACATTTTCAAATGTCAACATACTTCTGTATATGTTTCTACATTCAGTGGTCACATTTTATCCCACGCTGTAAATTCACTGAAATGTATTTATAAAAGCCATTGTATGGATTCTTCTTAATACACTGATATTTTAAGCAGCGCTCAAAAAAGAAATTGTGTGTATGTTTCCTTATTTTCTAAAAATATCTTAATGTAATAGAATTGATCACCAACAGGCATATACAATTTTTTAAATATGGTACTTACCACCAAATTGTCTATTTGAAAAGTCATCTGCAACTTAAACTTTAAGCAGCAGTATAAATATCACTGCTCTTTATCCTCATAAACTTTGTGGATAGAAAACAGTATTTGATTCCTGTTTTAACTTAAATGCCTTCTCTAACGAGGAACACTAAATATTGTTTCCTGTGTGCATAAGTCACTTGCAGATCTAGAAGAAGGAGTTTGCCCAATTTTAAATTAGAGGCAAAGTACTTTTCTTAGATCTGCAATTTACATCTCTAATTTAAATTGCCCAATTTTAAATAGAGGATTTTTTTGTTGATTTGAGTGAATTCTCTGTAAAATGAAGATTTTTAAATCTGCTATATATACACACATGCACATACATGTGTAGTAAATATTTTACAAGTATGCTGCCTTTTATTTTTTCTCAAATGCAGGGTAATTTTTGTTTTGCTAAATTAACCTTCACAATGCTTATTTCTGAGAGTCTTAGAAAGGTTTTGTCAACATAAAAATGTATCTGTGTAAATAGGCATTTATATTTTCTTCTGATTTTTTTTCATTTTGTATATTAAAAATTTTTAATCTATATTCCATCAGGAACTTATTTCTTTTATGTACTGTAACTTTGGCATTTTTTTCTAGAGATCATCAAACCCAAGAGAGTCTAGATTTTCTCCTGTTATTTTCCAGAAGTTTTATAGTTTTGTATTTGACATTTAGGTCCGTGATTCATTTTGACTTAATTTTTGTGAGAAGGTAAGATCTGATTCATTTTTTTTACATGTGGGTATTCAGTTGTTCCAGCACCACTTTCTGAAGAAACCAACCTTTGTTTCATCATGTTGCCTTTACTTTTTCATCAAAGATTAATTAAATATATCGATGTGTCGCTATTTCTAAACTCTCTGTCTTGTTTCATTAACCTGTCTATTCTTTCATCAATATGATACTGCCTTGATTACCGTAGCCTTACAGTAAGTCTTGAAGTTGAGTAGTGCCTGTCTGTCCTCCAGCTTTGTTCTCCTTCAATATTGTGTTAGCTATTCAAGGTCTTTTTCTTCCCCATATAAGCTTTAGAATTACTTTTTCTATATCCATAAAATAATTTGCTTCCATTTTGATTAGAAGTGCATTGAATCTGTACATTGGTAAGAAATGACATCCTGATGATACTGAGTTATTCTATTCATGAATATGATGTATCTTCTCCATCTCTTCAGTTCTTTTTTTATTTCCATCATCACATATGGACAGTTTATGAAATTACATAACTCCCTCTACCTTGACCAAAGGACAGTGATGAATTCCTCGTTCTGCAGCCAACAAGTCACCTCTGAGGGCCATGTGTCTAAACATAGACAGGAGGGTAAGAAAATGATAAAGACATCCTGGGAAAAATAGGAAATTCGAGAATCAGCAACTGTGTCTAAGTAACTCCTTTCCATTTCCCCAGGACACCTGTTGCTTCAGCCAACACCTGCTGGCATGTGCTGAGGATGCTGGTGCTGCTGGCTTTCCCAGCCCTGCCCCCGGGGCTGCTTTGGGTGTGTGCCTCTTGACTTTAGTGAGAATGTACTTTTTCATCCCTACCATGGGTGAAAAGTTTTCACAAATAAAAACTTTTTAAAATAATGCCAACTTTTGTATTAGATAGAGGTGCTGCGTGTGCAGGTTTGCGTGTGTCTTTTTGGTAGAATGTTGTATTTTCTTTTGGGGATATTCCCAGTAATGAGATTGCTGGGTCAATTAGTAGCTGTGTTTTACATCTTTTGAGAAATCCCCAAACTGCTTTCCACAGTGGCTGACCTAATTTACATTCCCAGAGACAGTGAATAGGAGTTTCCTTTGCAGCCTCGCCAGCATCTGTTAACAAATGACCACTTTTATTCCAGACATAGATCATCTGTTAGTTTTGATTTTAGCACATCCTCTGAAGAAGATAGTGTTTTTCACAACCAAAGATGATTTCACCTTCCAAACGTGTTTTTTTTTTCTCATTTTCTGATGGCATGCGGAACTTTCTGTCTGCATCAGTTTGGGTATAAGTTAAGAGCATTGTACCTTGAAGTGTCCCATCTCACTGTTCCCATGCAGTGTTCTGTCCCAGAACTCTTCACTAGCTTTTTACCCCTGTGGGCCCAGTAGGGAGAGGAGCCCCCCAGAAAGTCTTTCACCAGGCAAGTGACGAACTAAAGAATTACACAATCATGTGTGACTGTTCTCAAAGCTCCCAAACATAGAAAGGGGGACAGTTGCAGGCAATACAGCTTTATTAATGGCAGTAACATCTCAGCTCAGCAGGAAACATACTGTGGGCTATGAGAACAGGTTACAATGAATATTGAGGCAGAAAAAGTCACATTAATCACATATTAGCCCCAAAATGCTCTTGCTCAAATGGTAACTGTCCTTCCTGCACATGTGGCAATACCAGACTTGCAGAAAGCACACGTGGTGAGAGACAAAGCCTGCTGCCTGTCTGTGAGCTTCAGTGCCCAATGAGACGCAGCAAGCTTTCGCCTCTTCTTTCTACACTCCTGCTTTTATTGCACAGTACTTTTTTACATATGTTTTATTCCATTTTTGAATGTTGTATTCCATTGGTCTTTCAGACTAATGATGAAACAACACAACACAATTTTAATTTCCAAGTCTCTACAATATTTTAAAGGGGAAGTCACTCTCTTTTAATTCTCAGACTTTTCATGGATATTTTAATTTGTTTGCTCTTCTTTACAATAAAATTTCTATATCCAGAACACAGATGTTATCTATATTGGAGTTAAAATCAACTTATTTTATTTTTTTTATTTTTTGACTTTTATTTTAATCTCAGGGGCACATGTGCAGGATGTACAGGTTTGTTACATAGGGAAATGTCTGTCAGCAGGGCGGGGTTGTTGTACAGATTATTTCATCACCCAGGTGTTAAGCCTGGTGTCCATTAGTTTTTTTTCCCGATCCTCTCTCTCCTTCCACCTTCCACCCTCCGATAGGCCCCAGTGTGTGTTGTTTCCCTCTATGTGTCCATGTGTTCTCATCATTTAGCTCCCACTTACAAGTGAGAACATGCTGTATTTGGTTTTCTGTTCCTGAATTCCTTTGCAAGATAATGGTCTCCACCTCCGTCCATGCCCTTGCAAAGGTACATATACACCATGGAATACCATACAGCCATAAAATCAACTTATTAATTAAAGTACTTTTGATGTCTTAATAATGTTGACCCTGCCTAATCATGTAATGTCATAATTTTTCATTTATACAAATCTATTTTTAGGTTTTTAAGAAACATTTCGCACCAATTCCATACTAATTAAATTATTTTAAATAATTTTCTTTAAAATGTTGGCATTATCTCTTTTCCATCTATGAACACAAGACATTCTCATTAATTCAATTAACATAATTTGTTGTGTTAATGAATTTCCTAACGCGATGAGTCTCACCTGCATTTCTGGAATAAATGGACTTCCTAATGATCTAATATTTTAAAGGGTTGGCACAATGGTTTTTAACATTCAAAAATTTTACTTTCATATTAATATGCTCTAATTATGTATAATACTCCATGCGGCATCAAACAAGTAAAGTTATCATATCAGTTTTTTTCATTTTTAAAATAGTTCAGTTTTATTCTGCTAGTACCATAAAAACAATGTAAACACAAGCGCTTTGTACATCTTTCTGGTGAATTCACATAATGCTTAGTTCCCTGATCCTTTGACCTCCTCGTCTTCTCCAGTTATTTTCTGTTTGAACCACTGGCCTCAGGAGTGGAGTAGGTTTGGTGCTTAGGAGAGAGCAATGTGGCTTTTTGGTATGACTCGTTTGCCCTCTCAGCACACTCCCGTTACTCCTAACACAAAGCTTGAGGTTTAAGTCCTTAAACCTGTAGGTTTCACCATCAGCTTTTTCTTTCTTTCTTTCTTTCTTTCTTTCTTTCTTTCTTTCTTTCTTTCTTTCTTTCTTTCTTTCTTTCTCTTTCTTTCCTTCCTTCCTTCCTTCCTTCCTTCCTTCCTTCCTTCCTTCCTTCCTTCATTTCCTCTTTCTTTCTCTTTCTTTCTTTCTCTCTCTCTTTCTCTCTCTCTCTTTCTTTCTTTTTTCTTTTTCTTTTTTTTCTTTTCGCATAGGCATTACTAGGGATGTGAATGGGAGACTGGTGTAGAAAGTGCTGAGGAGCCGAAGCCAACAAATTGCTTTAAACACAAGATGAAAATGCTCTGTTCCATCCACACAAAGAATCACCTAATACTGGTGTGAGGCATCTCACTTAGCTGTGGAGGAGTCCTTGGAATTAGATCTCAGAAAGACAGTTCTGGCTTTAAGACAGTAAAACCTTTTGGCAATGGGCCAATTGCCTTGAAAAAAAAAAAAAACCAGAGTTCTACTTTAAAGACCTTGCAAGTGGAGAATTGTCCTACAAAGATTCTTGGAAATGTTAACAGAGATAACTGACATGGGTAACTGGGGGCCAACCAGGAACTGTCAACAGCCAGATCTCAGCAAACACAGGACAGCCAGTTAATAGTTCCTTCAGTTCTCTGATGACCACAAATGTAATTTTATTTTATTTAGCCTTGTGGAGGTTCTGCAACAAATGTAATTTTAAAGGAATTGGGAGCCAGAAAGATAAATGCAACTCCTTCAACTGTGTGACACGGCAGACTGATTAATCTGGGTTCCCAGAGTGTGGAGCAAGTGCCCTGCATTTGCACTTGCAGATGCAGAACGGCCCAGGGGGAACTTGCATGATGCTGAACCCCACAGGACAGAATTACTTCAATCGCCTGCTCCTGACTACTATAAGGAAGAAGTCTCAGTGTCTCAGTTTGGATCTACACTCGGATTTACTTGTCTTTTCTTTCCTTTCTTTCTTTCCTTTCTTTCTTTCTTTCTTTCTTTCTTTTCTTTCTTTCTTTCTTTCTTTCTTTCTTTCTTTCTTTCTTTTCTTTCTTTCTTTCTTTCTTTCTTTGTTTCTTTCTTTCTATCTTTCCTTCTTTCTTTCTTTCTCTCTCTTTCTTTCTTTCTTTCTTTCTTTCTTTCTCTCTTTCTTGTTCATTTCTTTCTTTCTTTCTTCTTTTTTTTTTTCTGGAGATGGAGTTTCCCTCTGTCACCCAGGCTGGAGTGCAGTGGTGCAATCTTGGCTCACTGCAACCTCCACCTCCTGGGTTCAAGCAATTCTCCTACCTCAGCCTCCCCAGTAGCTGGGACTACAGGTGTGTGCCACCATGCCCGACTAATTTTTGTACTTATAGTAGAGACAGGGCTTCATCATGTTGGCCAGGCTGGTCTCAAACTCCTGAGCTCAAGTAATCCACCTGCCTCAACTTCCCAAAGTGCTGGGATTACAGACATAAGCCACCGCACCCGGCCTCTATGCTTGAATTTCTACCCTTAGCTAATCTCTCTAACACACATGCCTTTCATTGGATAAAACTGGCTAGGCAGACTAATTACACCTTCCTGTGTAATACAAGCCCCTCCCTGGCTTGTATAGTTGCCTTCCACTTGTGACAAGTGCTATGAATTTTCCTTTTTAGGAAGTGATACACAATTTTTTTCTTGAACAGGATTTTTAACTCAAAATAATGAGATAGTGTAAACATCATGACAATTCTGGAATGTCTGAAGTTTGAGATAAAGATTGTCTAAGAAAAGCTAAGATTGTCTTAACTGTTTATATGTGGTATCTGGAACATGGGCATCAGGAATCAAGTGATGCCACTGCTACTGGGCAGAGTTTTCATATTTTATCTAAACAAATGACACTGACCTACTTTAATAAAATTTCAGAAAAGCCATCTGGAATCAGCCCCATCATGTCCAGATTGGAAGGTGTTTGGGGACCAATGAAACATACCAGAAATACTTTTCTTCCCCCAAAACAAATGTAATGAATGTCAAAGTATTGATACTAATTTAGATTGTGAATACATATTAAGTTTTGCTTCATTGATTGTAGCACTGGCAGCTGTTTTGCAGAACACTGCATATTAAACTGTAGGCAGCTGACAACAAATATCAGCGGAAGGGGATATTTAAAAGCCAGTTAAATTAATCATTGTTTTTTAGGAACCTGAGTCACGATTAATCCCCTGGAGCTTTTACAGACAGACCCTTGCCAAAAATCTCCCAGAAGGAACATCTGTAGGCTATTTTGTTTTGAGATGTAAACCCATCTGTGATGTCTTGCTGACATTTTAGATTATATATACAAGTCCTATAATGAATAGCATTCACAAAATTTGTGAAGCAAAAAAATTAAAATTGTTCAAAAGCCTGATTTTTGCTGGCAAAGTTTATCCATGAGAACATAGCAATTAGCCCCTTACCCCTCCAAAAGAAACCCTACAACCCTAAAACCAATCCAAATTGTGTAATTTAGAAGAAATAGGTTTTCAGTGCCTACGACTGAAGAGTTCATTAAGGTTTTGCAGCTGGAGGTTTTAAAAAATCCCACTTTTCGAAACTATCTGACGATCAAGGGCACAGAGACTAACGTAATGCTGATTCTCACTGGCGCAAACAGCTTGTGGATTGCATAGGCCACCACAAAGGTACTTGTGCCTGCTGCCATTTTTGACTGTACGAGGGACTCTTTAAATCCGAGTTTCAGCAGGACTGCAGACATGTCCACACCACTTGACACAACCATGTAAAATATGACCAAGGAAATGAATGAGATTCCAGTGTACAACGACACGCCAACAGTGTCATATTCTTGAAAAATCTTTTTCAGTTGCTGTGACTTGCTTTGCTTTTTCTCCTCTGTGCAGCTGACGCTGCTGCCTGTTCTCTCCGTGGCCTGGCTGAGGTCCTGGCTGCCGCGGCAGTCCCCACGGCTGTGCGGAGCAGCCGGGCATCTGGCCTGGGCAGGAGCAGGGCCAGGGCCAGGGGCAGCGGGGCACAGGGGGTGGTCGCGCCCAGGAGCCATGTGGCGCAAGGCCGGACCCAGGCGCCCACCCTGCCTGCCGGGCCCAGCCCCGCCAGCAACACGGCCATGGCGCGCAGCTGAGCTCTGCCCATATCACTTTTATATCCTTCCTGGAAACGATTGGGAAGATTGGTTACTTTATAACTTTTAAATAGTTTAAGAGTATTGGTATATTAATTAGTTCATGAGTAAAATTTTCTTCTGGACAATATAAATTTGGTGCTCTCTTGTGCGGAAAACAAATCTTTAATAAATGTTGTTTTTTCTATGAATATTATTTAATTTAGCATCTCTATCTCCGTAAGTATCTAAAAATACATATTCCTAGACTATATATGAGCCACATTTTAATGTTAATTTGCATCGAATCACACAATTTTGTCCCTATTTTTCATTTTAATATTTGTCTTTAAGTTCTTCTCTGCACTGTAACCTGTTGACACCTCCTTCTCAAGCTCTTTGTGTGGTCCCATCTATTTACAATTCACTAATAGTTTGGCTCAGGAATTTGGGGGTTAACTGCAGTCAGATTTTCAGCAGAGGCAGATCTCAGGGAAGCACGGAATCCGGTAAGAGACATGTGCTTTGCTGTCAGTATCTCATGTCTCAGACTCGGCATGTCCTGTTCTCTCCATGTGAGCCCCTATCTGCCTCCAGGGATCATGGAAAAACAGAGCCTCTCCCATTTTCATGTCTTTGAAGATGCTTGGTAGAAAGTTGTCATTTTTTTTGGTAATTGGAAACGAAGACAAAGTTTTTCCAAAATAATTTTAAGTCATCAAATATGTACTGTCCTTGTGTCTACAAGTGAGATGACAATTGTAGTTCTCTGGGGAAGTAAAGTCACAGGATCACAAGCCCATATCTCAGACCTCTATGCACTCATCGGCTGTTGTGAACATAAACCTGAGCCCATTGTCCCAGCAGCAGAAGGAAATCAAGCAAGTAGTTTATATTTCAGTCTGTGGGCAGAGTCTATTGTCTGTGGATCAATAGACAGAATACGTGCTCTTTTCTGGAAAAAAAATTCTGGGTCACGAACTGACCAGGGACAAATCCATTCAGGAAAGAGGAAATAATTACAGAGTCGTGAGTTAACCTGTGTGGAAATAACGGATGTCCAAGATCATAAACCAATTCATAACTGTTCCTAAATGAATTGTATGTAATTCTCACTGATGTCATTGTTGGATTTTGATGTATGATGCCACAGAATTTGTTTTCTGAAGGTTCTCTAGTATAATTTGAAAATTAATCTGATAGCTGTTCTATCTTTTCTACAGGAGTTGACACATTTCTAGGATTAGTAGAGGTAGTTCTAAAATACCTCCATCCCTGTAATAATGTATAAGATGTAGCTGATTGATTTTATTTTATTCAGAAATAGCAAATATATATAAGCTTTATACGTACTTTGTGTATATTTTGTATTTAATGGAGACTGATTTAGTGGTGACAGAAAACAACTGGTATCTGCAAATTATGATTAGACTATTTTTCTTTTATTATTTTTCGTTTTTAACTTTTGTGGGTGCACAGTAGGTGTCTATATTCGTAAGATTCATGAGATGTTTTGATGATGTGAAATGTGAAATAAGCACATCATGGAGAATGGGGTATCCATTCCCTCAAGCATTTATCCTTTGTGTTACAAACAATTTAGTCACACTTTTGAAGTCTTTTAAAAATGTACAACAAAGTTATTATTGACTATAGTCACCCTGATGTGCTATCAAATAGTAAGTCTTATTTATTTTTCTGAACTTTTTTTTTTACCCACTAACCATGCCCACATCCCAAGCTCTCCACTGCCGTTCCCGGTCTCTGGTAACCATCCTTCTATGCTCTCTGTTCATGAGTTCAGTTGTTTTGATTTTTAGATCCCACAATTAAGTGAGAACATGTGATGTTTGTCTTTCTGTGCCTGACTTATTTCACTTAATTATTTCCAGGTCCACCTATGATGCTGCAAATGACAGGATCTCATTCTTTTTAAGGCTGAATAGTACTCTGTTTTGCATAAGTACCACATTTTTTAATCCATTCATCTGCTGATGGACACTTAGGTTGTTTTTAAATCTTAGCTATTGTAAACAGTCCTACAACAAACTTAGGAGTGCAGGTATCTTTTTGATATACTGGTTTCCTTTCTTTTGGATGTATACCCAACAGTGGGATTGCTGATTCATACGGTAGCTCAATTTTTTGTTTTTTGAGGAACCTCCAAACTGTTCTCCATAGTGGTTGCACTAAACTACATTCCCACCACCAGTGTCCAAAGGGTTCCCTGTCCTCCACATCCTCGCCAGCATTTGTTACTGCGTGTCTTTTTAGCCAGGGCAAGCAGCTAATATTCCTGGCTTTGAACTTTTTTTTTTTTTTTTAGACAGAGTCTCACTCTGTCGCCCAGGCTGGAGTGCAGTGGCTTGATTTCGGCTCACTGCAACCTGTCCCTCCAAGTTCAAGCAATTCTCCTGCCTCAGCCTCCCAGGTAGCTGCGATTACAAGTGCCTGCCACTGCACACAGCTAATTTTTTGTATTTTTACTAGAGATGGGATTTCACCATCTTGGCCAGGCTGGTCGTGAACTCCTGACTTCATGATCCACCCGCCTTAGCTTCCCAAAGTGTTGGGATTACAGGCATGAGCCACTGCGCCCAGCTGGCTTTGAACCTTTTTAAACCAATGGTACTCCTTCAAGTGACTCACCAAATTCAGTAGGCCTTAACTAAGGTTATGGCTTATTTGAGGTTGCACATGGAATCTCCAAAGAGGTGCAGACCAGTCCTCGCAAGATCCAGAACCACCCCAAAGACAGCCCAAGGAAAGGAAAGTTTTGCTACCTGCAAATAGGATACAACTCACATCTCTAGGGCGTCAACTTCTCAGCTGACCATCTACACACAAAGGCCCTAAATCTCTGTGTGCCCCCACAGACAGAAAAAGACGAGAAATAAAAAGATGGAAAAAATAGACACTGGGACCCACTTGAAAAGGGAGGGGAGGAGAATGGTGAGGGTTAAAAAGCCTACCTCTTAGATTCTATGCTCACTACCTGGGTGATGAAATCATTTGTACACCAAACCTCAGTGACATACAATTCACCCATGTAGCAAAACAGCACATGTACACACTGAACCTGAAATAAAAGTAAAAAAAATATATGTCCATTGGAGGGAAAAGGATGGATAACAAATGGTCCCCCAAAAGATAAAAATCACACAAATATCCAACCAAAGTGACTAATTCCCCACCAAGACTCAAACCCAGGCTACGGCAGTGAAAGGATGGAATTTTAACCAGGCTGCAAGGTGCAGTGGCCAGCACTGCAAATTCTGCAGGAGATTCACAGCAGGCACTTTGAGCATACGAAAACTTTAAACTTTGCTTTGGGCCAGATTTTCATTCTTTAATTTAGTCAAAAGAATTTCTAAGGCTAGCCATGAAACCACCATGAGTCTTTACTTTAAATTAATCTTTCCATAAATACAAATGAGGCAACTGTTTAGAATAAGAGATCTCTTTTTCTAAATTTAGGAGTCTTTCTGACATGAAGGATCAGTTTTCTAACCAGTAATGATTAGAATTTCCAATGGTGAACTTATTTCAATAGTGACTCTGTCCAGCAAGCCTGTTCATGAAAAGCCCAGAAGGCAATTACACAGGTTTAAAATAACTTTTACCATATAAGCAAAAGGTATTCCTGGAGACAGCATAGATGAGGCTAATGATCCTCAAAAAATTTACTCTCAGAAATAGGCTTAAGATGGCAAGAGCTCTTGTTGCCACAGATGGTTAAGAATGGTGTTTGTGCACATAGTACCTCCAGTAACCCACAAATTACTGGGGGACTGCCAATCACGGATGCCTTAATCTGTGATACCAGGGAGGCCCTCCTGAAAGTGTACTTTCCCAGGACTAACCGGGCAACAAGCGTTCATATGACAGAAGCCCCATAGGGATAGGACTTCTTAAGACAAACTCTCCTGAGAGCTTGACACATTTGAAACAAAAAGTGTGCTGCCTAAAAACTGATGTGTCTGAGGTCCCCAGCCAATTTTAGACTGGCCACTGGATGGGACCCAAACATCACACTTCTCAGATGGTGGAGACCAACTGTGCTCCCACTTGGTTAAAAGCCAAGCTCTCAAGGACATGAAACAAGATCGGAGGGAAACTTCATGTGGTTTTATTTGGGGAACAAATAGTAAAGTTTGCCTGAATAGACACCAGTCTGATCAGAGCCGTAAATCTGACCAGTCTTCAGAGGTGGCTCGAAATCGTGTTTCTAGGGGTTCTGGACCCCTGTTCTATTCTGAGGTGCCCTTCTTTATGACAGTACAACCCAGAGAGACAAACAGAGAGTGAGAGACTATTTCTAGGAGGAAAAGGGATCAAACAACATGATTATTCATGCCAAAGACTACACAAGAGTCGCTACATGCACGACTAGTCACACAAATCTTTTTCTTCCACTAATCAGGATTTTATGGAGAAAGAAAAGACAACAGTTTTCACCACCTGCTCAAACAGATTCCACACAGAGGCCGGCAGCCTGGCTGGTAAGAATTTCTTACTCTTCTGCCAGCTGCTCCGGTCCTGGGTTCTCTTGGCTGCAGCTTCCGGAAGAGCAGGCTTCGGTATTCTGCTCACAGCCACAAAATGATAGAGCACAAGGGAGCACTTCCCCTTTGCGCTCTAAAGTTTCACTGAAAAATCGACTGGCCAAGTGCAGATTAAGAGGAGAAATGGCATGCAGGGCTATTGATGTGCGCAAGGGAGAACCATAAAGTGCTGACCCCAACCTCCAATAGTGCTTAGCACAGCTACCACCTAGAGGCCACGGAAACAATGGGGGCTCACAGCATGGCCAGAAACAAGTGATGGCAAGATCAGGTTATAGTGGCAAGGCAGGCTATAAGAGAGAAGAGAAGGCCCGGCTTGCAAATGAGGTCTTGTTATATAGATGATACTTTACAGCCAACAGCCCTCAGAGAGGGTAGATGGTAGAGGTTCCTTTAAAAGTGGGGTGAAATATTTGTATTTACTTCACTGTGCTAGCCCATAGTATCCTCATCTCTTCTTAGAAGCTCAGGTAGGTAGCGGCTAGATAGGACTGGAATGAAATACTAATGAATTGTACTGGGTCCTGCAGTCTTTTGAAATCTCTCTTTTCCCTAAAACAGCCAGGCAACACTCTCTGACCTCTCCTTTGGTGGGAGACTGACTTCTCCCAACCACGAAGGGAGGAAATGGTCCTGGTGCTCGAAGTCCAGTGTGCAGCTGCATCTTCCTGCTGGACCAGAAGATCAACACTGGGTGGGGTCCCAGGGTTTTAAAATCACTGATCTGGAGAAACAGTGAGGCTCAGTCTGTCAATCAGAGTGTTTTACACATAGAGGGCGCCAGCCAAAATATAACTAGAAATAAACCGATACACACACATGTTAATGTGTATATTTTAAAATATATAAAGAAATATATACCACATGTAAATATATGGTAAACATATAAGTAAATAAGAATTAAAATAGAGATATTTACACATAAAGTATGTGATGCTGTCTTTTATTCTGAGGTGGTGTTTCTTCATGTAGGTGAGAGGCAACTTATGTATATATAACTAGAGATACTACATATAATTACATGTATGAACATGTATTCCTCTGTATATATAAAGATAAATATTTATTTATTAAAAAAACATAATCCCCAAATCTCACATAATCACACATGTCCCTCCTGCCCACCGTAGATGCAATTCCACATTCCCTGGAGGATCTCACATACACACAAACACACACATGCACACACACACACACACACTTCCATGTTCACTGGAGGATCTCACATAAACACACACACACACACACATGCACACACGCACACACACAGATGCACTCCCAAGTTCCCTGGAGGATCTCACATAACACACACACACACGCACGTACGTGCACACACACACACACACATACACACGCAGATGCACTTCCATGTTCCCTGGGAGACACTGTGCCTTTCTGTCACCTTGTGGCAGCACAGGGAGCCAAAAAGCCCACAGGAGTCTTTTTCTGCCAGTTTTATAAGGCATTTTATAGTTGGCAAATGCCTGGCCATTGGCCTTTAACCAGAGCAAGCCCAGTGGCCATTGCCCTCTAGTGGAAAAGCTGCCCACACCTCCAGAACCTCTCAATGAGGCTAGGCACCCATGTTTTGAGTACATAAGGTGGTTGCATCCAATGGTGTCCCACATGCGGTGGGTGAAGAAGAGGCTTTCCTGGGAGAAGAGAAAATGCTGGGTCTGAGCTTGCAGAATGTGCTGGGGGCAGTGCAGTTGTGGGGGGTTATGGTGGTACATGGCCAGAGGGGCGTAGGAGGACTGGGTGGGGTGCCCCTGAGAGCTTCTGGATGCCTAAGCCTACGCAAACTGAGAAAGCCTGTTAGAACAGGGTCTCACGGGCCTGAGGAATACCTGGGTGAAAGGCAGTAGGACAGCCATGAGCCTGAGACCTGACACTAGTGTGAGCAGCAGGGAAATAGGGGTCCGGCTTAACAAAACCCCCTGGACTGCAATACAGGTGGTTGACAAGGAAGAACAGTTCAGTGGCAGACTGCTGGGCACTGCCTTCCCAGATGGATGAAGATGAGTAATGCCTGTCCCCAAGCCAGGGCCCAGCTTGTGGTTGAGGCTGTCCATTGTGGTGGATTCAAGTGCGCTTGCTCAAGTAGGGATGCTACCGACAACCCTCAGGACTTGGGCCGCGAACACTGTTAGCTTCCTGGCTGGCTTGCGCTTGCCAAAACAAGGCTGGAAAATGCATGGCTGCACAAGCTGAAAAAATGAATGATCTCTTCTGTTATTAGACCTTCAGAGAGACGGTGACCGGGTGGAACTTGAATGGAAGAACACCTAATGTGATCAGCTATCGTAGGCTTTGGACGCTCCCATTCATGCCAACACAGCTGGTCAGCACTCCCTGTTGATCTCCAAAACTCTGAGTGCAAGCTGGCCCAAACACCAAGGGAAATAATGTCTCTGATCTGGACGTCCAGCGTGAAGCTGCGTCTTCTCACGTGACCAGACGATCAACACTCAGTGGGTCTCAGTGTTTTAAAATCACTGATCTGCAGAAACAGTGCAGCCCAGTCTGCTAGTCTGAAATGTCTCATACATACAGGGCACCACCTATGATATAACTAGAAATAAATATACTCGCACACATAAATGTGTTTACATTTAAAGGTATTCTGAGGTGCCCTTCTTTATGACAGTACAACCCAGAAAGTGTGTAGCATGTAAACATGTGTATCAACAAATAAATTGAAATATACATGTGTCGACGTAGATCTTTGCTGCACTCTCCACCAGTCTACCTTGGTGTTTCTCCATGCAGGTGATTACAAAACATAAAATATACATATTCTTATGAAGGAATAAATTTGAATATTTGGTATAATTATATAGATTTATATATAAATAGATATATTTAAAATAAATATATAAATACAAACAATATATTTAAAATAAGCATGTAAATACAAACACCTATGTATAAAATAATCATTATCCAAAACTCACTGAAAAACCCACATGTGCTACAAACAGATGTACCTGCGTGAATATTAGGGGCCATTGGTCCCCTGGGGCCTTCATGCCACCTACTAGCAGCCTAGGAAACCCTAAGGCCAGCAGGAGTCCTTTCCTGCCAGGTCCATGTCACTGGTCGTGGATGGGAAACACCTGGCCATTGCCCTTTAACAAGAGGCAGTCCAAGGGCCATCACCCTCCATTGAGAAAAATGGGCAGTTTCCCAGAACTTGTGCATCAGGTTAGCTGGGCTTCTTTGGAACACTTCAGGTGTGGGCAATATGATTAGTTTGGTGAGGAGAGAAGAGGCTTTCCATGGAGAGAAAGAAGGGTCTGACCCTCAGGATGCACTGGGAGCGGAGAAAGGCAGGTGCAGTAAGATGGCGCAGGGTGGAGGGACAGGCAGGCCACAGTGAGACTGCACCGAGTGCCTTTGAGAGCAAGTGCCTTGGGGACCAAGAGCAGCAGCGTGACTTCCCCCAAACACCGAGGGAAGCAATGGTCCTGACGCCCAAAGTCAAATGCACAGCTGCATCTTCCCTCTGGGCCAGAGAATCAACACTGGATGGGGCCTGAGCTTTGGGAATCACTGATCTGGAGGAACAGGGAGCCCCAGGCTGTCGATCTGGAGTGTTTCACACATGCAGGGCCCCAGCTAAGACATAGCGAGAAATAGATATATCCACACACAGAAATGTGTGTTTGTTAAAGATAGAAGGGCATGTGTGACATGTGAATATATGTGTCAGCATATAAATAAAGATTCATATATATACATATATATATTCATACAGGAAACTGTGTAGTGCTTTCTGCCTGTCCATGGTGGTGTTTCTCCATTTAGGCAAGAAGAAAACCTATCTCCCTATGTATCTATCTATCTATCTATCTATCTATCTATCTATCTATCTATCCATCCACACACATAAATACAGACATATTTATATACATAAGTGAATGTAAATATTCTGTGTAATTATCTATATTTATATATAGAAAAACGTGAACAAATATATAAATATAGGTATATATGTACAAGTCTCTATGTATAAAATAAACATAACCCAAACATGTCACCCCAAGTCCACACAGATGCACTTGCACTTATACTAGAAGCCGTTGGGCCCCCTTACTGCAGACTGGCAGTGGAGTGAACAAAAGGCCTGAAGCCTCCTTTCTGCCAGTTCCGTGTGAGCCTCCACAAATGACAAACACCTGAACATGGCCCTTTGACCAGATCCAGTCAAGGGCCATCGTCTTCTAGTGGGAAAGCTGCCCACTTATGCAGAAGCTGTCAGTCAGGACAGGGCCTCCTCTTTTGATAGTTGAGGTGGGGACATAGAGAGGCGTCTCAGTTTGGGTGGAGGCAGGGGAGGCTTTCCAGGAGGATGAAAACAGGCTAGGTCTGAACACACAGGAGGCACTGGGTGCAGCGTGAATCTGGGTGGGGTAAAGGGCTCTTGGGCCAGAGGGACAGCGAGGCCAGGACAGGATGGCTCTGAGTGCTCCTGAGAGCATTTGGGGAACAGGAAAGTGACCCCCAATTTATTCTGAAGACTGCACAGACCTGCATGAGCCTGTTACCACAGGCCCCAGCTGCATCTCGAGAAACCAGGGCAGACCCGGAGAACACTTGGATTAAAGACACCTGAGAGGGAGGCCAAGGCGGGCGGATCACTTGAGGTCAGGAGTTCGAGACCAGCCTGGCCAACGTGGGGAAAACCCATCTCTACTAAAACTATAAAAAAACTAGCGGGGCATGGTGGTGGGTGCCTGTAATCCCAGCTACTCAGGAGGCTGAGGCAGAAGAATCACTTGAACCTGGAAGGCGGAGGTTGCAGCGGGACAAGATCGCACCACTATATCCAGCCTGAGCGACAGAGCGAGACTCCATCTAAAATAATAATTAAAAAAAAAAAAAGACACCTGGGAGCCTATGGGCTCGAGGCTTCGTCCAAAACTTAGAGAATCATGGAAACGGGTCTGGCTTGACAAAACTTTCTGGTCCACAGTGTAGGTGGCAAACGAGGAAAACCAGGTCAGAGGTAGATGCTAGATATGGCCATCCACAGGGGATGGATGATGCCTTTCAGAGAATTCGGGTCCAGCTTGTGGGTGACGCAGGTCCATCCCAGGAGGCTGAACTGCACGCGCACAAGTGGGGAGTCCCCAGGGAGCCCTGAGGTTCCGGGCCTGGCATCTGGCCTTGGGACAGCAGCAGTGCTAGCTTTCTGCACAGACTTCGGGTCGCCAAGTCTAGGCTGAAAAATGTATCGCCTTACACCCAAAAGAAAGCCCTATCTCTTCTGTTTTTTGAAGCTCAGGGAGGTAGCAACCAGATGGAACAGCTGTGCCTTCCACTCTCCCAGAAGGTAAACAATTGGTGGGGCTCAGTGTGTGGAAACTGCTGCTCTGGAGAATGGAGCAGTGCGGTCTGCCGGTCTGGAGTGCTTCACACATACAGGGCACCAGCTAAGGCATAACTCAAATAAACACATACACAAATCCATGTCTATATTTTTAATATACGAAGAAATAGATAACATATATAAATATTTGCATCAACATATACATAAATACAAATTAAAACATAGATATTTATGCATGGAACTTTTTAGAGCTCTTTCCCTTTGTGGTGCTGTGCCTCCAGGCAGGAACAAGAAAGCCTACATATGTAAATTAATACGTAAAAACATGTATTACTTAGTAAACATACATAACCACATAGATTTATATACAAATATGGATGTATGTATGTACATATATTCATATATAAATATTTGTATGTATGTATATTCATATATAAATTATACACCCCCAAGCATGTGGGCATACACACACACACACACACACATAAACTGTACATAACCCAAAAATCTCACACAAAGACACACACCCTCCCACACACAGATGCACGTACTTTTACACTCCTGGCTGTTGGGCAATGCTGCCACCTACTGGCAGGGAGCCAAAAAGCCACATTACATGGCCCCTTTGCAGATGGTAAACACCCACTGTTTTTGAGGCCTACCGATAGTGCTTTGTTTGTATGTATGTATGTATATATGTGCACATATATATATTTCATATAGAATATACAGTTAATATAGCTATATTACATCATGATGAAATTGAGTGTAATCTCTATAATAGAGAAAAATATATACATCTATAAATATAAATGTATAAAACAAACACAGCCAGAAAATAAACACACACAAACAAAAAACAGATGCAAATACATTTATACTAGGGATCATTGGGCCCTCTTGCCACCTGCAAATATATTTATGTGAAATCGTTTGTAAAAGCTATGATATATAGTTAGAAATATATATACATATATAAATATAAATGTATACAATAAATACAACCCTGTTTTATGCAAAAAATCTCCAAGTAAAGGGCATCTAAATTTAGTAAACTTTGCTGTGCAATAAATGTTGCAAATAAGATCTTTGAAAATGTCCTCCATGGCTTCTTCTCTGGGGAATATTCCCAGGATGTGATGGTTGGGACATAAAGTATACGCATAATTATTTTCACTAAGTGCGAAGAAAATCTCCAAGTGTGTCTGAATCTTTGAGATAAAGCATGAACATGTCCACCTACATTTCCACTAATTATGGCATAATCCAAATTTCTAAAATTAATAAATTGATATAAAGTGCTCTTTTGTGTCATTTATCTCATGACTAATTTTTCTGAGTTCCCCTTCACATATTTTTAACTATTAAAGTTTTTCCTACTTTGAATTACCTATTCATATGCTTCTCGGTGTTCTGTTGGATTTCCCAAGTCTTTTCTTGTTAATGTAAAATAGTTTCTTAAAAAGGAATCATTACAATTATGGAATGAAGTGTTTTGTGTGTCTAAGAATCCTAGTTTCTTCCGGGTATTTTTTTCTCCCATTTTTTCTTAGTAACTACAGCCCCACATATTCAGTTGCTAACATCATCATCCATGTAGATACTACACTTCTTAGCCTCCCTTGCAGGTCAGTGTGGCCATGGAACTAAAGTCAGGAAAGTGAGGTAGAGGCGGAATTGTTTGTCTGTGACTTCCAGGGACTTTCCTTATGGGAGGAGGTCTTTTGTTTTTTCTACTCCTTTTTCATGACTGTAGCTTGGGATGCAGTTGTGTTTCCTGGAGCTCCAGCAGTCGTATGTGACTATGAGGAAGTGAGCTGTGCCCTGGGCACAGCTGGGGAGTGCGGAATTTTGATGGCTCATGAAGCGGAGCTGCCACAGCAAACCTGGATGGCCAAGCCTCTGCCTGATTTTACATGAGCAAGAAGTATGCTAACTTCTCTAAGGGACTGTTATTTTGGGGATTCTCTGTCACCTTCAATTGAACCTTATTCTATGTAAGAGAGGCTACATATAGATCTACTCCATAAACACTGATCATAGAGAAGGATCATGGATGACACAGGCAATGTGGCTTTGCCATCATGAATCGGTCAAGATTATTCCATTTTCACTTCTGGGTACCTTGAATGTGGTGTTTGACACGTGTTTCTTTTTCCCTTATCACAATTTTAGCTCATTTAACGACTGCTGGGCTAACCATGGCACATTCTTTTTCTGCATGTATCATACATCAAGGTTCATGTCACTGTGTGATATCAGTGTCATTGTGACATCTGTAAGAGGATACAGGAGCAACAGTGCAACAGAGTCACCTCTTGCAGCTGATGTATTCCCTTAGGTTTAAGTGAACAGGAAAGTAGACAGATTGGCAACAGGGAGCTCAAAAACAGTCTGTCAGATGAGGTCACAGAAACTATGTGCAAATTTAATACAATTAGTTTGGTGAGGAGAGAAGAGGCTTTCGTGGAGAGAGAGAAGGATCTGAGCTCTCAGGATGCACTGGGAGCAGAGAAAGGCAGGTGCAGTAAGATGGCGCAGCTCTGTCCTCAGCTGCATGTGCCTCTGCACAACAGGTTTCTATTCGGGAAGGGCAGCGTAGTTCTTCTCACATTTTTCCCCTTTGTTTTCTCCCAGGCTTCAGGGTAAAGCAGAAGATTCATGAGAGGGTGTCTGCAGGCTGGTCCTAAAGTGCTTTTCTCCACAGGAATGTCACCTGGGCACTGCAGCCAGGGGTCCCAGGTGCCACTGAGTAGGGCTGCATTCCCATCTTCAGTGAGGGAGAGCTGAGAGAAGGCAGGCAGGATTCACACTTCCCTCACCCACTTGCTTAAGCAATACATTAAAGGTTCAAACTAAAAGAAACCTGAGATCTTACAGAAGCATTTAGAACCATGTATAAAGTGTGGATCACTTTTAAATATTTGAAAATGCACACAAACCACATGAAGCTACTTCAGGTGAAGGATTTCTGGCTAAATGGACTTGACAAGATTCTTGCTGAATGCAAGCTGGGGTGATAAGATAATCACTGGGGAAATGGTGGGGAATAAGGAATTGGATCAGATATCAAGGGTGGGAGATTCTGGCAAAACCAACTTGGCAGGAGTCTTGCTAAAACTGGGCTCTGGAGAACACTCTAAGGATGAGGCCTAGTCAAAAAAGAGCTCAGAGAAGCCTGTCTAGAGTTTTGTTAGGGACAGCCTCTTTGTCGTTGTTTGTATACATACACAGATACACAAATAAATACACATATATAAATACAATTAGTTTATTCCAGTTGATATACTTATTTAAAGTTGCATTGGTTTTTGAGTACCGCAAATTTACCAGCTTAAAACAACACAAATGAATTATCTCATAGTTCTGTGGGTCAGGAATCTGGGCACAGGTTGGCTGGGCCCTCTGCTCGGGGTGGCGTCTCATTTCAGAATTCAGATCATCTTTCAAGCCATGTAACTAGGTAAGTGGAGGCTCCTGATGAAATGTCCTACAGGGGCATGGATTAGGAGAAACCCCATGAGCTTTAAACCCTGAGAGTCAAGGCTAGATTCATTCCCAAAGAGCATACTTAAAGAGTGGAAGAGGCACTTTCAGAAGAGGCTGTGGGACAGAAACCAAAAAAGGCAGTCTTTGTTGTTGCCAATAACAACAGAAATGTCATTTGCCCCATCAGTACCTTGAAATAACGCAAGATAACAACCTCCTTTTGTCTAAGTCCTAGAAACGTCATAACTTGCTTGTCCTGCACAGTCTGGGTTTATAGCTCTTGAACCACCCCCTGTCCATTTGGCATTGGCATGAATAGTGATGTTTTCTCATTTAAAATAAAATAAAATATTTAACTGCTGCCTTAAAAATACTCTAGGATGGATTTTAATACTGTTCCCTTTTCACTTCTGGCTTCTGCCCCTCTTTCCAAACTGACCTAGCATCTCAGTGTCACTGGCCTCACGAAGGGTGCCTGTGGCTGTAATGAGGTTGTGCACTGACACCGATGCCTGGGATAGCAGAATCCTTCCACGCCTGGGTGGAGGTGGGAGAGTCAGCTGCTGTCCCTGGTGCTCCCACAGCTCGACCTCAGCTCACCTCGGCTGCTTGAGCCACAGTCCTTGCTAGGGCCTGGAGATGCACAAGGCCAGGTGGAATGGTCAGAGGGACACCCGCGAAACTACAGGTTAAGTGCAAGAAAACAAATGCAGGCAAAGAAGACCTCGCTATAGTGACTCTGTGTAGAAAAAAACTGTAATTATTTATTTTACTGTTTGTAACTTTTTTTGCAATAATCCTTGCCGTACAAATGATCTAAAAAAGTACATTTTGGTTTGAAAATAAACACATAACTGGATTTCCATTCTCAAGAAAGCAGATGATAAATATATAACCTATGTAAAATGTTTATAGCCTCATCCACTAAGGGTCTATAGTGATATCACTGACCACATAAATATAGAAGACACATGTCTCTTAAAAAAGTGTTATCATAAACTTGAACATGTGATAGTTATTTTAAGGAACCTATGCCTATAAAGAACGTAAAACATGAAAATATGTAAAGTACATTTACCTATTACACTGCAAAAAATGTTTCATATTTATTTAGATTGACTGTTTCTCTAAATTAATTTTGTTCACTTTAGATTGTAAATTCTTGGCATATAAAAAAATTAAGTGATAGCTGTAAGAGGTTGTCTGGAATACCCCAAAGAGAATTGTTCACACTGTGAAATAATGTCACTACCATACTGATGTCACGAGATGCTTCAAATTAAAGAGCAGTTAATTCTAATAATAGGTTGCTTTTAATCCTTTTTATGGAATCAAAGTATAGCTTTTCATCCTGTCAAAGGTGAAATTCCTGACATTATTTTAGATGCTACTGTAAATTTAGAAGAACAAAAAATTCACTGATTTTTAGTATATTAACTACGTTGCACAACCATCACTATTATCTAACTCCAGAGTATTTCCATCATCCCCAAAAGAAACCCTGTACCTATTAGCAGTCAGTCCCAATTCTCCCTTCCTCCCATCTCCTGGCAACCACGAATCTACTTTTTGTCTCTATGAATATACCTATTGTGGACATTTCATATAAATGGAATCATAAAATATATGGTCTTTTGTGCCTGGCTTCTCTCACTTAGCACAATGTTTTCAAGGCTCATCTATATTGTAGCATGTAGCAACATAAATTCATTTTTATAGCTGAATAGTTTTTGGATAGATCACAGTTTTGTTTATCCATTCATCAGCTGATAGGCATTGAATTGCTTCTTTTTTTTTTTTTTTTTTTGTCTATTTTGCGTAATGCTGCTCCAAACATTCTTGCACAGTCCTTATTGATTTTTAGGGCGACGATCATGGATCCCAGGCAACCATCATGGGTTGATCAGCAATTGAGTAAATCTGAAACCAGTATTTTATTTTTAGGTACTTTTCAGTTTCTGTTATGATCTTGACAACAGGGAGTGCTGGGTTCTGGAACATGATTATGTTCTAGGAATTGGAGATTGCTATATTTTCTAAAATCTGTAGATGTGGAACACAGTGAGGTCTAATTTTGTATGCTCTGTGAATGCTTTGGATCCTTAAAAAGGGAGGCTCCTGAGGGACTTAGCAGCAAACAGACACAATTTCTGAGGTCCAGAAGGAACTGCACCCACTCCACAGAAAGACAGTCAGGCTGCAGTCCCTGAAAAAATGCAGGTGGAGAATTCATAGAATTGAAATTGAACAGAATGAGAAGCTGGGGAGAATGATTTTGCATTTAAGGTTGGGATTTGGGACTTTCATTTATTTGGATTCATACCACACAACAAAGACAGCAGGTTTTTTTTTTCTTTCAGATTTTCACCCTTTTAGACTTTAAATTAGATATTTGGGATTTTAATTTTTTAAAGGTTTTCATATTTGAATTTAATCATATCATTGGAAATTATTAATGGGAGGGAGATTATATTTAACTTTAGAGCATCAGTATGTATTAACATATGATGGTTGGAATATTTTAGTGTTGTTATTTAATCTCATAGCATAAACTTTGAGGGCTATATTGGGCAATATATAGCTGGACAAAATCTGAAATATGAAATAGAACAGAAATGAAGTTTCAGCTTTAAATTCAGAATGGCCATCAATGACCTTAATGACTTCAATTAATATACAATCCTGTTCCACATCAGAGTCTGGAGCAAAATCTAATTCTTTCAGCACAAAGAAAGATCCCAGAAGGTCCCAGAAAAATCCACAAAAGAGAATACAAGGGCAACTATTTTATTAGAACAAATATTTCTTTATGATGGTTAATGTATACATGATAGTTCTATGCTAAGAATGCCTCACTGGCGTAATCTTTTGAGGGCATCCAAAGAAATAATTAGAGACCCACATTTAGAGTAAAAATTTAAAAGATGTAACACAAGATAAGTCTTCTATTCAAAGGTAAGAAAAAGCACAGGAAATGATGATTATATTATCACTTACTCTTCCATCTGTACGATGGAAAGTTTGTTTTGCTGTAGATTTTTAAAGCAGCTTGAACTTAGAAATATTAAAGTGTGGAAAAAAAACCCTAAGAACTTTCCTCTCGTAGTACAATCTTTGTTTGCATCCTCCATTACCAGGTGTATAAAAGTGGTGATCAGTGTTTTCACCTTGGACCAAAGTGGAGGATAAATTTGCCAGCTCTTCCAGTGTGGGCCCTGGGAAATAGGCTGGAAACCCACTATGTTCTTTCTGCCTCCTGAACTGCCCATACTAAGTGGGGTTTACCCACATTTCTTTTATTTGCTTCTTCTTTGCATACTTCTTTCTTGAAAGTGAGTCACTTTTCCAGTTCAGTTATTTTATCTAAATTTGGTTCTAGGTTTGTGGTATAAGTTTGGACCTGTTTCTAGCTTCAGTATGGAATTACATGCTTCTCAATGTTTTTACTTTTTAGATTCACTTTGGGGGGAAGAGACATTTAAAGAATCTGTGATTACATGGCCATTGAATCCAATAGTATTCTACTTCTAAAAATGTTTCAGACTTTTTGAAAAATATCTGGCATATTCATTTGATTAATGAATGTGCATTATGGCAGGTGCTGATGAAGAATGCCATACATATTTAAAGTGATCTGTAGATTTTTTTAAGTTGGAAAAAAATTCTATGAAAAGTCTCATCTAGCTGCCAAAGTCTAGTAGTGTTGGGGAAAATCACATTGTTGTTGTTTTTTTTTTTTTTTCCAAACAGGATTAAATGAAATGTTGCATAACTAGAGTTTACTATTCCACCTGGCATGGGGTGAGTGTCCAAAAAATGTTGCCTTTTGTTACTATTACTCCTTTTTGTTTTTTTTGTTTTTTTTTTTGAGAGTCTCACTTTGCTGCCCAGGCCGGAGGGCAGTGGTACCATCATAGCTCACTGCATCCTCGAACTGTGGGGCTCAAGCCATCCTCCTGCCTCAGTCTCCTGAGTAGCTAGGACTACAGGTATGCATCACCACAGCAGGCTAATTTTTTAGAAAACTTTTTTTTGGGTAACGATTCTTTTTTTCAAGTGATTCTCCTGCCTCAACCTCCCAAGTAGCTGGGACTTCAGGTGCATACCACCATGCCTGGCTGATTTTTAAAACATTTTTTTTTGAGACAGAGTCTCGCTCTGTTGCCCAGGCTGGAGTGCAGTGGTGCAATCTCGGTTCACTGCAACCTCCGCCCCCCAGGTTGAAGCAATTCTCTGCCTCAGCCTCCTAAGCAACTGGGATTACAGATTCCCACCATCTGTATTGTTAGTAGAGACAGAGTTTCACCATCTTGGCCAGGCTGGTCTTTAACTCCTGGCCTCAGGCAATCCTCCTACCTCAGCCTCCCAAAGTGCTGGGATTACAGGTGTGAGCCACTGCAACCAGCCTTATTATTTCTCTTATTCTGCTCAGCCGCATATAATCTAAGGCACATGCGTTTACCCTACGCTTACATAAGACCTTCTCACTTTCTCTTTTTCTCTTCCACTTCTTCTCCCCAAACCCCACTCTCTCATTCCTCACTTCTCTCTCTTTCTCTTTGATGTGGCCATTTCCACAATCATGCTCTAAATCGTGGTCTATTTTGATTCCCATCTTTTCTATCAATAACTCTACCAGGCAGTTAATTTCTATATTTATGTTTTGTTCTTATAAAGAATTTTCTATTAAATATTGAGGTATGTTATTAAACTTAAAAATAAATTATTTAAATTATGATATCAATTTAGACTGACGTCCTATCTCCTAGTATAAATACAAGCCATCCAAACATTATTGCTTTTGGGGAAATTCCTTTAATTTTCATGACCTGATCTGCCCATGGGTTTACCAGACTGTCTTTGTAATGCAGAGGAAAGCCTTCTCTGCTTTTCTTTCTTTTTTAAAAATATATTTTATTTGTAATTTTATTTTTTTAATTTTATTTATTTATTTATTTTTTGAGATAGAGTCTCACTCTGTCACCCAGGCTGGAGTGCAGTGGCTCGATCTCTTCTCACTGCAGTCTCCACCTCCCAAGTTCAAGCGATTCTTGTGCCTCAGCCTACTGAGTAGTGGAATTACAGGTGAGTGCCACCATGTCCGGCTAATTTTTGTATTATTAGTAGAGACAGGGTTTCACCATGTTGGCCAGGCTGATCTCGAACTCCTGATCTGAAGTGATCTGCCCACCTCAGCCTCCCAAAGTGATGGGATGACAGGCGTGAGCCACTGCGCCCGGCCGGCTTTTCCGTGGCACCACTTGACATTCATAGTGAGTCCGCCCTTGGCACTTCCTCCAGTCTAGCCCCACTTGCATTTGTGTAGGAAAAGTTCCACAAAATATGAGGTATTTCGGATGACATCTTGGCTCATGCCTATCTTGGCTTTTTTTTTTTTTTTAAACAATCCAACAATTTCTGAGAAGGTGTTTGACTCTTCTCTTCTCAGAGCACTATGTCTTCTGGAAGTCAATCTGCATTTTCAGGGACTGTTGAAAGTCAAGTTATGTGCTGTTTCTAATGTCCTGGGCCATCTCTCAAGACATTCGCTGATTACTGTGTTAATGTCTAAAAATTGGTTTGAGCTTTTTTTTTTTTTCTTTTCTTTTCTTCCATGAATGCATCGTCTCAGCTTTCAGAATTAAAGCCTGCCTCTGATCCAAAAATTAAAGTGTAATCATGGACACGATTTTTACAGGAAATCGGAGTTTCCTAGCTGAAAAAGCAGTGAAATTGACTGTCAAGGAAAGGTGTCTACACTTTTAACAAATATTCTAAAGAAGAAACAAAGAAGCTTTATTGGGGTGTATCAGAATACTGAGGGAAATGATTACTTAAAATGGGCCTGATTTTGGCAATGATTATTTAATATATGAAAAAAGTGAGGCCGGGTGTGGTGGCTCATGACTGTAAACCCAGTGCTTTGGGAGGCTAAAGCAGGAGGATTGTTTGAGCCCAGGAGTTGGAGACCAACCTGGGCAGCATAGTGAGACCCCACTTTTATACAAATTTTTAAAATAATTCGGCCAGGCATGGTGGTGTGCACCTGTAGTCCCAGCTATTTGGGAGGCCGAGGCAGGAGAATCACTTGAGGCTAGGAGTTCGAGACCAACTTGGGCAACACAGTGAGACTGTCTCGAAAAATAAATAAATACATTAGCCGGGCACGGTGGTGTGCAGCTTTATTTCTAGCTGCTTGGGAGGCTGAGGCAGGAGGATCACTTGAGCCCAGGAGTTTGAATTGCAGTGACAGCTATAATCAAGCCACTGCACTTCATAAGCCTAGGTGACAGAGCGAAACCATCTCTAAAAAAAAAAGGTAAAATTTTTTATTTTTACATATTTGTAACCACAAGATGGCACCAATTTCCCATTTAAAAGCTTGGCATATGGGTGTTTTTCATTTTTTACATATTTTTCCAAGATTACAAGCTGTTGGGTGAGGTTTGGTTACCACCTTCCCTCAAATATGGACTCCTAGACTATAAAACTAGGGCCATTGCATTAAGTAAGAATCCATATGTGCAATTAGGTTTGTAATTTGCATTCTCTGTATCACGACTTCAATGTGGAAGGAGTGACTCTAATGAATAAGGACGAATGCTTAGTGCATTTCTTCACAAATGTTAAGTTCCAGAGTAAGTTTCAAACCCAAAGCCACATATTGGCAATTTTATGAGGCTTCTCTCATGCAAAGTCCTCAGATCTTTGTTCTTGAAAAGGAAAAAACTGTATGACTACACCTATTCACCACCCAGCCAATTAAAAGCAGGAAGCACTTTGGATATCTGTTTGCATGCTTCAGGATCAGGCTATATGTGTTGTCTTTGTTATATGATTTCTAATGCATTTATGAGTTTTGATGGCCAAGACCAATAATCAAAGCAGATTGCATGTAATTACTCTCTTGGTAGTTTTTCTTGATTATCCCATAAATGGGATTTGCATTTCTGAAAATGCCTACAAAATAGAATTTGGCCAAACATTCTATGATCACATTTTCTGTGATGTTGGTTTTAAAGTGACTTGAAATTGTGAAATCCTTCTGTGTCAGTTTTATTGCTCTGAGACTCTAGCCTCTGGTGAGTTTGGGAGGGGGCCTGGAAATGAGATGGCATCAGATTAAACGTGTCTGTTATATACTTATTTCTGTATTAATTTACAGGTGTTAGAACATCTGCTCCAAAAGACTTCAGGCAAAGATGGAATTTATTTTCTCACTTAACTGAAAAAGTCCACAGGTAGCCTTGCTGCCAGTATAGTTGGATTCTGGGCTCAAACAATATCGTTAGGGCTTGGGTGTTTTTTTTTTTTTTTTTTTTTTTTTTCTGTGTTTCTCCTCTCTGCCTCCCGCTGGATTGAATTCATGTGCAACCTCCTCGTCATCACTTCTGGAACTTCTAGGCTCTCTGTGCTTTATGACAAGATGACTGCAGCAGTCCTAAGCTCAGGTGAGTCCAAGATGTAAGCCCAGTAGGAAACAGGGAGCTCTTTTGCTTACAAGGCTAGGAATTATTCTTGTGTCTGCAAGCACCAAGGCCAGGGGAACGTGATGTGCTTACTGGCTTGGGCCTGAGACATGTGGTCCACGCCTGAGGCAGCAATAGAGCCCACCTAGCGCACGTGAACTAGATTGAAGAAGGAATAATCTGCAAGTTAAGCTAGGAGGGCTGTTATCAGAATGGATGTGGCAAAATCTAATTCTAGAAAGGTTTTATATAGCCCTGAGCCTAAGCATAAAATATACTGAGTTCAGAGGTTGATATGGTTTGGCTCTCTCCCCATCCAAATTTCATCTTGAATTGTAGCTCCCATAATTCCTACATGTTGTGGGAGGGGCCTGGAGGGAGATAATTTAATTAAGGGGGCGGTTTCACTCATATGCTTCTCGTGGAAGTAAGTCTCACGAGATCTGATGGCTTTATAAGGGGAATCCCCGTTTGCTTGGTTCTCATTTGCTGTTTGTCTGCTGCCATGTTAGATGTGCCTTCCACCTTCCGCCATGATTGTGAGGCCTCCCCAGCCATATGGAACTGTGAGTCCATTAAACCTCTTTTTCTTTATAAATTACCCAGTCTGGGGTATGTCTTTATCAGCAATGTGAAAACAGACTAATACAGAGGGGTTCTTCATACCTTGAAAATATTATTCTTCGAGTGACAATTTTAAAATCTTTGGAAAATGACAAAGCTAACAGGTCGGTGACTGGGTCATCACTTGCATTCTTACTTAGGGCAAACACTGGTAAAATTATGTAGGCAGAATTTTCTCTGGTGGCATCTCACATATCTTTTCTTTATTTATCCTCACTGGTATCTCTCAGTTGAGATACCAGTTCTCCAGTTCTTCTCCAGCATCTGTGTACATTCCAGAACTTTCTTACACCCTACCCTGGAAACTCATCTTTCCTGAATATCCTTCGTGTTTGTTGTAATTTAGGGACTTGATATTACCTACTGGACTTTCAATGCTTTAATTCAAAGACTGACCAATAATATCGATTAATCCTATGCGTGTTCATATGACTCATTATGTTATGAACTTATTGAGTGCATGGAATATGTTTTATTCATCTCTGTGACTCATGCTTAGCTCTCAATAGACATTGGTAAAATGAACAAAAAGATCTGAAATTTAAGACAGATGTTACCGGAGTCTGTTCTTCTCAGAGCTTGTAAACACTGCTTATGCTGACAAAGAATTCCTAACCTGCGTGCCTAATGATAGCTCTTAAAATATTGTTGCACATGGTGGTTAAGGCCAATACTGTAGGATCTACGGGAAAGCTACTACTGCAAGTGTTGTTTTGGGGCTTATCAAATGGTATCTTCTTTTCTAATTCATGTTAATCCTTTTGTATTCTTTCATTTTTAGAGGTAACAGGGAACCATCTTAGCTGTTCACATTACTTTCAAAAATAAGCTGGCACAGAACATTATGTGATCATCTATGAGTTTTCTTTTCTCTGGATTAGAGTAAAATAAATAGCTTGTGCCAGGTAAACAGCAGGGATTGCACAGGTGAAATGTGGTAACCTGGGATTACTATTAAATGCAGGCACTTCATGGTCCATGCCTGGTAAAGAGATCAGAGGGCTATTCAAGTGAAGGATGATTGGTTCCAAAGTGAGTATGATTGAATTAATGAGGAGATGTCTGGATTAATTTAGAAAATGTCTGATTAAGGATAATAAATAATATCAAATATTATCTATAATTCATGCAAAGGGTTTAGTAGGAGACGTGTTGCCTAAATGTGGACAAGGGTCATAATTGTCCTTTTCTTTTCCTTAGAATACAATTTTTTTTTTTGAGACGGAGTCTCACTCTGTCTCCAGGCTGGAGTGCAGTGGCACAATCTTGGCTCACTGCAACCTCCGCCTCCCGGGTTCAAGCGATTCTCCTGCCTCAGCTTCCTGAGTAGCTGGGACTACAGGTGTGCACCACCACGCCCAACTAATTTTTGTATTTTTAGTAGAGACAGGGTTTCACCATGTTGGCCAGGATGGTCTCGATCTCCTGACCTTGCGATCTGCCCACCTCGGCCTCCCAAAGTGCTGGGATTATAGGCGTGAGCCACTGCACCTGGCTTTTTTTTTTTTTTTTTTTTTTTTTTTTAGAAGGAGTCTCACTCTGTCACCCAGGCTGGAGTGCAGTGGCATGATCTCAGCTCACTGCAACCTCCGCCTCCGGGGGTTCAAGCGATTGCTAGCTTATTTTTGTATTTTTAGTAGAGACAGGGTTTCACCATGTTGACCAGGTTGGTCTCAAACTCCTGACCTCATGTGATCCAGCCGCCTCTGCCTCCCAAAGTGCTTGATCTATTTGAGTTCATGTAGAAGGAGTATATTCTGAAGGCAAGTGCCACAGCATGTAGAAGTGTGCTTTGTTACAAGGGTGGGATTAAAATACTTGGAATCTCAATGGAAGAGAAAGGAGTATCTCTTGGAGTTTTGCAGGCAAATAGGCAAGTAGGCAATCTAAATGGGTTTATGCAAAGAGAAGCCAAATATAAAGTGGTTTTGGCCAGGAGTTCCCCGGCTAAGTCCAAGGGTATGAGTTGGCTGAGCCTATTGCCAGGGTGAGAAGGGTGCAGTGGCTCATGCCCGTAATCTCAGCATTTTTGGAGGCTGAGGCAGGTGGATTGCCTGAGTCCAGGAGTTTGAGACAAGCCTGGGCAACACAGAGAAACCCTGTCTCTACTAAAAATACAAAAAAATTAGCCAGGCATGGCCGTGCACCTGTAGTCCCAGCTACTCAGGAGGCTGAAGGAGAAACACCTGAGTCCGAGAGGTTGCGGCTGTAGTGAGCCATGATTGCAACACTGCACTCCAGCCTGGGCAACCAGAGTGAGATCCTGTCTCAAAAAAGAAGTCAAAGAGCTGTACTCAAAGTTAGGATCTCCTGGAAACAGTATTTTAAAGTGATGGGAGTACTGTGGGAGTTTGAGGAGGAAGAAAGAAGAGGATAGGGGAGGAGAAACATGCCCAAGGGAGAAACAAAAATATACAAGACAACTCCACCTACTTCTCAGCTGCGGTCTGACTTTGCTGACATATTCCGGCTTGGCCAACTGTCCTCAGGCCTTCAAAAAGTGAATGAAGGGAACCAGTGAGGAACCACCTAACTTCTTGTCATAAGTGTTAATTTTTCTTTTTTGAGACAGAGTCTCTCTTTGTCACCCAGGCTGGAGTGCAGTGGCACAATTTCAGCTCACTGCAATATCGACTTCCCAGATTCAAGTGATTCTCCTGCCTCAGCCTCCTGAGTAGCTGGGATTACAGGCATGTGCCACCATGCTCAGCTAATTGTTTTATTTTTAGTGGAGACGGGGTTTCACCATGTTGGCCAGGCTGGTCTTGAACTCCCGACCTCACGTGATCCACCAAAGTGCTGGGATTACAGGTGTGAGTTACCACGCCTGGCCTATAAGTGCTAATTTTCTAGCTACAGTCATGAGAACCTCCTATGTATGCCATACATTCTCTTTATCATCTGGTTTCCTCAAGAAGCAGGCATGCTTCTTGAATTTGCAAACAAAAGCTATTTTTACATGATTTTTCCTAACCCTGGATGATTTTTACATTCACTAAGACTTAGTTATTATTGGGCAAAAGCTGGTTAAGAAACATTGTTCATATATTTTTCTGAGTGCTTATGAGGGATACCTAAATATCAGTTTTTAAAAAACATTATTTGATAGGAAAATAATATTAGGATAAGTAGCTGGGCACAGTGGCTCACGCCTGTAATCCCAGCACTTTGGGAGGCTGAGGCAGGAGGATCACCTGAGGTCAGAAGTTCAAGACCAGCCAGGCCAACGTGGTGTAACCCCATTTCTACTAAAAATACAAAAATTAGCCGGTTGTGGGGGCAGGTGCCTGTAATCCCAGCTACTCAAGAGGTTGAGGCAGGAGAATAGCTTGAACCCAGGAGGTGGAGGTTGCAGTGAGCTGGGATCGCGCCACTGTACTCCAGCCTAGGTGACAGAGCAGAACTCCATCTCAACAAAATAAAATAAAATAAAATAGAAAAACATATAGAAGTAGACAATAGAATGGTGGTTACCAAGAAACGGAGTTAGGGAGATACAGGAAGTTGTTGTTCAATGCATGTAAAGTTACAGTTATACAAGATGAGTAAATTCCAGAGATCTGCTGTGCAACTTAGTATCTACAGTTGGCAATAAGGCATTGTGCACTTAAACATTTGTTAGGACAGTAGATCTCATGATAAGTGTTCCTTTTTTTCTTATAGTATTGGCTTTACTGGTTTTTGGAATTAAAACCATCTTGTAACTATTAAGAATTAGGAAGAAGAAACAGTAGTAGAAGTTATAAAATCCCTCTGAAAGGGCAACTAATTTCTCATCAAAATTAAAAACCTTTAAAGTAGCTGAGGTAGTTGGAGTCACTTTATGGGGAGGATGAAGTCAAGATAGGGTAAGGAGCATTCAGAAAGAATTATTTTCGGCAAGGTAAGATGTTTTTCCTTTCAGTAGGATGTATTCATAAAGCAAGGTAGTCACTAATAGCTGGCCTTTAAGACTTAACTGTAGTATGGATAGGGTTAGATACCCACTGCTTGAGCTTTTTAGTTGTACTCCAGGAATCTAAAATCTGTCCTGGCAATTAATGAATTAGAACATCCTTCTCACCCCGTCAATTGAAACTGAGAAGGTTTGTTCAAGGTATTTCCTACAATTTTCCCCAAAAGTCAGGTTCAGAAGTGAATTTCTGGGCTGGCATATGCAGCTTCCACACACAGACCTCTCAATACGACTTATTAAAAGAACATTGTTGGCTTGGAGCTGGTTTATTTTGAAGACTCCACGGGACAGTTTGTGGCAAGGTTCAAGAGGCTACAGGGTATTTTGTAGTAATTACATTCAACTGGTAATGCAAGGGTAAGGCACATGGACAGCCATTTACGGTAAGGAATAAAGAATCCTGTTATCTTTGCCATTATGTGATATAACAGCCTGCACTTCTGATCTCTGTAGAGCTATTTTGCTTGTGGCCAGTCTGAGTTTAGGACAAATGTCCTTTAGCTTGTTGCCTGCCTCCTTCGGCTGGGTTCCATGTATCTGTTATAATCCTTGAATAATGAACCCCAACCAGTCAGAAAATATCCATGAAGAATGTTTTGAAATGACATTAAGAGCTGGTAACATTAAATATGAAGTAGTAATTGTAACTGGTAGAGACAAGATAATAGAATTTAGGTTTTCAGTAAATCAAGGGTGGGTTTTTTTTTTTTTTTTTTTTTTGCGTGTGTGTTTTGAGACAGGGTCTTTACTATGTTACCCAGGCTGGAGTGCAGTGGTGTAATCTTGGCTCACTGTAGCCTCAACCTCTTTGAGCTCAAGCAATTCTCCCATCTCAGCTTCCTGAGTAGCTGTGACTACAGGCATAAGCCACCGTGCCTGGCCAGTAAATCAAGTTTTGTACTTTTCTTTGGCATCTAATAAATTAAACCAAGTTACTCAAGAGATGCACTTTTGGGGATTACATGACACTCTAAAGCATGTAAATATTTTCTTGATCTTGACATTTTTGGTTCCATAATGTAAATTTATTTTAAGGTATTTGTGTAGCCTATTCTGGAAATACATGTTAGAAATCAGTGAGGTTTCTAATTGCCATGCCATACCACTTAGCTGAGACAAATTACTCTTTCTTCACCTTTAGATTGTAAAAGATAAAACTCTCCTTAGTTCATATATGAGATATGTGGAGTAACAGGGTAATAGTTGTTCTGTACTGAATTCCAAGGGCAAATAATGATAGAAATGAAATGTTACACTTTATTCCATCTCCATGATTTCAGACATTATAGGACAGGGTGAGTAAACAAGGCAAATAAAGCAAACACCTTTTCCCCCATTTAACCATATGCAGCAGTTTGACATTTTTTATGATCTGCAGGTTGACTTAATTCTTGACTTGAGTTGAAAGCTGCCAGCAGCAAACTGTGCAATTTAGACTTTTCCTCCATAGCCACTCTGAATATCTTTATTCCTGAACTACACTGTGAGCTCTGAAATGGTGTTCACTGCAACATTCTTGAAGCTTTCACATCTTAACCTCTTGTTAAGGCAGGGGATTGTTTTAAAAGCTTCTTCTTTGCTTATCCAGGCTGCCAGCAATCTTAACTGCAAGTTACCATGTAAAAATAAAATTCTGCTCTGAAGCACTGACTGAAACTGTTGTGCCCAGATCCCTTTCAGAGCATTAGTTCCCTGAGAGAAAAAGGAGGTCCTAACCAATTGCTTTCATGAACAATGACCCCAGTACAAGTGTACATAATGTCACTTGTAGCAAAAATCAAGAGGTCAGGCAACCTTGATCATCCTGACTAGTTTATCATTATTTTCATACAAGGTATATTTACAGCTGATCCCAGACTAAGTATTGCAATCATAATCCCAAGAAATTGTTCAGTTTTAGCACCCTGGGTTCCTAGAAGATACCAGAGCAAGTGAGAAATCATCATCTTTTTTTGTTGTTGTTGAGACAGAGTCTCGCTCTGTTGCCAGGCTGGAGTGTGCAGTAGCACTATCTCAGCTCACTGCAACCTCCGCCTCCCTGGTTCAAGGGTTCTCCTGCCTCGGCCTCCTGAGTAGATGGGACTACAGGCACGTGCCACCATGCCCAGCTAATTTTTGTATTTTTAATAGAGACGAGGTCTCACCATGTTGGCCAGGATGGTCTCGATCTCTTGACATCATGATCTTCCTGCCTTGGCCACTCAAAGTGCTGGGATTACAGGCATGAGCCACCATGCCCGGGCCGAAATCATCATCTTCTACAAGTGAGAGGAAAACATCAAGAAGAAGGAAACGAAACTCGCCTTGCCTAAATTCCTCATCAAATCTGATGGCTGTCTTCACAGACTTAGTTGACAAAATCCAGAGTTCTCAATTTCTTGATTTGAAGAATCCATTTTCAAGGTGACCATCAAGGTCAAGAAGACTCTTCATACTTTTCTTCACCATGGCCCGTGAACTCAGTCCTTCAACAGAGATTCTCTCTGTTGTTGCTTTCTGAACACACTGCAGGTAATGCTTGAAGAGGTTGGAGCACGGCTCCCCAGAGCTGTCGCCCTTGAGAAGCTTCTCCACAAACCAACAACTGAAGCATTGATCATACGATTGAAGCTCCATGTGTGTGTGAGTCTGTACGACATTGTTCATGGCAATGGTGGTGGTGGTGGCAATGGCGGCATACTCTCTCATGTTAGGTGTTCTTACCATGAAAACAGCAATACTGAAGCAACAAAGGGACACAAAGAAACTTTTGGAGATGATGGATATACTTGTTACTTCGATTGTGGTGATGATCACATGAGTGTATACATATGTCCAAGCTCGCCATATTATATACATTAATTATGTGAAGTTTTTAATTTATTTAATTCCAACTTTTATTTATTTATTTATTGAGATGGAGTCTGCTCTGTCACCCAGGCTAGAGTGCAATGGTGCAATCTCTGCTCACTGCAACCTCCGCCTCCCGGGCTCAAGCAATTCTCCTGCCTCAGCCTCCCGAGTAGCTGGGATTACAGGCACCCACCACCATGCCCAGCTAATTTTTGTATTTTTAGTAGAGACAGGGTTTCATCATTTTGGCCAGGCTGGTTTCAAACTCCTGACCTCAAATGATCTGCCCACCTTGGCCTCCCAATTGCTGGGATTACAGGTGTGAGCCACTGTGCCCAGCCTCAACTTTTATTTATTTTTAACTTTTATTTTTGTTTCAGGGGGACACATGCAGGTTTGTTCTACAGATAAACTGCATGTTCTGGGGGTTTGGTGTACAGAGTATTTCATCACCCAGGTAATAAACACAGCATGAATGAAACTCAGTAAGTAGCTTTTCAATTTTCACCCTCCTCCCACCTCCACCCTCAAGTAGGCCCCGGTGTCTACTATTCCTTTCTTTGTGTCCATGTGTACTCGGTGTTTAGATGTGACTCACAAGTGAGAAGATGAGGTGTTTGGTTTTCTGTTCCTGAATTAGTTCCCTTAGGATAATGGCCTCTGGCTCCATCACATTGCTGCAAAGGACATGACCTTGTTCTTTTTTATGGCTGCATAGTATTCCATGGTGTGTATGTACCACATTTTCTTTATCCAATCTACTGTTGATGAGCATTTAGGTTGATTCCATGTCTTTGCTATTGTGAATAGTGCTGTGATGAACATATGTGTGCCTGAGTCTTTATGGTAGAACAATCTATATTCCTTTGGTTATACCCAATAATGGGATTCCTGGGTCAAATGGTAGTTCTAAATTCTTTGAGACATCACCAAACTACTTTCTGCAGTGGTTGAACTAATTTACACTCCTGTCAGCATTAGCTTTTCTCTGCAGCCTTGCCAGCATCTGTTATTTTTTGACTTTTTAATAATAACCATTCTGACTGGTGTGAGATGGTATCTCTTTGTGGTTTTGATTTGCATTTGTCTAATGATTAGTGATCTTGAACATTTTTTATGTGCTTTTTGGCCACATATATGTCTTCTCTTGAAAAGTGTCTGTTCATGTCCTTTCCTACATTGTAGTGGGGTTGTTCTTTGCTTGTTAATTTTCCATTTTTATTTTTGATACAAGGGGTATGTGTGCAGGTTTGTTACATAGGAATATTGTGTGTTGCTGAGGTTTAGGGTATGGATCCTGTCACCCAGGTAGTGAGCACAGTACCTGATAGGTAGTTTTTCCACCCACCTGCCCACCTCCCTCCACCCTCTAGTAGTCCAGTGTCTATTGTTACTGTGTTTATGTCTGTGTGTGCTCAATGCTTAGCCCCCACTTATATGTGAGAACATGTGGCATTTGGTTTTCTGTTCCTGTGTTAATTCGCTTAGGATTATAGCCTCCGACTCCATCCATGTTGCTGCAAAGGAAATTATTTCATTCTTTTTTATGGCTGCATAGTATTCCATGGTGTATATGTACCTATGTGCAGTTTTTAAAAAGCCGATTATATCTCAATAAAGCTGATGGGAGAAGTCACTTGGAGAGTATCTGCATTGGGGAATGTTAAAAAAAAAAAAACAAAAAAACCCAAACAACCACAGACGGGATTCACAGAGAAAGCCTGCCTTCACAGAGTGAGCAACAGCCATGTTATGGTAACAGCAGGAATTTCCAACTGTGTGTCGTCTCCCTCTGCCATAGCCTCTGGAGGAGCTGGCCACAGGATGAGGAAAGGAGTAATGGAAGAGTAAATTGGAGGGAAAAAATATAATGCAACTCTTAAAACCCTTAATATGTCACATTTATAGTTTAAAATAATAAACTCTGGCTTTAGGAGAGGAGCCTCCTACCTGTCAGAATAAATACCACATGCCAAAAAACAAAACAAAAGGTCAAAGTCCGTGTCTCTTAACCGTGAATAAGCAATGTATGTATTTTGCCATTTTGTCCTTAGGATTTGTTGCAGTATCCTAAATGTGGGTTGTTCCCTGATCTTTAGGAAATAAAATGGGGTCACTGTAGCAGTAGATACAGTCATTTCTTCCTTTATCTGTGGACACTGTCTCTGTATAAAGTGGCATTGGTCTGTGCAGATCTGTGGCTGGAGATAGCCAGGAGAGGTGACCAAAAGCGAGGAAAGTCCATATGACCATCCTTACATAGGTTGACTCTCTCGGATCTTCTTTAAAGACACAGATAGAGTTATCAGCTCTGCTCTTCTGAACACATAGATGTAAATACAGGCATCTCCAAGCTTCATTTGTAAGAGTATGTGCCCAACTGCTCCCAGCCTAGTTAAACCCAGAAGAAATGTGGTAAAGCAGTACGCAGTACAACGTATCCTGTGTTGATCTTGGATCTTACATACGCACCCCTTTGTGCTGCCAATCATCAGTGATCTGACGATTTCTTTCTTTGGTCAGTTGAGGATGACTTGGCTAAACTAAGGCAAATAGCCACTGTTGATTAGTAACTTTCAAAATTCACTGTTTCCTTCTAACCAGTGACAAAGGGGACAGAGCGAGAAAAACACACCATGTGATAAATAGAGCTTTACCCTAGTAAAAAACAATCTGCTGAACAGTATCTGGTCTCAAAACATGTTTACAAAAGTCAATTAATTGGGAGCAGAGTTCATAGGAAGGAAACAACGAAGCTATTTCTTAGAGGACAGACAAAACAGTATTTCTCAACATTCCTGAAAGTTAGCATTTCATTACGTTTCAGCAAGAAAATAAGAAAGGACAGTTGGGCTAGGGCTCATGTTGAAAATATTTGTGTGAGGATAAAATAAGCCATCAATTGGGTGGAAAGTCTGCAAATATTACTGAAAAGGGTATTAAAATCATAGATAATACTTATTCACTACTCATAGGTGAAGAAATTCTGTAATGTCCTAGTTTTATTCATTTTATTACTGAAAAATTGTTGGCAGTGGGCCTCAGTAAAGTGTTTCCTTTTAAATACCAGCCCCCAAAAAAGCTGTGAAATAAAAATAAGCTATTGTTTTTTTTTTAAGTTCCCATATTTCTGCCTCAGAAATACAGTGACTTTCATTTTAAACAATATTGATAATGGAGGAAATGAATGATATTTCTTGGTCAGCAATATGAAAAATTCATAATGCCTTGTCCCCTCTTTGACTCTTGAACTAGCAGTAGGAGTTTGCTTGCACATAATTTCCGTTAAAGTTGATGAAAGATACAGGTGCACTTTCAGAGGGAACAGTATCTGGTAGCCTGTTATTTGAATAACATTATAAAAGACTGCTCTTGAGGTGTAATCAGTGTAGGTAGAAGACAGAAGCTGAGAGCGCAAAACCTTGTGTTTGTTTACGTCGGTATATATTTGTATGATTTCATTTGTTGCCCAGTTCAGAGAAATAAAGCATTTATAGAGAAGACCATTATGAGACAAATAATTCAGTATAAAGAGAAAAACGGAAAATAAAACCTCAAAGTATTAATAAATTTGAGGGATGTAGTTTGCCATTGCAATCATCTGTGTTGTGAGGGGGTGTATGTGTTTGCATGTGTACGTGCATGCACGTATGTTTGTGTGTGTGTGAGTAATGGCTGCCACCTTTACTAGTAACATCTACAAAAAAATCATGCAATCTCCTAAGAGTGTATTAGGCTCAACCTGCTTTATTCCAAATGTCTGTTTCTTCCATAAATGATTCTTAAAAAATCCTCAACAGCTTCATCATGGCCCACAATTGATTCTTGGCTCAAGCTTTAGTTGGCTTTAGGTTTTTATTGACGAGTTGTATGTTTTTCCTATTAACATTTCTTTTATGATTTCCATAGCAGTTTAACACCTGGAATGTAGTTTATGTTTTGGAGGAAAAAGACTTATTTATTTCATTTTATTGATTTTTTTTCAAGATCTTTTAAAATCATGACCTTGGTGATTTTCCTTACTGTGTTATTGATGATAGTTATTAGTTGAAGGACTTGATAAACACATGGATTACTCAATTTACTCAACCCAAGCTTTAAGCGTGTTTCATTTTGTTGAACCGATGTTACAACAGAGGAAGAAATAAATTGCACCATTCTGAATCGCTTAAGGAAGTCTCTGGACATTTAGTATACCTGGACAAAACATAAACACCTATTTTTCTTTTTCTTTTCTTTCCTTTTCTTTATTTTATTTTATTTTATTTTATTTTGAGACGGCATCTTGCTGTTTTGCCCAGGGTGGCGTGCAGTGGTGCAATCTCAGCTCACTGCAACCTCCGCCTCCTGGGTTCAAGCTATTCTCCTGCCTCAGCCTCCGGAGTAGCTGGGATTACAGGCACCCACCACCACGCCTGGGTAATTTTTGTATTTTTAGTAGAGGTGGGGTTTCACCATGTTGGCCAGGCTGGTCGCAAACCTATTTTTCCCTTGAAGCATATTACCAGGCTTTTCACAATATTTCTTGGCTGCTAGATATTAGATTTTGCATATCCCCAAAGTCAGTCTACTTCTGTATGCTTTGTAGTGTCTGATACACTGATTCTTTGCAATGGCTTAGGGGGCAGATACTACATGGAATTGGGAAAACTATCCCTTTGATTGGATTTTGGTGTCACATTATGAAATTCCTTTAGTTTTCTCTGCTGTCTCCTTTCAAAAACATAGTTCTCCATAAAGCCAGTTTAATGATTCCTGCACATACAATAATATCTTCCAGCACACAGTGGGCCTAACATCTAGAGGGCTTGGCTGGGGTGTCCGGTGAGTGAAGACTTTTGTTATGGCAAAATAATGAGGTGTGGGCTTTTTATTATAAAATCCCCCCCTGGAATATCAGTTCTCATTATTGTTTTTCTGCTTACTCAAAACTGAAGTCCTTACAGTGAACCCTTAAATATAATGAATTCTGTTAAAATAATTGTTTATACTTTATAATTCAAAATCAGTGTCCTTGTTAATACCCAGAAGGTTGATGCTGAGCCCAAGCCATTTTAGAAAAGAGAATACAACAATAACCATGATTGATAATATGTAGGAGTACTGTACTTCCTTTTTCCTAATTTATTTTCCAGGTTTATATATGTAATAGGCTTATAAGAATAAGTTTTCATTTCTCCCCAGTTTGGTCCTACGATGTAGCGGCAATGACCTGCCCTTCCATCAGCACATGCTGTGCACATGCATGGACACTAACACGTGTGTACTTGCACACACTTGCCTGTTTAGTGATGAGGACTTTACATTAGCTTGCTGACTTTCATGCTAATTGTTTGTACATTTCTCCATGATAGTTACCACCTCCTAACATACTACCTATTTACTTATGTATCTTGTGTGCTTTCTTCCTTAGGCACTAGAATGTAATTTCCTTTGTGGGGATGAGGTGGGGGAAGACTTCTGTTTATTTGTTCATTGCTTTGTAATCAGTGCCTGGAAGAGTATCGGTCACAATGTAAACACTTGAGAAATATTTGTAAAAGGCATGAATGAATCATACACTTTTAACACTAGGTGTCTAACAGTAGGCATTTAGCACTGGGAAGGAAGTCCACCACTACTGTGATTAAAAAGAAGGAAGTGTTACCAACCACTCAGCTTCTGACCTCCCTTTTCTAATGTAGGGGATTCTTTAAATTCATTGTTTCTGGCAGGACAGAGATAGCTAACAAGAAATGTTAGCCATTCCCGGTTGGTGACTTCATCTGCCAGTCCCTGCCCTGCCTCTTGACCTGAAGAAAGTCTAGGCAGAAGGATGGCATCTCAGGGCATCATCCATGCAAAGTGAGGGTGATGAGACCTGCAGTAGCTTCCAGTCTATGACAAGGGTTCAGGCCAGATCCCCTTTGAGAACATTCTGAACTTTAGAACTCTCAAAACCTTTCTCTTTTCAAAGAAAGGAATATCTTCTTTTCAATTATCTATATGAAAAGAGAAAATGAACTCCATAATTCTTTATTGATATTAGAAAAATAAAAAGTAAGTTATTTTACATTGACAGTTGCCAGGAACATCAGCTCCCTTCTGCACAGCATTAGATGATAAGTGTTTTATTTTCATTTTTAACCACAATATATGTAAAAAATAACATATATCATTTACAGACTGATATGATTTGGCTGTGTCCCCAGCCAAATCTCATCTTGAATTCCCATGTGATGTGGGAGGGACCCGGTGGGAGATAATTGAATCATGGGGGGAAGTCCTTCCCGTTCTGTTCTTATGATAGTGAATAAGTCTCACAAGATCTGATTGTTTTATAAAGAGGAGTTCCCCTGCATGAGTTCTCTCTTCTCTTGCCTGCCGCCATGTGAGACGTGACTTTCACCTTCCATCATGATTATGAGGCCTCCCCAGGCACATGGAACTGTGAATCCAATAAACCTCTTTCTTTTGTAAATTGCCCAGTCTCAGGCATGTCTTTATCAGCAATGTGAAAACGGACTAATAAATGGACTTAATATCAAAGCAAAATGATAATTATAAATGTGTGTGTTGTTTATGAATGTGTTACAATTTGATTCTTATATGGCCAGCAAATCCTTTAACTTTAGAAAGCATAACTACATATTTTGACAGACATTAACCAACAAATTTATACTTAAATTGCTCATCCACATCAAAGATCTTCCTTCAGAGAAGGGAAGAATGCGTGTGTATACAGGGAATGGAGGAGGAGAGTCATGCTTTCTTGCACACTTGCAGCATAAAAGGATAATATTTTCAGTGGTGAATTATTCTGAAATTTTGAGGCAAAAGTGTTACTTGGAAGATTCCCTTTGAATTTTCTGGGCAATTGGTATAGTATGTATCAGTGTCTTTTGCAGTGGTGTTGAAAGCCTACTTACTTTGTTCAGGAAGTTTTTTAAAAAAATTTAAGGAGACTTAAGAGCCTATCTAGGAAACCACAAAAATATTTGTAGTATCATATTTCTATTAATTTATTAAGAGAAAAAAGGGAATTTCCAGATATTTGAAGTTTCATATTTACTTCAAAGGTTGCTTCAAGGAGATGGACTACAGAAAATCAGACTGTAAAGTTAGACAACAAAATGAATGATATAAACATGAAAACAAAAAGATAGAGGACATCTGTTTCCAGCCATGATGAGATAATTGGAAGAGAGCTTGTCCTGTTATTGTTAATAACTGGGCAAGACTGGGTGTGGTGGCTCATGTCTGTAATCCCACCACTTTGGGAAACTGAGCCCAGGAGTTCAAGACCAGCCTGGGCAAAATGAAGAAACCCCATCTCTACAAAAATTAGCCGAGTGTGGTGGCATGCGCCTGGAGTCCCAGCTACTCTGGAGGCTGAGGCGGGAGGATTGCTCGAGCCTGGGAGGTTGAGGCTGCAGTGAGTCATGATTGTGCTACTGCACTTAAGCCTGGGCAACAGAGTGAGACCTTGTCTCAAAAAAAAAAAAAAAAAAAAAAGAACTGGACAAAGTGTGTCAAACAATGATTTTGAGGCACCGGACAAGAGACAGTGAAGAATTATGATCCCTGAAAGACAGAAAACAAATGAAGTGAGTCCTATAATCATCCTCATTTTCTTCATGGAGACATTTTCCAAACCACAGAATATGAAGGTAAATCCAGGCAGAGCATGGCATTTTCTTTATAGGGCAGAGTTTAGGGGCTCTGGGCAGGCTAAAATATGTAAGTCAAAGTGCCAGAGTAGAAGGTACCATGGGGATAAAGCACTTCCTAAATCTGCACGGGGCCCCTTTTAGCATGTCTCTAAATACCTTGTCACCTCTGTGTAAGATAAATGTCCATGAAGTCAGGCTTTGCAAAGCTTGACCAGAGAATCTATTACTAAATACTTAGCCACATATGGCACATGCAGAGGATGAAGTTCTATGAGACAAGGCAAAGCATAACCAGAGAGGTATACCCTAAATCTCCAGCATTCTCACAGAGCTGGGAGATGTTTAACTTTTGATCAGGCAGAATGTAGATTCCTCATTGAAAACCTGGGAGATTCAGTAGAAACCCCAGAGGGTTGTGCCTAGTAGTAGGGCAAAGCTAGCCTAGAACTAAAGACTGTTCTAGATTCATCCTAAGAAGTCCTAAAAATGAGCTTTGAAAAGACCAACCTGATACACAGATAACTTTGTCAGATCCAATAGTATTTAGAGAAAGCAACAAAATCTAGTACTCAACGACATATATTCCATAAGGAGCATCCAATAAAAACGTACCAGACATGTGAAGAAGGAAAATGTGACCATAACTGGGATAAAATTAATCCATACAAACTCACAGCCAGCCTCTATGATGGTCCCTAATTTTTATCACCTCCTGGTATTCATTACTTTGTTTCTTTGCACATTGAATTAGAACTGGTCTGTGTGACCAGTGGAGTAGCAGATATGATTCCGTGTGGCATCCTAAGCTAGAGCATAAAGGACATTTTGGCTTCCATTCTCTTGGATCACTTGGTCCAGGGGAATCCGGCAGCTGTCAGGAACAGCCCTGTGATGGGGCCCATATGGAGAGGAACTGGGGTCTCCCACAAATAGCCAGCACAACTTGACAGTCATATGAGTTAGCCATCTTGAAAATGGATCTGATTCCAGCCCCAGTCAAACCTTCATATGTGTGCATTCTCAGCTGACATCTGACTAAATCTCATGAGAAACTTCAAGATAGTAAAAACCCATTAAGGCTGGGCACGGTGGCTCACGTCTGTAATCCCAGCACTTTGGGAGGCCGAGGTGGTGGATCACTTGAGGTCAGGAGTTCAAGACCAGCCTGGCCAACATGGTGAAACCCCGTCTCTACTAAAAATACAAAAATTAGCTGGGCATGATGGTGTGTGTGTCTGTAATCCCGGCTGTTTGGGAGGCCGAGGCAGGCTGATCACCTGAGGTCAGGAGTTTGAGACCAGTCTGGCCAACGTGGTGAAACTCTGTCTCTACTGAAAATACAAAAATTAGCCAGGCATGGTGGGGCGTGCCTGTAATCCCAGCTACTCGGGAGACTGAGAGGCTGAGGCAGGAGAATCGCTTGAACCCAGGAGGCGGAGTTTGCAGTAGTGAGCCGAGATTGCGCCACTGCACTCCAGCCTGGGCGACAGAATGTCATTCCATTTCAAAAAAAAAAAAAAAAAACTGGACATATTTGGAGGGTATTATTGTATTATTCTGCCTCCCAAAGCTGTTAAAATAATTAAGTGAAAAAACTGATGAAGTATTTTGTAATGGTTGGACCAGGCTGACAATACCTAAACACATTAGTGAATTTTACCATCTTAAACAGAGAGCCAGTCGTTAAGCACCTCCTAACATAATGGATTGAAAGCCCACAATGCCACCTTGCAAAAACAAACAGCAAACAAAACGAAGCACATCTCTGATCAAACCTGTCTTACCCATGTCAAGGGGTCAGAGGAATGTGCTAAAACATAATGCCATCAACAAAAGCCAAAATGTAGGATTCTAACTCTCCAGGACAAATGACCTGGTTTCTTTAAGAAATAAACTACAAGAGGGAGAAATAAAAAGAGGAGGGAGAATTTGTAGACTAAGAGTCTTAAGAGACACATTAACTATGGACTTTGTTTTGATTCTTATCAAACAAAGGTATTTAAAATATATGACTTGAGAAATTTTTAAAATATACTTTATATTTTGTTTAGGGCAATTTTAGGTTCATGGTGAAGTTGAGCAGAAAGTACAGTGAGTTCCCATATAGCCCCTGCCCCCTGACCTTCCCACTTGCAGGCTCTCACACTAGCAACCTACCACACTAGAGTGGTACTTTTGTTACAGAAGATGAATTTACATTAACACATTATTATCACCTGAATCCTATAGTTTACATTAGGGTTTACTCTTGGTGTTGTACATTCTATGGGTTTTGACAAATGCAAAATGACTTGTATCTACCATTACAATATTGTACAGAACAGTTTCACTGTCCTGAAACTCCTCTGTGCTCGGCCTATTTATCCCTCCCTCTCCCAAACCCCTGGCAACAATTGATCTTTTCACTGTCTCCAAAGTTTTGCCTTTTCCAGAATGTCCTACGGTAGGAATCATACAATATGTAGGCTTTTCAGATTGGCTTCTTTCACTTAAGATATATTTAAAGTTCCTTCATGTCTTTCATGGCTTGAGAGCTTGTTTCTTTTTAGCATGGAATAATATAACACTGATGTACCACGGTTTACCCATTTGCCTGTTGAAGGATGTCTTGGTTGCTTCCAAGTTCTTGAAATTATGAATAAAGCTGCTATGAACATCTGTGTGCAGGTTTTTGTGTGGACATAAGTTTTCAGCACATCTGGCCAAATACCAAGGAATGAGATTGCACAAGGATCTTGTGCAACAAGAGAGGCCAGAGCTGGAATTGGACCCCCTTGGGATCTGCTGTGGGATGGAGGCTGGAGAGCCCATATCGAAGAATCAGGGGGGCACTTTGTTTCCCAACACGTTTCAGCATAGATGGGACAGTTACCTGATGGCAGCAGGAGCTGAGACCGGGCCTCCTTGGAATCTGCTGTGAGACAGAAGTTGGCAAAACTTTCAGGGAAGCTCAGGCTCTTGAGCTGTGAGATATGGGCAAGTGTCCCTCTGGGTCCTTGTGTGAGCAGTTCTGAGCTGGGCCTCAGCTGAGGGGGGCTAATGCTGAGCCACAGAGCAACTTTCAGGTTCACTGCCAGAACTGATGTCAGCAGGCAGGTGAGCCTTTCCACCAAGATCCTAGTATGTACAATTCCTCCTGGACCTTTGGAAGATGGTTTTGGTTGTAGGCTCAAGGCCAAACAGGGCTGTAGTCAAAGCCCTTGTGGGACTGGGCCATTTCTGTGCTTGAACTTGGGAGCACACTCAATGGATTAGCTACCTGGCTGTTGGTCTGCAATCTCAAAATGACTCTCATAGGTCTTGGGCTCACTGGGGTTTCACAAACTCCAACCCGAATAATGAGGCTCCTGCAGAGAGACTTTTGACTGTGAATAGGTATAGAATCCTTATTAGGGGGTTAGGAGTGCATTACCTTCTATTCCACCATCTTACTAATGTCCAATTATACTTCTTTTAAAACACTTTTAAATGGTTGCCCTAGAGTTTGTAATACACATTTACAACGAATACAAGTCTACTTTCAGATAACATTATTCTGCTTCAGTGGTAGTGTAAATATCTTATAAGAATAATGTATTCCTAATTCTGTCCTTCATTCCTTTAATCATTTCTGCTATTTGTTTCACTTATGTGTAAGCTATAACTGCCAAATATATTGTTTTTATTTTTATTTTGAACAAACTGTTATCTGTTAGATAAGAATAAAAAATAAAAATTTTCATTTTACCTTTACTTATTCCTTCTACAGTGCTCTTCCTTTCTTTACGTAGATAGGAGTTCCCAACCTATATCATTTTCCTCCTCTCCAAAGAACATTAAGATTTCTTGCAAGGCAGGTCTGCTGCCAATAAATCCCCTCAATTTTTGTCTCTTTCACTTTTGAAGGATAATTTTGCAGGATACAAAATTCTAGGTTGGTGTTTTGAACTCTCAACACTCTAAATATTTCACTCCACTCTCTTGTTGCTTGGATAGTTTCTGAGGATGAGTTGAATGTAATTCTTATCTTTACTCCTCAATAGGTAAAGTAGTTTTCTCCTTTAGATTCTTTCTTGTTTTTCTCTTTGTTTTTCTGATGTTTGAATATGAGGTGCTTGGTGTAGTATTATTATTATAATTACTGACATTTATCCTGTTTGGTATTCTCTGAGTTTCTTGGGTCTGTGGTTTGGTGTCTGACATCAATTTGGGGAGATTTTAAGTCATTATTGCTTCAACAATTTCTTCGTTCCCTTCTCTCTTTCTTCTCCTTCTGGTATTCTCATTATGCATGTGTTACAACTTTTGTAGTTGTCCCACAGTTCTTTGACAGCCTATTCTTTTTTTTCCCCCAGTCTTTTTTTCTCTTTGCTTTTCAGTTTGAGAAGTTTTATGGATATATCCTTAAGCTTAGAAATTCTTTCCTCAACTGTGTCCAGTCTACCAATATGACTACTGAGGGCATTCTTCATTTCTGTTACAATTCCATTTCTTTTGGATTATTTCTTAGAATTCCATGTCTGCTTACATTACTCTTTTATTCTTGCATGTTTTTGTGAAGCAAATTTACTGTGTACTGGTTTATCAAGTCATCTGAGTCCAGTGAGACAGAACGTACTCATATGCAACAAGCTACATTAAGTGGATTTATTACTTAAGGATAGGCAATAACAGACAGCAGATGCCTGGGATTCATTGTGAGTCAGTCCCCCCAAGGCTTGGAAAGCTTCCTGGGATGGATGAAGCCTTGACTGTGCATGCCCTACTTGTACTGCAGCTGAGGGACTCCAGAAAGCAACCCACTCTGGGTTTTGTATCCCAGGGGCAACATTGGGGTATAAAAGCTGTAGCCCTTGGATGCATATAATATCCCTTTCCTCATTTTATTGTTCCACATTGGGCTGAAGCATTGATGGACATTCTGTTTTTAGAATGGGGCTGGAATGAGCCTGAGCTATTCCGGCAAACTCCCTCTCATCTCAAGGTGTTGCATTCCCAGCACATTCTACAGTTCTTCTTGAGAACTATGAGGGAGTAAGGGAAGATGAAGAATGGGGTTGGTCCAAGGACACCTAGAGAACTGTCTTGCAGTGCACCCCACCTCACTTCCGCAAGATATTACCCTTAGCAAAGCCAGTCCATATCATATGCTCACCAACCATATGCCCAAATCTGGAGGTGGAGGTTTGTCTTATCAGATTTGTGTAACATCTTGACCAACACATCTTCATTCAGTGCAACACCTTTGGGCCATAGCCAGAATACATTTCACTAGGCTCAGGAGGACTACGACCACAAGCATGACCAAGCCTGCCTGGAGTAGTGACCTAGCCCAGAATCCAAACAATCTAGGTAAGAAATTGCCAAAGAGGTGAAAGAGGAATTCTTCAGGTGGTTCCAGTCTGTGGCCAGTGAACCTGCTTCTGAATCTCCTTCACTTTTGTTTCCATCATACCTGTGGTATTAATCCAGGTATGGCAGGCAGTATTGCCAATTGCATGCACTCCTCCCAGTTGGGTTAAAAGAAAGTCTAGGTAACTTATATCATCTGAAACAGCCTTCCTGAGGGAGTTGAGGGATGTCTGTTGGGCTGTCAAGGCAGTGACAGTGGAGGAAGCAATATCTGCCATGGTCAGGGACAGATTTCTTATCACTTTTTCCTAAGCACTGACTCTGATGCATGGTCTCAAAGATCTCATAAAGGACATAAGCCCACAGTCAGTTCTACCTCCTGGAAGGTTCCTAGTAAGTCTGGTGTATGGCTTTGGGCTGCAGGCCCAAATGGGGGCATCTCATTATTCCCAGGGGTGGTATCTTGGGGCACCCCCAGTACATGCAACATGCAGGATCCCTCTATCTTACAGATTTTCAGGCATGACAAAGCCCGACCTGTATTTGGGTTACTGCCAGACCATCTGCAGAGAAAGTTTCAGGCATGACAATGCCCATCCTATATTTGGGTTACTGCCAGACCATCTGCAGAGAAAGATGTAGCCCTCGGCTGCACATAACTTACCTTTCCTCATTTTATTGTTCAGTGGCCCATACAAGGGGATAGATGCATTGGCTTTCACCAGCCAAGTCTGATTGATAGCATAGTTGCATGAGCTCAGTTTCTCCCATACAATATTGTTCATGAATCCTACACAGAGCGCTAGGGGTAGTCTGGTCTTTGTTTTCATTATCACTACTGGGACACTTGTAGTCCATGTAATCAAAGGAGTGTGTCCATGAAAGTACCTGCCCACCAAGGTTTTGTTAGTTGTGGTTGTGACATTTTGCCACAGAGTCAGTTAATAGGGCACCTCCAGTTCCCTGTCATGTGGCAGGTGCCAGATCCTTGCTTAGTAAGCCACGCTCAGGTGTTATTGCCTTACACTCTGACAATACTCAGGGAATAATGGTTGATATAGTTTGGTTGTATCCCCACCCAAATCTTGAACTGTAGCTCCCATAATTCCCATGTGTCATGGAAGACCTGGTGGGAGGTAATTGAATCATGAGGGTGGGTTTTTTCCTGTGCTGTTTTCATGACAGTGAATGAGTCTCATGAGATATGATGGTCTTATAAAGGGGAGTTCCCCTGCACATGTTCTCTCTCTTGCCTGCCGCCATGTAAGACGTGCCTTTCTTCTCTTTCACCTTCTGTCATCATTGTGAGGCTTCCCCAGCCATGGAACTGTGAATTCATTAAACCACTTTTTCTTTAAAAATTACCTAGTCTTGGATATGTCTTTATTAGCAGCATGAGAACAGACTAATGGTTTAGTTTACCACTGGCAGAAGGAGAAGGTTGCTGTGGTCTGTGACAGGAGGAGGTCCAGGGTGGCAGATCCAACACTTCGTCAGGTTGCCTGCCATGGCCATAGCTTGAAAGAGCCCACCAAAGCATTACAATTCCAGGCTTCTGCTGCCACATCCTTGTGGAAAAGCAGACTGACAGGTTCGTGCCCCACCCCTACCCCTTCCAGGAGGCCCAGGTGTTTCCTACCCATCAGATATGAATTGGGCTGAGGTGGTGTAGTGACGTAGCCTGTCTGTCCCTCTCCTGAGGCTGCCACTTCTGAGGACACCCCTTGCCCTTGCTGCTTAACCCAGACCTTTTGGCCTCAGTTGTCCAGTGTAGGAAGAGAGATCATGTCCTGTACAAACTTAACATGCCTGATAACACTGCCCACTTGACTGGAAGGATCAGATGTCCCTACTGCCTCTAGAGGGACCCTAGCACCCTTGTATTCCTTGGTTTTGTCGCCCACCCTTGTGGGATCACATAGAGGGGAAGGGAGGCACCAAAGGGAAGCATTGCCTCCAGATTAGAGTCAGAGGGCCCCCTGTCTGGGGGTACTGTGGCAGCCTGAACTGCAAACCACCCACAGGATATGCTCTCTAAAGCGAAAAAAGAATTGTTGGAAACATGAGGATTTTGCAGGCTCAGGCCAATTAGGGAGCTGCCTGGTCCACCACCACCCTTACCAAGTTCAGTGTTTCTCAACATGCGTTGCAATGCTGTGTTTTCCTTGTGTTTAGTGCCCATATTACCCTAGTCAGGTGGGGGTACCACCCCACCAGCAGGTTGTCTTGATGTTCTCTCTTCAGTTGCTGTGTGAATCAGCTGTTCCATCATTTAACGGTTTCACTGGCCTGTGCATAATAGAGTGTATGGAAAGCCCATCATATCTTGTGATCATATCCTCTGAAAGTGTAGCCCGTGTCATGTTGCTTGGGCAGTGAAGTATGCTGTTTGGTTAATGGGACATCTCACAGAGTATCCAAAAAACATGAGATAAGTTATCTCAAGGGTGACTATGGTATTCCTATGAGTGACATGTATTTGTCCCTTTAAGACAGGAAGCTGTTGGCATAGTCCTCGTCCTCACACAGGGGATCCTTTAATAGCCTGGTCACTGAGCCGCTGTTCTCCTGACATTTTAGCTAGGCTGCTGGCAATGGCCCATGACTCAGTGAAAATGTAGCAATATGGTGGTAGGGGTGGCCCTGCTTGACCATCACCACTGCAGGTAGTTTGGCCGGTTGGTTGTAACATCTGTATTCAGTCTGAGTCAAACGATGGCCATCCACCTTTGCAGCCCAATGAACCCCATCTGCTTTTAGTTTCACAGAGCCATCACTAAATGATGCCATATTTTTGGAAGGCATGTGTTTGAATCTTGGGCCCTAGGTAGCCGCAGGAAGAGCTACAGTATCCCCTATGAGTAGCTTGGCCTCTTCTGGGAATACAGCCGTTTGTTCATGGAGACTACTAGTGCCACTAGAGAGACCCAGCACCCTGGTATTCCTTGGTCCTGTCCCCTACCCTTGTGCAATCCCATACAGGAGAAGTACCCCAGGGAAGCATCGCCTTGGTAGGCATACCCCAAGGGAGCCACAGCATCCCCTTCACTTCCTGCTGGACTGTAGTGATTAGCCAGAGGTTAAAGCTTTGAGTTTGTGCAGTTATTTTCTGAGTACGTGTCCTGCCCTGAGCATGTGCATGGCTTTAAAATTTCTAGTATACAGATCACCTGAGGTCGGTAGTTCAAGACCAGCCTGGCCAACATGGCAAAACCCCATCTCTACTAAAAATATAAAACTTAGCTGGGCGTGGTGGCGCCCGTCTATAGTCCTAGCTACTCAGGAGGCTGAGGCAGGAGAATTGCTTGAACCCAGGAGGCAAAGGTTGCAGAGAGCCAAGATCACACCACTGCACTCCAGCCTGGGTGACAGAGTAAGACTCTGTCTCAAAGACAAAAAAAAAAAAAAAAAAATTCCCAGTACATAAAGGTGCTTTTGAATGCCTTAATTTGACAAAGAAACTCTTTGCCCAGCCTTTCCTCCCTGGCTTATAGGGCACTATTGAATACCTCAACAGTAACGTTTTGCTCCTGATGCTTGTGGGCTGTTTATTTGGCTTACAATGTTTTAAGGAAATTCTTGCTCCCTTTTCACCATGAGTGAGTTCTGGGGAAGGTGAAACAAGGATAAGTGCTTTGTGTCAGTCTTCCGATAGCTCGTAGACATGTTTAAACAGAAAAACTCTTTGTGAATGAGGTCTTTTCTCCCTCTGGAAGTAGGAACCTGGGTCCCACACGTGGTAGGAATGAAAAAAGGTAGGTAGGCTACCTTTTTTTTTTTTTTTTTTTTTTTTGAGACCGAGTCTTGCTCTGTCACCCAGGCTGGAGTGCAGTAGCGCGATCTCAGCTCTCTGCAACCTCTGCCTCCCGGGTCTCAAGCAATTCTCCTGCTTCAGCCTCCGAGTAGCTGCAATTACAGGTGCGCGTGCCACCACACCTGGCTAATTTTTGTATTTTTAGTAGAGATGGGGTTTCACCATGTTGGCAAGCTGGTCTCGAACTCCTGACCTCAGGTGATCCACCCCCCTCTTCGACCTCCCAAAGTGTTGGGATTACAGGCCTGAGCCACCCTGCCTGGCCTAGGCTACCTTCTTAGGACCACCATCACTATCAAGCCAGGGAGGGGGGTGTGAGACAAGGGCAAATAAAAACGCCACAAAATTTTCCTACCATTTTTAAGTTGCTTTTTTTCTGATTTGGTGTCCACTTGGTTGGTGTAAACCTTGGACCGTTTTCAGAGTTCAATTAGAGTCTTTTCTAACAGTTGTTGCATTTTTCAATTTTTTTATTTTTGTGATGAAATGGGCTCTTGGAGCTACATTCTACCCCGTTTATGCTGACATCACCCCAAATATTTTTGGTGAGGAAAAGAAACTAATTTGGAATTGACGTCTAGGAGAGATAACTAAGGAGCTGGAGCCACTGATTGCAAAACAGCAAAAACATGGCTAAAGCCTTTAGGCAAGGTCACATTTAAATAGCCAGCGTTTCTAATCATTAATACAACTTCTACACTGTTGCTGTTTTTCACTTTTCCCAACCCATTGGTTGGTGTGATGAGTTAAATTCAAGGCCCAAAACCAACAAGTTCCAGGGTAAAAGTGAATTGCTTTGTTACAGTATAGTTTTATGATGATGAATACCTTCTTTAAAAAAAGCAATGTTGGTTTATAGAGTTTAAGATAAAAAAGTAACCAAGTGTTGGTATGGTGGCTCACACCTGTAATCCCAGCAGTTTTGGAGGCTGAGGCGGAAGAATTGCTTGAGGCCAAGAGTTCAAGACCAGCCTGGCCAATGCAGAAAGACCCTGTCTCTTAAAAAAAAATTAAAACAAAAAATTAGTCAGATGTAATGGCATGACTGTAGTCCCAGCTACTCAGAGGCTGAGGCAGGAGGATCACATGAGCCCAGGAGTTTTAGGTGCAGTGAGCTATGATCGCACCACTGCACTCCAGCCTTAGTGACAGGGTGAGACTCTGTCTCAAAAAAAAAAAAAAAAAAAAAAAGAACGTAACAAAGATAAACTTTGAAATCAGAAAGATTAATAAAAATAAAAGTGGACAACATACACAGCCTAATTTCAGTAATTAATAAAAAGCTTCAGTAATGAAGGCTGTGTGGTGGTATTGGCCTTAGAGCAGACAAACAGATCGATGGCACAGAATTAGAACCACACATATATTGTCAACTGATTTTTTTTTTATATAGATGCCAAGTTAATCCTATCCTGAATGACAGTCTTTTCACAAATGATGCTGAGACAAATGGGCAGCTTTTATGAAAAGGGAATGGACCTCTATCGATACTGCCCAACAAATACATGCGTATGGATCACAGGCCTAAATGTAAGATCAAAACTATTAGCTTAGAGGAGAAAACAGAGATGACTTTAATTGTAACCTTGGAGTAGTCAAAATATTTCTTAGGATAAGAAGGCACTAACCATGAAAAAAATATGATAAATTGGATTTATAAACTTTAAAAACTTCTTATCGAAATATACCATTAACAAAATGCATAGAAAAGCCCCTGAATGGGAAAATAAATGATAAGATGCATTTTCACATATGAATGCATGTAGCAAGTGCAATGAAAATAATATTCCATTTATAGTATGAACAATACATACAATAGTTGAATTTCAGGCATAAATATAAAGGGAAAAAATAACAGAAAAGTTGTACCTTGTACTTGATTGTAAAGACTGTAAGAAAGATAACACTTCCTAATTTAGTGAAGATATTTTAACATAAGACTAATTAATTTTTATCAGTATATTTTAAATAATAATTTAAAATGGGATTTCCAAGTCAAGGAAACATGCCCTTGTTTTTGGTTTGTTGACTTTTTTTTTTTTTTCTGAGACGGAGTCTCATTCTTGTCACCCAGGCTGGAGTGCCTGGTGCACTCCAGCTCACTGCAACCTCCATCTCCCAGGTTCAAGCGATTCTCCTGCCTCAGCCTCCCAGGTAGCTGGGATTATAGGTGCACGCCACCATGCCTGGATAATTTTTGTATTTTCAGTAGTGTCGAGGTTTCACCATGTTGGCCAGGCTGGTCTCGAATTCTTGACCTCAGGTGATCCACCCACCTTGGCCTCCCAGTAGTTTGTTGACTATTCTTAATAGTGCATTTAAAAAAATCAGATTGGAATAGGGCAATCAGGAATTCTAGAATTGGTCTTTGACTTGTTAGTGGATATTCAAATAAACCTTCCAAAAAAGGTTAAGAATACTGGAATAAAAATTAGGCCATGAGCTGCCCCAAATATCATAACAAGAAACATAATCTTAAAAAATGTTCTGAAGATGTATGCTTTCGCTGCAGCTAAAACACACACCCCTATTATTGTTGAAATTGCACTTTGTAACACTGGGTAGCCTAGAAGATACAATGCCTCAACTGATTTTTGGTTTACTGAGGGTTGAGAACTAGAAACAAATGCATAGGAAATGTGTACAGAAAAATCGAAAGAAAACCCTATACAAATGACAAGATTAATCATGGATATGGAATCAAGATTGACTTTCCAGAATGCCATGAAACCCGTTACCCCTACAATCACAGAACCAATAGCAAAAGTCACCCACAAGGAACACAATGGATAAGGGATTAACAATAAGGAAACAATGAACATAGCTGCTGATGCAACCAATACATTTCTAACAGTGTCTTCTAATATTGCAGCATACTGATCAAAATATATAAATGCCTGGTTATACACCATTAGGGGAATTTGACAGTCTTCAGCTATGCGTCGTAATTAGAATAACAATATTTTCTTTTTGGCTGAGGAAGAAACATCTGTTGTCTGAATGAAGCCCCGGGAAGAAATGATTTCATTTGATGAAGAAATATTAATATCATGCTGAAAATTTGGAAAATTGCTTAAAAAATCAGGAATATTGTTCATAAAAGTATTCTTCTCATTAGGATCTTGGCTGTTACCTTTTAAATATTGCACATATGCATCTAACCAAAACTCTGTAAGATTTTTATCTACATAGACATTTTTTTCAAAAATTTTAGTACAGTTTTCCAGTTTTTGCCTAACATCTTTATCCCAGTAGTCAACTTTTTTAGTAACAATAACCATAACCCTGGGACCATAATCTGAAAAATAATTCTCCTCTACGTTAAAATATGGTGTGATGTAGGAATCGTCACTTGCCAGATTTCGAAGGTCTAAACCTTCCTGCACATGGAAACACCCATATATACTGCTTATGATGTACAAAACATATATAAAGACTACAAAATACTTGGACTCACTCCTTGTGAGAAAGGGGCCAAAATAGTCTCTAAAAAACAAACTTATTGGATGGATATCAGTTCCATGTTCATCTGGGACAGAACCAAATGGGAAACAGCAGAACTTTTTAAATGAGGGCCATTTTGGGTCAGCCTTTTTCAACCAGCATAGGCAGACTACTTCTCTTTTACCATCCAAGGCCATAAATGCTCCAAAACACGTGATGTTATAAAAATAGCAAAATAACAGGGTCATTCCTGTATAGATGCAAAAACATTGTACAGACCTAAAAGAGCTCATAATCCCTGTATATAAGGCCAGGATGTTAGTGATGGTGGTGATTGTAATAGACACTGCCGCTTTTGAATAGACATTGGACATCCGCTCTCGTATGTCATCTGCAAGGTTGGTCTTATGCCAGGCAGAAATCATGATAAACATGTCATCGACCCCAACACCTGTAAAAAAAAAAAAAAAGAAAAGAAACAGAATCTTCATCTTCATACATATTAGTATCCATTAAAAATTAAACAGGTTGATTCAAACCATTTTCTTTTTCTGTCTCTTAAGGTTTTATTTATCTTGTCCAACCTCTGATTAAATACTACCTTCTCTGTGATGCTTTCCCTGGTTGCCTCTGAATTTACGACAGAACTCATCACTCCTTCCTTTGTAATAAGTCTTTGCTTTGTACATACTCCTATTATTGCACATAGCACAGTATACTCTACTCTTCACTTAGGGTGTTTCCATGATGAGGTCAGGAAACCTGGCTTCATGGGTATTGGTCAAAGCAGCATTGGCAACGTGTATCTTTGATTCCAATAGATTGCTAGAGAGATCATTTTCTCTTGTAAGATATTTCATGCTCATGTACAGACACAGCCAGCCAACATTCTGTTGCTTGAAATATAAGCTGGACTTAACGTGTTCTACAGTTAGCATCTGGCTGTCTCTGTGGTATGATTTGAGAGGCACCACATAGTTTATAGACACACATAGGCACATGCACAGATGTAGTTTTCCTGCTAGTTTGTTTCTGATACCTAGAATGTTGGTATTCAAATTTCACTTGCCCAGTTCATTATAATGAGATCAGAAATATGTGTCAAGGTAAATCTTAAGAATTCTTTACATATTAATGCCTACTAGATAATTAGCTCCTTTCCTCAGTGATGTTTCAGATTGGTTGGAATAGAGCATCTGAGGATTTTCAAGTCATGACTGAAGCCTGGGGAAGGAGGATTACAAAAAAAGGGAACTGGAAAGTGCAGCATGAGCATGTTGCAGATAAATTTCACCTCCCTCCAACTTCCTACCAGACATGTGAGTAATGAATTGAGTTATGACAATAGGATGGCTATGATAACAATAGATGATAGGAATTTTTCAGCTCCATTATAACCTTCTGGGACTACTGTTGTATATGTGGTCTGCTTTGTATACGCAGTCTATCTTTGACCAAAACATTGCTATGTAGTGCATAATGGTATAAGAAAAAAATATTTGACCTTTCAGTTAATCAAGGGATGCAAATTAAACCACAAGTGAGACACTTGGTTTTCTTATTAATCAATATTAGCAAGACTGAGGATTTTTGGAAGTTTTTCTGCAAATGAAGACACTCATAGTCTACTAAGGAGAAATGGAAATTGGCACACAATTTTTCAGTCCAAGTTTGCAACAAAGCAAAAGACTTAAAAAGGGAGTACCTTTGACTATCAAATCTACTTCTAGGAATTTGTCCTAATTGGACAAATGCTCAAAAGTAGGACAAGTGTTTGGTGTAATTTATAGTAGGAAAATATAGAAAACAACATAATCCCATAACAATATGAGGTTGGCCAAATCAAACATAGTGTTAGATTAGAGTCATATTCAGTCTTTTTAAAAAGAGGTAGATATTCAATGTTAAATGAACATTTCTTGTTATAAAATAAGATATTTGAAATGGAGAGAGAGCTATATGTGTATATTTGCATAGACCAAATTCTGGATGGATATACATAAAGATATTAGCAGGAATTATCCCTGAAGGGTGGAATTACAGTTGTTTTCCATTTTTCTTTGTATTTTTGGTAAGCTCAGAATTTATTTTAGTAAGCATTAGAAAATAAAGGTGTTTATATTTTGGAAAGTAAGCATCTTGGAAAAACTAATATTTGGTTTTCTGGGGGAGATAGTGAGTTGTGTACTGGATATTAGCTTATTTATTCTAGCTTTTCAAGGCATACCTTCCTCGTATGCACTCACACCTAATCATCCAGTGTACCCCACAGCCATAAATAACTATAGTTAAGATATATATAATTGATTTAATGTAAGCCATTTTGTAGAGTTTGCAGGGAGGCCTAGGACATTCCTGTATATAACTGTAGACTTTATAAACACCAGATACTTAGGTTATTTTTAAAATTTAAAATTTAAATTTTAAAATTAAATTATTAAATTTAAAATTTAAAATTATTTTAAAATATATTTTTCTTCAATAATAAATTAACCTTAGCTTACTGTAACTTTATTATTTTATAAACTTTTAAGTTTTTAAAAAAGTTTTTGGCTTTTTATGATAACACAGCTTAAAATACAAAAACATTGGACAGCTGTACAAAATATTTTCTTTACTTATATCTTTAATCTATAAGCCTTTTTCTATTTTTAAAAATCTTTATTTATGGCTGGGCACGGTGGCTCACGCCTGTAATCCCAGCACTTTGGGAGGCCAAGGTGGGCGGATCACGAGGTCAGGAGATCGAGACAATCCTGGCTAATATGGTGAAACCTTGTCTCTACTAAAAATACAAAAAGAAATTAGCCAGGCGTGGTGACGGACGCCTGTAGTCCCAGCTACTCGGGAGGCTGAGGGAGGAGAACGGCGTGAACCCGGGAGGTGGAGCTTGCAGTGAGCCAAGATCACGCCACTGCACTCCAGCCTGGGCGACAGAGCGAGACTCTGTCTCAAAAAAATAAATAAATAAATAAATAAATAAATAAAATAAAAAATCTTTATTTTTATTTTATTTTTTTACTTTCTAAACTTTTTATTAAAAACTAAGATACAAAAACACATATGAGCATAGTAGTGCATGCCTGTAGTCCCAGCTACTCGGGAGGCTGAGGCAGGAGAACAGCTTGAACCCGGGAGGCGGAGGTTGCAGTGAGCTGAGATTGAGCCACTGCACTTCAGCCTGGGTGACAGAGTGAGACTCCGTCTCAAAAAACAAACAAACAAACCAAAAACCACACACATTAGTCTAGGCCTACATAGGGTCAGAATCATCGCTATCACTGTCTTCCATCTCCACATCCTGTCCCACTGGAAGGTCTTCAGGACACGTGGAATTGTCTCCTATGATAACAATGCCTTCTTCTGAAATATTTTCTGAATAACCTACATGAAGCTATTTTACAGTTAACTATTTTTTTCATAAGTTAGAGTACACTCTAAAATAATGACATAAAATTTAGCATAGTGAATACATAAAGCAGTAACAATTGTTTATTATTATGTTGTGTACATAATTGTATGTGCTATACTTTCATAAGACTGGCAGAGCAACACGTTTGTTTACACCAGGACATAAGGAAAGAAAATACTATTGTACAGCTGTCCATTGTGTTTGTGTTTTAAGCTGTGTTATCACAAAAAGTAAAAAAGTTTAAAAGAAACTTTAAAGTTTATAAAATAATGAAATTATAGTAAGCTAAGGTTAATTTATTATTGAAGAAAGAAAAATACATTTTTAAATAAATGTAGCATAGCTTAAGTGTCCAGTGTTTATAAAGTCTGCAGTAGTGTACAGGAATGTCCTATACCTTATGTTCACTCAACATTCATTCACTGACACCCAAAGCAACTTCCAGTCTTGCAAGCTCCATTCGTGATAAGTGCCCTATACAGGTGGACCATTTTTCATATTTTCTACCATATTTTTACTGTACCTTTTCTATGTTTAGATATATTTAGATATACAAATACTTACCATTGTGTGACAGTTACCTATAGTTTTCAGCGTAGTAACATGCTGTACAGGATTGTAGCCTAGGAGCAAGAGGCCCACATAGCCTAGGTGCGTTGTAGGAAATATAATCTAGGTTTGTGTAAGTACACTCTAGGAAGTTTACACGATGTTAAAATTGCCTGTGGATGCATCTCTCAGACCCTCAATGTTAAGTGATACATGACTGTATTTTTAATGACGCGTATTTTGTTTTTTACATGTGAACTGCTGTTCACGTACATGGTCTGTTTTTCCATTAGGATACTCGATCTTTCCACCTCTAGAGATATCCAGTTCAATTTCATTTCCCTGTTTCCTGGCACCTCATTTTTGAACTGTAGAGCCACCTTAATACAATTCTTTCCCTTATATATATCCCCTACCCCACCACATACACGGTGTGCAGCCTCCCGTTTTGTTTTACTCACCTAGAATAAGAAATGGTGAATTGGCAACTATGATGACAAATGGCACCCCAATGTGCAACAGCAGGCCAAAGCCGCTCACCACTGCCAAGAAAGCAGAAATCACTCCAAAGGCCGCAACACACATTTTGTTTCGTATGCAGTCAAACCTGTAAATTTGGAGGGAAAAATCATGGAATTTGTGGTGGTAGCTTTCATCAATGGATAACATTCTTGACTTGGACACCTAGTCATAAATCTCTAAGACAGTAATTTCCACACATATCTGCTGGAGACCTTTAATTCCCAGGGACTATCTCAGAACAACTGAAAAAAAAAAAAGGAAAGAAAGGGAGCAGAAAAGTTAGAAATCTGTAAATCTGTACTTCTACCGACTCTGCTATATGTGATTCTTTGCAGCCAGCCAAGCACTAAGTCACTGACTAGCATTTTGGAACCACAAAGAATTACTAAAACACTGCTAATGGCTAATTCCACTCTGATCTTCAGAAGGGTGTGAATGGAATATAACAGATAATGAAGAGCAAGCTGTACTAGAGAAAGAACATAGATCCAATTATCTTTTTATCCATCCCTGGTCTCTAACTAGCCATAACACAACATTAAATGCCTCCTGTATTTCAAAGTTAGTACAATGTGTATTGTTGTTAACATAAAGTAGGAAAGTCTTTTAAGTTACTTTCAGGATTCTTCTCTACTGGTGAAGTGGGCTCTGTGGAAAAGTTGCTACGAATTTGGAAAAAATTAAAATGTGCTATATTTTAAATGACCCAAACTGTGCCTGTTTCCTTGGCAAACCAACAGAAACAGGACTATATACAAAATATTTTAAAGCATGATTCAGTGCTTTACCTCCTCAGCAACCATAACATTACCTTTTAAAAGATTGGCAACAACCTCTGGTTTTAGATTTTGCTTGTTAGAAATTGCTTCAAAACAAATGACTGATACCTGCATTCAGATATTTTAGTAGGGGAGAGAAACTAAGTTTGGAATTTTAGTCTAGGAGCTGAAGAACTGGAGCCACTGGTTTCAAAACAGCAGGAACATGACTGAAGACCTGCAGGGGAGATCACATTTAAATAGATAAAATTCTTCTTCTTAATAAAATGTCTATACTGTTATTGTATTTCACTTTTTCTTAACCTGGTACTATGAATTAAGGTCGGGGCCCCAACTCAACACACATACACATATAAATTCCAGGGCAAAAGTAAATTGCTTTGTTATAATAAAATCTCTTACTATAATTCTTTCTTTCTTTCTTTCTTTCTTTCTTTTTTTTTTTTTTTTGAGACAGACTTTTGCTTTTTTTGCCCAGGCTGGAGTCTCACTCTGTCACCCAGCCTGGAGTGCAATGGTGCAATCTTAGCTCACTGCCACCTCTGCCTCCCGGGTTCAAGTGATTCTCCTGCCTCAGCCACCTGAGTAGCTGGAATTACAGGCATGTGCCACCACACCTGGCTAATTTTGTATTTTTAGTAGAGATGGGGTCTCACCATGTTGGCCAGACTGGTCTTGAACTCCGGTGATCCGCCTGCCTCGGCCTCCCAAAGTGCTGGGATTACAGGCATGAGCCACTGTGCCCGGCCTAATATAATACGTTCTTAAAACAACAATATTGGTTTATAGGAGTTTAAGATAAGAAAGTAAAAGAGATGAATTTCAAAATCAGAAAGATTTTGGATAAAAGGATAAAAGGTATATATGACAAGGTTATGCCCATTCCTCCTTTTGAGTTTCTGGATTTCTTAGGTGTGAATTTTTCAGAGGATAGGGGAGTGAAGTATAGTATTGATTATAGAGACTTTGGCTAGATATAAATAAAGTTCAGGACTATCTGTGGTTTCAGGCATCCGTTGTATGTCTTGGATAGTATTCCTGTGGAAAAGCAGGGGATTACTATACATAAAATAGCATGAGCTATAATTGAGTTCAATTTAGAGCACAGACTTTTGAAAAAGTCTTATTTAAATGACTTCATTGCAAGACAATAAATATAGAACCCTGAAATATGTTTCAGTAAGTGTCTTAAATGAGCTAAAGGCAGGTATGCAAGGTATAACCTTCATATATGAGAGTGTGTGAGACAGGCAAAATGGGGATATGTCCTAGAACTGTCTAGGAAGCTCCACCCAGAACGGACATGAGACCCTCTGTGATAAGGAAAGAGAGGGAGCGAGAAGTGTCCAGGGAACTTACAAAAGCACTTGCAGGCAGCCGGGTGCGGTGGCTCACGCCTGTAATCCCAGCACTTTGGAAGACTGAGGTGGGCGGATCACCTGAGGTCGGGAGTTCGAGACCAGCCTGTCCAACATGGTGAAACCCCGCCTCTACTAAAAATACAAAAATAAGCCAGGTGTGGTGGTGCATGCCTGTAATCCCAGCTACTCAGGAGGCTGAGGCAGGAGAATCGCTTGAACCTGGGAGGCAGAGGTTTCAGTGAGCCGAGATTGCGCCATTGCACTCCAGGCTGGGTGACAGAGTGAGACTCCATCTCAAAAAAGAAAAAACACCAAACAAACCAATACTTGCAGAAGGATCAGTTTCATATTCAAAGCCAGAGAAGACATATATTAGACTGTCATGGCAGCATTCATGTCTTAAGAATTTTTCGATTCCATTTTTCCTACTGTTTGAGCATGCTCCAGTCTGTGAACCACTCAGCAAGATGGATAGTGAGAGAAGTGATAGGAGAGGTCTGGAATATCCCTTTTTCCCCATTAAAGGCTATTCCATGTAGCATGCTTCAGCTAGGAGAGGAGGAAAAACCTTAGCTTCAAATCAAGTTACCACTTTTGTTTATGACATGAACATGAACATGAACATGGACATTTTAATTCTGACTGGAGGACTTTTTGTCTTGCCTAAGAATTACCGTAACGTAGGGATTGCCTGAATTTTCATGAGGCAGAGGAAGAACTTGCTCTACCTAGTAAACTTACAAACTTACAGGAAACAAAGGGAGACAAAAATACAACTGCTTTATGTTTATACCTTATGAGTCTTGTGTTCAATATGGTGGTTACATAAGCATAGAAGAGTCTTTGGAGACAACTATAAATCATTTTCCAATTCCCTTAAATAAAATATTTTTGTGCATTATTGTCCAAAATCACTTGTAAAGATATGTAAGAACTGACTAGAGTTTGTATTTTCAAAACCAACTATCTAGTAGAAAAGTTTTGTTAAACCAATTATTGGTAACATGTAGACTGAATTTTTAAAATGCTTTATCCTACTAACTTTAATAGCCTGAATTTTGTGGGGTTTTTTTGTTTCTTTTTAAAGTTTCTTTGTTTTCTAAGTGATGTGGTCTTCCTTTCCAGAGTAACAAAATTATGAGGTAGTTCATTGACCCTAAAGAGGTCCCCAGTGTCTTCACATCCCTTTACCTACTGAGACTTCATCTTTCTTTTCCTTACATCTAAATAGTTAAATTATATTATTTGTTCCTAAACCTACCTACACATAAGAATCAGCTAGAGAAATTTTTGAAATATAGAGTTCCAGATTTAACCCCAAGATATTTTAATTTGATAGGGCGGGGCCTGAGAATATCTGGTTTATGGCTCTCTGGGTGACTCTGATGTAAAATAATCTATTTATTTTAATAGAATTAGAATATAATCTATGGGGTTCCTCCTACATCTAAATTCTGTTGTTTGATGATATCTTTCATATTTAGTTTGAACTCAAGAACACAAACTACCCCTAATGCCTAGAGAACAATTTTTAAGTGCTTAACAAGGTAAACTGCACATCAGAACGATGGAGACACTTAAGTCAATTAAATTAGAACTTAATTTTTTATATAGTGAAAAGTACTATTTCAAATTAGCAGAAATAGGACATGCTTCTTGGTTCTACCAACTTATCTGCCTTCCAAATGGAACAATTAATCATAACTGATGCAATATGTAAGGTAAAAAAGATATGCCAAATCAAACAAAACCAGCCACAATTTCTTTTACTATTCCATTTGATTAGACACTATTGCTGATGGGAAAAAATGTTTTTAAAAGTCACCAGGTTTAAAAAACAAGAGTTTAGCACTGGATGTTAGGAAGAATGGCAGAAAAAAAAGCTCTTGTCCTCTCAAAGAATTATCAAAAAAAAAAAAAAACAAGCAGAAACTGTCAGAACCAATTTTATGAACCCTGGAAAATAGTCGAAAAGTTACAGCAACCAAGCGAATGATGAATCCAAAAAAAAAAAAGCCCCCCCTTTCTGGCATGGTGGCAGTCTTAAAGCAGTAAGTCTTAAAGTGGCATGGGTGTTAAAGTGGTCACACTCTTAAAGCGGCCATAGTCTCAAAGCAGCAGCAGTATAAAGTGGTCACAGCCTGAGTTCCCAGTGTGAGAGTGTTTCACTGGATCTGGAGGGGGCAGAGCAGATTTTACTCAAAAAATATTGTATATGAAAATTAGCTGGGCATGGTGGCGCACGCCTGTAATCGCAGCTACTCAGGAGGCTGAGGCAGGAGAATGGCGTGAACCCAGGAGGTGGAGCTTGCAGTGAGCCGAGATCGTGCCACTGCACTCCAGCCTGGGCTACAGAGTGAGATTCCGTCTCAAAAAAAAAAAAAAAAATTGAAATGTGGCTAGGCATAGTAGCTCATGCTGCACGCACCAATGGGGGTGGCTCACAGTGTAATCCCACCACTTTGGGAGGTTGAGGTGAGAGGATCACTTGAGGCTAGGAGTTCAAGACCAGCCTAGGCAACACAGCAAGATCCTGTCTCTACAAAAAATAATAAAAATTAGCCAGATGTGATGGCATGTGCCTGTAGTTCCAGCTACTCAGGAGGCTGAGGTGGGAGGATTGCTTGAGTTTAGGAGTTCAAGGCTGCAGTCAGTTATGATTGTGCCACTCCACAGCAGCCTGGGCAACAGGAAAAGACCCTGTCTGAAAAGAAAAAAGAAATGTGAAGAAAAGAAAGCATAATAGAGGAAATGAAGGACAAAAAAGTTATAAGACAGATAGAACATAAATTTAAAAATGTTACAAGTTCTTTCTTGTCAGCAATTACCTTAAATGTAAATAGATTAAACTCTCCAATCAAAAGACAGGTTGGCAGAATGGATAAAACAACATGATCTAACTATATGCTGTTTACAGACTTACTTTATTGCCAAAAATATAAGTAGATTGAAAGTACATAAAAGGATACTCTACACAAATAGTAACCAAAATAGAGCAGGAATGGCTACACTAACATCAGGCAAAACAGACTTAGAGACAAAGGAGTACATTATATATTGATAAACGGGCCAATTCCCCAAGAAGCTATAACAACTGTAAACATATGTGTACTGCATAACAGATACCCAAAATATATGAAGTAAATATTGACAGAAGTGAAGGGGGAGATAGAGCGCTCTACAATAATAGCTGGAGAGGACTAGGCGTGGTGACTTACACCTATAATTTCAGCACTTTGGAAGGCTGAGGTGGGTGGATCACTTGAGGTCAGGAGTTCGAGACAAGCCTGGTCAACATGGTGAAACCCCATCTCTACTAAAAATACAAAAATCAGGTGAGCATGGTGATATACACCTGTAATCCTAGCTACTCAGGAGGCTGAAGCAGAAGAATTTCTTGAACCTGGGAGGCACAGGTTACAGTGAGGCAAGATTGTGTCATTACACTTCTGCCTGGGTGACAGAGTGAGACTCTGTCTCAAAAAAAAAAAAAAAAAAAAAAAGAAAAAAAACTGGAGAATGCAATATACCACTTTCATCAATGCATGAAACATCTGAGAAGAATATCAATAAGGACATAGAGAAATGAACAACACTACAAACCAATTAGACCCTACAGAATTATATAGAAGACTCAACCCAATGACAGCAAAATATACATTCTTCTCTAGTGCCCATGGAACATTCTCCAGGATAGATCATACATTCAGCTGTAAAACAAGTCTAAATAAATTTTAAATGATTGAAGTTATACAGTGTACGTTTTTCTAACCAACAATAGAATAAAGCTAAAAATCAATAATAGGAAAACTGGAATATTAACAAATCTACAAAAATGTAACAATACACTATTAAACAATCAAGAGACATTAGAAAATACTTAGTTAAGAATGAAAATGAACACACAACATACCATAACTTATGAGATACAGTGATAATAGTGCTCAGAGGGAAATTTATAGCTAAATACCCACATTAAAAAGAAAAAGGATTTCAAATCAATAACAACTTGTGGATCTAGGGAAAGGAGGGAAACCAAACCCAAAGCTAACAGAGGTGTGTTAGTCTGTTCTGCCCACTGTAACAAAATATCTTAGACTGAGAAACTTATAAACAACAGAAAATTGCTCCTTACAGTACTAGAGGCTGAGAAAGCCAAGGTCAGGGCCAAAGATTTGGTGTCCAGTGAGGATTTGCTCTTTGCTCCACAGATGGTGCCTTCTTGCTATGTCCTTACATGGTAGAAGGGGCTAATAAGCTCCCTCGGAATTATTTTTAAGAGTATCAATCCCATTCTAATCACCTCTCAAAGGCCCCACCTCATATTACTATCACACCAGGAATTAGGTTTCCACATAGGAATTTTGGGAGGACACAAACATTCAGGCCACAGGAAGAAGGAAGGAAAGAATAAAGATTAGAACAGAGGTGAATACAGAATAGAAAAACAATAGAATGAATCAATCCAAAAGTTGGTTACTTGAAAATATCAACAAAATTGACTAAATTTTACCTAGTGTCACGAAGAAAAAGAGAAGACACAAATAACTTAAGCTGACATGAAAGCGGAGACGTTACTACTGACCTTATAGAAATAGAAAAGTTTATAAGAGAATATTATCAAAAACTGTATGTCAACAAACTGGATAACCTAGATGAAATGCATGAATTCCTACAAAAACACAAATGACCTAAACTGACTTAAGGTGAAATAGAAAATCTCAAGGCCTATAACAAAAGATTAAACCAGTAATAAAAAAACTCCCAATAAAGAAAAGTCCAGGACCAGATTTCACTGATGAATTCTACCAAACATCTAAAGTGGAGGTAACAGGAATCCTTCTCAAACTCTTCCAAAAAATTGAAGACGAGGAAATATTTCCTAACTCACTCTGGGAGACCATCATTACACTGACACAATACCAGACAATGACATCATAAGAAAAGAAAACTACAAACCAATAGCTCTCATGAATATAGGTGCAAAAGTCATAAACAAATACTAGTAAGTCCAATCCAAAACGTATTAAAAGGATTATACATCATAGCCAGCTGGGATTTATCCCAGAAAGGTCATCGGGAGAAAGTCAGTCAATGTAACATACCATATTTATAGAACAAAGGACAATAACCACATGTTCATCTCACTAGATGTTTAAAAGGCACTTGACAAAATCCAATACCCTTTCATAATAAAAACACTAAAAAACTAGGAATATGAAGGAAAATTCCTCAAAATAATAAAGGCATTTATAAAAATAGTAAAACTAACATCATACTCAAGGGTGAAAGAATGAAAGCTTTCCTCTAAGATCAGATCAGATCAGAAACAAGACAGAAAAGACTCCCACTTTCCCCATTGATATGCGATGTTGTACTGGAAGTTCTAGCCAGAGCAATTAGATTAAAAAAAAAATAAAAAGCATCTAAATTGGAAGGGAAGAAATATAACTCTCCCTCCTCAGAGATCACATGATTGTATATATGAAAAATACCAAAGAATCCAGAAGAAAACTACTAGAGTTAACAAATTCAGCGCAGCTTCAGGATATAAGAGCAACACCAAAAAATTAGTTGTGTTTCTATACATAGGCAGTGAACAACCCAAAAAGGAAATTAAGAAAGCAATTCTATTTAAATAGCTCTAAATGAATGAAACACCTAAGAATAATTTTAACCAAGGAGGTGAAGGATCTGCACACCGAAAACCAGCAAACATTGGTAAAAGAAACTTAAAAAGACCTGGATAAATGGAAAGATCCTTAGTTCCTGGGTTGGCAGACTCAATATTTTTAAAATGCCAGTCCTACTCAAAACAATCTGCAGATTCAACACAATCCCCATCAAAATTCCAACAACCATTTCCCCCCCAGAAATAGAGAAGCTGATTCTAAAATTCATATGGAATTGCAAGGAGTCTAGGATGATCTATATAATCTTGAAGAACAACAAAGTTGAAGGAATCAGTATTATTCAGCCATAAAAAGCAATGGAGTTCTGATACACGCTACAAGGATGAACCTTGAAAATATTATGCCTAGTGAAATGAGCCAGTCACAAAAAGATAAATATATGATTCCACTATATGAAATCTTGAGGAAAATTCACAGAGACAAAGTAGATTAAAGTTAACTGGCACTGGGTTGGGGGTGGTGGTGGTGATGGGGAATTTATTGCAAAATGTTAACAGAGTTCTTGTTTGGGATGATGCAAAATATTTGAAAACAGATCATTGTGATGGTTGCATGCCAATGTGGATGTAATTAATGCCACCGAATTTTACACTTAAGAGTGGCTATAACATCATATGTTATGTCATATATATTATTATATTTTACCACAATAAAGTATTTTTCATAAAGTAAGAGATTTAAAAACTAATCAAAGCTTTTTACCTAAAGCATGATGTGACTGCAAACAGAATGATGAGAATGTATGCCAGGTGAAACACAGGGATCACAGTCACAGAAGTTGCCTCAAATTCCAGTTGTCTGGAAAGCGATGTAAAGTGGACTACCTGCCACAAAAATATACTCAGATAAATAGCTTTTAATTACAATATTTGTGTGTGAGTTACAAAAACTATTGAAACACTTTATCTTAGTGATGAAACAATATGTATGTTAAAATTCAGCAAAAGATAAAAATACATGGATTATGACTTCAGAATAGAGAAAATAATGTAGATTTGCTTCTTTCCACACATCTATGGATTCCCCAAGTTTCTTTCAAATTCAAAGTTTAAATAAAACTCCTGAATAAACAAAATCTGAATTTTATATAAAACTTTGAAATCTTTTTTTTTTTTGAGACAGGGCCCTCAACCTCCTGGGCTCAAGTCATCCTCCTGCCTTGGCCTTACGAATAGCTGGGACTACAGGTGTGCACCACCACGACTGGCTAACTTTTGTAATTTTTGTAGAGATGGGGTTTTGCCAGGTTGCCGAGGCTGGTCTTGAACCCCTGGACTCAAGCAGTCTACCTGCCTTGGTGTCCCAAAATGCTGGGATTATAGGCGTGAGCCACCACACCCAGCCTAAAACTGTTTAATCTTGTTCTCATTAATAGCTGCAGAAATTGTAACTTTTTCTAAATTTGTATTAGGTTAGTGTCTTTTACTATTTCAGTTGCATAAATATTTCAGGAGGGCCTGGTCTTTGAAAGCTCTTTCCAGCAGGTGTCTCTTTCACTAGGCTTATTTATACATCTGAATAGTGTTGCAGATCCACCAATAACTGAACAGCTAATATGTACCTCACACTAAGCCAGGTGCTGCTTCGTATGTATCTAACTTGAAAAATGCTAAGCTAGTTATCTTCTTAAGGCTATGGAACTTTTACTTAAAAGACGGTTTGTTTTTTAATCCCAATGAGCTCCAAGCAAGTTTTAGGGGTTCCCCCAAACCAGTGAAGACTTTAACTAAAAGTAGAATTTCAGAATACTGTAATTTGATTAGAAACCAAACCCCAAAATTAAACATGAAGATCAATGTCTGTACTGAACAGGCCCATCTGGTGGACATAGGATTTGTGTTATCGACTAGAATGCTACCAAGGATTCACAATTTCTGGCATCCGTCGGTGTTAAGAAAATTGGGTTGAGTACCAAATACAGTAGAGCACACCCAGCCTAGAGGCAAGGGCCCCGTAAAGTAGTCAGGAAGTGCTTTTGTTACGATTCTGGGGAGCAAGTCTTCCTCATCCCTCTCACCTTCTCCTGGCCTCCCTGTAAACCCACACCACCAGGTACCTCAATTTTTTTCAAGGCCAAGATGTTCTTAATGTTGGTAAATTGATCGAGCAAATGGGTGAGCCACTGCTTGCTCTGCACGTCGTACTCAGGGTCCTCGGTCTTCAGGTAGTACAGCAGCCGCATGGCTTTGGCCCGCAGGAGTAACTGGCCCATTCCTAGGCTGCCCCCCAAGATGTATCCTCCGAAGAAGCCGGTCAGGTAGAGGGGATGCCTGCCGTGGTTGTAGGCGGGGAAGGAGATGCTGCTCAGGTTGAGCGTTTTGTTCACCTGCCAGGCGTACAGGATCGGGTTGGGGGGCACGCAGAGCGCCCTGTACCTCGCGCACACCTGCTGGTACTGGATCTGGCTTCCCTTTTCCCGCGCCACGCGCAGATCCTGCACCGCGCCGTCCAGTTTGCTGACTTCTGCAAAGGTAGCTGGGTCCAGCAGTGAGTCGCTGTAGGAGACCACCAGAAGCGAGACGAAATTGGCTTCGGTGCTCCTCCTGGAGGCGGAGAAGCGGTAGGAGTCGTTGGTGGTGAAATGGCCCTGCACGAAGCGCCGCTCCGCCTTGGCCGGGCTCCCCACAGGGGTGTAATGCTCCTCTAGGTCTTCCTCTTCGTCCTTGGGTAGGTACAGGAAGCCGGTGCCCAGCGCGGCTGTCAGCATCAAGGGCGCCAGCAGGAAGATCCAGGGGTGCGCGCCCACCTGCCACCCCAGCCACTGGAAGGTGCGGGACAGCAGCCCCTCTAGGCAGTCGGTGTGACAGCGGTGCCGGTGCCTGCAGATGGCCGTGGGTTCGGGGGTTTCCTCCTCCGGCAGGGGTGCATCGTCCAGCTCCAGCGGCAGGCGGGGTGCATCGTCCAGCATCGACGGCCGGGGGGGTGCATCGTCCCCCTCTGGCAGGGGTGCATCCTGCTCCGACGCCAGGGGTCCTGAGGGTTCGGGGGATTTCGGGGGTGCCAGGGGTCCCGGGGGTGGCTGCTTGCCTTCCGACTCCGATTCCTGAGATTCCTGGTACCACTGCGGCCCGGTGGCAGAGTCCGGTTTGGTGAGCTTGGGCTTCTGCTCCGGCCCCGGCCTGGGCTTGGGCTCCACCCACGGCATTGATTCTTCCTCTTAGGAAGCGCAGGAGGAACAGCAGGTGAAAAGCAGCTGCGGAGATCCCACCAGACGGTTTCCTGGCCCCACCCAACGCTCTCCTGGCCCCACCCAACGGTTTCCTGGAGAAATTCTAGGGGAGTTTGCCCTCCAGCCGCGCTCCGGAAGCGGAGGCTGCGTTGGGAGCACGTGGTTTGCCCCGTCGCCCAACTAATCTGAAATGTGTTTGTGGCGTGCCTGGTTTCTCAGGGGTTCTGCACATACAAGGAACGCTTCTTCAAGGCCATCAAATGCGTGCCTATCCTATGGACTCGCAATTTATTGGGAGAATGTGGGTGTTTCTTCCATGCACACAAATGGCACAGAAATTCCACGTGTCCTGAGTGACAGATTTTACCTTTCTTGGCATTCACCCAGTAACAGTTTCAAGTAAGACTTTTATGAATCTGACACACTTGACTTAGTTATTATTTTTATTTTCTGTCCACAAGTGTAACATGTACATACATTCTCCTAGTAAAAAGAAGTAAATGCATAGAATGAAAAGTGGGGAAAAAAAAATCAAAATCTTTCACTCCCATTCCTCTTAAAAGAAGTGTTAAAAAGTGGGTCTACATCCTTGCAAACCCTTTCTATGCATATACATGCATATCAAAGATATAGCAAATATACCTTTTTCATAAATACTACTTCACTATTCATGTTATGTAGATCACATTTTTCATCTACAGTGGCAGAAGATTTGAACATGTCAGTGCATATGGATTTATCTTATTTTTTTGAACTGCTCTATACTTTTCCAATGTATGGATGAAACATAATTTAGCCAGAATTTTACTGATGGACCCATACATTGTTTAGTCATTTGCTTTTATAAACAGTGCTCAGTAAATAAATATCATATTTTAACCTGTACACAGCAACCATATCTGTGAGAGATAATTCTTTAGAGTGGATTCACTAGGCCAAAGGATAGGTTCTTTTAAATTTTTAGAGCTATTGAGAAATTAAAATCCAAAGAAGTTGTATTGATTTATACCCTCATAAGCAATATATGAATTTGCCACAGCCTATCCTACAATGTCAGCAAAGTGGTTTGTGCCACTGGCATCTTACTTTGGTTTAATTTTGAATGTACTGCTTAGTATCCTTATCTTTCCTTTTTGAGTGAACTATCATATCTTTTGCGTGCCTATTCCATTCAATAGTTTTCCTATTGGATTTTGGGATTTTCTTCTTGATTTATATGTTAAAGAAATGACCACTTTTCTTGTGGTCTGAGTTACAAGCCTCCCCTCTCCCCTCATTTTTCTCATTGCCATGGCTTATTTTTGCAATTCAATTAATGAATACTTTTCTTTCATGAATTCCATTTTTTGTCATAACAAATTTTTCTTTTTTTGTGATTATAATTGCTGCGATTTGAATGAATGTGTCCCTCCAAAATTCAAAGGTTGGAACTCAAACCCCAATGTGATAGTCTTTAGGGGTGATTAAGTCATGATGGTAGACCTCTTATGAGTGGGATTAGTGACCTTATAAAAGGGCTGGAGATAACTAGCTAGGCCCTTTTGCCCTTCCACTCTTTCGCCAGGTGAGGACATAGCCTTCCTTCCCTCCAGAGGGTGCAGCAACAAGGCACCAACTTGGAAGCAAAGGCTGGGCCCTCCAGACACCAAACCTGCCAACATCTTGATTTTGGACTTCCCCCATCCAGAATTGTAAGAAATAAATTCCTGTTGTTTGTAAACAGGATCTTAGATATTTTGTTATAACAGCACTAATGGACTAATACAATAATTATCTGCTTTTTAAAAATTTAAATATTAATCCATCTGGAATTTATTTTAGTTTAATGTAGGCAGTTAAGAATCAATGACATTAAGTGATAGTTGCCAACTGAAAACTATGCTACCCTTTCCATCATAATATGGAATTGTAATTGAAATATGGCTGTCCAATCAAGGATTACATTTTCAAATCTCCTTTGTTCCTTTGTGTGGCCTTGTGACCAGTAATCAGCTACAGAATATAAGTGGAAGTGATGGGTGTTTCTTCCAGACCAAGACCTTTAAGAATTGCTCTATCCCATCCCATCATCTAGACATAGGTGACAGAGGAACCTACTTGAACTGTGGTACATAAGCTGGCAGGAACCTGGGTTCCTGAAGCATCATGGGCAGGATACCTAGTCACTGACCAGGAACATCTGTAGTGACTGTTACATGAGTGAGAGATATATTTGTATTGTGATAAGCCACTAAAATGTCATGGCTTATTTATTAAAATGATTAGTTTGGCTTTACTACTAGATAATCCATGAAGATATAGCTGTCCCTAACACTCATATCTGAGCACACTTTAGTTTACTTAGCACTCTACCTGTTGACATTGAAAGAGAGGTGTTAATTACATAGCATTTGAAAAAGATCTGGAAGAAAGGTGGTTTATCAGTGGGTGTACTTCAGGGTTAACCAGATGTTAAAATGAGAATTCTATTCAGTGCGCTTGTGTCATCCACATCAGTAGATCTGACTATGGCAGTATCAGAAAGCAAAAAACAGACGTATATCAAACCAGTCCCTGCTTATTTTAATTCAACTATCAATAATAATACTTCATTTAAAATAAGGCATCCAAAACAAATTTAAATTAGATGGTTTGCCAGGACTATAACCTATATTAAGCAAAATACCCCTTTTTTGTAAATATAAGTGAATAATCATGAGGAATAACATGAAGAAGGAGGAAGATGAGCTAATAAAATATCTAAAGTAATTGAAGGACAAATATTTGGTGATTAAATCAATGTTGAATTAAAAAATGATGACATATGGCCAGGCCCGGTGGCTCAGACCTGTAATCCCAGCACTTTGGGAGCCCAAGGCAGGTGGATCACTTGAGGTCAGGAGTTTGAGAGCAGCCTGGCTAATATGGTGAAACCCTGTTTCTACTAAAAATACAAAAAATTAGCTGGACATGGTGGTGCATGCCTGTAGTCCTAGCTACTCTGGAGGCTGAGAAAGGAGAATTGCTTGAACCCAGGAGGCAGAGGTTGCAGTGAGCCAAGATCGTGCCACTGCATGGCAGCCTGGGTGACAGAGTGAGACTTCGTCTCAAAAAAAAAAAAAAAATGAAGCATGAAAGTATGCACTTTAGTTTGTTGTCCAAAGTCAGTCACATTTTACAAATGCTTGTCTTTGAAGAAAGACTTTGAAAATCAATCTAGTGCCTTACAATGTATTGAACTAGTTTGTAAATGAGTCCTCTATTCATTTTTGTTGCAATTTGTTCAAAATCAGTTGTGGATCTTTAATCAAAGTGTTTATTGGATAGAATTTCAACCAAACTTAAAGTTTTGAAACTTTTAACAAATTTCAATTATTAAAAACAAAATTTGTATTAGAAGCCATTGAAATTGTCACTACAAAAGTGAGGAAGGAAGTGAATATATGCTATGAGAATAAAACACTGTACAAGATTTAAATTAGAAATTTTATAATTGTGTTTTTGAATGTGAACTTGTAAGAAGAATTATTTTTGGGCTGGGCATGGCGGCTCACGCCTGTAATCCCAGCACCTTGGGAGGCTGAGGTGGGTGGATCACTTTAGGTCAGGAGTTTGAGGGCAGCCTGAACAATATGGTGAAACCTGGCCTCTATTAAAAATACAAGATTAGCTGGGCATGGAGGTGCACACCTGTAACCCCAGCTACTTGGGAGGCTGAAGCAAGAGAATTGCTTGAATCCGGGAGGCGGAGGTTGCAGCTAGCTGAGATCATGCCACTGTACTCCAGCCTGGGCAATGAGAGTGAAACTGTCTGAAGCTTCTATTTTTATTTGGACAAATATATATTCTGTAATGAAAGGAATATTGAAAATGCCTATTTTGCAGCATCTCATTTGGTTTGGCAAAACATTCAAGATAATTAGAACTAGAGATTACTTATTTTATTTGTTTTGCTTTATCAAGTGTTTCTTAAGAATGATACTCTGAATGAAGTAAAGAAGACAGTACCAGCGCGGTTCCAAGATGGCCGAATAGGAACAGCTCCAGTCTACAGCTCTCAGCGTGAGCGATGCAGAAGACGAATGATTTCTGCATTTCCAACTGAGGTACCGGGTTCATCTCACTGGGGACTGTCGGACAGTGGGTGCAGGACAGTGGGTGCAGTGCACCAAGCGTGAGCTGAAGCAGGGCGAGGCATCGCCTCATCTGGGAAGTGCAAGGGGTCAGGGAATTCCCTTTCCTAGCCAAGGAAAGGGGTGACAGATGGCACCTGGAAAATCGGGTCACTCCCACCCTAATACTGCGCTTTTCCGACGGTCTTAGCAAACGGCACACCAGGAGATTATATCCCGCGCCTGGCTTGGAGGGTCCTACGCCCACGGAGCCTTGCTCATTGCTAGCACAGCAGTCTAAGATCAAACTGCAAGGTGGCAGTGAGGCTGGGGGAGGGGAGCCCGCCATTGCTGAGGCTTGAGTAGGTAAACAAAGCGGCCAGGAAGCTCGAACTGGGTGGAGCCCACCACAGCTCAAGGAGGCCTGCCTGCCTCTGTAGACTGCACGTCTGGGGGCAGGGCATAGCCAAACAAAAGGCAACAGACACCTCTGCAGACTTAAATGTCCCTGTCTGACAGCTTTGAAGAGAGTAGTGGTTCTCCCAGCACACAGCTTGAGCTCTGAGAATGGACAGACTGTCTCCTCAAGTGGGTCCCTGACCCCCAAGTAGCCTAACTGGGAGGCACGCCCCAGTAGGGGCAGACTGACACCTCACACAGTGGGGTACTCCTCTGAGACAAAACTTCCAGAGGAATGATCAGGCAGCAACATTTGCTGTTCACCAATATTCACTGTTTTGCAGCCTCCACTGCTGATACCCAGGCAAACAGGATCTGGAGTGCACCTCCAGCAAACTCCAACAGAGCTGCAGCTGAGGGTCCTGACTGTTAGAAGGAAAACTAACAAACAGAAAGGACATCCACACCAAAACCCCATCTGTATGTCACCATCATCAAAGACCAAAGGTAGATAAAACCACAAAGATGGGGAAAAAACAGAGCAGAAAAACTGAAAATTCTAAAAATCAGAGCACCTCTCCTCCTCCAAAGGAACGCAGCTCCTCACCAGCAACAGAACAAAGCTGGACAGAGAATGACTTTGACGAGTTGAGAGAAGAAGGCTTCAGACGATGAAACTTCTCTGAGCTAAAGGAGGAAGTTCGAACCATCGCAAAGAAGTTAAAAACCTTGAAAAAAGATTAGACGAATGGCTAACTAGAATAACCAATGCAGAGAAGTCCTTAAAGGACGTGATGGAGCTGAAAACCATGGCACAAGAACTACGTGATGAATGCACAAGCTTCAGTAGCCAATTCGATCAACTGGAAGAAAGGTTATCAGTGATGGAAGATCAAATGAATGAAATGAAGTGAGAAGTTTAGAGAAAAAAGAATAAAAATAAATGAACAAAGCCTCCAAGAAACATGGGACTATGTGAAAAGACCAAATCTACGTCCGACTGGTGTACCTGAAAGTGACGGGGAGAATGGAACCAAGTTGGAAAACACTCTTGAGGATATTATCCAGAAAAACTTCCCCAAACTAGCAAGGCAGGCCAACATTCGAATTCAGGAAATACAGAGAATGCCACAAAGATACTCCTTGAGAACAGCAACTCCAAGACACATAATTGTCAGATTCACTAAAGTTGAAATGAAGGAAGAAATGTTAAGGGCAGCCAGAGAGAAAGGTCGGGTTACCCACAAAGGGAAGCCCATCAGACTAACAGCTGATCTCTCGGCAGAAACTCTACAAGCCAGAAGAGAGTGGGGGCCAATATTCAACATTCTTAAAGAAAAGAATTCTCAACCCAGAATTTCATATCCAGCCAAATTAAGCTTCATAAGTGAAGGAGAAATAAAATCCTTTACAGACAAGCAAATGCTGAGAGATTTTGTCACCACCAGGCCTGCCCTAAAAGAGCTCCTGAAGGAAGCGCTAAACATGGAAAGGAACAACTGGTACCAGCCACTGCAAAAACATGCCAAATTGTAAAGACCATCGAAGCTAGGAAGAAACTGCATCAACTAACGAGCAAGATAACCAGCTAACATCATAATGACAGGATCAAATTCACACATAACAATACTAACCTTAAATGTAAATGGGCTAAATGCTCCAATTAAAAGACACAGACTGGCAAATTGGATAAAGAGTCAAGATCCATCAGTCTGCTGTTTTCAGGAAGCCCATCTCACATGCAGAGACACACATAGGCTCAAAATAAAGGGATGGAGGAAGATCTACCAAGCAAATGGAAAACAAAAAAAGGCAGGGGTTGCAATCCTAGTCTCTGAAAAAACAGACTTTAAACCAAGAAAGATCAAAAGAGACAAAGAAGGCCATTACATAATGGTAAAGGGATCAATTCAACAAGAAGAGCTAACTATCCTAAATATATATGCACCCAATACAGGAGCACCCAGATTCATAAAGCAAGTCCTTAGAGACCTACAAAGAGACTTGGACTCCCACACAATAATAATGGGAGACTTTAACACCCCACCGTCAACATTAGACAGATCAACGAGACGGAAAGTTAACAAGGATATCCAGGAATTGAACTCAGCTCTGCACCAAGCAGACCTAATAGACATCTACAGAACTCTCCACCCCAAATCAACAGAATATACATTCTTCTCAGCACCACACCGCACTTACTCCAAAACTGACCACATAGTTGGAAGTAAAGCACTCCTCAGCAAATGTAAAAGAACAGAAATTATAACAAACTATCTCAGACCACAGTGCAATCAAACTAGAACTCAGGATTAAGAAACTCACTCAAAACTGCTCAACTACATGGAAACTGAACAACCTGCTCCTGAATGACTACTGGGTACGTAAGGAAATGAAGGCAGAAATAAAGATGTTCTTTGAAACCAACGAGAACAAAGACACAACATACCAGAATCTCTGGGACACATTTAAAGCAGTGTGTAGAGGGAAATTTATAGCACTAAATGCCCACAAGAGAAAGCAGGAGAGATCTAAAATTGACACCCTAACATCACAATTAAAAGAACTAGAGAAGCAAGAGCAATCACATTCCAAAGCTAGCAAAAGGCAAGAAATAACTAAAATCAGAGCAGAACTGAAGGAGATAGAGACACAAAAAACCCTTCAAAAAATCAATGAATCCAGGAGCTGGTTTTTCGAAAAGATCAACAAAATTGATAGACCACTAGCAAGACTAATGAAGAAAAGAGAGAAGAATCAAATAGAGGCAATAAAAAATGATAAAGGGGATATCACCACCAATCCCACAGAAATACAAACTACCATCAGATAATACTGTAAACATCTCTATGCAAATAAACTTGAAAATCTAGAAGAAATGGATAAATTCCTTGACACATACACCCTCCCAAGACTAAACCAGGAAGAAGCTGAATCTCTGAATAGACCAATAACAGGCTTTGAAATTGAGGCAATAATTAAGAGCTTACCAACCAAAAAAAGTCCAGGACCAGATGGATTCACATCCGAATTCTACCAGAGGTACAAGGAGGAGCTGGTACCATTCCTTCTGAAACTATTCCAATCAATAGAAAAAGAGGAAATCCTCCCTAACTCATTTTATGAGGCCAGCATCATCCTGATACCAAAGCCTGGCAGAGATACAACAAAAAAAGAGAATTTTAGACCAACATCCCTGATGAACATAGATGCAAAAATCCTCAATAAAATACTGGTAAACCGAATCCAGCAGCACCTCAAAAAGCTTATCCACCATGATCAAGTAGGCTTCATCCCTGGGATGCAAGTCTGGTCCAACATATGCAAATCAATAAACGTAATCCAGCATATAAACAGAACCAAAGACAAAAACCACACGATCATCTCAATAGATGCAGAAAAGGCCTTTGACAAAATTCAACAACCCTTCAAGCTAAAAACTCTCAATAAATTAGGTATTGATGGGACGTATCTCAAAATAATAAGAGTTATCTATGACAAACCCACAGCCAATATCATACTGAATGGAGAAAAACTGGAAGCATTCCCTTTGAAAACTGGCACAAGACAAGGATGCCCTCTCTCACCACTCCTATTCAACGTAGTGTTGGAAGTTCTGGCCAGGGCAATCAGGCAGGAGAAAGAAATAAAGGGATTCAATTAGGAAAAGAGGAAGTCAAATTGTCCCTGTTTGCAGATGACATGATTGTGTATCTAGAAAACCCCATTATCTCAGTCCAAAATCTCCTTAAGCTGATAAGCAACTTCAGCAAAGTCTCAGGATACAAAATCAATGTGCAAAAATCACAAGCATTCTTATACACCAATAACAGACAAACAGAGAGCCAAATCATGAGTGAACTCCCATTCACAATTGCTTCAAAGAGAATAAAATACCTAGGAATCCAACTTACAAGGGATGTGAAGCACCTCTTCAAGGAGAACTACAAACCATTGCTCAATGAAATAAAAGAGGATACAAACAAATGGAAAAACATTCCATGCTCATGGATAGGAAGAATCAATATCGTGAAAATGGCCATACTGCCCAAGGTAATTTGTAGATTCAATGCCATCCCCGTCAAGCTACCATGACTTTCTTCACAGAATTGGAAAAAACTACTTTAAAGTTCATATGGAACCAAAAAAGAGCCCACATTGCCAAGTCAATCCTAGGCCAAAAGAACAAAGCTGGAGGCATCATGCTACCTGACTTCAAACTATACTACAAGGCTACAATAACCAAAACACCATGATAATAGTACCAAAACAGATATATAGACTAATGGAACAGAACAGAGCCCTCAGAAATAATACCACATATCTCCAACTATCTGATCTTTGACAAACCTGACAAAAACAAGAAATGGGGAAAGGATTCCCTATTTAATAAATGGTGCTGGGAAAACTGGCTAGCCATATATAGAAAGCTGAAACTGGATCCCTTCCTTACATCTTATACAAAAGTTAATTCAAGATGGATTAAAGACTTACATGTTAGACCTAAAACCATAAAAAACCCTAGAAGAAAACCTAGGCAATACCATTCAGGACATAGGCATGGGCAAGGACTTCATGTCTAAAACACCAAAAGCAATGGCAACAAAAGCGAAAATTGACAAATGGGATCTAATTAAACTAAAGAGCTTCTGCACAGCAAAAGAAACTACCATCAGAGTGAACAGGCAACCTACAGAATGAGAGAAAATTTTTGCAATCTCTACTCATCTGACAAAGGGCTAATATCCAGAATCTACAAAGAACTCAAACAAATTTACAAGAAAAAAACAAGCAGCCCCATCAACAAGTGGGCAAAGTATATGAACAGACACTTCTCAAAATAAGACATTTATGCAGCCAACAGACACATGAAAAAATGCTCATCATCACTGGCCATCAGAGAAATGGAAAGCAAAACCACTATGAGATACCGTCTTACACCAGTTAGAATGGCGATCATTAAAAAGTCAGGGAACAAGAGATGCTGGAGAGGATGTGGAGAAATAGGAACACTTTTACACTGTTGGTGGGACTGTAAACTAGCTCAACCATTGTGGAAGTCAGTGTGGTGATTTCTCAGGGATCTAGAACTAGAAATACCATATGACCCAGCAATCCCATTACTGGGTATATACCCAAATGATTATAAATCATGCTGCTATAAAGACACATGCACACGTATGTTTATTGCGGCACATTCACAATAGCAAAGACTTGGAACCAACCCAAATGTCCAACAATGATATACTGGGTTAAGAAAATGTGGCACATATACACCATGGAATACTATGCAGCCATAAAAAATGATGAGTTCATGTCCTTTGTAGGGACATGGATGAAGCTGGAAACCATCATTCTCAGCAAACTATTGCAAGGACAAAAAACCAAACACCGCATGTTCTCACTCATAGGTGGGAATTGAACAATGAGAACACATGGACATAGGAAGGGGAACATCACACACTGGGGCCTGTTGTGGGGTGGGGGGGAGGGATAGCATTAGGAGATATACCTAATGTAAATGACGAGTTAATGGGTGCAGCACACCAACATGGTACATGTATATATATGTAACAAACCTGCACGTTGTGCACATGTACCCTAAAACTTTAGTAATAAAAAAAAAGACAGTACCTATGTGTGATGGTTAATTTGTCATGTCCATTTGTCTGGACTACAATACCCAATCATTTAATTAATCAATACAATACCCAGTCATCTAGATGTTGCTGTGAAGATAACTTGTGAAGATTATTAACATTTGCAATCAGTTCGCTTTAAATAAAGTAGTTATCCTTTATAATATGGATGAGTCTCATCCAATCAATTGAATTGCCTTAACAGCAAACACAAGATTTCCCCCAGAAAGAAAAAGTTCTAACTCCAGACTGACATCAGCTCCTGCCCAGGAGTTTCTAGCTTACTGGCCTGCCATACAGATGTTGGTCTTGTCAGCCCCCACAATTCTAACAGCCAATTCCTTGAAATATGCCAGATAGATAGATGTTAGAGAGAATCCTACTGGTTCTGTTTCTCGCAGGACTCTAACCTATCTATATATATATATAGATAGATAGATATATTGGTAGCAAGAGTTATTCCGTAGAAATAGAGTCTTAAGGTTGAGTTTTATTAATTGAGTTTGAGTTTTCTGGAATGGTTCTCTAATCTGATTATATTTAAAGGCACAAATGACTGTATTTCCAGTGGTAAAGAGGGTATTAATAGACCATGCTGTGAGGTGGCAGTAGATACGCAAAATATTATCATTGGTTACTCTTAAACACATGCTTATGAAAGGCAATGTCCTGCATGACCATGTATTTGATACCTTAAAACATATTAGTTTAACTAGTATAATACAGTTGACTAGTTGCTCCTAACTGCACTGGAGAAAGTGGGGAAAGAAAAGGATGATCTCAGAGCTTCACATTCTCAGCTCAAGCCCTTCCTAAAGGAACTGAAAGTTTTAATGTCTGTCCTTAAGGAAACCCTTATCTCCAGTATCTGTAGGACTGAGATTTCTGAAAACCAAACCCAGAGTTTCATTCTGCGAGTGGCTAAATTACAATGCAAATTGAATTTCCAGCTTTGCAAGGTGTCTTCTGTTAAAGTGCAGACATTGATTAGTTAGGAATGGGATCCTGAAAATTCGAATGGGGATATATAGGAAGATGCTGATGAAGTTGGCTGGGGTCTTTAAACTCCTATATTCTGCTGAATCTTTTTTACCAATAGAAGCAGCCTTCCTACCCCTGTCTGAATAAGTTAAGCTGATTTTCCTAAGGAATCTGTAATGGTTTTCCTGGAGGTTGTTTCCTTGCAAGATACTGTTGATTATTCTCAAAACTTATCCCAGATACCCCTTTTGATTTTAGGCATATACATAGACTTAATTAAGTCCTAGTTGTTCCCAGTGGGTTGGGTACAAACTGTAAACCATGAAGAGTAATGTTACACACCAAAAGGACCACATGATTTTTCCAGTTTATACCGATAGAAATTTGGGGAATATGTGTGGCAATGGATATTAAAGCTGTGAGATAATGGTGGAAAGAAAATACAGTTGGGTCAGGCTGAATTTACTGATATGGATTTACTAAACAGAGATTCTGGATTCAATGTTGAATCTCAAAGCGTTAGAAAGGGCTTTAACAGTTTGATTGGCTGGTTGGCTGAAACATGGACCAAAAATTGGCCCACACTAAATGAAATCGAAATGCTAGAACTGCCTTGATATATTGCAGATGAGGTTATATATACTGGATTAGAATGTTAGGGTGGGTTCATTATGTCAAACTTGCATATCCACCAAGAGCAAGAGGACTAGAGGACACATCTTTCACCAAATTTGTGAGGATTGAATTTGTGAAAAAGGTCCAGCATCCTTGAAGATCTCTGTGTTCACTTTTCTTTATAAGCTGGAAATTACAGTGGGAACTTCTGCCACTGAAATGGGGATAATTGAGTCCTAGGGTGACAGAAGTCATGCGGTGACACTTAATTGCCAAAGACAAGGTGGGTGTGGTTACCAGAATCAAAACAGTAATAAGAATATTCTAACTTGCAGAAACCCATTGCAGAGACCCAACCATCTAGCATTGGCTACTTGATTATGGTGTCTCTACAAGAGAAATACATGTGTAGACTATGAAATTTTACTAAATTTTACTGTATATGTGGAAGAATTTTAGGTCAAGTATACAGAAGTTTAACTTGAATCATCAAAATAGAGAGCTGCAGCCACTCAATCAATTTCCAGACTTGATCCAGTTTGTAGACCCAGAACCCTTTAGATGAATGGGAGGCTGGGTCTCCTTGATAAAGGATTTAACTGCCAAAAATTTGTGCTGTTAATCTTTCTCCTATCTTTCCCACAGGAGACTAAAGCCATTTACTAGGTGACTGTGCATTTGGCAAAAGGAAAAAATTGTATTTTGTGGGGATTAATGGACACTATCTCTGAACTGACAGGACCCAAAATTTCACTGTGGTCCACCAGTCAGAGTTTTGTCTTACGGAGGTCAGGTGATCAATAGAATTTTAGACATCTCACAGTGTGTTCAGCGTGTCTCTGGATCAATATTGTTGTTATTTCCCCAGTTCCAGAGGGCATAATTGGAAGAAATACTCAGCAACTGGCAGAATTCCCACATTGGTTCCTTGACCTGTGGAGTGAGGGCCATTATGGTGGGAAAGGCCAAGTGGAAGCCACCAGGACTGCATGTACTTAGGATGTAAACTTAACCAGTGGTGATTCCAATTGCAGCTGTTGTTTCAGATGTGACTTTATTGCTTGAACAAGTGCTTTTTTTTCCCCTCCGTACTTTATAGTAAATATCACCAGAAGTTGTTTTGCTTTAGCTGACAATGCCAGCAGTATACCTTTACTGTCCTACCTCAGAGGTATATAACTGTCCTGCCTTGTATCATTATTGAGTCTGCATGGACTTTGTTTGCCTTTCCATTCCACAAGACGTCACACTGGTTCATTACACTGATGACATTATGCTGACTGGACTTAATGAGCAAGAAGTTATAACTAATCTTAACTTACTGGTAAGACATTTTTATGTCAGAATGTGGAAAATAGGCTGGGCAGGGTGGCTCATGCCTGTGATCCCAACAATTTGGGAGGTCAAGGTGGGAGGATTGCTTATGGCCAGGAGTTTAAGACCAGCCTGATCAACATAGTGAGACCCCATCTACCTAAAAACAAAGAGGGCCGGGCACAGTGACTCACACCTATAATCCCAGCACTTTGGGAAGCGAGTCAGGTAGATCACCTGAGGTCAGGAATTCGAGACCAGCCTGGCCAACATGGTGAAACCCGTCTCTACTAAAAATGCAAACAATTAGCTGGGTGTGCTGGCAGGTGCCTGTAATCTCAGCTACTTGGGAGGCTGAGGCAGGAGAATTACTGGAACCTGGGAGGCTGATGTTGCAGTGAGCCAAGATCGCGCTATTGCTCTCCAGCCCAGGCTGACAGCAGTGAGACTCCATCTCAAAACAACAACAAAGAGGATGGAAAATAGATCCCACAAAAATACTGGGACTTCCACAGCTGTGAAATTTCTGTGGATAAATGATTGCATCTGTCTCTTCCTATAGCTAAAAATGAGGTACAATGCCTAGTGGCCGTCGCTGATAGAGGCGACATATTTTTCATTTGGATATGCTACTCTGGCACATTTGCCAAGTGACCTGAAAAACTGCTAGTTTTTGTTGTTGTTGTTGTTGTTGTTGTTGTTGTTGATGATGATGAGATGAAGTTTCGCTCTTGTTGCCCAGGCTGGAGGGCAATGGCATGATCTCTGCTCATTGCAACCTCTGCCTCCTGGGTTCAAACGATTCTCCTGCCTCAGCCTCCCTAGTAGCTTGGGTTACAGGCATGCACTACCACGCCTGGCTAATTTGTATTTTTAGTAGTGATGGGGTTTCGCTATGTTGGTCAAGTTGGTCTCGAACTCCGGACCTCAGATGATCCACCTGTCTCGGCCTCCCAAAGTGCTGGGATTACAGGCGTAAGCCACTGCGCCCAGCCCGACTGCTGGTTTTGAGTGGGACCTGGTTAAGAGAAGGGTTCTGCAGCAGGTCCAGACATACAAGCTGCTCTGCCACTTGAGCTGTATGATCTAGGAGATCTGAGCACCACTGGCATATAGAGATGCTATCTGTAGCCTTTGTAAGGCTTCTATAGGTGAATCACAGTGCAGAACCTTACAATTTTGGAGGTAAGCCCTGCCATCCTCAGTGGATAACTACCCTCCTTTTGAGAAACAGCTTTTGTCTATCTACTGGGCCTTAGAAACTGAATGCTTAACCATGGGCTACCATGTGATCTGAACTGACTCTTACAACCTGAGTGTTGTCTGAGCCAACAAACCATAAACTTGGGTGTGCAGAGCAATACTCCATCATCATACAACAGTGATATATACAGGATCTGGCTTGAGGAGGCTCTGAAGGCACAGTAAATTACATGAAGTGGCCCAAATGCCCATCGTCCTTGCTCCTGCTACATTACCTTCTCTGCCCCAGCCCACCCTTATGATTTCATGGGGAATTCCCTATGATAGTTGACTGAGGAAGAGAAAACTAGGGCTTAGTTTATAGGTGGTTCTGCACTATGTGCAAGCACTACCCACAAGTGGATAGCTACAGCACTACAGTCCCTTTCTAGGACATCCCTGAGGGACAGCAGTGAAGGGAGGTCCTCCCAGAGCGCATTTGGCTGTTAATTTTGCTTGAAGGAGAGATGGTTAGAGGTATGAGTATATATTGATACACGGACTGTGGCCAGTGGTTTGGCTGGATGGTCAGGTACTTGTAAGGAACAGAAGTGAAAAAATTGGTGGCAGGGACATCTGGGAAAGACGTATGTCTTGTGGAAAGATAAGCCTTTCTGAGTGGGGAAAAAATGAAGGTATTTGTGTTCCATGTAAATGCTCACCAAAGGGTAAACTGCACAGAGGAGGATATTTAAAATCAAGTGGATAAGATGGCCTATTCTGTGGATAGTAGTCGGCTTACTTTCCTCCTCAGCCAACCCTATCATCCCCCAATGGGCTCATGAACAAAGTGGCTATGTAGCAGAGATGGAGGTTATGCATGTGCTCAGCAACATCGACTTCCACTCACCAAGGCTGATATGGCTACAGCTATTGCTCAGTGCCCAATCGGCCTGTAGCAGAGACCAACACTGAGTCCCTGATATGGAGCCATTCCCTGGAATGATCAACTATCTACTTGGTGTCAGTTTGATTACATTGGACTGCTTTTATCTTGGAAGGGGTGGACTTTTATTCTTACTGGAATAGACACTGTAGATACGGATTTGTCTTCCCTACACACCATACTTCTGGCAAAACTACCATCTGTGGATTTGCAAAATGCCTTTTTCACTATCATGACATTACATGTAGCATTGCTTCTGCTCAAGGAACTCCAGAGCAAATGAAGAGTGGAAATGGGCCCATGCTCATCAAATTATAGTAACTGTTTCCTATCATTTTGAGGCAGGTAGATTGATAGAACAGTGGAATGACTTATGAAGTCTCGGCTTCAGCTAGATGACACTACATTGCAGATCTGGGGAAATGTCCTCCAGGATGCCACATATACTCTAAATCAGTATCCAACATATGGTACTTTTTCTCCTATATCCAGGATTCATAGGTCTAGGAATCAAGGAGTGGAAATAGGAGTGTCACTTGCCATTACTATTACCCTTACTGATGCACACTATTTTTTTCTTGTCTGCACAACTTTATGTTCTGCTGGTCTAGAGTCTCAATTATAAAGGTATGCTTCCACCTGGAGACACAACAATGATTTCATTGAGATGGAAGTTCAGACTTCCACTTGGCCACTTTAGACTCCTGATGCCTCTGAATTAACAGGCAGCCAAGGAAGTTACTGTACTGCCTGGAAGGACTGATCCTGATTACCAAGGAGAAATTGGAGTGCTGCTACATAATGGAGGTAAGGAAGAGTATGTATGGAATGCAGAAGATCCTATAGCATGTCTGTTAGTATTATAATCCCTGTGATTAAAGTCAATGGAAAACTACAACAGTCCAATTCAGGCAGAACTACTAATGGCCTAGACCATGGGTCTCCAGCCTTTTGGCTTCCCTGGGCCACATTGGAAGAAGAAGAATTGTCTTGGGCCATACACTAACATTAACAGTAGCTGATGAGCTATTAAAAAAAAAAAGTCTGTGCAAAATTTTCATGATATCCACCACTACAGATAAGCAAAAAAGTCCTCATGTTCAAAGGGTTGGACACAGCTGGCCTAGACCCTTCAGCAATAAAGGTTTGGGTTTTTCTGCTATGCAAAGAACCACAAGCAAGCTGAGGTGCTTGCTTAGGGCACAGAAACTATGGAATGGGTAGTGGAAGAAGGTAGTTATAAATACTACCTACAAATATACGACCAGTTGCAGAAACCAAGACTGCAATTATTAGGAGTTTTTATATTTTTCCTCTTTTATCCCCCTGTAAGATAAGATATATTAATTATAGTTAATTTTACATCACAGTATTTAAAGAGAAGAATTAACATGAATATTACCCAAGGACTTTGTATACTTTGCTGGGGAAAATGCGGGTGCATCTTCAGTTGCATCCAGGATAGTTGTGTCAGGTTAGGTGGAATTAAAACTTTTTTTTTTTTTCAACGAGACAGAAAGTCAACAAGCATACCCAGGAATTGAACTCAGCTCTGCACCAAGCAGACCTAATAGACATCTACAGAACTCTCCACCCCAAATCAACAGAATATACATTTTTTTCCAGCACCACACCACACCTATTCCAAAATTGACCACATAGTTGGAAGTAAAGCTCTCCTCAGCAAATGTAAAAGAACAGAAATTATAACAAACTGTATCTCAGACCACAGTGCCATCAAACTAGAACTCAGGATTAAGAAACTCACTCAAAACTGCTCAACTACATGGAAACTGAACAACCTACTCCTGAATGACTACTGGGTACATAACAAAATGAAGGCAGAAATAAAGATGTTCTTTGAAACCAACGAGAACAAAGACAAAACATACCAGAATCTCTGGGACATATTCAAAGCAGTGTGTAGAGGGAAATTTATAGCACTAAATGCCCACAAGAGAAAGCAGGAAAGATCCAAAACTGACACCCTAACATCACAATTAAAAGAACTAGAAAAGCAAGAGCAAACACATTCAAAAGCTAGCAGAAGGCAAGAAATAACTAAAATCAGAGCAGAACTGAAGGAGATAGAGACACAAAAAACCCTTCAAAAAATTAATGAATCCAGGAGCTGGTTTTTTGAAAGGATCAACAAAATTGATAGGCCGCTAGCAAGACTAATAAAGAAAAAAAGAGAGAAGAATCAAATAGACGCAATAAAAAATGATAAAGGGGATATCACCACCGATCCCACAGAAATACAAACTACCATCAGAGAATACTACAAACACCTCTATGCAAATAAACTAGAAAATCTAGAAGAAATGGATAAATTCCTCGACACATACACTCTCCCAAGACTAAACCAGGAAGAAGTTGAATCTCTGAATAGACCAATAACAGGATCTGAAATTGTGGCAATAATCAATAGCTTACCAACCAAAAAGAGTCCAGGATTCACAGCCGAATTCTACCAGAGGTACAAGGAGGAACTGGTACCATTCCTTCTGAAACTATTCCAATCAATAGAAAAAGAGGGATTCCTCCCTAACTCATTTTATGAGGCCAGCATCATCCTGATACCAAAGCTGGGCAGAGACACAACCAAAAAAGAGAATTTTAGATCAATATCCTTGATGAACATTGATGCAAAAATCCTAAATAAAATACTGGCAAACCGAATCCAGCAGCACATCAGAATTAAAACTTTTAAATTATCTTTATATGGAGATTATGTATGGTTTAAGGAAATGTGTATGGGTGCCAAGTTGATGAGGGAGTAGACTATGATAACTTATGGTTAGTTTGTTGTGTCAATTTGGCTAGGCTATAGTGCCCAGTAATTTAATCAAAGAATTATCTAGGTGTTGCTATGAAGATACTCTATATATTTATTTTATTTTTGAAGATATTTTGTAGGTGTTATTAACACCTACAATCAGTTGACTTTAAGTAAAGGAGTTACCCTCTATCATGAAAGTGGACCTCATCAAATCAGTTGAAGGGCCTTAAGAACAAAACTGATGTTTCCCAGAAAAAGAAAAAAATACTGTCTCAAGACTGCATGTAAATAACATCAGCTCCTGCCCAAGAGTTTTCAGCCTGCCAATCGGACATACATTTTGGATTTACAGCCCCCACAAACGTGTAAGCCAGTACCTTCAAGTCTCTCTCTTTCTTTCCCTTCCTCCTTTTCTCCCTCCCTCCCTCTCCATGTGAGTGTGTGTGTGTGTGTGTGTGTGTGTGTGTGTGTGTGTGTGTGTTTAAACACACTGTTCTGTTCCTCTGGTGAACCTTGGTTCTATTTCTCTGGCGAACCCTGAAATAATGATAATAAACAATGAAAATAATTGTACTTAAGTATTTTAAGATTTCAGTAAAAAAAAAAAAAAGAGCAAAATTCACATAGCAGATTCTTCTTGAGTTCACCAGGAATCTCAACGTCTCTAGAGAGAGTATTTTCTCAATAAAATAGGCTGCATAAAGAAGGTTCCATTGAAGGTGTCAACAGATTCAAATTAACTACCAAAAGATACAAATTTAAATAAAATTGCAGATAATTTTATGCACCAACTAAAATAAATTCAAGGTCATATTTGTAGTTGAGTCCCAGATGGAGAGAAGAGAGAAAAGTGGCATAAAAACATTTTAAGAAATAAAGGCAGAAAAATTTCCAAATATGATGGGAAAAAATCAAGCCACAGATCCTAGAAGCTGCAAGAAACCCAAGCATTTTAAATACAAAGAGGACCACACTTAGGCACATCATAGTCAAATGACTGGAAACAAAAGATAAAGTCTTAAGTCAGCTAGAGAGAGAGAGAGAAAAAAAAAGACATTTTTACATTGGATAAAACAAACTAAGAATGAAGGCTGACTTATATTCAAATACTGTAGTAAGAAGACAATTGCAATGAAATCTTAAAATGCTGAAAGAAAGAAAAAAATACCTTTCCACCTAGAATTATATATCTGGTAAATTTATCATTAAAAAGTGAAGAGAATATAAACATTGTTTGAGTTGTAGGCCAAAAAAGATATAACAAAGGAAAGAACATATTTTGTAATAAATGATAATGAATGCTGGCTATATCAAAATTTATGGATGAAGCTAAAGCAGTGTTTAGAAGGAAATTCATAGCTTTGAAAATTATGTTAGAAAAATAAAAAGGTGTAAAATCAATTACTTAAGCTACCACCCTAAAAGGGTAAAAAAAAAAGTGAAAATTAAACCCAAATTAAGTACAAAATGAGAAGAAATAAATATAAGAGGATAAATCAGTGAATTAGCAAATAGAAAAATAATAGAGAAAATTGATAAAACTGAAAGTTAATCCTTTGAAAAATTTAATAAACTTTGTAAGCCCATGGCTGCACTGATAAAAATAAAAGAGATATGATACAAATTAGCAACATCAAGAATTAAAGAGGGCATGCCACTAGAGAATCTAGAGACATTAAAATTATAATAAAGTAATCAATTCACCTCATAGCTGAAATGGGTAAATTCCTTATGAGAAAAGACGTACTAAAACTGAAGCAAGAAGAAATATAATATCTGAATAGCCTTATATTTGTGAAAGAAAATGAATTTGAAAAAAAAATCATTCCGGAAAGAAAACTCCAGGTCCAAATTGATTCATTGCTAAATTCTACCAAGCACTTAAGGAAGAAACAATGAAGAAATTATGTAAACCATAAATCATCTATTTCAGAAGACAGGATGAGTAACACCAGCTCATTTCCTGAGGGTAGCATAACCCTGATCTCAAAATCTGAGAAAGACATTATAAAAACAGGGAATTGCAGACCAATATCCATCACGATCATAGGAATAAATATAGTTGACAAAATATTAACAAATGAAAAATAGCAGTATATGAAAATAATATCCCATTACCAATGTGAATTATTCAAGGAATTTCAGTTTGGTGTAATATTTAAAGACCATTCAGGTTGAATTACCACATTAACTAAAAGAGAAAAATGACACAACAATCCTAATAGATGAACAGAAATCATTGACAAAATTCAGTACTCATTCATGATACAACATTTGAGCAAACTAGGACTAGAAAGGAGCTTCCTCAATCTGATAGGAGACCTCTATAAAAAACTTGTAAATAATCATTATACTTACTGATGAAATATTGAACATGTTCCCTCTGAAGTTGGGAACAAGGCAATTATGTTTGCTCTTTGTTTTTAAACAATTTATTGAATGTTTTAGTCAGTGCATTAAGACAAGAGATAAAGATTATAATTGTGTAGATTAAAGTGCTAAAGAAATCATAAAAATTTGTAAGAGCTAATAAATGAGAATAACGAGGTTACACAACGTAAGGTAGTTATACCAAAATCAATTATATTTTTTGTACTAGAAAAAAATTGGAGAGGGATTTAAGATTAATGTTATTTTTAATGGTACAAAAATAAAATATTCAAGAATATGTCTACTGAAGAGCACAAAATATCTCAGAGAAACTAAAGAATACCTAAGTAAATGGAGAGATAAATGATGCTAATGGTTTAGAAAACTCAATATTGCTAAGATATCCATTTTCCCCAAATTGATCTGTAGATTTATTACAATATATTCAAGATCCCAGCTGGCTTTGGAGGTATTGACAAGTGATTCTAAAATTAGAAAGTAAATACAAAGGACCTGGAATAACCAAGACAATTTGGAAAAGAAAAAAAATGTAATTTTTGACCAATCTACACAACTGAATTTAAGAAAACTAATATAACATTTCAGTAATCAAGGCAGTGTGATATTGGCCTTAGAATGGGCAAACAAATCAATGGCATAGAAGTAGAAGCACATATAAATGATCAACGGAATTTTTTGACAAAGTTGCCAACTTAATCCTATAGCGAAAGGATAGTCTTTCCACAAATGATGCTGGAACAACTGAGTAACTGTTTTGGGAGGAAAATAAACCTGTATCCACACTTTCTAGGAGATGTAAAAATGTATTCATGGTGGATCATAGACCCAAATGTAAAAATTAAAACTCTTAAGCTTTGAGATGAAAATAAAGATTCGTTTTTTGGTCACTTTGGAGTAGGCAGCAGTTTCTTAGGTAGAACACACAAACCATTAACCATAAAAGGAAAAATTAATGAATTGGACTCTATAAACTAAAAATTTCTGCTCATCAAAAAGCACCATTAAGAAAATGCATAGGAAAGCCCCTGAGTGGGATAAATAATTTTTTTTTTTTTGAGACAGAGTCTCGCTCTGTCACCCAGGCTGGAGTGCAATGGCACGATCTCCACTCACTGCAAGCTCTGCCTCCCAGGTTCACGCCATTCTCCTGCCTCAGCCTCCCGAGTAGCTGAGACTACAGGTGCCCGCCACCATGGCCAGCTAATTTTTTGTATTTTTAGTAGAAATGGGGTTTCACCATGTTAGCCAGGATGGTCTCGATCTCCTGACCCGTGATCCACCTGCCTTGGCCTCCCAAAGTGGAGAAATAATTTTTAATATGCATATTTGAAAAAGGCCTTGTATTCAGGTTATATAAAAAACTTGAAAATTACAAACAACTAGGCATTGTGAGGCCCAGGCGGGAGGATTGCCTGAGGCTAGGAGTTTGAGACCAGTCTGGGCAACATAGCAAGATCCTATCTCTATAAAAAATTATTAAAAATTAGCTCGTATGGTGGTGCCTGCCTGTAGTCCTTTTATGGTGGTGCATACCTGTAGTCCTTGGTACTTGGTGGCTGAGGCAGGAGGGTCTTGAGCCCAGGAGTTCCAGGTTACAGTGAGCTATGATTGTGCCATTGCATTAGCAACAGAGCAAGACCCTCTCTCAACAAAAAAAAAAAGTTACCAACAACCCAATAAAAATGAGCAAAGGGCTTTGACAAAGCTCTTCACAAAAAGAACATAAATGAATGATCAAAAAGCACATTAAAAAGTCATCGGGGAAATAATTAAGAACACAGTGAGTTACCAGCCCACCTTCAGTAGATGGCTAAAATGAAAAAGACTGGCAATACCAAATAGGAACAATGATGTGGGACAACTCTGGGGGTCTGGGCGGGCTTGGTGGTCCATTCTCAGATGGGCCCCACCCTTTACTTAATGCTCTGCTGTTGCTGACTTGAAATTCTGAATATTTTTATCTTTGAACTTATGTATTCAAAGTGAAGTCTAATGAGTGAATGAAGCATAAGACATGTATCCAACGGCAGTGTGTGCGTGTGCTGCTCAGTTCCATGGGCATGGCTGGTATGAAACAGTGTGTGTACTAAACTGTAGACTTGGGTGCCTGGTGCACACATGCATGCCAAGGGGAGTCAGGGGTGCCACAGGGTCCCAAGGGAGCAGCTAGGACCAGGATCTGGGCCAGATTCGTGGTGGCAGCAGGAACAGCAGTAGAAGTAGTAGCAACTGTGGAGGAAGCTGACTTGCTGGTGTGTCCCCGGAGCTTATTCCTGTGACAGCTGCATATATTTACTTGCAAATCTGTGTGGAGGCAGAAACTGCTGGTGCTCAGGCGGTAACCTTTGTCAGTAAATTATTACCAAATAAAAGCATTCAGGCCGGGCACAGTGGCTCACGCCTGTAATCCCAACACTGGGAGGCCAAGGCGGGCAGATCATTTGAGGTCAAGAGTTCGAGACCAGCCTGGCAAACATGGCGAAACCCCATCTCTACTAAAAACACAAAAATTAGCCAGGCCTAGTGGTGCATGCTTGTAATTCCAGCTACTCAGGAGGCTGAGGCAGGAGAATCACTTGAACCCGGGAGGCAGAGGATGCAGTGAGCCGAGATCGCGCCACTGCAATCCAGCCTGGGTGTCAGAGCCAGACTCCGTCTCAAAAAAAAAAAAAAAAAAGTCCTCACGTGGACATTTCAATAAAGCATATCAAGGAGTTAGAATTCTTCAAATAAGTTAGAACCTCTGGTTTTGACACTGCTGCAACATTACAAGGCAAATCTCTACAGGCTTAGAAACAAAAATTAGACTTGAAAGATTTTTGCATTCAACAGGAAATAACACTATTTTCGAATGAAGTTTTGGATAAACCAATTATTAATTAGGACAATATTGAAATTAATTTTTTCTTATAATTGAAGATACAGTAATAGAATGAGTACATAGATATTTTGAAATATATACAAATCAAAAAGACACTTTTAATATTTTACACAACCTCCATAAGTTACAGGAAATTTCAGAGGAAACATTAACATTCTATTGTATAAATTTAAAATTAAACTCAGATGTACATGGAACTGATTTGTATTACAAGGTAAATGCTGTAAGAAAAATTACAAGAGTCATTAGTTCTAGTTGTACTAAAACTTGTATTTCAAAACAATTTATGATAAATATATCCAAATGTTGTCATGACCTATAAAATACTCCTAGCAACTCCAGCAACACTTATCATTAAGATCTTTCTCAAGGTTAAAAATCATTAAAATTGTTTATGATATTGCATTTATTAAGATGTTGGCAAATATTAGCTTTCAATTATGTTATTTGATAATGAAGTTACTAAAGGTATATATTTTGATGACCTAATGAATTTGTAAAAAAAGAAAGCTAGAAAAATCTTATGACCAATCAAGATATCATATTAGTAAATTATATGCTAAAAGATAATGATAAAAGATGTTAATAATTTAAGAAGTATGATAATGAAAGTATTTAAAAATTTATAATGCAACATTCATATAGCAAAAAGTTATAACTATTTTGAACTTTTATGTAACTAACCAAATAGACTAAAAATATGTAATGCAAAAGTGGACAGAATTAAGAAGAGAAATTGCAAAAGAAACAAAAGGCATCCAGATTGGAACAGAAAAAGTAAAAGCATCTCTATTTGCAGATGACATGATCTTATATGTAGAAAATCCTAAGAATTTTGCACACACATACACACACACACACAATTAGAACCAATAAATGAATTCAACAGTGTTGCAGGATTCAAGATCAATATTAAAAAAAATCAATTGTGTTTCTATACTTTGTCAATCAACAATCAAAAAATGAAGAGAAATAGAAAAATATCTAGTGAATAAATACTAACCAAGAGAAAGTTGAAGTATGTAGATTATTCTCAGGAAAAATATATATAAAATGCAATAAAAAGTAATTATTAGAGATAAAGAGATGACTACATAATGACAAATAGTTCAACTTACAGGAAAATTCTAATATCTGCCAGAAAATACTTGCTGGTGTAAAAGAATGTAGTTAACAAACTTGACTTATTAGGTATTTCTAGTACTCTTCACCAACAATTCGAGAATGCACATAATGTTGGACAATAGTTAACTTATAGGTATGGATTTTCCTAATGTTAAACTATTGTTTATGTTAAATTGTTCACATAACAATTATTATACATTAATTATAACATAACAATTAATAGCATTAATTATAACAACAATTTAACATAGGTAAACAATAGTTTACATAATATTTCATATAAAGATAAATTCCTAATCAGTTAAAGACTTAAATTAAAAAGCCAAAACTTTGGGGAAATTTATAGAAATCTGGAAATATAAAACCTAACAAAACAAATGCAAATAGAAATGAGAAACTTTGATAGTTCTATAACTCTAAAGGAAATTAACCCAGTATTTAAACACAGACATACATACATCTTTAGGTTTTCATTTGCCTTGTTTATTTTTGACCACATTTTCTTTAATCTTTTTTTGTCTGTTTATTCCTGATGTGCTTTTTGTATACATCATACAGGAGTAGGATAAATATTACTAGTGCGTACTAGCATTTCTACTTGTCTTTTCCCTTTTAAACACAAGGAAAATATTATTTCCCAGTCTCTAGTGTCATGTGACTAGCTCTGACTAATGAGTTATAATGAAAAGCTTTGTGTATTACTTTCAGTCCAACACACTTCAGAGCCACTGTTCTAATTCTCTGTGTCCTAATCTAATGCTTTATGTTGAGGTGGAGGTGCTATAAGATAGAGGCAGCCTGGAATTCTTAGCCATTGCACAGAATAGAAGTCAGCCTAAACATTATATGGAACAAGAATTGAACTTTTGTTAGGTTGCTGAAATGTTGTTTTTTTGTTCTTCCTGTAGCATTACTATTACCTAGCCTATCCCGACTAATAGAAGATGATTCGCTTTTTACTCAATCTAAGAATGATTATCTTTTAATAATTTATTCTGTTTATATTTACTGACATTTCAGTTATGTTTGGTTTTAAGTCTCTAATTGTGGTTTATATTTTATATCTTCAGTACCTAGAAAAAAGCCTGGACATATCAGGTACCCAATAAATATTGTTGAAAAATTAATAAATTTTAAATGATATTCTTAAACATGTACTTCATGATTTTTTGACTTTGGACTTTCTAACCTGAAAGTAGAGAAGTTTCTTCTTTTCTGTCCTTTTCCCCACCAACCACTGAGTTTGGTGAAAAATACCATTGTGTTTTACATTGTTATAATTTATTCAGCTTACATTCTATTCTGTAGCCAAAATTCTTGCAGCTGCTTACATCTGTAGCTCTATTTTTAATGGATTCAATATTTTCTGTAAGCTCCTTTACCATGACTTCTCTATTTCTGAGGTCTTAATTTTGATTTATTTATTAGCTGAACTGATTTAATTGCCAAGAAGTTTTAGTTTTTTAAAAATAAGGACTTACATCTCTTTGCATCTTGTATCTTTGAAGATATGTGTGTAGTCTTCTTTTACTTTCTAAGAGAATTTTGTAGACATTGCTTCACTGTCTCCTGGCCTTCAGTGTTTTTGTATGACATCATTCCCCTATCTCTCCCTTTGTAGGTGCCTCCCCACTACCCTTTTTCTGGCTGGTTGTCCACAGTAGTCTTTATTTATGTTTGAAAATCAGTACCTTCATTAGCATATGTTGCATTTGTCAATTTCTCCTTTTCAATGTGAATATTCAAGTCTTCATTTATTTAATAAACTTTTCTTTTCCAATTTTGTTTTTGAATTCTTTCCTGAGGGTTTTCTGAGGGCTTGGATAAAGAAATGTTTATTAGATTCTTTTCTTTAGCAACCCCAGTTATAGAAATGCTGAATTACATACATTATCTTCTGTATCTATTATCATCTTTTTAATTACTTTTATATATTTGCTTTTCTCCAGTTTATATTTAATATTTCCTTAAGGCTGACTTTTAAGTTTCTCTAAGTTCACTAGGAATGTTGACATTTTTGGCATGGGTTCGTTTTGGCATGGGCTCACTCAGCAAAAGTGAGGTTAGGAATGATAAACATAAGCCCAGGGAATTATTGGCTGCAGGTATTCTCTAGCTGCAGAGAAGGCTGTTAGATATGTACATGCCTCTGTGAGCTCCCTTCGGGAACTATGTAAGTGTAAACCCATAAGAATAAGGAATTGAGAGAGAAGACAACAGAAAATGAGAGCTATCAGCTGTAGCAGCTGACCTAGAAGAGCAGATAAAGATAAGAAATATTGCCTATAATCCGAGCGCTTTGGGAGGCAAAGGCAGGAGGATAGCTTGAGGCCAGGAGTTCCAGACGAAACTGGACAACATAGTGAGACTTGTCTCTACAAAAAAAAAATTTTTTTTTAATTAGCCAAACATGGTGGCATGTGTCTGTAGTCCTAGCTACTTGGGAGGCTGAGGACAGAGGATCACTTGAACCCAGGAATTCAAAGCTGCAGTGAGCTATGATTGTGCCAGAAGGCTGCAGTGAACGATGATCCTGCCAGAAACTGGTAAGGCTCAGGAATGAAAGCACCAGGTACCTCTGAAAAACAGTGCCAGGTAGAAAGCTAAATGTAGAATGGGTTGAAAGTCTGTGTAAAGATTAGACCATCAGGTTACTCATCCACAGCCTCTGTAGTCAGATGACTGCTCCTCCTCTATCCCGGTAGGAAACAATATCTTCCCTTGAAGCAGTCAAGCTAAGGATGCCTGGGTTCAGGAGCACCAGACCCAGGTGAAGGCAAGGGGATGGGATTGCCAGTTTTCTTTGTTCAATTTTTTCTTTTAATGGATTGTAAATTATAATTCTACTTTTGTTAGTCTACTTATAACTCTTTCTATTACTTTGTTATTATTATTATTATTTTAATTTTTAGTCAGGATGTGGAGGTTGACCAGGCTAGTCTCTAACTCCTGGGCTTAAGCCATCCTCCTGCCTTGGCCTCCCAAAGTGTTGGGATTACAGGTGTGAACCATTGCACCCAGCCTGTTTATGACTCTTAGATTTTACAAAGATTCTTAAGGTTATCTTTTTGAAACAATATCAGGAATATATATATGTGCTCTAGTTGATATAAGAAATCTAATACATTCAAAAAACCTCTTTACTCCTCCTCTGCATTTCCCCAGCATCCTTTTCCTTCACAGCTACCGCCCATATTGATCATATCTGGGATTTGTGTTCCTGGTTTTGCTATTAAAAAAACAACAACAACAACAAAAAACAAAAACAAAAAAGACCTAGTAGATTGGTAGTTACCAGAAGCCGGGAAGGGTAGCAGGAGAGGGGATGAAGAGAAGTTGTTTGATGAGTACAAATATATGGTTTGATAGAAGAAATAAAACCTAGGTCAGGCGTGGTGGCTGTAATCCCAGCACTTTGGGAGGCCGAGGTGGGTGGATCACTTGAGGTCAGAAGTTCGAGACCAGCCTGGCCAACATGGTGAAACCCTGTCTCTGCTAGAAATACAAAAATTAGCTACTAGAACTACAAATCGCTTGAACCTGGGAGGCCAAGGTTGCAATGAGCCGAGATTGCGCCACTGCACTCCAGCCTGCGTGACAGAGTGAGACTCCATCTGAAAAAAAGAAAAAAGAAAAGAAGAAATAAAACCTAGTGTTAGATAGATCAGTAGGGTTACTATAGTTTACAGTAATCTATTGGATATTTCAACATAGCTAGAAGAGATGAGTTTGAATAGTTTCAGCATAAAGAAATGACAGATATTTTAGGTGATAAATATCCCAAGTACATTGATTTGATCTTTACAAATTATATGAATGTATTAAATTTTCACATGTACCCCAAAACTATGGACTTCTATTATGCATCAATTAAAAAAAACACGGGAAAAAGAGAAAATTGGGATTATTCCTTAAAATTATAAATTATGTTTTTTCCGTGAAAAAAAAAAACCCAAACCTATTTAGTTTTAAGCAATAAAATATATCCTAATCACTTAGCTCACTGTAGCATTTTGTAGCTCATTTGAATGATTATTTGTCTGTTATCACATTTGGGGGTCAATATTTTTGTCTATCAAAACTTTAGAGATATTACTCTATCATCTTCCTGCATTGTTTTCTTCCAGCATTGCTGATAGGAAGCCTGATATGAATCTCATTCTAATTCCATATATATATATACACACACATATACACACACATATATATACACACACATATATATACACACATATATACACATATATACACACATATATGTACATATGGAATATATAAACATGTATATGTATATGGAATATATATACATGTATATGTATATGGAATATATATACATGTATATGTATATGGAATATATATACATGTATATGGAATATATATACATGTATATGTAATATATACATGTATATGTATACGTAATATATATACATGTATATGTATATGGAATATATATACATGTATATGTATATGGAATATATATACATGTATATGTATACGTAATATATATACATGTGTATGTATATGGAATATACATATATACATGTATATGTATATGGAATATACATATATATATACATGTATATGTATATGGAATATACATATATATACATGTATATGGAATATACATATATATACATGTATATGTATATGGAATATACATATATATACATGTATATGTATATGGAATATACATATATATACATGTATATGTATATGGAATATACATATATGTATATATACACACATATATGTGTATATCTGGAAGATATATATGGAATATATACATACGGAATATATACATACGGAATATATACATACGGAATATATACATACGGAATATATACATACGGAATATATGCATACGGAATATACATACATACGGAATATACATACATACGGAATATACACATACGGAATATACATACATACGGAATATATACATACGGAATATACATACATACGGAGTATATACATATGGAATATACATACATACGGAGTATATACATATGGAATATACATACATACGGAATATATACATATGGAATATACATACATACGGAATATATACATATGGAATATACATACATACGGAATATATACATATGGAATATACATACATACGGAATATATACATATGGAATATACATACATACGGAATATATACATATGGAATATACATACATACGGAATATATACATATGGAATATACATACATATGGAATATATACATATGGAATATACATACATACGGAATATACACATGGAATATATACATACGGAATATACATACATATGGAATATATACATATGGAATATACATACATATGGAATACACATATGGAATATACATACATATGGAATATATATGGAATATATACATATGGAATATATATATATTTTCCCTCCCTCTTTCTGTTTTTTTGTTGTTATTTTTTTATTTTTTGAGACGGGGTTTGGCCATGTTGGCCAGGCTGGTCCTGACCTCAAATGATCCATCCACCTCAGTTCCCAAAGTGCTGAAATTACAGGAATGAGCCACCGCATCCAGCCTCTCCCTCCCTCTTTCTGAAAGTTCCTATTAATGGATTTTACTCGGCAGGGTGCAGTGGCTCATGCCTGTAATCCCAGCACTTTGGGAGGCCAAGGCAGGCTGATCACCTAAGATTAGGAGTTTGAGACCAGCCTGGCCAACATGGTGAAACCCCATCTTTACTAAAAATACAAAATTTAGCTGGGCATGGTGGCGGGTGCCTTTAATCCCAGCGACTCGGGAGGCTGAGGCAGGAGAATCGCTTGAACCCAGGAGGCGGAGGTTGCAGTGACCATTGCACTCCAGCCTGGGCAATAAGAGCGAAACTCCATCTCAAAAAATAAAATAAAATAAAAATAAAAATAAAAATAATTAAAAAAAGAACTATGAGGGGAAAGGAATCCTATTGTTAAGTAGTTAACCAACTGGCTGGAGGTGCAGTGCTTTTAGTCATCAATGGAGATTGTACTGCATGTGTTATCTTTAGATTTGAAGGTGATCCCAGTACAAGAACTGAAGATGTTAAACTAATTTTGCTGAGGTAATAACTGATCTGAGGCAAGAAGAGTAAGTCTAGTTTACTGGATCAAGGGATAGGTTATTCTATTAGGGTTCTCCAGAGGGAGAGAAACAATAGGATATATGTATATGTAAAAGGGGGTTTGGGCCAGTTGCGGTGGATCATCCCTGTAATCCCAGCACTTTGGGAGGCTGAGGCAGGTGGATCGCTTGAGGTCAGGAGTTCGAGATCAGCCTGGTCAACATGGTGAAACCCCATCTCTACTAAAAATAGAAAAATTAGCCAGGTGCGGTGGTGCCGGCCTGTAGTCTCAGCTACTTGGGAGGCTGATGTAGAAGAATTGCTTGAACCCAGGAGGCAGAGGTTGCAGTGAGCCACTGCACTCCAGCCTGGGTGACAGATTGAGACTCTGTCTCAAAAAAATTAAAATTAACAAAAAAAAAAAAAGTAAATAAAAAGGAGGTTTATTAGGGAGAATTGGCTCATGGAATTACAAGGTGAAGTACCATGATAGGCCGTCTGCAAGCTGGGGAGAGAGAAAAGCTGGTAGTGGCTCAGTCCACGTCTGAAAGCCTCAAAACCAGGAAAGTCAACAGTGCAGTCTGCAGTCTGGCCGAAGGCCCGAGGAACATCCTCCCACACTGCCCTAGGAGCCACTGGGGCAAGTCCCAGAGTCCAAGAGCTGAAGAACCTGGGGTCTGTTTGATTTAGTCAAATTGTATTTGGAAAATCTTATACCCAAGTCATTCTCTATCCTCATCCACAACTTCCACATGCAAGCCATGCATACGTCTACAGGTGTCACAAGGATACATTTTGTTATTTTCTTTCTCATTTCAGAGGAATATATTGGTTAACAGTATTTCCTTTTTCATTTAATGTATTTTGTATTCACATATGTAAGTTACCATTCTTATGCTGGTAATTTTGGCTAAGAGAGCATACTTTCAAGGACTGATATATACATTCTTTTAATGATATTAGGAATCTGTGAATAAAACAAATGCATCTATCTAGTCATGTTTAGAGGACTTGCCTGCACCATTTATCCCAGCAATTAATTATGAGTAGTTGAGTAGTCCATGGGATCATTTTTTAAATCTGATTTCCTCTGAATTCTATCTGAAAGAAACTCTCCAAAATTTGTAAGATATGAATGGTACCACCTCCCGTCTCCAGCATTTTTGTAAGCTTGTCCCTTTTTGTTCAATTTCTTTGGTGTATTCTGCAGTTCCTATGTCACCATTTTAATGAAAATCCTACCTTTTAACATGCACTGAACTCAGTTATTGAAAGGCAGGTCATGTGTACTTTCTAGAATTATGAAAATTGCTTGGTGCTTTTTCCGTGGTTAGCAATCACTTAATTAGCATTAATAGTTTAATACTAATTGTGTTTTCATGTGGGTAGATGCAGCATTTTAACGAAATCTCCAGATTGTAAGAGAAATGTGTCTAAAAGTCCAGGGGAAATATCTTTAACAATATTTTAAAGGAGAAAGGAAGAGGATCTTTTGTTTGTTGGCTTTCCAGAATTTTAGTTGCGTGACCTTATTAAACTAACCACAAGATGGCATCGGTTTTCTATTTTAAAATAAATATGGTACATTAGACTGAGAATCCCTTTCGTCTTTCATCTTTGCATGTTCCAAGTCCTAGTTATAGCTGTCTCTTGAGTTTATCATTCATGAGCTATAAACCTAGTAGCAGCTGGATCACATTTAAAGTTGGTAGATAGAGTAATCAGTTTGTGAATTCCATTTCTTGGACCATATCCATGTTAAGGAGAGAATGGCTCAGCTGCTCTCCTAAGCATTTCAGATGAAATGTCAGAGTGCAGGAATTCACCAGTAATATGCAATGGAGCAAGTCTAAACCCAGGCTCACCGGGTATTTATGGTCCTTCCTTCCTTCCTTCCTTCCTTTCTTCCTTCCTTCCTTCCTCCCTTCTTCTTTCCTTCTCCTCCTGCTCCTCCTCCTCCCCCCCTTCCCTTCCCTTCCCCTTCCTTCCTTCCCTTCCCCTTCCTTCCTTCCTTCCTTCTCTCTCTTTCTTTCTCTCTCTTTCCTTTCTTTCTTTATCTCTTTCTCTCTTTCTTTCTTTCCTCTCCTTCCTTCCTTCCCTCCTTCTCTTTCTTTTCTCTCTTTCTCTCTCTTTTTCTCTCTCTCTCTTTCTTTCTCTCTTTCCTCTCCTTCCTTCCTTCCCTCCTTCTCTCTTTCTCTTTCTTTTCTTTTCTTTTCTTTTCTTTCTTTCTTTCTTTCTTTCTTTCTTTCTTTCTTTCTTTCTTTCCTTCTCTCTCTTTCCTTCCTTCCTTCCTTTCCTCTCTCTCTCTTTCTTTCTTTTCCTCCTTTCTCTCTCTCTCTCTCTCTTTCTTTTTTGAAATAGGGTCTTTCTGTCACACAGGCTGGAGCATAGTGGCATGATCATGGCTCATTACAGCCTCCAACTCCTGGGTTCAAGTGATCCTCCTTCCTCAGCCTTCAGAGTAGATGGAACTACAGGCGCATGCTACCACACCCGGCTATCTAAAAAAAAAAAAAAAAACTTTTTTAGAGATGTTGTCATGCCATGTAGCTCAGGCTGGTCTCAAACGTCTGGACTCAAACAATCCTGCTGCCTTGGCCTCCCAAGGTGCTGCTATTACAGGCCCCAGCCACCGTGCCAGGTCTTATGGTATTTCTTTATTACACATCAGCAGATTTTTCTACCCCTTCAAAACACAGCAACTAAATGTCTACAATTACTCAACAAATCAGTCACTACAAAGTACTAAATTTTATAGTAAAACATGTATGTTTCAGGATCTGGTTCAATCTACTCTCCTGACTTTAGATGATCTATTCTGATTATTTTATTTTAGTAATCCAGATATCCAGATTACTTATGCTTGTGTGGGTTTAGTAAGTCAGTTGAAAAAGACCACCATTTGTTACTTTCTTACTGGTTTTTTTGTATCATTCTATAGAAGGAATTTGGCTTTCTTAAAATGTGTAGAAAATAAAATCAGGCCAAATGTTCTATGAGCCCCTCTGCTGTGTTTGAGTTGTGCAACCCTTTCCTGTTGGTTTCAGAGCTCTAGACTCTGCTGCGGGTGCAGCCGTAACATGGCCTAGAAGCTACATGGCTTCTGGTGAACATGTCTGTTCGGGTTCTTCCTCTCAATTTCAGCCAACCCTTCTGGCCTCTAATCTGGGAATGATGTCCACTTTTCAGGATGGGCTTCTCTATAGGCCAGAAAATATTTTCTGCATGAGAAGGGTGAGGGTATTTGGTAATTCAAGAACATAGCTTAGAAATGAAAAACTTGTTTATTCTCTTAGTTACCCATATTCAGTTCAGATAAAGTTAATCAAGTAAAGCATCACTTGGTGCTAAGTTATCTCTCCTTCCTTTATCTCCTGCCATATGCAGATTCCATTTTCCTCCATTTCTTCCCAAGCAGCCCTCGTGTTCCGTAATTTTCTGTTCCCTGCTTTCTCTATCTAAGTCCCATTCCCTTAGGTCAGCTAAACCAAACTTGACATAAATAAAGTAAAATTGCCCACTAGTAACTACGTCTCTTTTAAAATTATACTTTAGTTATGGATTAGCTGTCTCTTACACTACGCTTGATTATGAGCAACTCAGAGACAAGGGCTGTGTCTTACTCATCCCAGCATTCAGTACTTAGAGAACACTCCACTGTTAGCCAAGATGGGGTGAGGGTAAAGGCATCAGTTGCAAAGATAAGAATGTTTTCTTATGTCAGTATCCCCTATTCTCACTACTTAGCTGTTGCTGCTTGCTTTCCCATAGCTCCTGAAATTATATAATTAAAATAGGCGGGTATAGGCCAGTCATGGTGGTTCATACCTGTAATCCCAGCACTTTGGGAGGCCAAGGTGGGTGGATCGCTTGAGCTCAGGAATTCGAGACTACCCTGGGCAACATGGTGAAACCCCATCTCTGTTTATAAAAACAAACAAACAAACAAAATATGGCACGTATAATGGCTGAAATGGATTCTGTGATAAATAGGTCTTCTAGGATCTGTTCAGATGCCTCTGTTCTAACGGAAATACAAGTTGTCTTTGCATCTTCTCGTCTGCCCCATCTTCAGCTTTTTCTCCCTTCCTTTCTTGTTGGGAATTTAAATGATATAAAATCTCCTATAAAAATTTTTCTTCACTTTTATAATAGTCTGCCACAGAACATTATAAAATCACTCAATTTTCTTTTTATAGGTTAAAAAATCTAAAGATTCAGTAAGTTGTATCAGATATTGAGGAGAGGATCTAAAACTGATATGTGAACAATTACGAAAGAAACTGAAGGAGGAACTAAAGTCCACAGCAGCAGGAAATGACCATGAATATAGTCTATGAATACAGGGGAAGCATATTGTTAAAATGCATATAATGTTATGGGCAGGTGGTAGACTCATTGATGGCCTCCACTGAATCATGGATCCCAACATATATGACCTTTTGTGGTTCCCTCCCACATTGGCTCTGGCTTGGCCATGTGACGCTTGGTCTAGTAGGGCATTAGCAAGTATGACACATGCATTTGGGATTTGCTTGCTTGGAAGCAAGAGAATGCAGGCTCCTATTGACTTGGTGGTGAGGTTCACAATGCTGATTGTAAAACTCTTAGAAGCATTTACATTGTTTTTGACTTTCATTAAATTCCTTTTTATACAATGAAATGAATCTTTAATTTCCTGTAGTATAGTGATACCAAAAAAAAAAAAAAAGATGCCCCAGGAATCAGCAGAAGACAAACTGGGGACTGCTTAAGGTAACGAAAAATAGAGATTTCTTTAATAGAAGTGTTACAGTTTTGAAGCTCAAACTAGGCAGAAAAGGACAAATGAGATCTTGAAAGCCACACTCAACATACAAAAAGGAAAATAAGATAAATTAGACTCGACTGCTCTTTGAGATTGAACTATATAAAAGGTAAATCACGGAGAGTGACTAGAATCTGAAGAAATCTCAGAGAGGAAACCAGAGTGATGTTCCCAGAGGGAGCCCAAATCCAGGAGATACCTGAGTTCATTCCCATGGGCAATGGGAATTCAGAGGTTTGGGATGTGCTCCAAGGTTTTATGACATCCTGGTTAAAAACATGGACTCGGGCCAAGGTGTTCAAATCTCAGATGTACCTCTTCCTATTTCTATGACTTGAGGCAAGTTACGGAATCTCACTCTCTTGCAATTTCTCCAACTATCAAATGGAGAAGAGGATATGTAGCTCATGAGGTTGTTACCAAGACCAAGTTATTTAAAATGTGAAATTATTTCAAACATGTGAAATTCAATAAGGGCTATGTGTTTGTTAGCTGTTATTATTTGAAATATTTTCAACATTAAGATTAAGGTGGGTTTTTTGTTTGTTTTATACATTTATCAAGGTAAGGAAAATTTTCTACAATTTTTTTCTTTTAATCATGAATGAGTTAAATTTTATCAGATCATCTGTGTGATACATTGGGAAGATCATATGATTTCCTCCTTCAATCTGTGTATTTGGTAAATGGTGTTATTATGTTTTCTGACCTCGAAGGATGCTAGAAAACCCTATATGTGAAAATACAATGTGGATTCAATTTACTAATAGTTTATATAGCATTTCTGCATCCATGTTTTTAGGTGAGATTGGCCTACAATTTTATTTTATTATTTAATGTGGGTAAGTAACAATGTTATTAAAAAGTTGCCTCACTTCTCCTTTTTATTTTCCACAAGAGTTTTTATAAGATAAGGACAACCTGTTACTTGAAAGATTGCTCAATCTCTTCTGTGGAATTATCAGGGTCTAGTGCCTTTAAGGAATGGAATTTTTTTTTTTTTAATGGTCTAAAACCTGTCTCTGTAAGGAATGGGAAATTTTAACAACCAGTTCAATTTCTTTGATAGTATAGGGCAAATCAGGTTTTTTATTTCTTCTTCAGCCAACTTTGGTAATTTATATTTTTCTAAAAATGCATTTATGTCATTTGTTTTCAAATTAATTGTCATATTTTATTGATTAAGATTAAACGTATGTTCTTTATCTGTACTTTGAGACCCTTTTTCTATTCTTAGTATAAATTTGTGTCTACTGTCTTCTTTCTCTAATAAAGCTTTTGAAGCTTTTTATACTTACTACTTTTTCAGGAGAAACAGGTTTTAATTTTAGAGTTTCACTCTGTTTTAAAATTCTTTGATCTTTCTGTTTCTACTTTGCCTTTATTTTCTTTCTCCAATTTTCTGTGTTCTTTTTCTAACTTCTTATATTATCTGCTTTTTGTTTTATAATAAATGCATTTAAAACTATAAATTTTCACTTACATACCAGACTAACTTCATTCTACATGTTTTGATGTATAGTGTCCTAATGTTTCAAAAATTTAATAATTTTATTAGATGTTTCTTCTTTAACCCATGAGTTATTTTAAAGTAGAAAGATTTCTAATTTAATTCAGTTTGTCTCCTAATAGATGTTTTAAACCCATTTGAACTTTTTGAGACAGACAGGGTTTCGCTCTGTCACTCAGGCTGGAGTGCAGTGGTGCTATCGTAGCTTGCTGCAGCGCCTCGATCTCCCAGGCTCAACTTATCCTCCCATCTGAGCCTCCTGAGTAACTGGAACTACAGGTTTCTGCCACCACACCAGGCTAATTCTTTTTTAATTTTTTTCTATTTTTTGTAGAGACATAGTCTCACTATGTTGCCTTGGCTTGTGTTGAACTCTTGGGCTCCAGTGATTCCCCCCGTCTCAGCTCCCAAAGTGCTGGGATTATAGGCATGAGCCACCACGCCCAGCCTATAATTTATTTTTGGGTTTATTTCTGTTATCCAGTTTTGTATTGTCTACCATGCTTTTATCCCCACCTACTTTTAAAATTTTTATTCTTTGCTCCTTTTGTTAGATATTATTCTTTGCTCCTTTTGTTGGATAATTCTGTTACCTTCTAAAAAGAACAAAAATATTTATAGTATTTTATTACTTGCTGAAACACTCAACTTTTGGTTACTATTGTTTAGAATTTTAATTCCATTTTGATTTTTTAAACACATACATGAACACTATTGCGGTTATTTTTTTCACAGTTAATACTTTAGTTCAGCAATATGTTTTCAAATTGATTTGCTCACCATTGCATTTCCCTCCCTCCTCCTTGAATCAGTTTTGTGGCTGATGCCCATTCTTCAGTAGTTTCTTTGCAGATGTCATTGAGGCATAAACTTTGTTTTTTTAATATCTGTGTATTTGTTTAATGATCTTCCTCCTTCAATGATAGTTTATTATATGTAGAAGTTTAGTCTCAGAGTTCTTTACTTTAGGTACATTGAAGATATTTCTCCGTGATCTTTTAGCATTCATTTTTGCTTATTTCTGTATGTGCTTTGCTACCCATGTGATGGCCATTTCTTTATAGTTAATCTGCCATTTTAATATTTTAATTTTTTTTTGAGACAGAGTCTCTGTCATCCAGGCTGGAGTGCAGTGGCATGATCTCAGCTTACTGCAACCTCTACCTCTCGGGTTCAAGCAATTCTCCTGCCTCAGCTTCCCGAGTAGCTGGGTTTACAGGCCCCATATGCTACCATGCCTGGCTAATTTTTGTATTTTTAGTAGAGATGGGGTTTCTTCACGTTGGCCAGGCTGGTGCTGAACCCCTGACCTCAGGTGATCCGCCCGCCTCGACCTCCCGAAGTGCTGAAATTACAGGTGTGAGCCACTGCACCCGGCCTTAATATTTTAATTTTTAATTTTTGTGGATACATAGTAGGTGTACATATTTATGGAGTACATGAGATATTTTTATATAGGCATACAATGTGCAATAGTCATATTAGGGTAAATGGGGTATCCATCACCTCAAGCATTTATCCTTTCTTTGTGTTACAAACAATCCAATTATACTCTTTTAGTTATTTTTAAATGTACAATAAATTATTGTTGACTGTAGGCACCCTGCTTTGCTGCCAAATACTAGATTTTATTTATTCTACCTAACTATATTTTTGTACCCACTAGCCATCCCCACTCTCACCCTGCCTCACCACCCTTTCTAGCCTCAGGTAATTATCATTTTACCGTCTATCTCCATGAGTTCAATTGTTTTAACTTTGAGCTCTCACAAATAGGTGAGAATATGTGAAGTTTGTCTTTCTGTGCCTGGCTTATTTCACTTAATATCATGTCTTCCAGTTCCACCCATGTTGTTGTAAATGACAGGAACTCATTCATTTTTATGGCTGAATAGTACTTCATTTTGTAAAATATGTACCATGTTTTCTTTATTCATTCATCGGTTGATGGACACAGGCTAATTCCAAATCTTGACTATTGTGAATAGTGCTTCAATAAACATCAGAGCGCAGATATCTCTTTGATATACTGATTTCCTTTCTTTTGGGTATATACACAGCAGTGGGATTACTTAATCATATGGTAGCTCTATTTTTAGTTTTTTGAGGAACCTCCAACTGTTTTGCATTGTGATTGCACTAATTTACATTCCCACCAACAGTGTATGTGGGTTCCCCTTTCTCCACATCCTTCCAGCATTTGTTGTTGCCTGTCTTTGGATATAAGCCATTTTATTTTATTTTTATTTTTATTTTTATTTTGAGATGAAGTCTTGCAGTGTTGCCCAGGCTGGAGTGCAGTGGCGTGATCTTGGCTCACTGCAACCTCTGCCTCCCAGATTCTAGCAATTCTCCTGCCTCGGTCCCCTGAGTAGCTGGGACTACAGGCACACACCACCGTGCCCAGCTAATTTTTTTTTGTATTTTTAGTAGAGATGGGGTTTCGCCATGTTGGCCAGGCTGGTCTTGAACTCCCAACTTCAAGTGATCTGACCACCTCAGTCTCCCAAAGTGTTGGGATTATAGGCATGAGCCACTACATCTGGCCTTGGATATGAGCCATTTTAACTCTGGTGGGATTATATCTCATTGTAGTTTTAATTTGCATTTCTCTAATGATCGATGATACAGAGCATCTTTTCCATTTGAATGTCTTCTTTTAAGAAATGTCTATTGAGATCTTTTGCCCATTTTCTAATCGGATTATATTTTTTTCCTACTGAGTTGACCAATGCATTCTTGATATATATATTCTTATGTATATTCCTATATATTCTTGTTATTAATCCCTTGTCAGATGGATAGTTTGCAAATATTTTCTCCCATTTTTTGGGTTGTCTCTTCACATCATTGATTGTTTCCTTTGCTGTGCAGAAGCTTTTTAACTTGATGTGATCCCATTTGTCAAATTTTTGCTTTGGTTGCTTGTGACTGGGGGTATTACTCAAGAAATCTTTGCTGAGTCCAGCGTCCTGGAGAGTTTCCTCAAAGTTTCTTTTTAGTGGTTTTATAGTTTGAGGTCTTAGTTTTATGTCTGTAATCCATTTTGATTTGATTTTTGTATATGGCAAGAGATAGGGTTCTAGTTTCATTCTTCTGCATATGGATATCCAGTTTTCCCAGCACCATTTATTAAAGAGACTGTCCCTTCCCTAACGTATGTTCTTGGCACCTCTGTCAAAAATGAGTTCAATGTAGATGTATGGATTTGTTTCTGGGTTCTCTATTCTGTTCCATTGGTTTTTGTGTTTGTTTTTATGCCAGTACTATGCCATTTCAGCTACTATAGCTCTGTAATACATTTGACGTCAGGTAATATGATTCCACCAGTTTCATTTTGTTTTTTTCCCTCAGAATAGCTTTGGCTGTTGTGGGTCTTTTGTGGTTCCATATAAGTTTTAGGATTATTTTTACTATTTCTGTGAAGAATGTCATTGATATTTTGATAGGGATTGCATTGTATCTGTAGATTGCTTTGGGTAATATGGACATTTTAACAATATTCATTCTTTCAATCAATGAACATGGACTATCTTTCCATTTTTTGTGTCCTCTTCAATTTTTCTCATTGATGTTTTATTGTTTTCATTGTAGAGCTCTTTCACTTTTTTGATTAATTCTTAGGCATTTATTTTATCTATTATAAATAGGATTACTTTTAAATTTTCTTTCAGAAGGGAGAAGGAGGCAGAGATTGCAGTAAGCCAAGATCGTGCCATTGCGCTCCAGCCTGGGTGACAGAGCGAGACTGTCTCAAAAAAATAATAATAATTAATAAATATGAAAGAGAAATAAACGGAGCTCTGAATGGGCTCTAATTTGATGTTTCTATCTATGCCTTGATTCATTTCTACTGTTTTTTTAGCCCCCTCCTGCCTTGCTTTTGTTTTACAGTCTAAGCACAGAGGGTACACTTGGAGAAGCATTTGGATGAAATCTGGTAAGAAACCAGTTGAAGTATATCGAGCAGCCCAACCCCAGGACACCCATATAAATCTAGAATGTAACCTTTGGAAAACGCTGACCTTGTAAATTAACCAGAAACATCAAAGAAGGAGATTATACTGTGTACATTCAGAATGCAAAAGAAAGAGCCATCTTTACTTGTGAAACAATGACCTTTGTTCTGCATCTGTGTTATGATGAATTCTCAAGTCTGATGAGGTGAGACTCCGTAGTTCTCAGTAGTTGGGTCCTAATGAGCTGGATTTTCCATATTGTCTAATCCACTTTGTCTATAGCTAGGTGCTTAGGGAGGCCACTCGAAGTCTATTAGATTGGAATGCTAAAAAACAGGTCCCCTGTGACCTAAGAGAGATAATATATCTCACTCATTAGGGGTACAACTAGGTTCCTGGCTTACTGGAAAAAAAAAGATTCTTATTATTTATATATTTTTATTTAATTTTTAAACTGAACTTTAGGTGTCTTTATTAACACTGAAAAGAATATCCTTATAAATAAAATGACAGCTCTGTAAAAAAAAAATCAGTTGGCATTGAAACTGGTGGATTATACTCATTCTTTACCTACAGACATATTACTAATGTTTTTATCTCATTGTAGATGACTTACAGGCATGTTACTAATGTTTTTAATCTCATTATAAACCACTTGTTGGCAAGAGTTAGACATACATTTTTATAGATGCTAAAAATGTAGCATTGGGCACAGTGGCTTACGCCTGTAATCCAAGTATTTTGGGAAGTCGAGGCTGGAGGATCACTTGAGGCCAGCAGTTACAGACCAGCCTGGGCAACATAGCAAGACCCTGTCTCTACTTAAAAAAATTAAAAGGTTTAGCTGGGTATGGTGGTATGTGTGTGTAGTCCTAGGTACTTGGGAGACTGGGGCTGGAGGATTGAGCCCACGAGTTAGAGGCTACAGTGAGCTATGATTGTGCCACTGTACTCCAGCCTAGGTGAGATCCTTTCTCTTAAAAAAATACACACACACACACACACACACACACAAACACACGCAATTCATTATATGATCTAGTGGTAAAAAGGCTTAAAAATTGGAAACATAAACACATGTAATTCATTATATGATCTAGTGGTAAAAAAGGTTTAAAAACTGGAACTATAAAGAGCAGAAAATGAGTCTCCTCTTTGCCCTAGATCACTTCTTGTTTCAATTTTCAGTGTTCCTGAGCTTTCCTTTCCAGTTTTCCCTCTGTTCCTGAATAGTAACCATTGTTAGCTGTTTCATGTGAATCTTTCCCAAACTCTATCTACACACACACACACACTGCATCTGGATCATGATGCATATATATATATGATTGTGATTGTCAGTTTTATGTGTCAACTTGGCTAAGGTACAGTTTCCACTAATTCAATCAACACTAACCTGGGTGTGTTGCTGTAAAGGCATTTTTGTAGATGTGATTAAAATCCATATTCTGTTGATTTTGAGTAAGGGAGATGATCCTAGATAATCTGGATGGGCCTGATTCAGTCATTTGAAAGTTCTTAAGAGCAGACTTGAGTCTTCCCTGAAGAAAAAGGAATTCTGCCTATGGATAGCAGCATCAGTTCGTGCCTGACAGTTCCAGACTTCTCTCCCTGATGGCCTGCTCTGTGGTTCTCAGACTGCCTAGCCAGTCTGACAGTTGGATACACATATTCCTTGCAATAAATCTCTTAACATGTATTTCCTACTGATTTTGTTTCTTTAGTTGAACCATGACTGATATATATAAATATTTCTACGGCTTGTTTTTTCACTAACAATGTGTCTTAGAGATGGCTTGAACCATGTCTGGCATATTATATTTCTGTAGCTTGCTTTTTCACTAACAATGTATTTCAGAGATGGCATATTTAACTGCTGCATAGTGTCACAAAAAATGTCCCACAATAAGGATATAGCATAGCTTATCTAATCATTCTGTTACGGTGGATATGTGAGTTGTTCACATTCAAATTTAAATTAGATTTAAATTTATTTTCACTTGCTACTTTGAAAATTGGCTCAAATGTCTTTTTGCATCCAGCATTGTAATGATAAAATCTAATATCAATCTGATTCTTCCTCTTTTGCAGGTAATTATTTTCCTTCTTTGAAGGCTTTGAAGATATTGTTCTTACCCTTTAATATTTCACAAGAACTTATCTATGGTTGTTTTCATCTGGATCAATTTTCAGTAGTCTTTACAGAAGGAGCAGGGTTGAAAAAAATAAAAACATTTCAGTAGTCCCTTTCAATCTGAAGACTCATGTCTTTTGATATTCTTGGAAATATTCTTCTATCATTACTTTTATTATTATTTTTTCAATACTTTCTGTTCTGTCCTGGAACTCTAGTTAGATGGTTGCAAGACCTTCTGGAATTCTCCCTCAAGCCTTAGTTTTTATTTTGTGTTTACCACCCATTCATTCCATTGCACTGCATTTAGGGCAAGGTAATCAGTTTGATCTTTCAGCTTTGTGAACATGCTCTTCAGTCATGTCCATTCTATCACTCAGCCCTGGTACTGAGTTTCATTTTAATAGTGAGTGGTATTTTTATATTTCTAAGATCTCAAATTGTTTTCATAGTTGTATTTTTATAGTTACGATATCCTCCTGAGGATATTAATTTTACTTTTATTAAAGGCTCATTTTGTTTGCTCTAGTAACCTTTTTCCCTAGGGAGTTACTTCTGTTGATTAAGTTGAGTATGTATCTTTTATGAGATTGGTTTTCCTCATCTGTGTGGTAATTGTTGGCTTAGGTCTTGTATTTGTGTGAGGTCTGTCTCCAAGGATGTGGAGGAGGAACCAGATGTGTTACTGGATGAGGAATGCCAGGTCCGCATCCTTAGGGGGTGCTCCTTGGACTGCTTCGACAATGCCATTCACAAAGGCCCTGCCCTGCCTCTCCACCTTAAAAACCCACACTTTTCTCCAACCTGAAGCAGATGCCTCAGCTACCTGCTACTGACAAAATGGGGAGGTCTGTGGGGCAGGGGGAAGGGAATCAATCCATCTAGCTAGTCATTATAGATAACAATTTTGTCCCAGGGCTCCTCTTTTCAATTTTAATTTTTTTCCCAATTAAAAAATGGTAAAATACACATAACATAAAATTTACAATCTTAATCATTTCTAAATGTACTGTCCAGTGGCATAAGGTTGCGCAACCATCACCCCCATCCATCTCCAGACCACTCATCTTGCAAAACGGAAACTCTGTATCTCTTAAGCCACTCCTTATTCCTTCCTGTCCCCAGCCCCCATCTAACCATCATTCTTCTGTCTATCTCTATGATTTTGACTACTCTAAATAAATACCTCAGACAAGTGGAATCATACAGTATTTGTCTTTCTGTGATTGGCTTATTTCAGTTAGCATGATATCCTCAAGTTTCATCCGTGTGTTAGCCTATGTGAGAATTTTCTTCCTATAATGGCTGAATGATATTCTATTGTGTGTATATACCACATTTTGCATATCCCTCAAACACTGACAGACACTTGAGTTGCTTCCATGTTTTAGCTGTTGTGACTAACGCTGTTATAAACATGGGCGTACAAAACTCATGGCTCTCAAGCCCCTGTTTCCCATCCTTGACTTGAGGATTTGGTCAGGGGAGAGCGGCGCAGATTCTTTGGTGCCTATTTTGCTGGTACTGTAAAAGGGAGAGCTACATGACATAAACCCTATTTTTTCTTAAAATTTTCATTGTGTGGTATTTGCATGTACAATAAAAATTGGAGGGTGTGTAAACTTTAATAGAACTAAAAGAATCTCAGGACAAAATGGCTGCTTAGTTACATCCTGATAATTTAGCCTAGGACAAGAACACAGGAAGTTTGTTTGTGTCATTTGTACCAATAAATCAAGCCCTTTACATTCGGTCATTTCAGGAGTAGCATTGTGCACTGTCAGGGGGCACAGGCTCCATAGTCAGGCACCTGTGTTCACATCCTGGGTCGACAGTGCCTTAGGTGTGTAACTTTGGACAAGTTAAATGGGGTAGTAGAGTACCTGCCTCTGAGGAGCTTAGGTAGTGCTGGTACTTTGTAAGAAGTCAATAAATTATAAGTGTTGTTTTCTAAACAGCAAAATAACTATGTTAGTATTTATAATGTTTAGAACAATTGTTTTAGTTATAGGAAGGCTTTCTGATCTTTACTTTTATGCCAGACCAGTGAAACTGACTCATCTAGAAATAGTTTCTGAGGTTTTTGTGCTTTGCCCTGGCTGAGCTCTCTCCTTCCAGCACAATCCCTGGGAAGGTTGGGATGGGGTAGGGACAGATAGCTTATGCTATGGCAGCCTCCTAGAATGTGGACAATCTGCAGTGCTTTCCGAGCTTGAAGATTCAAGTTGTGACACATTCTGCATTTTCTTTCAGCAGTGTGTAGTCTGAATTTGAGGTCTTTACATATATTTCTCCGTTTTGACTCTTTAGTACACAAGTCTACCAAAGGAACAAAATATCTTGCCACGGCACCACTACAGCTAATAAAAGAAAGAGACTTCAGAACTTTAAATTTAATTTCAAAAATTAGATATCTAGAAATAGTCTATTAGGCAAGGCAGTAGTTTTATTTTTTTCCCCAATGACAGTACACTGCACACAAATACATTTAAATAATTACAATTTTTAAAACTTTCCAGAGTGAAGCTCTGAAAGTGACAACATTCAGGCACTAACTTTGATAATGGGCAATTTAAACAACATATGGGAACATTTAGAAAAATCTGTAAGTCAATGATCAAAATTAATTCATTAGACATTTAGATTTCTGTCATGTACTTGCATAAGTGTTGCCTTATTCTGTGGGGCCAGTGGTTCTTTTGGTGACACACCATGTCGCAGCTGGAAAACATTACTATTTTCTGTACTTGTCAAAAATGTTTTGTAATCATTACCCTAATTATATATATGTGTGTGTGCATGTGTGTGTGCGTGTGTGTGTGTATATATATATAGTACTGAATCACGGTAAATAAAACATTCATAATAAAGTGAATTATTGGTGTGAAATGAACTGCATTTTAAAACAAAAATAAATATGAGTTGGATCTTGAGCTGAGTAGCAATTTTAAATTAAAAGCCATACAGAAATAAATGACAGCAATTTGATTTTGCTTTCTTGAATCGTCACACAACAGTTTTATATATTTTTAGTATCTAAAAAGCATAAGCTATATCTTAGACTTCACAGTTCACTTCTAAGAGCTGGTAATAATTTGTCATCAACACAAACTAATTAACCAATAAAAGTATTCTGAAGTGTTTAGTCTAATTATATTGTTGCAGCTAAGTCAGTTGTAAGACCTCCATTTTTGGCAGTTGTGTTTAGTATGAAAATAATCTTTGTCATACTTTCAGGACTTTAAAAATTTTGTGAATAACTGTTGACATTTTTTAATATTAGAGCTAAAGAATTTTACAGATAGTAGGGAGCTAGGCAGTTATCTGGGCTACCTCTTTTATTTTACATAAAACTTTGGAGGTTACAGAGAAGAGCTTAAATGGTTTATTCCTGGTGATTGGGATCTGTTATTCCTACTTCACTTCTCTATATTTTTCCCTCTTTATTTTTAGCAAAGAAAGTTCTGCAACACTGATGGCTTTATTTTTGTCTATTTTTATGCCATAGCTAATAGAGTATGCGTCTTGGTTTGCTAAATGTACTTTCTTTTGGCTATTCAGTAGAAATACTTGTCTCGAGTCTATAACTTGTTGATGGAAAGAAACTTCAAACTCTGTAAAGTATTTTAAAGAGGTTTATTCTAAGGCAATATGAGTGGCCATAGCCCAGGGAACGGTCTTGAGAACTTCTGAGAAAGAGTGCCCTAGGCAATTGGGTTACAATTTGGTTTTATACATTTTAGGGAGATGGGAATTGCAGGTAAAATACTAAATTAATACATGGAGGGTAAACATTTGCTCAGCCCAAAGAGGTGGGATATCTTGAAGCGGGCAGTGAGATGAGGGGTGGGGTGGGGAGGATTACAGGTCATAGGTGGATTCAGAGATTTTTCTGGTTGGCAATTGGTTGAGAAAGAGTTAAGCTTTGTCTAAAGACTTGAAGTCAGTAGGAAAAAAATGCTTGAGTTAAGATAAGGGGGCTTATGGAAACCAAAGTTCTTGTTAAGTAGATAAAGTCTCACAGGTAGCAGGCTTCAGAGAGAATAGATAGTAAATGTCTCTTTTTGTATCTTTAAAGGTATCAGATGCTTGGTTAATCTCTCCTAGATCCAGGAAAGGCCTGCAAAGGGAAGGCCTGTCTGCATTAATGGAGATTCTCTACAGATGCAAATTTCCCCCACAAAGACAGCTTTGTGGGGCAATTTCATAATATGTCAAATAAATATATTTTGGGTTAAAATATTTTGATTTCTCTCTGGGTCTGCTATGTGTCACGCAATCCTACACCAGAGTCAGGTTGGAATTTGGTAGCTTATTGCCACAAAGAGTCTGTTTTTTCAGTCTTGTGATCTCTATTTTAATTTTATTTAAATTTATTTTAAGTACTTTAATTTTATTATTTTTATTAATAAAAGTTATTACTTTTATTTTATTAAATTAATTTATTTTAAAATTTATTGTAATGTTGGTCAGTTGTGTCTAAACTCCAAAAGGGAGGGGGTATAATGAGGTGTGTCCAACCTCCTTTAATGTCATTAATTCAGTTTTTCAGATTTCTCTGGGGTCCCCTTGGCCAAGAGGGAATCCATTTAGTCAGTTGGTGGGGGCTTAGGAATTTATTTTGTTTACAAACCTATTAAACTTTCAGTGGCCTTCAGAGAAATAGTCCTTATCCTGATGGCTGTCTTCTTATGTTTACGGTACCACCAGCTGATTAATTTACTTAAAATAATTAGAACTCTCTTGGGTATAGTGAAGGAAAATCTTTTTTTTAATAAAATCACTTTAAAAAGTAATTCTGGGAGGCCGAGGCTGGTGGATCACGAGGTCAGGAGATCGAGACCATCCTGGCTAACACAGTGAAACCTGGTCTTTACTAAAAAATACAAAAAATTAGCTGAGCATGGTGGCGGGCGCCTGTAGTCCCAGCTACTTGGGAGGCTGAGGCAGGAGAATGGCATGAAGCCGGGAGGCGGAGCTTGCAGTGAGCCGAGATCACACCTCTGCACTCCAGCCTGAGTGACAGAGGGAGACTCTGTCTCAAAAAAAAAAAAAAAATAATAATAATAATAATTCTATTAGTCCGTTCTCACACTGCTGTAAAGAACTGCCTAAGACTGGGTGATTTATAAAGGAAAGCATTTTAGTTGACTCACAGTTCCGCATTGCTGGGGAGGCCTCAGGAAACTTACAATCATGGGAGAAGGCAAAGGAGAAGCAGGCACCACCTTTGCAGGGTGGCAGGACTGAGTGAGTGCAAGCAGGGGAAATGCTAGAAGATTATAAAACCGTCAGATCTCGTGAGACTCACTCATTATCAGGAGAACCATCCCCATGATCCAATTACCTCCACCTGGTCCTGCCCTTGATACGTGGGGATTATGGAGATAACAATTCAAGATGAGATTTGGGTGGGGACACAGAGCCAAACCATATCAGTAATTTATTAAATATATACTATGGACTCTTATAAAACAATGTAGCTTCTGGAAGATGTGGGGGATAGCTGGGCCTCAAGGACACCTGGAACCAAGCCTTGTTTGCCCACAAGATTCTTATGGTTTATCTGTTTGTTTGTTTGTTTGTTTTTCTGCCTGTCTTGGCTTCCTTCTTTTTGAAAACAGGTGAATTTTTCTCCAAAAGTCTGCTAGGAGACCGGAGTTTGAATCGTTAAGCGTTTCACAAGTCCAGTTGTAAAATTCTAGGAAAAGGACACTGATTGGCTTAGCATGGACCATGTGCCTGCTTAAAGACCAGTCAACTGATGCAAGGAAATGAATTACTACCGTAACAACATCTTGGCTCAGGGGACCACTCTTGGAGGTCAGTCAGTTGTATCCAGGAAGTGGGGTCATAGCAGTTTCTGTCATAACCATGTGTGAGATTAGCCAAATTACTTCAAAGTTTCTGTGCCTCCATTCCTTCATCTGTAAAATGGGATCTAATTGTTCCCCTCTCATAGAGTTCTTTCATCATTCTTTGTAATAGTGCAAACCTGAAACCTGAAAACAATGTAATATAGACATTCATTACTGTATTAGGCTGGTTTGTGCATTGCTATAAAGAAATACCTGAGACTGGATAATTTATAAAGAAAAGAGGTTTAATTGGCCTATGGTTCCACAGGCTGTACAGGAAGCATAACACAGCGTGTGCTTCTGGGGAGTCCTCATGAAGCTTACAATTGTGGTAGAAGGTGAAGGGGAAGCAGGCATCTCACATGGTGGGAACAGGTGTGAGACAGAGAGAGAGAGATGCCATCCTTTTAAACAGTCAGATCTTGCGGGAAGTCACTCACTGTGGCAAGGACAGCACCAAGGGGATGATGCTAAGCCATTCATGAGAAATCCAGCCCGACGATCCCATCATCTCCCACCAGCCTGCACCTCCAATACTGGGGATTACAGTTTAAACATGGGGTTGAATTACAAAGGGACAAGTTAAAGAAGTTGGTGGACTCAAGCAGTTGACTGCTATGCAGCCAAAATATATGTTCCCAACAGAAGGTGAGCTGCTTCCTACAATACACGTGACCATTTTCCCCGGTCCCTCTAGTTTGCAAAGGTGAGGGCAGAGCTCAACCTGGAGTGTAGAGCCTGAGACAGAGGGACCATGCTACATGTGTCCTAATGGGAAAGGGCTCTTCTTGAGTAAAAAGGTGGTTACTGAGTTTTGCTTTCTCCTATAGAGGAAAGATGAGCAAAAACAGGGAGATGGGGACCTGGAGAAGAGAGGGTGCAGAAGTGGCCAGGTGGGGACACCTGTGATGGTAGTGGGGGGATTTGTTGGCAAACTACAGCTTGTAGGCCAAATCCAGCCCACTGCCTGATTTTGCACGGCCTAGGAGTGAAGAATGGTTTTTACATAAAATAGTTGAGAAATGTTTGAAAAAGAATATTTCATGACTTGGGAACATTATATGAAATTCAAATGTTAGTGTCCATAAGTAAAGCTTTATTGGAAAGTGCCAGACCCCTGCACTTACGTATTGTCTAGGGCTGTTTTCCCCTGTGCAGAGTTGAAGAGTTTGACAGAGACCATATGGCTTCCAAAGCCTAAAATATTAACTGTGTGACCCTTTACTGAAAATGTTTGCTGACCCCATCCTTATGGTATAATGCGTGGATTTTTGGAAGAGTAAAACAAATGTAACATTTGCCAAGCACTCATTCTTGCCCAGCAGGGCTATAAGCTCTTCTCATGTATGTAATAGAATTCTGTGAACAACCCTATATGGCAGGTACCATTATTATCTTCATTTCACAAATGAGAAAATTGAGACACTTCAGTAGTTTTCTCAAAGTCAGGCCATTAGTGAGTAGAAAAGCTGGGATACGAACCTAGGCTGTCCAGTTCCAGAGCAATAATCTGGTTTCACTTTCTGTGATGTAATTCCTGCCAGTTATCCCTCAAAAATACCAGTATCACTATGCAAACCATCACTTACTTGATCAGTCTTGCTGTGGAGAAAGGGATTGGGCTGTGCCTACACTTGGGGTGCAATGGGAGAGGACGCAATGGGAGGGGACAGTAGACTTGAGGAGTGGCACCAGTTCACTCCTGGGCTTTACATTCAATGGCATCACAGAATGGAGGAAATCATTGTGTGTGTGTGTACATAGAAAATGTCTAGTAGGTTTCACCCCAAACTGCAAACAGTATTTGCCCTTTAGGAGTGAAATGGATAATATAGAATTAGGAGATGTCTAAATTTTAATCCTATGCTGTTTGAAATTTTAAGTGAGGTTGTAGTCTTTGTAATGCTATTTTCAGAAACCCACAAAATATGGTGAAAAGAACTCTCTGGTCTGGTTTTCCCTTTTGTGAGGTAAATTGACTTAACTCTCCTTCAAGTGTCTTAGGTATTGAGAAGCGGTAGATAGATTATTTAATAATCCATTTCCCCAGGATGGCACCTAGAGAAAAAGAAGATTATCCAGCCACCAAGAAATGCCCAGTTCCTCTATTTCGGATGAACCTGACTTAATCAGGAGTAGAAGGCACCTTTCTTCTTTTCAGAGTTACACAGGGGCCCTGGGTTTCCTGTTGACATGAAGATATTCGCATCCTTCACAAACAGCTTGTCATCTGTTCCACTTTCTGCTCTTAGAGGTGAAATAGGAAGTTTCTTCTTTCTTCAAAAGATTAAGGAAACCACTGTTTCCCTTTTGAAATGGGGAAAGATGTGTGACATCTTCATGCCCTCAGTGTCAGTCCTCTGAGCCTAAGCTAAGCCATAGCATCTCCTGTGACCTGCACTTATACGCCCAGATGGCCTGAAGTAACTGAAGAATCACAAAAGAAGTGAAAATGGCCTGTTCCTGCCTTAACTGATAACATTCCACCACAAAAGAAGTGAAAATGGCCGGTCCTTGCCTTAACTGATGACATTACCTTGTAAAATTCCTTTTCCTGTCTCATCCTGGCTCAAAAAGCTCCCCCACTGAGCACCTTGTGACCCCTACCCCTGCCAGCCAGAGAACAACCCCCTTTGACTGTAATTTTCCTTTACCTACCCAAATCCTATAAAACAGCCCCACCCCTATCTCCCGTCATTGACTCTCTTTTCTGACTCAGCCCGCCTGCACCCAGGTGAAATAAACAGCCTTGTTGCTCACACAAAGCCTGTTTGGTGGTCTCTTCACACGGACGTGCATGAGATTTGGTGCTGTGACTCAGATCGGGGGACCTCCCCTTGGGAGATCAATCCGCTGTCCTCCTGTTCTTTGCTCCATGAGAAAGATCCACCTACGACCTCGGGTCCTTAGACTGATCAGCCCAAGGAACTCATCTCACCAATTTCAAATCGGGTAAGTGGCCTCTTTTTACTCTCTTCTCCAACCTCCCTCACTATCCCTCAACCTCTTTCTCCTTTCAATCTTGGCTCCACACTTCAACCTCTCCCTTCTCTTAATTTCAATTCTTTTCATTTTCTGGTAGAGACAAAGGAGACACATTTTATCCGTGGACCCAAAACTCCAGTGCCGGTCATGAACTTGGGAAGCCAGCCTTCCCATGGTGTTTAATCATTGTGGGGACACCTCTCTGATTATTCACCCACATTCGATTGGTGTCTGATCTCCACGGGGACGCCTACCTTGATCATTCACCCACATTCCCTTGGTGGCAAGTCAATCGCGGGGACGCCTGCTTTGGCTGCTCACCCACGTTGCAGCCCAGGGCTGCTCCCCACCCCCTTTTCCATGTCTCTACCCTTCTCTTTAAACTTGCCTCCTTCACTATGGGCAAACCTTCCACCCTCCATTCCTCCTTCTTCTCCCTTTGCCTGTGTTCTTAAGAACTCAAAACCTCTTCAACTCCTGCCTGACCTGAAATCTAAGTGTCTTATTTTCTTCTGCAACACCGCTTGGCCCCAATACAAACTTGACAATGGCTCTAAATGGCCGGAAAATGGCACTTTTGATTTCTCCATCCTACAAGACCTAAATAATTTTTGTCAAAAAATGGGCAAATGGTGCCTTACATCCAGGCATTTTTTCACACTTCATTCCCTCCCTAGTCTCTGCTCCCAATGCGATTCCTCCCAAATCCTCCTCCTTTCCCTCCCGCCTGTCCCCTCAGTCCCAACCCCAAGCGTCGCTGAGTCTTTCCAGTCTTCCTTATCTACAGACCCATCTGACCTCTCCCCTCCTCCCCAGGCTGCTCGTCGCCAGGCCAAGCTAAGTCCCAATTCTTCCTCAGCCTCCGCTCCTCTGTCCTATAATCCTTCTACCACCCCCCCTCCTCACACCCGGTCCGGCTTACAGTTTAGTTCTGCGACTAGCTCCTCCCCACCTGCCCAACAATTTCCTCTTAGAGAGGTGGCTGGAGCTGAAGGCATAGTCAGGGTACATGTACCTTTTTCTCTATCAGACCTCTCTCGGATCAGTCAGCATTTAGGCTCTTTCTCATCAGACCCCACTAAATGTATACAATAATTCCAATATCTAACTCTGTCCTGCAATTTAACCTGGAGTGACTTAAATGTCATCCTGACTTCTACCCTCTCCCCAGATGAACGGGAAAGAGTTTTTTCTCTAGCCCAATCTCACGCTGATAACAACCGGCTTCACGAGCCAGACCTCCAGGAAGGCGTTAGAGCAGTTCCCCGAGAGGATCCCCAGTGGAACTATCAGGCAGATTCCCCAGGTACAGCTAGGCGAGATTACATGATTTCCTGCCTAGTTGAAGGGCTTAAAAAGGCAGCTTACAAAGCTGTTAATTATGACAAGCTTAAAGAAACTACCCAAGGTAAAGACGAAAACCCAGCCCAGTTCATGGCCTGCTTAGCAGCAACCTTTAGACGCTATACTGCCCTAGACCCAGAAAGGCCAGAAGGCCGCCTTATTTTTAATATGCATTTTATCACCCAAACCACTCCTGACATTAGGAAAAAACTTCAAAAATTAGAATCTGGCCCTCAAACCCCACAACAGGAATTAATCAACCTCGCCTTCAAGGTGTACAATAATAGGAGGTAGCCAGACAGCAACACATTTCTGAGTTACAGCTACTTGCCTCCGCTGTAAGACAGCCCACAACCACGTCTCCAGCATACAAGAACTTCAGAACATCCAAGCCACAGCTCCCAGGGGCTCCTTCAAAACATCCTCATGGGCCTTGCTTCAAATGCCAAAAGCCTGGCCACTGGGCCAAGAAATGCCCACAGCCCGGGATTCCTCCTAGGCCGTGCCGTGTCTGTGCGGGCCCCCACTGGAGGTCGGACTGTCCGACTCACATTGCCGCCGCTCCTAAAGCCCCTGGAGCCCAAATCCAATGTTCCTTGGCTGACTCCTTCCCAGATCTCCTCGGCTTAGCGGCTGAAGACTGACGCTGCCTGATCGCCTCAGAAGCCCCCTGGACCATCACGCACACCGAGCTTCGGGTAACTCTTACGGTGGAGGATTCTCAGCCGTATGAAGACACCCTAGCTGGACGATCAGTTCTTGTTAAGAATCTGACCCCTCAAACTCTACAACCTCGATGGACCGGACCCTACTTAGTCATCTATAGTACCCCGACTGCGGTCCGCCTGCAGGATCCTCCCCACTGGGTTCACAGTTCCAGAATAAAGCTATGTCCATTGGACAGCCAGCCTAATCCGTCCTCTTCCTCCTGGAAGTCACAAGTACTCTCCCCTACTTCCCTTAAACTCACTCATATTTCTGAAGAACAGTAATAACCCTTATAAGCCTAATACATCCCTTCATTCTATTAGGTCTGTTCATCCTTACCCTACTTTTGCAACAGGGCTTTATGCAGTCACCCCCACTACTTACACCGGGCCCCAAAAACTAGTCATCCCTACTCTCTTCTGTCTAGTCATACTCCTATTCTCCATTCTCAACTACTTATAAATGCCCTACTCTTGTTTACACTGCTGGTTTACACTGTTTCTTCAAGCCATCACAGCTGATATCTCTTGGTGCTATCCCCAAACCGCCACTCTTAATTCCCTCTTAGAGTGGATAGATGATCTTTGTTGGCAGGAGACCCTCCAATACTTTCACCCTGATGAAGTTCTATTCTTTACTTTTATTCTTTACTTTTATACTCACTCTTATTCTCATTCCCATTCTTATGCCACCCTCTTCCTCTCTCCAGCTATCTCCACCATACTATCAACCTTACCCTTTCTCTCCTAGCCATTTCTAATCCCTCCTTAGCGAACAACTGCTGGCTTTGCATTTCCCTTTCTTCCAGCGCCTACACAGCTGTCCCCGCCTTACATGCAGACTAGGCAACATCTCCTGTCTCCTTACACCTCCGAACTTCCTTTAACAGCCCTCACCTTTACCCTCCTGAAGAACTCATTTGCTTTGTAGACAGGTCCAGCAAGACCTCCCCAGACATTTCACATCAGCAAGCTGCCACCCTCCTCCGCACTTACTTAAAAAATCTTTCTCCTTGTATCAACTCTACTCCCCCCATATTTGGACCTCTCACAACACAAACTGCTATTCCTGTGGCTGCTCCATTATGTATCTCTCGGCAAAGACCCACTGGAATTCCCCTAAGTAACCTTTCACCTTCTCAATGTTCTTTACTCTTCCTCTCCAAAGCCCAACTACACACATCATTGAAACAATTGGAGGCTCCCAGCTCCATATTACAGACAAGCCCTCTATCAATATGGGCAAACTTAAAAACATTAGCAGTAATTATTGCTTAGGAAGACACTTACCCTGTATTTCACTCCATCCTTGGCTACCTTCCCCTTGCTTGTCAGAATCTCCTCCCAGGCCCTCTTGTTGTTTATTTATACCCAGTCCCGAAAATAGCAGTGAAATGTTGCTCGTAGACACTCAACTTTTCTCATACACCATGAAAATCGAACCTCCCCCTCTACACAGTTACCCCATCAGTCCCCATTACAACCTCTGACAGCTGCCACCCTAGCTGGATCCCTAGGAGTCTGGGTACAAGACACCCCTTTCAGCACTCCTTCTCACCTTTTCACTTTGCATCTCCAGTTTTGCCTTGCACAAGGTCTCTTCTTCCTCTGTGGATCCTCTACCTACATGTGTCTACCTGCTAATTGGACAGGCACATGCACACTAGTTTTCCTTACTCCCAAAATTCAATTTGCAAATAGGACCGAAGAGCTCCCCGTTCCCCTCCTGACACCGACACGACAAAAAAGAGTTATTCCACTAATTCCCTTGCTTGTCAGTTTAAGACTTTCTGCCTCCACTGTTGGTCTCGGTACTGGAATAGCAGGCATTTCAACCTCTGTCACCACCTTCCGTAGCCTCGCTAATGACTTCTCTGCTAGCATCACAGACATATCACAAACCAGTCCTCCAGGCTCTTTAGCTGCAGTTGTCCTCCAAAACCGCCGAGGCCTTGACTTACTCACTGCTGAAAAAGGAGGACTCTGTATATTCTTAAATGAAGAGTGTTGTTTTTACCTAAATCAATCTGGCCTGGTGTATGACAACATAAAAAAAACTCAAGGATAGAGCCCAAAAACTTGCCAACCAAGCAAGTAATTACACTGAACCCCCTTGGGCACTCTCTAATTGGATGTCCTGGGTCCTCCCAATTCTTAGTCTTTTAATACCTATTTTTCTCCTTCTTTTATTCGGATGTTGTATCTTCCATTTAGTTTTTCAATTCATCCAAAACCGTATCCAGGCCATCACCAATCATTCTATACAACAAATGTTTCTTCTAACAACCCCACAATATCACCCCTTACCACAAAATCTTCCTTCAGCTTAATCTCTCCCACTCTAGGTTCCCACACCGCCCCTAATCCCGCTCAAAGCAGCCCTGAGAAACATCGCCCATTATCTCTCCATACCACCCCCAAAAATTTTCGCCGTCCCAACACTTTACCACTATTTCATTTTATTTTTCTTATTAATATAAGAAGACAGGAATGTCAGGCCTCTGAGCCCAAGCTAAGCCATCTCATTCCCTGTGACCTGCACTTATACACCCAGATAGCCTGAAGTAACTGAAGAATCACAAAAGAAGTGAAAATGGCCTGTTCCTGCCTTAACTGATGACATTCCACCACAAAAGAAGTGAAATTGGCCGGTCCTTGCCTTAACTGATGACATTACCTTGTAAAATTCCTTTTCCTGGCTCATCCTGGCTCAAAAAGCTCCCCCACTGAGCAACTTGTGACCCCCACCCCTACCAGCCAGAGAACAACCCCCTTTGACTGTAATTTTCCTTTACCTACCCAAATCCTATAAAACAGCCCCACCCCTATCTCCCTTCGCTGACTCTCTTTTCAGACTCAGCCCGCCTGCACCCAGGTGAAATAAACAGCCTTGTTGCTCACACAAAGCCTGTTTGGTGGTCTCTTCACACGGACGTGCATGAAACTCAGAAGGATTATATCCATTTTCTCTTGTCTTCCCCACAAACGAGTGAGACGAAGAACAATCCCAGGGATTTGGCTACTGAAGGCTGGAAAAGGATGGCAGGGCCCATTCATACTCAGCCATCACTCATGCACAAGGGCAGCTCCCAGCCCTCAGCTCTGGAGGGATGGGGAGGGCTCGTCCTCCTGGGCTGTGCTAGGAATCTGCTTGGTACCTTGGAGGACTCCCTCAAGCTGAGTAAAAGAGCAGTGAGTGTTCCTTCCATTTTTGGTAGAGAATTAAAAATGAAGTACTTGAACAAGCTGGACATTTGAGTTCCACTTGTCTTGCAATGTTGAAGACTCCTAATTTAGAAACATGGATCTAGGGGACAAATGATCACACAACTTGCAATGGAATAGCATGCAATTTTTTTTCCAACAATCACAGTTAAAATAAAATCAGTATAAAGCTGCCAATTTTTCTTTCTTAGAAAAAACTGTTATTTTCTTTAGAGCATATTCTTTCTCTTTTGTGGGGAGGAATGTCCTTCGACTTATGAAATTAATCATAACTAATGTATGAAATTAATTTCATAAGAGGAAGGACATAAGAAACATGAAATTTGCAAGAGCTGTTTTAGGTCCTAAGGAGTTGACAGTGAACAAAACACAGAACATCTCTAAGCATGCAGAGCAAATTCTTTTTTTTTTCCCCTCCAGAATAAAATGTAGCTTTATTATGACATGGGAAAAACTACAAGCCATTAGGGGAGGAGGAGGAGGAGTCAAATACCTCCTCAAAATGACAGGGAAAAGGCAGATATTAACACCTTGGTAATGAAGTCTTCAACCAGAGCACAGTCATTGGAATTTTTTTCTTACGATTTTTGTCTTCAAAGCTACAGTAAATGAAATAGTTAGTTGAATTGTAAAAAGAACAGAAATTTTACTCAATGAAAAGCATACGCACCAAGCCAAAATACAACAGTGCTTAGGCATATAGTCCAGGGACCCTTCTAGTGCTGGATGGGGGAACCCAGGCCCTCGGCGAGGGGTTGGTGGGGCTCAGGCTGGAGGGAGGCTGCCTATGTTCCCAGCATATGACTTAGCTCAAAGCACAAGAGCAAATTCTAGAATACAGAAAAAGGCAGATATATAATGCCATGCCAATAGTAGTAAGTGCTTGAAGAGACTTGAAGCAGAACCAGGAGCTCAAGCAGTGGGACTCAACCTGGAGCCAATGCTGTAAATACCTGAGAGCTTTAAAACATCCTGTCACCTTGGTTCTACTTGGAGGGATTCTATTCCAGTTGGTTTGGAAAACAGCTTGGAAATATGGATTTTTAAGCACTTTGGGTGGTTCTAATGTACAGCCAGCATTGAGAACCACTAGGTTGGAGAATGACAAAACACACTATTTTAGGTGGGAAGGTAGACTGGGTAACATGAGGAGAGGTATGAATGAAGAGAGAGAATGAGCTAAGAGCATATCTCAAGTGCATTCAGCTAGGTGGACCGCACAGACAAGTCCTGGAGTGAGTGGATGCTTGGCTTGCCCTGGGAAGAGGAGGGAGGTAAGTTTGGGTGGTGCAGAATGAGTGAGGGAAAGAATGGTGTAGCATTAGACTGGAGAGGTAGACAAGGGCCAGGTCATTTAGAATCCTGTAAGGCATGGAAATAACTCAGGTTTATTCTAATGTGATAAGAAGTCATAGGGGGATTTTGAGCTGGGTGGTGAAATAATATAATCTATATTTTGAAGAATTACTCTGACAGATGTATGGAATATAGACTAAATATCAGGTGCAAGAGCAGAAGTAGGGGATCAGTTAGGAACCTACTGCTGTAAATCTGGCTAGAAAGATCAGTGGTTTAGACTACAAGTGTTAGCAGATGAAGGTGTGAAGTGGTTGGACTGGAGAGAATTGGAGGAGGCAGAGCCAAAGGAATTTGCTCTTAAATTGGATGTTGGATATGGGAGAAATAAAGGAGTAGGGCTGACTTCTAAGGCTTTGTCTTGAGCAAATAGTTTTTGGTAAATGGTGGGTGCCATTTATTAAGTTAGATGACATTAGTGAAAAGGTTTGTGTTGGCAGGAAGGGATCAAGGATTTAGTTTTACATGTTGATGTTTGAGGTGAAATAATGCCGGGTAGTAAATGGTAGATTTTTGTTGTTGTTTTAAATATCCTCAATTAACAAACAGTTGGTAAGGTTGGTCTCTTAGTTTTAAAAGTTTTAGTATTCTGTAAATATTTTAAGACAGTAACTTTGTGCTGTAGAGCATAATTAGAAAATGTATTCGTGTTTATAGAAATCTCCTGGTAAAACTTGTCTAAAATACATTGGAGCATTTCCAGCTTTAAGAAATTAATGATCTTTCTTTGACTACACGACTGAAGTCAAGTGTTCTTGGTTTTATTATTTCCCTGAAGTATCTACATTACGGCAGAATCAAAACATTAATATTAGATTTGGGGAATTTACATAGAAATAAATTCATTAGAGTGGCTGGACCAAATCCTTTTAGTTTCATGCCATTGTCTGTGTGTAAAATTAAGATAACTATGACATTATGAGACTTCTGTGTCCAATGTAAGGTCTCAGAAGATGAAAATCAAGAATTTATGTAAACTAGAAAAAAAAAACCTTCTCTTTCAGCACCATGGGTGATACCAGAATATAATGTGTTATAAATACTCAGAGATGTTATAAATACTCAGAGATGTTGTTAATATTTAGTAAAGTCATACTGAATGTCTGAAATTTCTCCTAATATTTGGCCAAAGGAACAATAAAATAATTGCCTATGATGTCAGTGGGCATATTGTGAATTTGAAAGCTTCTGAGCTGGGTTCCCCCGTGGCTCAGAATGTCTGCACAAGTATCAGAATCCAAAGTGTGCATTACATCATCTTCCAAATGGCAGTGAAATGAAGACTCTTTTCATGTTTCTCTAGAGATAGAAGCAAGAAACTAATTACATTCTTCTTACAGAAAAAAAGAAAGCAGAAAAGTGAAAATCAAAATTTCCAAGAATCTGGATATCCTTCACTGAAGCTAATTTCTTAATATCCAATTATCTTGTTTACTGTTACTGGGTATACAGGTCTCTATCTTGAAAATGTACTTGGCAAAATTGTAAAAGCAACAAAAACCACCACTTGGGGACAGAAACCACATTTTGTAATTTCATTTATTGCTAATTTGTTTGAAATGAAATTATAGCTCGTTGTCATATGGACACCAGTGAGATTAAAAGCATGCTCAAGTTGTGCCTATTTGAGTCAACATTTTGGGTTATTTCAAGGGTCTCTTCATAAACATAAATACTGTGTAAGTAGCCATGCATTATTGAAGTCCCTACAATATTTTTTACATCCATAATATGGTTTTTGATGGATTTCTTTTTACGGATTTATGACATGTGTTCCCAAAGCAAAGCTCTGTATGTTTGTTGAGGAACGTTAGAAAAACACACAAAGCCTGCTCCATAGAGGCCTCCCAAAGGTGCCTGAAAAAGATATTGGGAGTGACAATTCCTAGGGATTTCTGTTCTTCCTCTGCCTTAGTTATCAGTTTGCTGCCTTTTTTTTTTTTTTTTTTTTTGAAACGAAGTCTTGCTCTGTCACCCAGGCTGGAGTGCAGTGATATGATCTTGGCTCACTGCAGCCTCCGCCTCCTGGGTTCAAGCAATTCTCCTGCCTCAGCCTCCTGAGTAGCTGGTACTACAGGTACCCACCACCATGCCTGGCTAATTTTTGTATTTTTAGTAGAGACAGGGTTTCACCATGTTGCCCAGGCTGGTCTCCAACTCCTGACCTCAACTCCTGATCTGCCTGCCTCGGCCTCCCACAGTGCTGGGATTACAAACGTGAGCCACTGCACCTGGCCAGTTTGCTGCTTCTTTTTTGTGATCTTTTCACAATCTTGAGAGAAGTTTAAAAACACAATATTCCTGACTCAAGCTGACAATGAAATCCTGCTGGCAAAAGAAAAATAGGTCTTAATGGAGCTACATGAGTCATATACAGACACACAGACGTGTGCACACACGTCTGATAAAAATGGCTAACATATGTTTAGCATTTCCTTTTCTTTGTTTTTAGCATTTAATCTTGAAAATGGCTGTATGATATAGGCATTACTATTAGCCCCATTTTACAGATGAGGAAATGGGCCTTAGAGATTAAGTAACTTGTCCCAATCTATCCAGCCACTAAGTGGGGCAAGTGGAAACTCTGTCATAGTTCTCCAAACAGGCACATCTATAAAACCTCCCAAGAGCAGCCAACATACACTCCCAGGCTTCTGGGTTCATGAGTCAACCCAGAAAGGTGTACAACACCAACACCTCCTCTTCACCAACTTTAGGACACCCATACCACATTGCTAGGCTCTTGGGTAGAGAATAATTAATACCTGTTCTTAATGAGCAGTATCCCAGAGGCTTGAGAGTTAAAGATAATTAAAGCTAGAAAGACTCAGCCAACTAACACCATTTACTTACCTGGCAAAATCTGGTCGATGGGAAAAAGGAAAGAACAATAATTGTCTAATAAAACTACTCTTCCTTTCACTGAAAATTAATTTGAAAAAGGATTGAACTTTTAGTATATAAAAAACAGATTTGAAAGGGATCTCTAGAATCAACAACAGATCAATTCTGGTTTCTTTTTGTTTTAAGTAAATTCTTGAACCCGAGTCTATGTTTTAACATTTTACATATTGTCAAGTTTCATCATAGCAAAATTTGGCTTGCTTTCGGGTCTTAAGCTTCTCCAGTAGGAAAAGTGTTGTCTTGAAAGCATTTCTAGCTAAAAGGCTTCAGCAAGCTCTGGCAACAGTTTGGAATCATGAACAACCTTGTTCTTTCTCAAACTGTTCCAATCAAAAGTCATTTCTTCTACTCCTTGCCAAATGGCCAGGCTACTCTAAAAGCTGCTGCCTCCGAGAATTCATCTCCAGTCAAATTTGCCTTGTCACCTCTCCCGATTAATCTTGGTTCTCTACACCTGAGAAGGGACAGATCCAGAGGCTGGTAATATACTTAGGCAGTATTTTCCCTTCGGGCTGCCAGCCTGAGGCAGGCCCAGGTGGGTGGTGATTCAAGTTGAAACTCACTTTGGCTTCATCCAAGCTTTTGGTTTTGACTTGTAGGAAAACTTCTTTGTAATGTGTGCCAGGGAAATGCAATTAAAAAAATAATAATAACAATATGCAGCGAATTGTCGTATAGAAGTAAGATTGCTTTGTAGTCCTTTGGCTGGGATGTTTCAAACGCTATTACAAGGGAAATAATGTAAAATTTAGGAACATTACATCCAAGGTTTTGTTAACACATACCCTTCTTAAGAAGACTGAGATTTAAGCACTCCTTTTAAAGAACTTTGAGGCCATCCTTGGGCTTCGCAAGAAGTCAGTCCACTTGCTGCTGCTACTGTTGTTTTCTCTCAAGTCATGAAAGGACTGGAAAATGATGAATCACAAACCAAGAAGAATCTTCTGATTGTTGTCTTCATCATCTGCCACAAGACTATGTGACTATATAGTATCCTTAAAAATTACCGGCCAGGCGTGGTGGTTCATGCCTGTAATCCTAGCACTTTGGGAGGCCAAGGTGGGTGGATTGCTTGAGCTCAGGAGTTCGAGACCAGCCTGGGCAACACAGTGAAACCCCGTATCTACTAAAATCCAAAAAAAAAAAAAAAAAAAAAAAAAAAAAGAAGCAGGGCATGGTGGCGTGCACCTGTAATCCCAGCTACTCAGGAGGCTGAGATAGGAGAATCACTTGAACCTGGGAGGCAGAGGTTGCAGTGAGCCAAGATCGCACCATTGCACTCCAGCCTGGGTGACAGAGTGAGACTCTGTCTGAAAAAAAAAAAAAATCTACAAAAGGAGATTCCATGAATTTCAAGATTGATTTATATTTTACTCTTTTTTTTTTTTTTTTTTTTTTGAGACAGGGTCTTGCTCTGTCACCCAGGCTGGAGTGCAGTGGCATGATCACAGCACACTGCAGACTGGACCTCCTGGGATCAATCAATCTTTCCACCTCAGCCTCCTGAGAAGCTGGGATCACAGGTGCACGCCACCACGCCCGACTAATTTTTGTGTTTTTTGTAGATACAAGGTTTCACCATGTTGCCCAGGCTGGGCTGGTCTCAAACTCTTGGGCTCAAGCAGTCCTCTTGCCTCAGCCTCCCAGAGTGCTGGGATTACAGGTGTGAGCCACTATAGCTGGTTGATTTTTAGGTAAATTTTTACATGAAACAATATGGGCCCAAATTGTTATCAGGATCACTTTATTTCTCTTTTTAACTCTTATGACCAGTTTTTATATATGGAATGAGGTGGACAGTTGTAAAAAATTATTAAACCAACCATCACAAAAATTTTTTAAAACAGGAGTTATTAAAATGATTGCTTCAACTCTCTACTTGTTAATATAATGCAGACATACCATTTGTAGCCCAATGACATATACTGCAGTTCTTGTTTCTCTAGTTAATTATTTTATAATTAATATTTTAAAGTCTATCTAAGGCTTATAGGTCCTGAGAATGTGCATGATAAGAATCTGCTTGAATTAAACTAAAATTTATTATAAAGCATGTATACAAGTTAAAATTTATTGTTAATAAGTTAATACTTTAGGTAGAATTATTTGGTGGGTATATGGATGTTCCCTGTAAAATTCTTCCCACTTCCCTGTCTATATGAAAATATTTAAATAATAAAAAGTTGTGAAGAAAACCAGGCTAGATGTGCCTGATGGGACCTCTCCAACTTTCCCATTAGATTACCCAAGAAGATACACAAAAGGACAAAAACTGGAAACAAAACTGGAAACTAAGGGGGAGAAAAGTCTGCAAAATTGAAGACAGTTCCCACATTTTCCACTATGCTATCATTGGAAAGGGGGAAAGGGACATGTTCTGGGACTATATGTGCTGTGAACTGTAAATTAGAGCAGCAGGAATAACAGGGATAAAGAAAGAAAAAGGCTTTGACTCACCTCAGCTGGCTGCATAGAACAAGGAGCTCTCTTGACCTACAGCCTCAAAGAGGCATTCAACTATCTCCTTGCCATATATGGCTCCATTATAAGCTGGCCAGAGTCATGACCCCTCTCCACTGATCCAACCCTGGCCTCTCCATAACTGCTCTTCTCTGTGTCTATTCCACTTCTAAAACTCCTGATATGCCTAGGTGCAGTGGCTCACGCCTGTAATCCCAGCACTTTGGGAGGCTGAGGGGGGCAGATCACTTGAGGTCAGGAGTTCAAGACCAGCCTGGCCATATGTTTAGGTTAATTTGGATAATTTCAATTGACTTGTCTACAAGCTCACCGACTTTTTTTTCTTCTGTTATGTCCAGTCTGCTAAGACCACTGAATGATTCTCATGTCTGTTATTGTACTTATTATTTCTACATTTTAATTTTTTTATCATTTCCAGCTCTCTTTGGATATTACCTACCTGTTTTATGCCTGTTGCCCATTTTTACCAACTAGATTCTTTAACATATTTATTATAGTTATTTTAAAGTCCCTGTCTGATAAACTCAGTAACTGAGCCATCTCTAGGTTTGCTTTTATAGACTGTTTCTTTGTTCAACCATAGGCCATGTTTCATTACTTTTTACACTGAAATTAAGAATTTCTAAATACATCATAAAATAAATGAAACTATATACTAAGTATTGGAGAAGACATCTTCAACTGTATAACTGACAGAGGAGTGGTATTCAGAACATTTAGAGAACATCTATGATGGAAAAAACATAGAGAATGCTAAAAATGGACAAAAGACCCTGAACAGGCACTTCACAAAAGAGGAAATCTAAATGGAAACTAGGCATAAAAGGGGCTTATTAGTGATCTCATTAGTGATCAGAGAAATGCAAATTAAAATCACAATGAGATACTCCTACAACATCATCATATAGGTGACTTTTGAATTTCACTGTTTATTAGCTTGGCATCTTTTAAATATCTAGACATTTGGTATGTGGAGTTCCACTTGTTGAAAATGGTAGGAGAGATTGACCATCAAAGGGATTTTGGTAAATAATTTTGGATTGACAGAAAAGTTGCAAGAATCATACCTTTCTTTAAACCATTTGATTGCAAAAATTTAAGATCTCACCATACCAAGAGTTGGCCAGAATGTTGAACTGCAAGAACTCACATGTACAATGGATAAGAGTTTAAATTTGTACAACTACTTTGCGAGATGGTTTAATTCTATATGGTAATGTTCAAGATATGCCTACCCTGTGACTCAGAAGCTTCACTCCAAGGTATACCCTAGATACATGTACAAGCATGTTCACAATAGTGTTGATAAAATTGCCCCAAACTGGAAACAACCCAGATGGTTATTATCAGCAGAAAGGACAAATTGTGGTATTTTTATAAAGTAGAATCTAATACAGCAACGAACTTGGATGCATTAAATTTGCACACAATATGTATGCATCTTATTAAAAATTTTAGAAAACAGCCAGGCGCGGTGGCTCACGCCTGTAATCTCAGCACTTTGGGAGGACGAGGCGGGCAGATCACAAGGTCAGGAGATCGAGACCAGCTTGACCAACATGGCGAAACCCCACCTCTACTAAAAATACAAAAATTAGCTGGGTGTGGTGGTGCACACCTGTAGTCCCAGCTACTTGGGAGGCTGAGGCAGGAGAATCGCTTGAACCTGGGAGACAGAGGTTGCAGTGAGCCAAGATCGTGCCACTGTATTCCAGTGTGGCGACAGAGTGAGACTCCATCTAAAAAAAAAAAAAAATTTAGAAAACAAAGTACATATGGTAAAACTATATATTTTAAAACAAGCAGGAAATGATTAGTGTAAGTTGGGATAGCAGTGATCTTGAATGGGTAGATGGGTTGGGAGTAGGAAGGACTGCACTGATCAGTTGCTGCAGTGCTAGAAAATTTCCATTTTGTGACCTATATGATGGTTGCACCAGTGTATGTTTCTTCAACTAGTTGTTAAACTATACATATACATTTTATATGTGAATAATATTTCACAATAAAAAATGTATGTTTGTATGTGATCGAGAGAGACTGATTTTTGGTTTGGCATATGTGGTCCCAGTAAACTTGTTCACTGAAGCATGAATTGCTAACAACAATAAAGTTTTTACTGCTTAAAGAAAAGGAAGTAGGACTACAGGCGCGCACCACCATGACCAGCTAATTTTTGTATTTTTAGTAGAGATGGGGTTTCACCATGTTGGCCAGGATGGTCTTGATCTCTTCACCTCATGATCCACCCGCCTCAGCCTCCCAAAGTGCTGGGATTACAGCTCGGGAGGCTGAGGCAGGAGAATCACTTGAACCTAGGAGGCGAAGGTTGCAGTGAGCCAAGATCACGCCACTGCACTCTAGCCTGGGTGACAGAAGGAGACTCTGTCTTAAAAAAAAAAAAAAAAAAGAAAAAAGAAAAGGAATTGAAGACAAGAAACTCAACATTCAGTTACAAGAAGAGAAGTCATGATGGTATAGTTCAAAGGTAGACAAGGATTGACATAGCAAAGGGCTGGTGAGCTCAAGCACTGTCTGTTTCCTCCAGTGACATCCTCGCCCTTCTTTATCTGTGCTGAAGTTTCCTATGTTCATAGTGACTTCAAAGTAATTATAAAGTTTTCTCCTAGAGGTAGAAGATACCAGAACAGAATATTTCTGTTTTCCCAGCTGAAGCCTCCCTCATTATGGAGAAGTTAATGAATCACATCTGCTCACTCAGAATTTTACTATGCCTTTGAAGTTATGAATTTTCAAAGTACAGTAGCAAAAAGGAATAACAGTATAATTTTGGGTTATGTTTACAGAAGTTAGAAGGTATGTATTCTGAATTCAGGGCCCATACACTGCTACAGGAGTACTACATTCTTGGTTTTGTCCTTCACAGTTCTAGAGACAAGCTACAATTTGTAGCTATATATAATAAATTTCTAAGTTTTAATAATATTAAGAGCTGGTTGTCAAATTTTTGACCCCTCCAAGAATAAAAAAAAATAATAAAATTATCTCCCTACATACACACACCTAAAACCCTCATTAAAACTTCCTATAACTGGAACAAGGGTGGCTCTAACTTCTCAGAAAGGAAGAAAAGATCCTTATGTTCTGTATGAACAAAATTACAGTGAGTATTCAAATAAGAGGAAGTTAAGGGAACTGAAAGATCCTTTCAAGGAAGAATGAATAGCTAAGAGTTAACGAAGGGAATAAGTACATTCATTCAGGTCATGACATTGCTAATTTGGAACAAGTCGTCTTCCAATGTTTAAAGTAATAATCCTGAAGAAAAGCACATTAAATCACAGTAATATGGCTTAAATTACAGTAATAGGTGAAATTAGGCAAGAAAAAATAATGGCTAATTTTGAAAAATCTGTCCAGGATGATTAATTACATTATGAAAATGAGTTTTTAGGAAATGAATGATTTCCCATAGGCATTTTTGCAGGGCAGATACTTTCTGATTTGGAGAATACCAGCAGGCTAAGTCAAGGATTTCTGCGCCTTTTCTGGAGTCTGCAGGCTGGGTTACAACAGGTCAGTATCTCCAGTTTTCTTTTGCACTCCTGCAACAGAGAAAAGGGAAGTAAATGCAGAGAACTGGAAGAAAAGGAGCACAAACTATATTTTTGTGTACTCTAAGTGTAAAGAACTCTTAGGAGTTGGAAGGTGTATTAGTCAGGGTTCCCTAGAGGGACAGAACTAATAGGATATATGTATGTATGAAAGGGAGTTTATTCAGGAGAATTGACTCATGTGATGACAAGGTAAAATCCCATGATAGGCCATCTGCAAGTTGAAGAGCAAGGAAGCCAGTGGTGGATCAGTCCATGTCCCAAAGCCTCAAAAATAGAGAAGCCAACAGTGCAGCCTTCAGTCTGTGGCCAAAACCCCGAGAGCCCTGGCAAACCACTGGTATAAGTCCAACAGTCCAAAAGCTGAAGAACTTGGAATCTGCTGTTTGAGGGCAGGAAGCATCCAGCATAGGAGAAAGATGAAGGCCAGAAGACTCAGCAAGTCTGCTCTTCCATCTTCTCCTGCCTACTTTATTCTAGCTATGCTAGCAGCTGATTAGATGGTGCCCACCCAGATTGAGGGTAGTAGGTTTGCCTCTCCCAGTCCACTGACTCAAATGTTAATCTCCTTTGGCAACACCCTCACAGATACACTGAGGAACAATACTTTGTATCCTTCAATCCAAACAAGTTGACACTCAATATTAACCATCACAGAAGGCTTGGATCGTAGATACTTTTCTTTTTTTTTTAAGACAGAGTCTTGTTCTATTGCCCAAGCTGGAGACCAGTGGTGCAATCATATAGCTCATGGCAGCCTCGAACTCCAGGGCTCAAGCCATATTTCCATTTCAGCCTCTTGACCTCCTGAGTAGCTGGAACCAGCTAATTAATTTTTTTTTTTTTTTTTTTTTTGTAAAGACGGGGTCTTGCTGTGTTGATCAGGCTGGTCTTGAACTTCTGGGCTCAAGTGATCCTCCCACCTCGGCCTCCCAGAAAGCTGGGATTACAGGTATGAGCCACTGTACCTGGCTCTCTAGATACTTAATAGGTGCAGGATTTAAAGTAAGACATTTAACCTTTATAGGATTTTTTTTTTCTTTTAATCTGTAAAGTAGGCTTAAAGATATTTATTTTATTTACATCATTGGGTTGTTGGAAGGATCAAATAAGTTATGTCTTGGGCTGGGTGCGTTGGCTCATGTCTGTAATCCCAGCACTTTGGGAGGCCGAGGCAGGCAGATCACCTGAGGTCAGGAGTTGAAGACTGACCGGCCTGGGCAACGTGATGAAACCCCACCTCTACTAAAAATAGAAAAATTAGCCAGTGTGGTGGCGCATGCCTGTAGTCCCAGCTACTAGGGAGGCTGAGGCAGGAGAATTGCTTGAACCCGGGAGGCAGAGGTTGCACTGAGCCTAGATCATGTCACTGCACTCCAGCCTGTGCCACAGAGTGAGACTCTGTCTCAAAAACAAAAACAAAAACAAACAAAAAAAGTAATGTGTTGTGAAAATACAAAGTAAATTATAGAATAATTATTACTGCATTCTAGAACAACTCCACTGCATGTTGCACACAGCTTTCCCAGCATCCTTTGCCCCTAACCCAGCTCTGACTTTGTTGTAGGACCTCTGGCTGCTCTCATGGAGCCAGGGATTAAGAAAGTAGCAGGGACGGTGGGAGATGAAGAAGCTGAACAGCACAATATCAACAGCTCTGTTGCCCCAGGTTACTAGCTCCACCCTCTGTTAGGTTCATAGCCGGGAAGAACGTTTACTTAGCAATAACAGAAATGTTTCTGAACAATCTTTTCATTAGCTGTAAATTGTCTCATTCTGATTTCTAAAATTAAGATTCCGGATTGCTATGAAGGCAGGTTCTTACTCTGAAGCAATCATCTTCACTACCGGAAAGAGCTCCATCCACATTGTTGAATCATGAAATGAGCTGAGTACCATGGAATTTGATTTACTAAGTATTGCTTGAGACAGGCAGGACTGTACAGGTCATTTAAAGTGGTAACACTGTACAAAATATAATGTACCTTTTAATGGGGTGTGGAGGAGAGTGTCTAGTGAGAGAGTTCTCTAGACTTTTCTGGGGCAGAACACAAGCTTTGCATTGATATTACAGGCTCATGGTTTATATGCCTGAACATCTAAGAACAGGGTCACCTTAGAAGTGAATTTTCTCATTCCTTTTGAGAGTCCGCAGGATAAGGAGGGGATACTTTAAGGTTAAAATATGTTGATGTGTGCGTGGGCACTCAATAAAATTGATATGAAGACAAACCGGACTAACTTGCTTTGCCACCAAAACTGTTTTTCAAGAGTGGAGCCATTCACATTTTGAGCTGGATAATTCTTTGTTGTGGGAGCCTGTCCTATGCATTGTATGATATTTAACAGCGTCTCTGGCCTGTCCTCATTAGATGCCAGTAGCATTCCCCAAGCTGTGATGATCGAAAATGTCCCCAGACATTGCCAGATGACCCTCGGGAAGCCAAAATGCTCCCAGGTGAAAATCACTGCATGAAAATCATTCATTGAATTTATGGTATGAAAATACTCTTTCTACTTCTTGAAATTAATTGTTAGGAAGGAATATGCTTTGCAAATAATCAGTCAACAAATTTTAGTTATCACTAATTTTTTTAACAATTATTTGTATGGCACTTTGTAATTTATAAAATATTTCTATATGCCATATTATGGATGAGCAAAAAGGAAAGGAGTTAATATTTATTATTTACTATATGCTATCTGGTAAGGGACTTGCTTCAAATACATCCTTTCATTTAGGTCTCACAGAATCTCTGCGTGAGAGTTATTTTCCCCCATTTTATACAAAAGAAAACAAGCTTAGAAATGTTAAGTAGCTGGCTGAGCATGGTGGCTCACACCTGTCGTCCCAACACATTGGGAGGCCGAGGTGGGCTGATCACTTGAGGTCAGGAGTTCAAGACCAGCCTGGTCAAATGGTGAAACCCTGTCTCTACTAAAAATATTTTTAAAGTTAGCCAGATATGGTGGTGGGCACCTGTAATCCCAGCACTTTGGGAGGCTGAGGCAAGTGGATCACCTGAGGTCAGGAGTTCGAGACCAGCCTGAGCAACACAGTGAAACCCCGTCTCTACTAAAAATGGAAAAATTAGCCGGGCATGGTGATGCCTTCCTATAATCCCAGCTACTTGGTGGGGTCTGAGGCAGGAGTATCGCTTGAACCCAGGAGGCAGAGGCTGCAGTGAGCTGAGATCACACCACTGCACTCCAGCCTAGGAGACAGAGTGAGACCCTGTCTCTAAATAAGTAAATAAATAAATACAACAAAACAGGTGGGTAGCAGGGTAGCTAAGGTAGCAGATGTTACCAAGGGTCTGAATCAATGGATGGGGTTTTCACTGCAGTCACATAAACAAATTTGAAATTAAATAATTGATTTCTCTTTTCTTAAGAGTCTTGTAACCATTGCATCTTCAGAATGCATTCCCAGTCTGTATGGGCATCTTTTCCCAAGCTGCAATATGCCATCACATAGCCTAAGCAATCCTCTCTCTCAGGTATCTCCTCTTATTCCCTGATTCCCCAGGTCCCTTCACCTTTAGCTTTCTCCTAAATTAGAATCTGTTTAATTACAGGACAGAGCAATGAGCTCTCTGCTTCTTCCTCATGTTGAGGTCTGTTCACCTTCTGCATGTTTGAAAACACATTCATCATTTTGCTAAACAAAAGACCACCTGTTCACCCCTGGGTAGCACTGAAGAACCAGCAAACACTTTGCAATTTCCATCTTTCTTCTGTAACCCTTTCCCTGTGTAACTCCTCCCAAGCTCTGTAAGTGGAAGAATTCAATGTGGACATTTATTTTCCCATTGATAAGAATTATCTAGCCATCCTCCATACACATGCTGAAAGGAAGCAGTGGTTAGTCAGTTTTTAATATTTGTCATATACTGTACTGAAGTATAAAATACATATTGAAAAGTACACAATTCATAAGTGTACATACCTATTTTTATAAACTGAACATACCCGTGTCTCCAGCATCCAGAACAAGAAACAGAACAGTACAAGCATTCCAGAACCCTCTGTTCCCTCTACCCGTCAGTGTAATATTTTCTAATGACAAAGAGTTTGTATATGCCAGCCTTTGCTCTCTAACCAACAACTTTGCAATGAGTGGTTTTATTACTGTGTTGTATCTAGTCAGAAATGCCTACATGAGGCACAATTGCTTATATTAGTTTGTATACAAGTCATTGAAAATGCAGTGATTGTGTTAATCTTGTGGTTTAAGGGTTCACAAGGGAAAGAGAGCAACTTCATAGCTCCTTGTCCTGGGATTCTTCAGAGTCCATCAGTCATTCATAGGTAGGGCTCTCTCCTTATCACCTGAGAACTCCTGATTTTCCTTGGGTTCCATGGATATGATTTATTCTAGTAAGTGATGCCAGCTCTGCCAGCAGAGCTCACACTAACTGCATGTGATACTTATTGCTCCCAGAGTCACCAACACCACCATTTTATACTGTAGTTGTTCCTGTATATATGGGACCCAAAGTCGTGGAATTCTCTACCTAATGGATCTCATCTCTGGCAGCATGTTAGAATTATCTGAATAATTTTTTTAAAGCTCATGCCCCACCCTGACCTAAGGCATGGGACTTTCTTGAGGGATGGCATCCAACATCAACAGCTTTAAGTTCCAGGTGTTTCTAAAGTGTGACTCAGGTTGAAAAGCAGTGCAACTTCTCACCCTCTCCGTGAAGCTCCCTTCCATCTCAGTGTTAGACATATCAGCAACTCTGAGAGAACTACATTATCAAGATGATCAAATTTAGCTCAAGCTTGATTCTCTACCTCTTAAACATTGGATAGGGCATCATTTTTTTTTTCACATTAAGAGACTATCCTTAAGTTGTTAGAAACTGGCAGAACCCTCCTATTATATCCCAATTTACTTCTGTTGAGCACTGGGCAGGAATGATCAGATCACCTTGGATGGAGATCTGATCATTAGAATCCACTCCCAGGATAAGCCCAGTCTTCTCTAGCACTAAATTGTGCCTTCTTTGGGTCATCTTTGCTAGAAGAAAAAATATACTTTCTGATAAACCTCTTACCTTTAAGCCCTGGCTTTGAACCCAGGTTCTCAAGTCAGCCCTTCATAGTACAACCCCTGGGGGAATCACTGTTATTGATGTAACTATTATCTATGGGACTGGCTAAATTAATGATAATGATAATAACCATTATCTATTAAAAATGTGCTAGTTTCTAGACATTATGTATTTATTGTGTTAAATAATGCAGTTGACCCTTAAAGGTAGGTATAATTCATTCCATTTTACAAGTGAAGAAATCGAGGCTCAAAAACCAGAATGACTTGCCTCAAGATCGTACAGACAGCAAATGACTGAATGAAGCTTTGAAATTAAGTCTGTCTGATTAGATGCTGCTAATAAACAAAGCTGATATTTAATAAACAAAGCTGATATTTCATGTCTCCCATCTAAGGCAAAGTCATTAACTCTTCTTAAATGTTTGGTGCTCTTATCCCAACCCTAGATTCCCCAAGTCTTCCCCAGTTACAACGCAGCTCAGGGCTGTCCTCCTCCTTCGAAAGTAGTGGTGGCTCACGTCTGTAATCCCACCACTTTGGGAGGCTGAGGCAGGTGGATCATGAGGTCAGGTGTTTGAGACCAGCCTGACCAACATGGTGAAACCCCGTCTCTACTAAAAACACAAAAATTAGCCGGATGTGGTGGCACACATCTGTAATCCTAACTACTCAGGAGGCTGAGGCAAGAGAATCTCTTGAACCTGGGAGGTGGAGGTTGCAGTGAGCCAAGATCGTGCCACTGCACTCCAGCCTGGGTGACAGTGAGATTCCATCTCAAAAAAAAAAAAAAAAAGTAGTTATCTATTGTTCTCCACTCAGGGCCCTGTCTTCTTTTAGGAGATAGCTGCCTATCTCCTAAATAGCAACAGTTCTATGCTCTGTGTAAAATCTGATGAGTTCATCTTTGGTTCTTCCTGGATAGTACCTTCACTTTATGAGAGTTTTCCAAATACAATGCCTCAGCCAGGATTGACTCTAATGTTAGGGATTTTAGGCTCCTTGAAGGGAGAATAATACTGGGAGCTTTTAGAGATTTTCTGAATGTGCCAGTCAGCACTCTTTGGTTGGCAAGTAAGGGGAACCCAAATGTAATCTGGCTTAAAGGAAAAGAGAGTATACTGGCAAAACATTGGAAATGTAGGGGAGGAAGAAAACCTTAATTTTCTTTATCTTCCTACGTTTTCTAACTGGGGACCTGTGAATTAGACTGATAAAAGACAGATGACCAAGAGGAAAACATAGTTTATTACCATATGCAGCGTGCAAACACGCAAGAGAAACCCAGTGATAAGTAACTCAAAGGGGTGTTTAGAATCTGGGGTTATATAACATCTTAACAAAGGACAATAAATTTATGGAGAAAACAAAGGAAGAGGCTTTAGGCTTTCAAGGTCTGAAAATTATGGGAAGGTAAATATATGGGAGAAGCAAATGGAACAGGATTTGTTTGTGAAGGTCTGTCTTGACACCCACTTTCGATCTTCTTCATGGCCGTAAAACTTCTCCAGGAAAGGGGACTTATGGCAATCTTCATTTCTGAAAAGCTTCTGCTTTTAGCTCTGGGAAGGATTCTTTCTGCATCTGTTGGATCTCAAATGCTTTTGGTTCAAAATAATCCATATGCCAAAGTGGCATATTTTGGGGTTGCATATTTTGATCCCCTACAGAAACACCAGAGAGTGAAAGAACTGATGAACACACAGCTTTATGGAATATAGAATACAGCACTTTATTTTTATTATTTTTATTTTTTTATTTTTAAATTTTTTTATTTCCACAGGTTATTGGGGAACAAGTCGTGTTTGGTTACATGAGCAAGTTCTTTAGTGGTGATTTGTGAGATTTTGGTGAACCCATCACCTGAGCAGTATACATTGCACCCTATTTGTAGTATTTTATTCCTCACCCCCTTCTCTTCTTTCCCCCTGAGTCCCCAAAGTCATTCTTATGGCTTTATATCCTCATAGCTTAGCTGTCACTTATGAGTGATAACATATGATGTTTGATTTTCCATTCCTGAGTTACTTCACTTGGAATAATAGTTTCCAATCTCATCCAGGTCGCTGTGAATGCCATTAATTCATTCGTTTTTATGGCTGAGTAGTATTCTATCATATATATATGCCACAGTTTCCTTATCCACTAGTTGATTGATGGGCACTTGGGTTGGTTCCACATTTTTGCAATTGCAAATTGTCCTGCTATAAACGTGTGTGCAAGTATCTTTTTCGTATAATGATTTCTTTTTCTCTGGGTGGATACCCAGTAGTGGGATTGTGGGATCAAATGGCAGTTCTACTTTTAGTTCTTTAAGGAATCTCCACACTGATTTCCATAGTGGTTGTACTAGTTTACATTCCCATGAGCAGTGTAGAAGTGTCCCCTCTTTACCACATCCATGCCAACATCTACTACTTTTTGATTTTTTTTTATTATGGCCATAGAATATAGCACTTTAAATGAACTACAGCTACATCTCTTAACATAGTTAAACCCCCAAAACATAGGTAAACCCCCTGGATGAAAAAGACAAGTTGCAGAAGTATTTGTATAATTTGATAAAATAATAATATATAAAATTCTGTAAGTTTGAGGATGCATAAATATGTAGGTAAAAATATAGCATAATGTATGGGCATGACAAACACTGAATTTATGACAGTAATTATTGTATTAGTCCGTTTTCACACTGCTGATAAAGACATACCCAAGACTGAGAAGAAAAAGAGGTTTAATTGGACTTACAGTTCCACATAGCTGGGGAGACCTCAGAATCATGGTGAGAGGCTGCCATCTAGGCAGCAAGAGAAAATGAGGGAGAAGCAAAAGTGGAAACTCCTGGTAAACCCATCAGATCTTGTGAGACTTATTCACTGTCATGAAAATAACATGGGAAAGACTTGCCCCCATGATTCAATTACCTCCCCCGGGGTCCCTCCCATAACACATTGGAATTCTGGGAGATACAATTCAAGTTGAGATTTGAATGGGGACACAGCCAAACCATATCAATTTTCATATCATATCATGTTTTCCTCTGGGTGAGAGGAAAATAATAGATTGGATCAGGGAGGAGCACACAGGGGGGTCTTGAACTTGTCTTTAATGTTTAGTGCTTCACATTAATAACATAATGTTTGATGCTTAATACGTTTGATAAAACTGGTTATTCATATTCTCTATAGATGTATATGTTTAAAATATTTCATAATTTTCTTTAAAAAGGGAATCCACTGGTCATGTCACAGAAAGATCTATGAGTATCTGGCTGTGAGTCTGACTCAATCCAGAGGATCCAGTTGTGGTGTCAGGAGCTGTCTCCAGCTTTTGGAGTTACTTTCTTTTCTCTAGGTGCTATTCTTATTTAGGTTCTTCATTTTCAGCAGCTAGAGGGCTCCTAATACCTCCAGGGCCCTATCTTAACCTGTTGGCATCTCTTGCAAAATGGACTTCTCTTTTCTCAAAGTTTTTGCAAGGGTCCCAGAATTTCACCCCATTGAGTAATGTACCCATCCTTGAATTACTTCATTTTCACACGGGGAGTGAGCTGATAGGGCTGGACCTTTTTAATGGGCACCCTCTGGAATTGGTGAGATAGGAGATCAGCTTCTTTCAAAGGACATTAAGCGAGAGGTTTCCCAAGGAAAAAGGAGTGTGTTAACTGAACCAGGAGAAACAGATCTGGGATAATAAGAAACAACAGATATCTAGTCTTACATAAAGAATTGCGTATACACTATATCAATGATTATCTTAGAACAGTGCCTGCTGTGCTTTCCCATATCTAAGTGACAGTAAGTTAAAGGGAAATATGAATTGGTTTCACTTGGGAATATGTCTACATATGCAAACTCATTATTGAAATGTCAGAAAATATAATTGAACAGTATATAAAGGAATAACTTACCAAATGAATCTTAGGACAAAATAATATAACAAAATCTATTACAAAATCCAACATAATACATTGCGTTAATAAGCTATGAGAAATGACAAACCATAGGTGAAGCTCTACAGATATTCCCATTAAAATTAGGAATAGAAAAAAGTGATGCATGTTATTGTCACTATTATTTTATTTTTTCTAAAATGGTAGTCAATGCATTAAAATAAAAGGCAGATACAAAAAGTATAGTAAACAGAAAGTGGGAGAATTGTCCTATCAACAAAAGATCAAAACTAACAGACATGGACAGATTCAGTTCAGTTTATCATCAAGGAGAACCTAATCTAAAAGACAAGGACACAAGCATGCTTTGGAACAGGAGCAGTGGGAGTATTAGACACAGAGCCAGGTTGTTCTAAGAATTATCCCAAAACTAGAGAAAAAGAACAGGACACAGCCCCCAGGCAATGGGACTGGCAGGAATGAGGCCGGAAGCAGAATCCAGCCAGCTGGCCTGATTCATAGAGCAGATTCCAGCCAGCTGGCACTGTGAGTAGAGAAGCTCTGACTCTCCAAGTGCTGTAGGTAGGACAGTTAGGTAGGGGCCTAGACTTTCCATGGTGTGTATTTGCCAGCACCTACTTGTGCCCTGGAGCTATAGGCATACTAGCCATGAGTACCCTTACATGAGAAGAGCAGGGCAAGAGATTTTGATATGGTGCTGGACTGGCTTATTGTTGGTTTGGTGGAGGGAGAGGCAGCCTATTCCTAAATGGATACTTCTTTGACAATATAATTGGGTTGATGGCAGAGGGCAGATGGCCACAGTATTACAGCCTTCTTTTTACCTGTGTTTGTTGGGTCCCGAGTTCTTGTCCCACATCCAAGAAGAATGAGGCTACTTTGACAATCGAAGGGTGAGGAGGGTGGAGAAGAATTTTATTGAGCAACGAAACAGCTCTCAGCAGATGGGGGATGTGAGGGTGATCCTTCACCTGAAGTTTGGTGGTCTGTCTCTCAGTGTGGCTGGGTCTGGGGCTTTTATGGGGTCAGAATGGGGAGTGCGTGCTGATTGGTTTGTGAGTATGAAAAAAAAAAAAGGCTAAAACAAAGGCACCACTCAAAGGTGGGCACAACAGTTCAGAAAACCAATTAGGAAAGGGTAGGTATATGTAAAATAGGTGAAGGGCGGGAATCAATCAGAGGAAAGCACACCAAATGGGAAAAGAGGTTCTCAATCCAGTCCAAGGATTTACCCAGGACTGTCTTTGGCTTGAAGGTTGGGTTTCACTGGGACCCGCTCCTGTCTGCCATAGATTTGTCTGCCTCCTGCCTCTATCATGACCGTGGACATGGGCTCAGTTATGAACATTCATGGCATAGCAGGGGTAACTATCCTGGACTAATTACCAAGCTCACACAGTTGGGTCTGATCCTATCCAGCATACCAAAGATGACTGCTCTTATGCCAAATTGGCCATTGGGTAGTGCATACATTGGATATATCCAATAGCCCTGCAAAATTGTTGAAAATTGAAGAAGGTAGTTTGAAATTTGTTTCCTCATTCCTTGCTTAAACAAAATGTAAACAGTCTACATAGGATTTAGATAAGATTCAAAGTCTCATAACATAATATGTAAACTGTTCAAAATCCAAAATTATTCAGTTTACAAAGAATCAGGGACAACTCAAAAAGACAATAAGCAGATTCCAGTGCTGAGATGATGCAGATTTTGAAATATCAAAGAACAAAAGTAGGACAAATTTAAAGATTTCAGTTAGCTTCATTGCAATTACAGAATAGGGCAAAACTTCATTCCACAAAACAGAATAAGTGTTCTGATGAGCTGAGCAGAAGAGTTTGGCTTTATAGACAGAGAAGAGCTGCAGAAAGCAGAAGCAAAGAACAAAGAGCATATTAGTCGTTTCAAAGCTATTTTTTTTCTTGTAAGGCTGGGTCAGGGAGAAAGAACAATAGAAAAAAACTGATTAGTTAATATCAGGTTGCTTCAGGCTACTTTGCGTGTGTTTTAAATTTTTTTATTGATATATAATATTCATATGTATTTATTGGGTATACGTAATATTTTGTTACATGCATAGAATGTGTAATAATTGAATTAGGGTATTTCAGGTATCCATCATTTTGAGTAATTATCATTTCTGTATTTTGAGAACATTTCAAATTGTCTCTTCTAGCTATTTTGAAATATATGATACACTGTTGTTAACTGTACTCACCTTACTCCACTATTGATCATTAGACCTTATTCCTTCTATCTAAATGTATGTTTGTTCCATTAACCAATCTGCATTCACTCCCTTACTCCCAGCACATAGCCTTCCATGCCTCTGGTATCTATCATTCTACACTGCCTCCTTGGGATCAACTTTTTTAGCTCCCGCATATGGGTGAGAACATTCAATATTTGTCTTTCTGTGCCTGGTGTATTTCACTTAACATAATGATGTCCACTTCCATCCACGTTGCTGAAAATGACAGGATTTCATTCTTTTTTATGGCTTGTAATATTCTATTGTGTACATGTACCACGTTTCTTTATTCATTTATCTGTTGATGGACACAGGTTGATTCTGTATCTTTGCTATTGTGAATAGTGCTGCAATAAATACAAGAGTGAAGGCATCCCTTTGATATACTGATTTCTTTTCCTCTGAATAAATACCCAGTAGTGGGATTGCAGGAGCATAAAGAAGTTCAATTTTTAGTTTTTCCACTCAAAAACTCTGAGATCTGATTTTAAAAAATTCACTAAAGTTACAGGTCAAAAAATCAACATATACAAATCAGTAGCATTTCTACACACCAATTATGAACTAGCTAAGAAAGCAGTCAAGAAAACAAACTCATTTCTAATAGCTACAGAATAAAACAAAATAAAATAAAATACCCAGGAATAGATTTAACCAAGGAAGTGAAAGAGCTCTAAAGACAAACTGCAAAACACCAATGAAAGAAATTGAAGAGGACACAAACAAGACATCCCATGCTCATGGGATCCATCTTGAGTTGATTTTTGTATATGGCGAGAGAAGGGTCCAGTTTCATTACTCTGCATATGGATATACAATTTTCCTAGCACCATTTATTGAAGAGGATGTCTTTTCCATAATGTATGTTTATTTTATTTTATTCTGTAGCCATCTACAGATTCAATGCATTCCCTATCAAAATACCCATATCATTTTTCACAGAAATAAAAAAAATCTTAAAGTTCATGTGAAGATAAAAAAGAGCCTGAATAGCCAAAGCTTTCTTGAGCAAAAAGAACAAAGCTAGAAGCACACTACCTGATTTCAAAATATATTATAAGGTTATAGCAACCAAAACAGCATGGTATTGGTATAAAAACAGACACTTAGACCAATGGAACAAAATAGAGAACCCAGAAATAAATCCATGTATTTACAGCCAAACTGAATTTTAACGTAAGTACCAAGAACATACATTATGGAAAAGACACCCTCTTCAATAAATAGTGCTAGGAAAATTGTATATCCACATGCAGAGGAATGAAACTGGACCCATCTCTCACCATACACATAAATCAACTCAAGATGAATTAAAGACTAATGCAAGACCCAAAACTATAAAACTACTAGAAGAAAACATGGGAGAAATATTGCAGGACACTGGTGTAGGGAAAGATATTATGGCTAAGACCTCAAAAGCACAGGCAAAAAACCAAAAATAAACAAATAGGATAATATTAAACTAAAAAGTTTCTGCATAGCAAAGGAAACAATCAACAGAGTGAAGAAACAACCTGTTGAGTGGAAGAAAATATTTACAAACTACTCATCCCATGAGGGACTAACATCCAGAATGTACAAGGAACTCAAACAACTCAATAGTAAAAAAACCAAATAATCACCTTAAGAAGTGGGAAAAAGACATGAATATTTCTCTAAAGAAGGCATACAAATGACCAACAGGTACATGAAAAAATGCTCAACATCACAAATCATTAGGGAAATGTAAATCAAAACCACAATGAGATATTATCTTACCCCAATTAAATGGCTATTATTAAGACACACACACACACACACACAAACCCAGCAACAACAAAACCCAGATACTGGCAAGGATGTGGAGAAAAGGGAAACTGGCAAGGATGTGGTGAAGAAAAGGGAACTCTTATTGTTGGTGGGAACATAAATTAGCACAGCCACTTTGTGGACACAGATATTGTCCACAAAAACACCATCGAGATTTCTTAGGCTGCTTCTTTTGTGTAAGGATTTAAGTAGAGGAAACTTCATTATCATATGGATTGAAGGTTGGATTGAAGATTGCTGTTATGTCTCTTGCGATTTCTCTGAAGGTCAGATAACAACTTAGTCTGGGTTTGGTGACATGAAACTGTAGCATGGATGTCTCCATTTTGATTTTTAGTTTGGTCTTTTGGGGCCTAGAGCAAGAGCTTAGTTCAAAAAAGTGATCTCCTATAATTTTTATTTAACAGAAATTATTGCTATGTATGGTGGCAGATGCCTGTAGTCTCAGCTACCCTGGAGGCTGAGGCAGGAGGATTGCTTGCACCCAGGAGTTTGAGGCTGTAATGTGCGATAATCATGCCTGTGAATAGCTATTGTACTCTAGCCATAAAAACTGAATAGAAATTGAGAACTGAAAAACACAGTAATTGAAACTAAAAAAAAAACAAAAACAAAAACAACTCACTGTATGGGCTTAATGGCAAAATAGATATGTCAGAGTAAAGACCCAGTGTATGTGAACAAAGTTCAATAGAAATGATCTAACCTGAGTAACAGAGAAAAAGATATAAAAACACCCACTTGGACTCAGGGACCTATGGGACAATAGCAAAAGACCTAACCTTTATGTCACCAGAGTCCCAAAAAGAGAGAAGAAAACGTGGTGCCAAAAAAACTATTTAAAAAACTGGCTAAAAATCCTGAAATTTGGCAGACAACATAAACCTACAGATTTAAGAAAATCAGCAAAACTTGAACAGGATAAAACCAAGGAAACCCATTCCAAGACACATTATAACTAGTATATATATAACACATGAACTAAAGACAAATAAAAAATCTTGAAAGCCATCAGAGACAAATGGCTCATTACTTACAGGGAGAGAATGATGCAAATGACTATGGAGTTCTCCTCAGAAACCACAGGGGCCAGAAAAAAGTGAGACAGTTTTCAAGTGATGAAAGAAAATAACTGTTAATTCATAATTGTATATCTGGTTAAAAAAATATGTTTCAGGAATAAAAGTGAAAGACATTCTTAGATTAAGTATACTTGGAAAACTATTAATTAAGGACAACCAACAGAAATGATAGGTATATGGGCATATATAATGGGCTATTATTTTTTCTTTAGTCCTTTAAATATGTTTGAAAGCAAAAATTTTAACAATGTTGAAATTGCCTTTGCAAAATTATGACTGAGACAGTGAAGGAGAGCTAATCTAACCTACTCTATCTTGGTTCTAACCTTTAAACTGTCCTTGTTCCTTTCTGGGCTTAGGCTGAACTAACTTTGGGAGGAACTTAGTTTACAGTTTATAGTTGAAAACAAAATCGATAACAGCCCTTTCCCAAAACAAACCTTCTTCTTGCCTGGGGACTAGACTGCCTTTGTAGGACAAACAAATTAACCACAAGATTAGAAATTATGGTTTAGGAGTCATGCAGCTGGAGGCTGCAAGACTCTGACCCTCCCTAAACTGCTCCTAAGATCAGTGCTTGAGATATTTTGCAGACCCTGCGCTTGTTGGATCAGCTGGCACCACCCAGATTGATACACTTGATGATCTTGTGGCCCCCACCCAGGAACGGACTCAGGGCAAGGAGACAGCTTTGACTCCCTGTGATTTCATCTCTGACCTGACCAATCTGCACTCCTAGCTGACCAGCTTCCCCTGACCCACTAAGTTGTCCTTAAAAACTCTGATCCCTGAGTGCTGCTTGGGGAGATTGATTTGAGTAATAACGAAACTCTGCTCTCCTGCACAGCTGGCTCTGCGTGAATTACTCTTTCTCTCTTGCAATTCCCCTGTCTTGATAAACTGGCTCTGTCTAGGCAGCAGGCAAGGTGAACCCACTGGGTGGTTACAATGTCTGGTGAGGATTTCAACGAATGTAGATGTAATGTACAAGACAGCCATAACAGAAGAGGGGGAAGTTACAGGAATCTATGAAATAAATGAAAATATATCATATTTAAATTTGTAGGCTGCAGCTACATCAGTGCTTAGTGGAAATTTTCTGCCATTAGATACTTTATTAGAAGAAAGATCTCAAATCAATAACCAAACTTCCTTATGTAAAACTAGAAGAACAAGAACAAAAAGCAAGCAGTAAGAAGGAACTAAGAAAGATAAGAATAGATATCAATGAAATTGAAAACAGAAAAGAGAAAAATCAATAAAAGTTGGTTCTTTGAAAAGATCAATAGGATAAATCTCTATCTAGCAAGAGTGACACACAAAAAAAGTGTGAAGTCCAAATTACCAATATCAGGAAAGAAATAGGGGAAATCACTACATACCCTGCATACTTTAAAAAGATAATAAACAGCTTCACTCACATAAATTTGACAGCTTAGTTGAACAAGAATAATTTCTAAAACACACAAACTGCCAAAACTGAGCAAGATAAAATAGATAATTCAATAGTCTTGTGACTATTGTAAATCATTAATTCTCCGTTGAAAATTTTCTGAAAAAGAAATCTCCAGGCTCAAATAGTTTTGCTGGTAAATTCTACCAAACATATAAAGAAGGAATAAAACCAATTCCATGCAACTTCTAAAGAAATTAAATCAATAACAAATAACCTTTCAAAAAATAAAGCACCAGGCCCAGATGCCTTCACTGGTAAATTTTACAAACACTTAAGGAAGAGTTAAGTTTGAATTTAGGTCAATTTTCCAAAATCTCTTTTAGAAAATAGTAAAGAAAAGACTTCCCAACTAATTTTATGAGGTCAGCATAAAATATCAAAATTAGACAAAGACAATAGACAGTAGGCCAGGCACTGTGACTCACCCCTGTAATCCCAGCACTTTGGGAGGCTGAGGCGGGTGGACCACAAGGTCAGGAGATCGAGACCATCCTGGCTAACACGGTGAAACCCCGTCTCTACTAAAAATACACACACACACACACAAACATTAGCCAGGCGTGGTGGCGGGTGCCTGTAGTCCCAGCTACTCAGGAGGCCGAGGCAGGAGAATGGCATGAACCCGGGAGGTGGAGCTTGCAGTGAGCTGAGATCACGCCACTGCACTCCAGCCTGGGTGACAGAGCGAGACTCCATCTCAAATAAAAAAAAAAACTCCTTCCCCCTCAGAGTGTTATATTTGTTACAATTTATGGAGCTACACTGACACATCATTATCACCAAAGAACATAGTATATATTAGGGCTTACTCTTGCTGTTGTACATTTTATGGGTTTGAATAAATGTATATGGTATGTATCCACTATTACAGTATCATGGAAAGTGGTTTCACTGACCTAAAAAATCCTTTATTCTATGCCTATTCATCCCTTCCTCCCTACTAACTTCTAGCAACCACTGATCTTTTTACTGTGTCTATAGTTGTACCTTTTCCAGAATGTAATATATTTGGGATTATATAATATGCAGACTTTTTAGATTGGCTTCTTTCACTGAGTAATATGCATTTAAGTTTCCTCCATGTCTTTTTATGACTTGTTAGTTCATTTCTTTTCCATGCTGAATAATATTCCATTCTCTGGCTCGAACACAGTTCACATATCCATTTTCCTACTGAAGGATATCGTGGTTGCTTCCAAGTTTTGGCAATTGTGAATAAAACTGCTATAAACATATGAGGGCAGGTTTCTGTGTTAAAAAAGTTAAAACATAAATTTTAAACTTCTTTCGGCAAATACCAAGGAGAACTGAATTGCATGCTGAATTACATGGTAAGAGTCTGTATATGTAGTAGTATAAGGAACCATCAAACTGACTTCCAAAGTTGCTGTACCATTCTGCATTTCCACCAGCAATGAATCAGAGTTCCTGTTGCTCCATATCCTACTCAGCATTTGGTGTTGTCAGTGTTCTGGATGTTGGCCATCCTAATAGGTGTATAGTGGTATCTCATTGTTTTCTTTTTATTTCCCCAATGACATATGATTTGGAGCATCTTTTCATATGCTTTTTTGCCATCTGTATATCTTTTTTGGTGAGGTATCTCTTAAGGTCTTTGGTCCAGTTTTTGGTCGGATTGTTAGTATTCATATTATTGAGTTTTAAGGTTTTTTTGTACATTTGGATAGCAGTCTTTTGGCAGAGGTGTCTTCTCATTCTTTTAACATTGTCTTTCTCAGAGAAAATTTTTAAAGTTTTAATTATGTCCAGCTTATCAGTTTCTTTCACGGATCATGAAACGTCTTCAGTGTTGTATCTAAAATGTCATTGCCATACTCAAGGTTATCTAGATTTTCTCCTATGATACCTTCTAGGAGCTTTATAGTTTTGTGTCACACATTAGGTCTGTAATCCATTTTGAGTTCATTTTTGTGAAAAGCGTAAGGTCTGTTTCTAGATGCATTTTTTCATATGTGGCTCTCCAGTTTTTCCAGCACCATTTGTTGAGAAGATTATTTTTTATCCATTGTATCGCCTTTGCCCCTTGTCAAAGATCAGTTGACTATTTATGTGGGTGCCAGGCTTTTATCATATCGACTCTGCCATCTTTTCCTCCTGCTCATGCTATCATGGATTGATGCCTTTTGCCCACAAAGCCTCTTAAAGTTGTGTAATCAGAGTTGGGTATGGTGGCATGCACCTACAGTCCCAGCTCCTGGGGAGGCTAAGGTGGGAGGATCCTTTGAGCCCAGGAATTAGAGGCTGCAGTGCTTTATGATCATACCTGTGAAGAGCCACTGCACTCCAGCCTGGGAATTAGCGAGAAACCGCCTCTTAAAAAAGTTTCACTGGCTGGGCCCGGTGGCTCACGCCTGTAATCCCAGCACTTTGGGAGGCCAAGACGGGCGGATCATGAGGTCAGGAGATTGAGACCATCCTGGCTAACATGGTGAAACCCCATCTCTACTAAAAATACAAAAAATTAGCTGGGCATGGTGGCGGATGCCTGTAGTCCTAGCTACCCGGGAGGCTGAGGCAGGAGAATGGCGAGAACCCGGGAGGTGGAGCTTGCAGTAAGCCAAGATGGTGCCACTGAACTCCAGCCTGGGTGACAGAGCGAGACTGTCTCAAAAAAAAAAAAAAGTTTCATCATCATTGCTGATGGTAACTTTCCTGAAAACACTAATATTTGTGCCAAAGATGCTATCTCTTAATTCTTCCAAGGAAGTGAGCTTTAGGTGCTCAGGTCAATGAATAAATGAATAGAATGGTTAGTCAGGGTCCCAGCAAGAAAGAAAATCTAACTCAGATATCTCAAGAGAGTATAACCAAAAGACTATTTACAGCAGCATGGCCAGGTTAGGGCCACCAAAAAGTGAGGAACCCAGAAATTAACTTCAGTAGGCAGCCTTTTCCACCCTAGATCTGAGGAAGCAAAGGCAGAAAATAATGTTACCATAGCCCACTAAGTGCTAGGGCCAGGGTGGGAGTCACATAAGAGAAACATGTAATGATCCAGGAGGTCAGATGCTCCTCATTGACTGTGAATTTTATTAGGAAAACAGCATCATTTGTAGGTTGCAGGTTTAAAGTTTTTACTACATCCTATAGAGCAGCAGTGCAACCTTACAGAATATTATCTCCCTGCTGCCACCTTAACTGAGTGGGCAATGGGCCATCCCATTGTCTATCATACTAGCTGCTTCCTGAAGTGGGGTCTGGTGACAACACCAGTGAAGTCCAAGGGCATGCCTGAGCCCACAGCCACACTTCTGCTGTAAAATAAGTTCCTTGGTAGAAGGTGATATTATATAGATTGTAACAGAGAAGGTTGGAAAAGGGTCTTGGGTCAAATGGAAAAAATAGTGCAATGACCTTCTTCTCAGCCCCAGCTATCCTGTCCCACGGGCCCTCAGACAGAGTTGCTTGTGTCAGGCTGCAAGCCTAAAGTAGCTACTCCAGCTCTTGACCCTGACCCCTCTAATCATAGGGCTAAAACCCCACCCAAGTGGTCAAAATGACATTTCAGCTACCTTTTCCACAGAATTTACTTCTAACCCTTCTCTCAAATCCCCAAGCCTTCACCCAAATAATTAAACAACGAAATGAACTCCTCTTTAAACCAGGCATGGTATAATGTGCCTGTAGTCCCAGCCACTTGGGAGGCTAAGGAAAGAGGATCTTTTGAGCCCAGGAGTTTGAGTCCAGCCTGGGAAACATAGTGAAACCCTATCTCTAACGACAACAACAACAACAACAAAAAGTAATCTCTTCCTTGACTGCATACCAAAGCTCCTGTGCATATCAACCGAGGCAAGGAGAAGCAGTACCTGGAGAGGGTGGGGGTTGTTTCGGAACCTCAGCTCAGCCAGGGGCAATGGAGCTGGGGGCGGAGGTGGCAATGCTGTATGACTTCTCTCACTACCAACTCCTAAACTCTAGCCACAGACGCCTGTTACACTTGGACCCAAGCAGTCCTACATAAGCCATGAGTCACAGTGCTCATGTTGGTACCTGTTCACAGAATGTGAGTTCTGCAAGCAGCATTTCTCTTATCTTCATTACTGATGCCGAAGGATGGAGAAAAGTCAAAGGCCTGAATCTGTTTTTTTCTCTCATCTGTTGTCTATCTCTGGGGCTGCCCACTGTAGGCATGTTACTGACAGCAACATGGGATGGGCCTTCTCCATCACATCTCCAAGTGGTTTCGCCATTTCAATTTCTTCCTACATACTGGGCTTGCTCATTGCTCATCCCAAACTTCAGGTATTAAGAATATTGCCATAGACATTCCTTTATGAGGTGATCATATATTTGGATATGGTAAAAATAATTAATACTAGAAGATGGATCCACAGGGAAAAGGGCAGTCAGTTATGTCTGAAACCTAAGAAAGGATTTGGCTGTGTTTTCCAGGGATGTAAGGATAATAGTATATAGAAGAGAACACCTAGGCCAAATTGTTGGTTAGAACACCTAGGCCATCTCCTTGGTTCATTTTTTTAGTGTCTTGCTATCTGTCCTGAATCTTGGAACCACTGCTCTAAAAGAGGTCTGAAAAATTTTGCCTTCAAGGCTCACCTTTACATAAAATTCACTATGGCTGAAACGAAACTCATATTCCTTCTTGTTTCTGTCTTGGGTTTTCTCTCAGATTGGTAGTGCCGAGGCTTGAAACATTAGAGAAATGTTCGATGTTTTTCTTTCCCTTTTCTTTCCCCTCTTCTTCACTAAGCATGGGACAGTTATTCATTGTGTCTTTTAAGTACATCTCTTTATTGCCAGCCCCCATGTGGGGATGTCTTGGCAGTTGTGTATGTTGGCCTGAACCTCAGGAGAAAAATCTCAGCCAGAGATGTAAATTCGGGAGGCCGAGGCAGGGGGATTGCTTGAGCCCAGCAGTTTGAGACCAGCAACATAGCAAGACCCCATCTCTAAAAAAATGTTTTAAAAATTAGTTAGGCGTGGTGATGCATGCCTGCAGTTCCAGCTACTCAAAGGCTGAGGTAGGAGGATTACTTCTTGAGCTCAGAAGTTAGAGACCACCCTGGGCAGCATAGCAATATCCCATCTCTTAAAAAAAAAGAAAAGAAAAGAAAAGAAAAAGAAAGAGAGGAAATGGCCAAGAGATGGAGGAAATCCAAGAGAAAATGATATTGCCAAAGTACGTCAACAGTATTACAGGTTGCAAGAGATAGCCCTGGATTTATTGATGAAGTTTTTGTTTTTGTATTTATCTTGGTGTGAATAGCACAGTGCAATGGTTCTCACACTTTTTGGTTGTACAAATTATAGTATACTCTTAAAAATCATTGAGGACCTGAAAGAGCTTTTGATTGTAAGAACCCCAAAGAGATTACATCTCTTATTTATCCTACTAGAAATTAAAACTGAGAAAATTTCAAACATGTTAATTTACTTAAAAACAATAATAAACCTATTACCAGTTAATAGAAATGTTTATGAAAATAACTACTTTAAAACAGAACAAAATTGAGAACAGTGGCAATGTTTTACATTTTAGGAAATCCCTTTAATATCTGGCTTAATATCATAGAAAACCAGTAAGTTCACATATCTTGTTCTGCCTTCAATCTGTTTTGCTATTACATGTTATTAATATATAGCCTCTGGAAAACTCCATTATATTATCATCAGAGAATGTGCATGAAAAAATAACATATTAACTATGAAAATAGTTTGATCTTGCAACCCCCCTGAAAGGTTTTCAGGGATTTCTAGGGATCTCGGGACCCCAGGGCAGGAGAGCTTGACAATACTGTGAACCTCATAAATAAGATCTTTTTGTCATAATGAAAAGTAAGCTAGATAGACTTGACTGAAGTTTCAAGGGCTATCTGATGAGAAGTGGAGGTTGTTTCATTGACATTATTCTCTAAGGTTAGGAATGGACTCTACAACATTCATTCAATTAATTCATTCAGCATACATTTATTTAGCACATATTATGTGCCATGAAGTACTCTAGATACTGAAGACATACCAGTAGACAAAACAAAATATCCTTGCCTTCATGAGACTTCTAATAAAGTAGTAAAATATATAGTGTATCAGAGAGTGGTTAAATCCTATGCAGAAAAACAATGTAAAGAGGTCTAGAGAATGCTGGAGGGATTTGCATATTTCAGTAGAATGGACAGGGAAGGCCTCTTTAAGAATGCAACATTTGAGCGAAGACCTGAAGGAGGAGAAGCCATTGGGATATCTTTTGAAAGGGCTTTTCCAGCTATTTAACAAATTAATTTCTTAACATTTGAAATTTTATTTATATGTAGTCTTTAATCAAATATCCATTGTATATGACATTAGCTGCAGGTATAAGGAAATAAGACAAGAGAACTGAGGTTTATTGAGTGCCTGCCATGTACCAGGCACTGTGCTAAGTATTATGAATGAGGTTTGGTACCTTCACTAAGATTTACAACTTAATGCAGGAGGCAAGGTGTAGACATACACTTCCTGCAGTATGGGTGTAGCAGTTCTTATGAGGAAGGAGAGTTGACTTGAAGTTGCACCGCCAGAAGTAATGCACCTGACCTACCTGAAGTCTACGCCTCCCTTTCAAGATGAATTAGGGTGCAGAGGGTGCTCTCCACTATAACAGAGGGGAAGCCAGCAAGATAATACCTGATCACACCTTTTATAGAGCACTTTGGTTAACAACATGTCTTCACAAATTAACTCACTTAACCTTCATAACAATAAGAAGCAGATGTTCTAAGAAGTGTTACTGTGTCTCTCAGAGATGGAGAAAGGCTAAGAAAGCTGGGTAGTATGACAAGGCAGTTATAAGGTAGAGCTGGACCTAAATTTAAGATAATCTGCTTCAAGCACAGTGCTTTTCCCACCGCAGTGCAGCTGTTATGAGCAGCTGCCGAAATAAAACAGCTTGATATTCTCCTGACTGAGTCCTCCCACTGACTCAAAAGGAGGGTTAGGTTGAGGCTGGGGCGGAGCTAGACCTCAAGAAGAAGCCAACAAAGTCACACACAGCGCTCCCCACCTGCGCTTGCGCAGGGGAGGAACACGCAGTCCGGAAAAACGCCGGGGATTCTGGGTCGCGCAGCCGTGGAGCTACCTCAAGGCGGAACTGGGGAGTCCAGGGCTTCGGCAGCCTGAACACCCGGTGTGAAAGGAAGGTGGCAGACGTGGAGCGGCGCGCATGCGCAGCAGCTCACTCTGCTGAAGGGCTGAGAGGCGCACCCGGGCGGCCAGCTGGGCTCGGAGCGGAACGGGGTCAGGATGGACGAGGACGTGCTAACCACCCTGAAGATCCTCATCATCGGCGAGAGTGGGGTGGGCAAGTCCAGGTGAGGCGGAGGTGCGGGTCGTGACGAGGGTGGCTGGGCTCTTTCTGCCCCGGTGGCTGCTGTCTCCTGGGCCGCGACGGGAACTGTAAACTGCAGCGGCGGGCTCGGGCCGGCTCCGCTCGCGCCCTCCTCGGCCTCTGGGCCGCGCTCTCCCGCGACGTTTGCTTTCCTCTCCCCACCCGCGCCTGCCTGGTTCCCGGCCTTTGCCAGGCCCAAGTTCTCTGGGTCGCTCTCCCTCCTGTAGCGCCGAGAAAACACCATTCCGAGGGCCGCCGCTCGGCCGGCAGGTTTGCTGCGCGGAGCTCAGGGCGTGGCGGGCTGGTTTGGGCCCGAATCCGGCCGGGGGCGCCTTGCCTCGAACCTCTCGGGGTTCAGGCTGCCTGCCACCCCGAGACCCGGGAGACATAGCTTTCCCACTTGAGGGTTTCTGTGGGGCCTTCTCTAAATACATAATGTCCTCGGGAAGTTTCGTGACGCCTTAGGTCCCATTCCTGGCCTGTTTGGGCGCAGCTTAATGTCGATTCTTTTACTTTTTTATTAGTCGGCTGTGAAAGAACTGGATCTTGTGACTGCTGGAAAATTTCGCTTTAGTGTAAGGTCCGAGTGCTTCAGCCGTGGGCCACCTTTGAAAATAAAATGTAATTGTTATTTCTCATTTTGCCACATCCTGTGGAGACAGAAGATTAGTGTTGTGCTTTCATTTTTTACTTTTTCCTTGGGGAAAATAATATTGACAGTGGAGTTGAGTATAAGGTAAGACATGGATCTAGGTGGATGTTGCTAGAGGGCTGTGATTTCATCCAGGTCTTGGAAGAGAGTTCTCCAGCTGATGTCATTCTTGCCATCTGATTATGAGTAGGTTATGTTCAAGGCCGTCCTGATCCTTAAACCACATTTGCACTCCAGGGGCTGTAATCAGTTTCATATTTTAGCTATACCTTCTGATACACGTATCTTTCAAATAATTTTTTGTATTTCATAAATTGAAATAGCCTTAATTCTACAAACTAGAATGAAAGCTCTCCTCAAATAACTTGTAAAAGTCACTTCATAAAGTCTTACTTTTTAAAAGCTTCTTCAGAATTTGAAAGCTTATGTAATATATTCTGATATTATTTACTTATTTATTTATTTATTTTTTGAGACGGAGTCTCGCTCTGTTGCCAGGCTGGAGTGCAGTGGCGCGATCTCGGGTCACTGCAACCTCCGCCTCCCGGGTTCAAGCGATTCTCCTGCTTCAGCCTCCCGAGTAGCTGGGACTACAGGCGCGCACTATCATGCCCAGCTAACTTTTGTACTGTTAGTAGAGATGGGGTTTCACCATGTTGGCCAGGATGGTCTCCATCTTTTGACCTCGTGACCCGCCCACCTCGGCCTCCCAAAGTGCTAGGATTACAGGCGTGAGCCACCAGTTTGACAACACATTTTCATAGTGTTCCTCATGTAATGTCCTCTGTGTCTACTGGAATGAAGGATTTGCACATACCAAGGAATAGAATAATGAAATACTATGAGTTAGCAAACCAGCATGATTTGTCTGTGTGTGTGTAAAAGGCATGAGTAAAATTATTTACATGATCATCTATTATTGCACATACATATTTGAGTGTTAAAAAGTTAAACGTTGTCTTAATAGGAATTTCACAGCCTTGTGATCTTTCTTTTTCTTTTCTCCTTTTTTCCTTGAGATATCGTTCTCATTTAAGTTCAGGCATATGAAATTAGTGTTTTTGAAGTCAAGAATGGTTGGTTGTCATTTCATGTAGTTCAACCCAATACATGGTTGGTTAGCACTTTTTCTAAATGTATTGCATGGATGACAAGTTAGGGTATGTTAAAATTTTCTGGAAGGTTAACTGGAGTATATAAACAAAATTCCTCTGCTCTACCCGCTGTTTTTTTGAGACAGGGTCTTATTCTGTCACCCAGACTGGAGTGCAGTGGCATGATCATAGCTCACTGCAGTCTCAATCTCCTGGGCTCAAGTGATCCTCCCACCTCAGCCTTTTGAGTAGCTGGACTATAGGCACGAGTCACCATGTCTGACTAGTGTTTTTTTATTTTTTATAGAGAGGAGGACTCACTGTGTTGCCCAGGCTGTCTCGAACTCCTGAGCTCAACAGATCCTCCTGCCTTGACCTCCCAAAGTGCTAGGAACATAAGCATGAGCCACCACAACCGGCCCTACTTCTAAAATTTTTTTCATAGATGGGATTTTCCTATGTTGCCCAGGTGGTCTCCAACACACAGGCTCAAGCCAAACTCCTGCCTCATACTCCTAAAGTGCTGGGATTACAGACACAAGGCATGACACCCAACCGAGGTTCTCCTTGTAGAGTAAGGCCTGTTAAGTGGATTTATCAGTCTCCCTAGTTCATGCCACCGAAACAAAGAAACAAATTTACCGTGGGCCTAATCTGTTTTAAACTTTTTCCTCAATACGTAGCAATGGATTATCAACTGCTCGATGCAGGATTTTGTCACTTTATTTCTTTTGTGAAAGGATTACATATAGTGAGAAAGTTGTCTTATTTGTCTAGCTAGATATACATTATTGGCCTGTGTGATATGCTGTGGAAAACAATCTTAAACACTCTGGATAAGATGAGAATAAATGACTCCACTGAAATAGAAGTCTATGCCTTTTAAAGTGAATTAGTACAAAAACATTTGCTGTGGATATGATCTTAAAGGATTGTTTTAACCAAGTTTGTTTCTATTTCATTACAGAGCTGGAGCTAGTGGAAGTGAGATAGCACTTGTGCTGTTGGGGAAAACAAAGGATATGTTTAATCCGAATTAGTGGATTACTTTCTAGTGATTTCATAGTGTTAGAGTCTAAAGGGTATGTGATAGTAGTCAGGAGATCAGGATTATGAAACTGGGGCTGCCACTTGTGTGACCTTGTGTGTGATACTTGAATGCTGTAGGCCTTCATTTCAAAAGCGAGGGGGTTGGAATAGAAACCTCTCAGACCCTAAATGTGTAAGACTCCAATTCTGTGGCTAGGCCTGGTAAGGTAAAGAGTAGCAGAATATATCAAGAACTGGAAGGGATTAGAGAGACCTATTATCTAAATTGCTGTCCCTCCTTTGCCCCTTGCCTTCCCTTTTTTTTTTTTTTTTGGTGAATTTCATATGTAAATTTAAAAAATGCAGATTAGTTATAATCACACTCTGTTTATTATAAATTTGGTCACATCTAAGTGCCATGGTGGTAGTTACTCCTTCCATCTCTACTTCTGCATGGGAAACATTTTGCTCCTTTAACTTTGAAAATATGAGGGTGTAAATATACAATACTATAAGAATGGTGCTTCTGCCAGGTGCAGTGGCTCATCCTGTAATCCTAGCTACTCGGGAGGCTGAGACAGGAGGATCTCTTGAGGCCAGGAGTCCGAGACCAGCTTGGGCAACATAACGAGACCATGCCTCTAAAAAAATAAAAATAAAAAAATTAGCCGGCCATGGTGATGCACACCTGTCATGCCAGTTACTTGGGGGGCTAAGGTGGGAGGATTAGTGAGCTGTGATTCTGCCACTGCATTCCAGCCTGGGTGACAGAGTGAGACCCTCTCTCTTAAAAAAAAAAAAAAAAAAGTGTGCTTCTTAATTATTTTGAGATTGTCAGTTCTTTTCAAAATCTAATAGAGAAATGGACTCTCTGTCCCTTTCAAAGTCTAATAGAGAAATGGACTCTCTGCCTAGAAAAATGCACACATAGAATTTAGAATACTTTTTGGGCTACCAGGGTACCCCTGTCTAAGATCTGATGTATACCCAGAGCCTGTATTAAAATTTGTTGCTTCACACCATGCCACCAATTCCCTGCCTCTCCTTACAAAGTACTGTTAATAACAAAGGCCATTTAAGGATTAGCAATTATGAGAGAAAAACCTCTGGCTTTGTGTCTGCACATTGCCATATGTTCAATAAATAATACCCAATATCATCATTATTGTATTATTATTATGATATTATTACAACTAGTCTACAAGGTAATCTTATGTTTTTGTAGTAATATTTTCTGTGGTGACCACGTGTAGATATTATGTATCTTTTCTTAAATTATGGGTAACTGAGTATGTTGGGAGAGAAGAAAAATTTTATAGGTAGTCTTTAAGAGTCTTACTAGTATTGTTACCTATGTTCCAAGTAACTAAATATAGTCAAGATGTTAAGTAGATAAATCTAGAATTTGACTCTTCTTTTTTACTTTGATTTTATGATGCTGGTTTTATGGTAAACACAAGAAAACAAAACCAAGTAAGGGAGAGTTAATCGTTCAAATATATTTAATGACACTGGGTTTGGAAACTACCAGGAGGCCATTATGTTTTGCAGAAACTCTATGGACAAAACATACCTCTACCAGCAATAATCACAACCTATAGAAAGAGTCATAAGATTTTTCTATAATTTAGATATCTGATGGCTGTTTCTTTGATTTTATTCATGCAAACAGGTCAATTAGGAGAGTCTTATACTTCAGAAGTTAACATGAGGGAAGATTGAATGACTTTAAAATCAAGGGCTTTAACAAAAGCTTAGATTTTATTTTTGAAGAGTTTCTAATAACTGACACTTCTGCTTCATAGTAAGTAAAATAATTCTGGAAGATGTAAAATCTTAGAGTACCCTTCTAATCTGGTGTCTTTTGCTTTTATCCTTTCTTTCTAGTTTCTTACCATTTCCTAGGTTTAGTCCTTTGTTCTCTCTTGCCATAACCATGGCGGTTGTCTTCCATTGATTTTCTTCCATTTTTTGTTAGTATTAACTTTTCAAAACAAAGAGCAGTACTTGTCTTAACTTTCTTTAAAAGCCTCCAGTAGCCTCCAGTTGCCTACTTGGTTTTACACACTCTACCTAGTGTTTGCCCGAGTCTATCTACTCTGTCCTGTGATCTTTCTTTTAACCTCTCTTTTTACTGTATCTTCTCTTAGGTAGTAGCCGTACTGCGTGTTACAGAATGCTCGGCTTTGATATATTTCTGGTTTTGCTTGAATTCAGAGTGGATTACACAATCAGATTTTTTAAAGCTAGTTTGTTGCATTCTAAGAGACTTTATTTTTTCCCTTTTCATCTATGTCAGTTAAAGCATGACATGCTGCTAATATCATTTTCTCAGAAGGACATACCAGAACAGTTAAAAAACAACTACAACAAAAACCCCCACCTTTTGTACTTGGGGGATTGTGTAGGAGAGCACGGGGAATATATTTCATAGTAAACTACTTTGCTCTTGGGATTTTTAAATTGCCTTTCTGGTAATTTAATTTTTCTGTGTATACCTGCTCTGAGGCAGTATTCCTAGGAACAGGCCTACATCAGTTATTTTTATCTGCATCTAATAATTTGTGACCAAATAATCATGAACACATTTATCATATGATTAGAAAATTCAAGTTCCCAACCTGTCTTTTTAATATCTCTTTCAGCCTGCTCTTGAGGTTCACAGATGATACGTTTGATCCAGAACTTGCAGCAACAATAGGTAAGCCTGTGTTTAAAAATTCTATAGAAATGGCCAGTATTTTCTTGCCTTTGGCCTTTTTAATCTAAAT